>NC_000020.11:61866644-62483525 GCF_000001405.40 Homo sapiens
GGCTACACCCCAGCGTTCCAGCAGGTGTGTTGGGTGTGAGACGGTCAGTGCCTTCTCCTCATTGTGCCTTTAGATGTTTCCCGGTGAGCGTGTGCTAGTTATCATGAGTGTGTTTTATTTCTGCATCCAGAAAAGAATTCTCAAAAGTGTGTCATTTGGCCTTAAAAAGCAGATTCCTGAACGTAGCAAAAAGAAAAAAGCGTAGATGCCTAGATGGAGCATGTTTTCGCAGTTGGCCGGAAAGCAGGGAGCGGTCCTTGTTGCCAGAGAGTGGGATCCTGAGCCACCTCCCAAAGAGGGGCCTCCCAAAGAGGGGCCCTGCCGTCGCCCTTTCCCGGGAAGGAGATGATGCCGACGGCTGGGGGTGGTTCTTAAGAGCAGCGTCCATCCTCAGGGAGCATCCAGTGAGGAACCAGCAGGAGAGAGACGGGTGGAGGCTGCCTTCCAGGTGCCCACACACACACAGCTGTTTCCAGAACACTCGCTCTGGGCGCATGCATGTTTGACTCTGAGCCTGGGATTTTGAAGCCCTGCTCTCCCTTCCTGAAACACTGACACCCTGGCTTTGCCAGTCCAGGCACTGTGTCAGAAGCAGGGGACCTCCCCTCAAAGAGCTTATGATAGGCCAGGCACGGTAGCTCACACCTGTAATCCCAGCACTTTGGGAGGCCAAGGCAGGTGGATCACCTAAGCTCAGGAGTTCAAGACCAGCCTGACCAACATGGAGAAACCCCATCTCTACTAAAAACACAAAAATTAGTCGGGCATGTTGGTGCACTCCTGTGATCTCAGCTACTTGGGAGGCTGAGGCAGGGGAATCAGTTGAACCCAGGAGGTGAAGGCTGCAGTGAACAAAGATCATGCCACTGCCCTCCTGCCTGGGCGACAGAGCAAGACTCCATCCAAAAAAAAAAAAAAGAGAGAGAGAGAGCTTATGATAAAATTGAGCCCAAGTAAAGTGGGGGATTCCTGGGTGCTCATCACATTTTCCTCCTCCCCCCAGGCCCCTCCTCCTGTGCCCTGGAGGTGGCCAGCAGCTCTAAGTGCAGGATTTGCCTCCTGAGGCAGGAGGCGAGCAGAGGAGGGCACCATGGCATTGGTTTAAAGCCATTACTGTCTTGAGTTAATGAAGAGCTAATGTGATAAAAGCCACTGCAAGCTTCTAATGAGCAGTCCTTTCCACGGGGGAGTGGGTGCGTAAACTAAGGTGGCCCACGAGGCGCGATGCATCTGCCAAGGTGAGCTGAGTTCCGATGACTCCGGCCATCTCAGAACGTCCAGGCTCTTCTCTGTGAGGAAGACATTCTATTTCTGCAAAAACTCCACCACATGGAAATGGGGATATTGTTGCTTGCATCAGATGTAAGGGGTGCAATTATTCGTAACCAAAAAGCAGGCAGAGACTTGGACCCCTGATCAATATCCGATTAGTGCTTGGTTAATGAGCATAAACCGCAGAATGGATCAGTCCTTCAAGTCAGACATGTGGAGTTTCCACGCTGGAGGACTCTGGGGTCTGGGCCAGGGCCACCAGCTCATCCCACGGTGGGGGTGCAGAGGGGGTTCGTCCACGCCAGGACCCCTTCCCAGGGCGGGCATCCTGGGGCCGTCTGTGTTCCGTGGTACAGAGACGCGGGAATGCTGTAGATGGGAGGGAATTCAGTCCAAGGGAACCCTCTACAGCTGTAGGCCTGAGCAGGACCTCTGAGGAGTCAGAGGGGAGGCAGCCTGGCTGGTTCCTGCCGCAGAGGCCCAGCTTCTAATGGGGCAGGGGCCAACAAGGGGTGAGAGGCACAGACAGCTTGGTAGGTGGGGACCCGGACAGCTCCACAGTATTCAGCATCATAGACAGTAGAGGGAAGGGCCAGCATCTCAACTCCCAAACCCACAACAGGCCATAAACCCTGCTGTCATCAGCCTTAAGGCAAACCAGGCGATTATACCTCCATGCTGGGCAGATGTCCCCTCCACGCTGGCTGAGTGTCCCTCCATGCTAAGCGGTGTCCTCCATGCTGGGCGGATGTCCCCTCCACACTGGCCGGGTGTCCCTCCACTCTGGGCAGGTGTCCCCCCACACTGGGCAGGTGTCCTCCTCCCTGGCCAGCTGGGTGCTTTCCTCCTGTGCTGGAGCTGCCTCTCCTCTTGTCACCTGGTTTCCCCACCATGTATTCCAGAGGGGAGGGCGGGAGACGGGGAGCTCTGAGCACACGTGGGGAAGCCCCATCCCAGCCGGGCACACCTGGCCCCCACTGAGCCAAGCCTCCAGCTGTGGCACCTGCAGCTCACAGGCTGTGGTGGACACACACAAAGCCTCTAGACGTGGCAAACGTGGCAGGCTGTGGTGGACACACACAAAGCCTCTAGACGTGGCAAACGTGGCAAGTGCCTTCAAGGAGCTCAACTTATTGAATGAAGGACTGGCCTTTATTCTGAGACTAAGTCTTTCCTATGATTTTGATGGTAAAACATTATTTTCCTTTCATGAAACATTTGAGCTAGATGTATACTTTAAGGTCTTCCCTTGGTAGAACTAGAAGTTGGCAACCCTATATTGATTCCCCTGTATTTTTAAAAACCAATGTTGTCCCTGAAATCCAAAAAAAGAGCATACAGCAGAGGTCAGCAAACCACCGGCCAAACACAGCTCAGCACCTGCTTCTGTGAATGGTTTGATGGGAACACAGCCGTGCCCATTGCTGGACGCATCCTCTCAGGCTGCTTCTGTGCAGCTTTGAGGAGTTGGAACAGGGAATGTGTGCCCGCAAAGCCTGACATACATACTGTCCAGCCCTTTACAGAAAGTGTCTGCTGGACCCTGGAGGAGAGCGTGGCTGCTTTCAGTCTGGGTCTAGCAGAGCTCACTGGACCCAGCCACGTTCCTCGTCTGTGGGATTCAGTTTCCCCATCTGTCAAAAAAGGAGGTGGCCCAGTCAGGGTCCCAAAGGTCTGTTTCCAGCCTCCCGCTGACTTCCCATTCCACACATCCCACCTGGCCCCTCCTCAATGCCAAACCCTCTCACGTCCACATCCTGGCCCGCCTTTTCCCCAGGTCCCCAAGCCTCCAAGGGGGCTTAGTCCTCCTCCCTACATGAAATCACACAGCAGCAGGCCCCTTCCGCCGAGGGACTGCTTGGAGGAGGCAGCTTCGATTGGTGGGGGAGGACCTCCTGCCTGGCCTTCGGGGACCGAGGAGTCCTTCAGGAGAGATCAGCTGGAAATGCCACTCCACATTCCATCCTCAGTGGGGAGAGCTGGGCCCCAGTGGGCAGGGAGTTCCCATGATGTCGTGAGGTTATCTGAGTCCTGTGGAGGCGGAGGAGGGGGACCTCTGTGGTGGGAGGCTCCCAGCCGTTCTGCTAATGTGATTTCTCAGTGATATGGTGGATCAGGGCAGGCACTCAAAGGGAGTACGCGGGTCTCTGCCTCACAGTGGATCAGTAACCCTGAGGTGCTGGGAGTCCTGGGCTGACTCGCTGTCCCTCCACCTCCCCCAGCCAGTAGGGCTGAGTGGAGAAGAGCTCCAAGCCCAGATCCTGGACCCCAGCCCTGCTCCACCGCTGTCCGATGCGTGACTGGCCCGAGTTCCTGCACGTGGGCAGCAGGCCATCCGTGAGATTTCTCTGAGACATGACAAACCCATGCACAAAAGACCCTCGGGCCAGCTGGGCACAGGGTGGGGACCCAGGAATGGCGGTAGGGGCTGGGGCAGGGTGAGGAAGAGGCCAAGGCCGTCAGAAGGGCTCCGCATCCCCATCCAGCCCGAGAGACCGTCATTCTCAGAAACCAGGCTGGCTGTGCTGCTTTCAGTGAGTACAACAGACAGTGCCCGATCCCTTCTTCCCTCACTGGTCAGGGCTTTGCTTCTCTCCCTCCACCTTCTGCATGTCCCTGCCATCATCCTGCCACCCCCACCATCAAGCTACTGGGCCCCTTTCTGCGACAGGCATGTGGATCCTCACAGGTTTCACAGACGAAAATGCCGGGGGCCACGGGTGGAGGGGAACAGTGAGTGCTTCGGGAAGCTGGAGTGGCTTCTCCCTTTGACTTTCTGAACCAGATGAGCCAAATGCGGTCACCACCGACCCCCATGACTTTCCCAGCTCTGCCCTTTCGTAGAGATGGGTGGTTTCAAATAGTGCCTGATGCGCCAACATTGGCTTCACTTGCTCGGGGATTCCTGGCTTGATGAAGGCTGAACGTTAGTAACACCGCCCTGGTCAGACCCACCATCTGCTTTGCAAATGAAATTCTGCAGGTGTTTGTTCTGGTGTTTCGGTAAGCAGCTTTAAAACCCTCACGAGGCAAAGTTATTTTTGTTTATACAAGTCATATTCCTTAGACGCACCAGTGTATTTATCCTTTATATAAACATTACGTATATGTATATTTATAGGATGTGTGTGTGTGTGTGTGTGTGTGTGTACATATCAGAGAGAGAGACAGAGACAGAGCTCCTCATATCTTTCTGCATTTCCAAGGTGCCCTCTAGAATCATTTTCCTTCTGCCTGAAAACACCCTTAGTATTTCCTCTAGTGTGGGTCTCCAGGTGGTAATTTTTTGTTTTATCATTTATCACATTTAGTGTCTATTTTTCACTTTTATTTTAGAAAGTTTTTTTCACTGAATAATGAATGCCAGGCTCCTCGTGAGTTCCTTGTATTCCATTGTTTTCCAGCTTCCATCGTTCCTGTTGAGAAGTCAGCTTGAAGTCTTCTCATTGCCACATTGAAAGTTTTGTGCTCTTTTAAAAAGGAGGCTGTGTGTGATGTTATCCCTCTCCACGAATGATTTCTTTTTGCTGCTAAGTAGGGGACGCTAACAATCACAGAGAACCTCAGCCTAAGTTACTGCAGTTAGCTCTGCGCGTGTGTTAGGACTGTTTCTTCCCAGTTCACCCTCACTCCTAGGGTGCTGCACTTCAGGGTTTTCCTCTTAGGAAAATGCAGAGGAAAGCCAGCACAGAGGGAGGGGGATGTCTCTTTAGAGGGGAGTATGGTTGGGACCAGGCTTGTTGTGCTCTAAAGTGGTGGGGACATCGTGATGGGGGCAAGGATCATCGGGGTGGGGTCCCTAGTTCCAGAGGCTGATGGTCGCCAGGCCACGGCCCCTCCCACCCGTTTGCTTACTGCATAAATCTGTTTGATTGAACTATAATTCACGTGCCATACAGCTTGCTCTTTGAAGTGCTCCTGCCTCCGCTTGTTTTTCTGTGTTTTCATGAAACGTGTCTGCTTTGAGAATTTTGCATTCAGTAGAAGCTGAAAGCTGAAGCAAACTCCTAGTCAGACACACCCAGGGTTCCCCTGCATCCCACCTGGGCTTGTCCTGCCTGGGTGGAAGGCCAGAGTGGCGGTCTTCTCTGCAGGGCTGCAGAGGGAGGGCGAGGTGGGGGAGGGGCGAGGGGGAAGGCTCCCTGCCTGCTCTGGGGTCCTGGAAATAAGCAGTAGCTTCGGGCTCCTCGCAGACCCTGCCTCCTGAGCATGAGGCCGCCCCGCACCCTGGGCTTCTGGCACAGTCCAGCAAATGTCCAACAGGGCATCTGTGTGCCAGGTCACAGGGACAGCATGGACCCAGCCCCGCCCTTGTGGTGGCTGTAATCCCACAGAGGACATAGACAATAAGTAGACACACAGCTGTTTCAATGCAGGTGAGATGAGGATGCACAGGGCCCCATGACTCAGTCCAGAGGGCCAGGACGGGGCTTTGGGGATGAGGAGGAGTTGGCCAGGTGGAGGAGAGGGAAGAACGTTCCAGATGCAGAACAGATTGTGCAAGATCCCAAGGCTGGTGTGGCGAGAGTCCTTCATCTCATGCACACGGGAACGAGCACCTCGGGTCTCTCTGAGACTGCCACCCCGCACCTGGCCCGCCGCATGACCCCAGCCCCGTCAGCCAGGGGAGGCACTGCACAGGTAGAGGTTGCACCATCCCCAGGGCCCAGCAGGGCACCAGCAGCTCTCCTCTGTGCATGAACGCTGCAGGGCCGGGCACCCGAGCTTCCAGAGTTCTGGGGCATCTCAGGCAGCCAGCAGGGCAAGCTGAGCACACACGTGTGCAGAGCCAGGGCAGGAACACCGGAAGGTGGCGGGCAGAGTCCAGCCCCAGGACTTCCAGGTGAGAGAGCCCGCCGTGCCAGCATCAGGAGACAGCAGTCAGGAGCTCACAGAGCGGGGCCTCCACCGGGTACAGCGCTAGCACAGAGTTGGTGCTCAGTAGGCAGGGACTAAAGCCCCCACCCACCACTGCTCCCAGCAGAGCTTGGTCCTCAGACCTGGAGATGTCCTGAGGCCACAGGGTGGGGCGTGCTGATGCAGGCCCTCCCCAGGGCAGGAAAGGCTGCACAGCCAAAGAAAAGCCAAGTGCCATTCTCAGAAAGTGGGGAATGTGCCAGAGTGCACTATAGACCTCAACCCCAATGTGTGCATGGGGAAACTGAGGCACCAAGCTGAGAGAGCACATGGGCAGCTCACCGAGCCCCTCTGAAATGCCAGCGGCCCCCAGTCCCAGGGCGCCCCCAGATGTGCTCCATCTGACGGAGTCCTATAGGCACAGCCTCCCTGCTCAGAGTCCCTTCTAGGTTTGTTTTCCACTGTGTCCTCTGCAGTGTTTATTATACAGCTTCTGTGTGTCCAGACCTATACCAGGCCCTGCTTCAGTGCCTGAGTCCCTTCCTTTAAGCCCAACCACACTGGGCTCCCTGCAGGAGTGGAAGCACCTTGGACGCACTGTCGGGGCCTCAGGCCACCCGGCTCCAGGCCTGCTCTGCTGCCCCAGGCTCTGGAAGCTTAGAGAAGTTCTTCCTCCTCCGAGGCCTGGTCTTTCCCCAGCCAAAAAAGGAAGAGGTCAGAGCAGATGACCTCAAAGGAACCTCAAGCTCTAGAAGAAATCCTTCTATGATTCTATAAGGTGGGGTGGAGGCGGCAGGTGCACTAACACCACCTCTGAACACGCCGAGAGGAAGGGGGTTCCGCTACGCCAGACTCACGGAGAGCTCTGTGGTCGGGGGGCTCTGCCCAGGTGTGTGCGGGGGTGGCAGCCTGTGTGGCAGGCCATCCCCATCTGAGCTGCTGTCTCCGTTCCAGGCACCTACGTGATGACCGTCACGGCCAACGATGCTGACGACAGCACCACGGCCAACGGGATGGTGCGGTACCGGATCGTGACCCAGACCCCACAGAGCCCGTCCCAGAATATGTTCACCATCAACAGCGAGACTGGAGATATCGTCACAGTGGCGGCTGGCCTGGACCGAGAGGTGAGGCGGGGTGGGGTCTGCGTGCAGGCGGGTGAGCTCCTGGTCCCCGCAGGACACCCACAGGACCCTCGGGGAGCCTCTCCAGTGGCGCCGTCGGGGAGTGATCGACAGTCTCCCCAGTGGCACTCTCTTGCCATGGGAGAGACTCAGCAAAGGAGGCTCTGGAGCACTCAGCACCGGCTGCTATGAGCGAGTCCTTGTGAGATTTCCAGAACAGGCCCAGCTGGTGCGTGTGGCTATGGGCGGAGGCCTCAGAAAAGCAGGGACCACCCGCTGGGGTCTCGGGGTCTAGCCGCAGCTGCACTCGGGGTCTGGGGTGCTCTGACAGCCCCTCTCAGGACCTGAACACACACGCCTGCCTTGAAACCCACCCCTTCTGGGCCTGGCACCTCCAAGGAGACCCACCCCACCCAGGCTGCGGCGGCCTGGCTGTGACGAAGGGGGCATGGAGAAGCAGTGCTTTTCACACAGCCTGAAACCATCACAGCCAAATGAATGGGCTGCTGGTTGGTGCTGGGTTCCATGCGCTCCCACCTCCTGCACTGTCCTGCGGTCCTACGAGGCTTTTGTGACAGAGGCCTCCCTCCACCCCTTCATCTCAAGTGCCCGCCCCACTCAGAGACAGACCCCAGAGGGAGGCCCTGGGCGGTGGGTGAGGTCGGGGGCCTGCCTCTGCTCTGAAGCTTGTCAAGTGCAGGCGCATCTCCAGCACTGGGCTGTGCGTTCCCAGAAGATTCACCACCCGCCCCTGGGGCTGAAAGCGCCCCACCAGCAGCACCTTGAGTCCCCAGGTGCCCAGGACAGGGCATCGCCTGCCTTCCCCATCTCCAGGTCTCGCTGTCTGGTCTCCTGTTTGCACTGTGCCCACAGAGGCCAGTGTCATTCCAGACGTAATTTACCCTCTGAGGCATTTGGCTCCCAGGAGCCGGTAGAGCCACCTCGCTGGGCTCACAGCCAGTGCAGCCCTGCCCGCGGGAGGCTTGTTTCCAGAGGCCACAGCGCCACTTTCTGGCAGCTCCTCGGTCTTGCTGGCCTCAACCCTTCTGCTCCAAGTTGGCGGCTTCTGAGTGCGTCACGGCCCTCGAGCTCTGGGTGTGCGGGGACCCCACTGCAAGCTGGGGCTGCCAACCTGTCACCGGGGCTTGCTGGTGTCGCTTTTGGGGCCGGGACTGGCAAGGAAGTGGCAGGTCCTCCTTCCAGGTTTGGGGCTGTGGGACCCCCCGGGGCCTCCAGTTTCTGCCTCTTCTCCAAAAACCAAGACTCACCTGCAGTGCTGTCTTCATCCCCGCCTTTCAAATCAACCAAAGCCAAGCTGCAGCCTGGAAAATCCCACCCGTCTCTGTCCCTGGGAAGAGCACAAAGGGGATTTCCTGGAAATTCCTAAATCGTAAGGGGGTGGTGCCCAGGGTAACACATGGGGGCAGAGAGGCCAGTTGGGGGGTAACCCTTGGCAGCCATGCGGCTTGCGGGGAAGGCGAGGTGGCCGCCGGGTTCAGCACGGGCTCAGGACTCAGACCCGCACAGCAGAGGACGTTGTCAGCCCCAGCCGTGGCACCTTTCATCTGAGAGACAGAAGGATGATGACAGCCTTGGACTCCAAGGATCAGAGATGGAGTCGTGTGGCAGGCAGCGTGAGGGCTGGCACGGATGGCACAGGCGAGGACTTTTGATGCAGGATTTACATAAACGTTCTTAGAGTGATGTTGGCCAGAATGCCTGGGGCTCCGAGTGAGCTGTGGTCAGTCCCAGCACCTTCACCTCAGGACTGCAGGATCCGCTGAGGCCCCACCGCCCTCCAGTGGCCATGAACCAGCGCCCGCTCCGCTCAG
The DNA here is from genome assembly GCF_000001405.40 of Homo sapiens. Taxonomy (NCBI): domain Eukaryota; kingdom Metazoa; phylum Chordata; class Mammalia; order Primates; family Hominidae; genus Homo; species Homo sapiens. Next base: position 61,875,730 of record NC_000020.11, read on the forward strand.
ACAAGGCTTTGCAGATGAGCTGCACCTGGCCCTGGTCCCGTCATTCAGCTAGGGAGATGATCCCATGGGCACATGGCCGAGTCAGGAGTGCTGTTAGTGAGGCCCATACAGATGTACAGGAACCAGATACCGTCCCCCATCTCCTCTGTAGCCTGGGGTCCCCCGCCTGCCCTGGGGAGAGAGGGCAGCCCCTGTTTGCGCTCCCCCAACACACACACACACACACACCTGTGAGCAGCTCGTTTCCACAGGCTGGCACCTCTCTGGGACGTTTGCACAGCTTTTGGCAGAGCAGGTGGTCTGACTGGAGCGTGTGCGTGCAAGCCCCTGTCCACACACTCCCACACACGTGATGCTCCAGAGGTACAGATGGGATGGCACGGCTGCCGGCTGTGTCCAAGGAGAGGACAGGACAGCCGAGCAAGGGTCAGGCCTGTGAGCGCCGGCACCTCTGGGATGGCCCCTTGCAGGGGCAGGGTCAGGGGTTACCTAGAGCCCACAGACTGCCCCACCTGCGTGCCATCAGCTCCTGGTGTGTGACGGGGAAAGCACAGGGGCCAAAAGGGCAGTGGGGATGCTTAGGGAGATCCGATGGGGCCTCGCCGTCCAGTCCCAGTGCAGGGGCATGGCTGGCTGCATGCTGGCCGCAGGAAACCGTTCTCTCCCTACTCTATATCGGCCGCGAGAGAGCAACGTCCAATTGGAGAGGCAGCTGGTTCTACTGAGCGACCGGAGAACTGGGAAGGGGAAGGTGTGGGAGTTTCACGGGATTGGGTGCCTGCAGGGGAGGCATGCAGGCGTGCGGAGGGTTCTAGACGTGCAGACGCAGTCCATGAACACATCTCTTCTTACATCTGGTGTACAACATGGCAGCAGTCTTCCCTTAGGGCCGGGGTTTTCGTATTATAATGATAAGCTGGGGATCTAAAGGGGACCATAGGCCACCTGCTCTGGCCTGCACTGGTTTCGTGTCGGTCCGCCCTCCCTCTGGTTTCCAGTGGGGTTGAGGGGGTCCCTGTGGCTTCAGGACCATCTGGTCTCCTTCAGCACGAATGTCTATAGATAAAGGGACTAAAGACAAACAGCTAAAGCTTTCCCACTGCCGGGTGGAGGGCTGGGAGGTCTGGGGTACTTTGTAGTTTATATTGTAGGAAAGAATATGTGATATTTTCCAGGCTGAAAATATATCTAGGCAACATCTGTGGACCCCTCTTCATAGCTGAAAATCTCACAAGGCCCCGGCAGTTAGTATGGGTGCAGGCTCTGACCTTGGGAGGGATCAAGAGCGCCACGGAGCCCACGACCCCCTGGGGTTCCCCCAGCTGGCCTGGTGCACCCTACGGGAGGGACACCCCCTGGCCTCCCTGGGCCAGGCATTCCTGTGGGCATGTCAAGGCCCGTGATAGGGACAGTGCCCAGCCTCCTGGGCTCAGCTCCCCCTGCCCCTACAGATCATGGCAGCTCGGCCAAGGGAGGGCTAGCAGTCCCAGCCACCCAGAGATCTCCCCACCCACTGGCCAGGCCCCAGTGAGGCTGACCCGGCAGCTGGACCCCCTGCCCAGGCCAGACACCGAGGCAAGGCGGGGCCAGCCTGCTCCCCAAGGCCCACAGCAGACACAGAGCGGTACCCACCCCCCACCCCCCACCCCCCGCTGTCGGCAGCTTCAGCGTGGCCTGCAAAATGTTCCACATAAAATGCTCATTTAAAAGCCATTAGAGGTGTGGTTGACAGACGGAGATTTATGAAGATTGAGGAACATGAGGAGACGCTGGTGTTGCGGGCGCTGGCGTTCTCCGCTGTGTGTGCCTGGGGATGTGAACAGCCCGGCTTCTATCCGACGGGAGGCCCCGTCTGGTGCATCTCAGGCGTGGTGTGCTGGAGAGGGCGGTCCCGTGTCTTCCTCTTCCAGGGCTCGTCGGGAACATAGGTTGTGTGGTTATTTTCCTTGATGATCCTTCAGCTGCTAACATTCGATTCCAGGAAGATCAGTTTCTGTCTTGTGCGTGTGAAACAAGCTGGTTGATGCAGTGAAACCTGGGACCCCCATGTGGACCAGCATCGTGGGGGGACAGCAGAGCCATGGTTCAGGGGCTCAGGGGACGGTCATGGGGCTGGACTTTGGGGCCATGACCCCCGGAACGTCCCTGGGGTCCATTGTGTGACAACGCGTCTTTGGCTGGGAGGACCCCCAGGCAGGGGATGAGGTGTAACCCAAATGAGGCCCGGCCCCAAGCAGACTGTGACAGGGTCATCACCAGGAACCACGGGGGCCCCAGAGGGAGGACTTCGTGGACACAGACGGGCGTGGTCATCCCAGAGAGGACAACAGGCCCTGGCCTGCGTGAGTGGCCAGGAGCTGAGCTGTAGGCCTGGGGCAGCTGGGGCAAAGCTAAGGCCCCATCGTGGCCATGGCGTCCTCATTTCCAGCCACGATCAAAACAAGACCTTCATGGGCAGCACGTGCCCGGCAGCAGGACCCCTCCCACCTTCTGTTCCCCCTGCCCCTTTCAAACCGAGCCCAAGCCTAGGAACATCCAGGTCCCTGAGCTGCTCCCTCCCCAGGTTCAATGCAGCCCCCGGCTGGAAGGTGGCTGTGGGTCTTGAATCTGAGACAGACCCAGGCGTGGCCTGCAGCTGGCTCCATTTGGGTACAGAGACAGTGTTGGGCGCCCTCAGGGCTTCTCGTGAGCAGAACCAAAGGTGTTCATGTCATTTCCACGTTATTTTCCTTGTGCAAACAAGTCTGTTTCCCCTTCTAAAGGCACCAGCTCGAGGGCTTCCATTAGGGAAGCTGCCTCCAGCACGCAGCAGCCATGTCCCAGGGCCCCCGCCTGGCCCCAGGTCTTCAGCAGCCCCTCCCAGTGGGGACATTGAGGCGGGCTTCCCTCCCCAGACATGGAGAGGTCATCCCCTTGGGCCAGTCTCTGCAGCAGTTTATGGCATAGTCTCAAAGTCGTAGGTGACCTCTGAATTTGTGACCCCTTGGCCGGAGGAGACGCAGGGCCCTGGCATTGGCCACCCCACTCTGCCCGCTCAGCCATTCCAGGTCCTGTCTCCCGCCTTGCACACAGTCTCTCCCACTTTTTCGCCTTTGCCTCGGAATAGAAGTCCTGGAAGCTGCCAAAGACTCGGCGGGGGTGTGCCGAGGCCAGGGCGCCCCTCGCCAGGGCTCTGCTTTCAGTGTGGGTCTGTGCTTAATGTTCAGAGCTGCCCTGCTCTTCCTTCGCCCACCTCCTGGGGAAATTGAATGATGGTTTATAATTATAACCGCTTCTGCAGCAGAGGATGCACGTTGTCGGATTTTCAGCAGCAAACAATAAAACAACAACAGGTTTTAAGACAACGGCTCCAGGACCACCGTTGCCAGGCATTAGTAAACCCACGCAGGCGGCCACTGACAGCAGTGTAGACGCCAAGCGAGCACCAGTTCAGCTCCCCCGGGACCCGGCCTTCACCCAGCAGAGCCACTGCCCCCCTGGGCCCAGGCCTGCTGAGCCCGAGAAGCTGATTTCTGTCTGGCTTGGCGTATCAGAGAAGAGCACACATCGGGACCATTTCTCCACCAGCCCAGCTTGCCTTGCATCGGCCGGACAGCTCAGCCACTTCTGAAAAGGACACATCGGTAGTTCCTTTTTCTCTTCCTCCCCCTTTAAAAAGATTCATCTCCCCTGCCCTTGGGCAACAAGCAGAGTCTTCGGGGGAAGCACCAGAGATACTTCTCAGCACCAGCCTCCATCTGACAGAGTGAGTCATCTTTAGGAAGAAGAAAATCCACAAACATCATTGCCGCCGTGTCTAATTAGGCAGAGCTATGTAAATTGAGCGCTTCTACTTGATTAAGATGTCAGGAGAGGCTTCGATAAGACCTGAGCGGTTCAAGTGTCTCTCGTGTACCAGCCGAAGATGCCCCACTTGCTAATCCTATTCATCTGGCGTTGTTTCCTAATTAGAATATTTATGGCCTAATGAGGAGGTGAACGTGCCGCCCGAGCCCCGTCCTGAAGGTGAGAGTGGGCTCTGCAGACGCAGGCGCTGTTCCGATTGTTGGGCAGTGAAATTAGCACCGGGCCAGCATTGTTCTCAGCGTCCCTTCCAGGCTGCTCCCGAGGATGTTGATTTTGTTATTAGAAACTGAATCCGGCCTTCCGGTCCTATCACAAGAGGACTATCACCTGGTCACCTCCATCAGCTTGAAATTTCTTCCCAAACAAGGGGGGCCGAATTCGTGATCTCCTGGTCTGAAAGGATTCTGGGGAAAGCAAAACCCACACCTCCCCGAACGTCTTCAAGACCCTCTGCCCGCCCGGTGCTGTCATCCAATGGATGGAGAGTGATAACGTGGCTCTGTTCTACTGCTCAGGATATCGTTCTCACCACCATCGACTTTAGTTAATGTATTCACATGATTCAAATTCCAGTAGAAAGTGTTCGTCGGTGACCAGAATGTCCCCTTTCCCTCTGAGAGCGGCGTGGCTTTCTGAAGGCATTTCTCCCAGACAGCGAGCCTCTCGTAAGCCCCACCCAGAGGCATCTGCCTGGGGAGGGCAGTAGCCTGGGGCAGGCGGGGTTCAGCGTTTCCCGCTGGCTGGGTTTTGAATCACTGTCATGGAACCCTGTTTTGAAGACACCGAATATGGCTATGTTGTCTTGCAGAAAAAAAAATATTAGCAATTGAGACAAATCTGCTGCTGACCCACCTCGGGCCGGATTTGTGCCCCTGAAGTCTTCTTGATCTCCCCTCCGCCCCCTCCCAAAAGAAGAGAAGAGAGGGAAGGACAGCGGTGAGAAGGTGGACCCAGCCAAGGAGCCGTCATCTTGGGGCTTCCACCTCCCTCCGAAACAGAGGCCTCGGCTCCCGAGTCCCATGGCGTCCCCCAAGTGTGGGGCACTGAGCAGCCCCAAGAGGACCCCAGGCCAGCAGGTCACCCCCAGGACGCAGAGGCCGCCACCCCTGGCCTTGGGGGTGAGGGTCGGATGCAGAGAGAGGGTCGAGGTTTGGGCGCGGTCCCCACACAGGATGAGGTTCCCAGGCACGCTGGGCAGTGCGTGCTCTGAAGGTTGGGCCACACGTGAGCTGGCGCCCACCACTGCTGTCTCAAGGTTTCCAAAGGCCAGAGCTGGCAGGTGTGGCCACCCAGCAAGGTGAGAAGAGGTGCCAGTGAGTTAGAGTGAGGGCCCCCCAGGCCCCAGGAGGGCAATAACAGCGGTGCTAATGGTGACCTGGTTTCATGGGGGACCCTGGATGGCAGAGGAGGGGGCTGAGCCACAGGATGGCCCAGGTGACCCCCAACCAACTCAGGCCACTTCCTGCCAAGAGGTCCCTCCCTGGTGAGGAAGCTGAGTGCCCCTTACACCCACCAGCATGTAGGGTTCCTGCGGCCACAGGGCATGAGTGTCAGCCATGCTGAGCGGGGTCACAGCAGAGCAGGGTCAGGACAGCTCCTCCATCCACGGACGCCACTGGAGGATGAGCCTGCAGCCCCTGAGCAGTTCTCCCACCGTGGGGCCACGTGCACACGGGGTGATCTCCGTGCCTCAGGAAGCTGCGCTGCGAAGGGAGGGGAGACGATGGCCATGGAGTCTGAGAGGAGGCTCCATTCCAGCGGTGGCATTTCGTAACCAAAGTGCCAAGTGTGGTCCCGGGCAGGGCTGCAGGAGAGAGAAGCCGTGGCTGCGGAAGAAATAAACCATTTCATGGTGCAGCTCCCCAGCGAGCCGCTCCCGTGAGCCGGCCACAACATGAACCGTGGCCAGGATTACGGCCCCACCTGGCAGCAGCGGCCAAGACTCCCGCCTCAGAGCCTCCAGTGGTCAATTAGTCGACCGCTGTTCATCTGCCTTTGGAACTGGGCCCAGGCGGCTGGGGTCGTAGCTGGAGCAGAGGCCAACGTCTCCATCTGAGAAGGGCCAGCGCCAGGCAGAGGGCAGGAAGAGGAGGGGGCGGCACGTGGGGGACTGCAGGTGGGGAGGAGTGAGAACCCGTCACAGCCGGAAGTCCAGGTCCCCTGGGGGCCACTGGCCCAGCCACAGACCTGGCCCAATCAGCATCTGGACTGGGTTTAATCGTGGTCCCCAGAAAAGCTACATCCACACCCTGATCCCTGGCAGCGTGACCTTATCTGGAAAAGGGGCCTTTGCAGGTGTAAAGATCTGGAGATAAAATCGTCTGCATTGGGGTGGACCCTAAATCCTTACAGAGGCAGAGGGAGACACAGGGGAGAAGGCTGCATGGAGACCGAGGCAGAGACCAGACGATAAGGCTACAAGCCAAGGGTGCCTGGAGCCGCCAGGAGGTGGAAGAGGCAGGACAGGTCCTCCCTCAAGCCCCTGGATGGAGCCGGACCCTGCCCGCGCCTCCACCTCGAACCTCTGGCCTTCCGGACTGCTGTCTTTAAGCCACCTCATTTGACCAGACCCTGACAGGAAGCAGCCAGACCCAGTCCCTTTTGCCGAGAAGCCTGTGTCTGGCTTTGTGCTGAGGCTTTATTGGCACACAGCGTGGCTGACCATTTGCACGTGGGCGGTGCCACGCTCCAGGATGGCACCATGACGTGAAAGCCAGGTTACTTAGGAGGAAGGAGCGGGGATTTCATCTGTGCCCTCAGCGGCACGGCCCCTTTGGTGGTCAGATCCAGGGTCTCAAACCCAGAGACAGGTCCCACCACAGAGGTGCAGTTTGTATTAATCTTGTTTTAACTCGGTCAACATCGAAACGAGAGATTTCTATTCAAATCCCGCCTTCTGGATTCTCTCAAGATTCAGGACCTCTGGTCACGGGGCCTGCTTTCCTGCAAGGCACCAGGAGGCCTGGGCTAAGGGAGTGACCACCCAGGGCTCTGAAGCCCCTGGCCCGGGGGGTGCAGCCCCTCCCTCCCGGGGTTCCGACGCCAGGCCCAGGATGCTCCCTGAGTCACTGTGTGCGGCTGTTTTCCCTGCCGTAGAGAAATACTTCCTCTAGGTCTATCAAAAGTGAGAAAATGAAAGACAAAAAGGCCCGTGCGTCTCAGGAGAATGGGAGAGGGAACGTGTCTGCGGAAGGGCTGGATATTCCCGAGGGTTTCCCGGCACCCCAGGTGGCATGGGCCGCCCCAGCCCCCCGCCCCTTCCTATCTTCTGAGAAGTCACCCGGCCGGCCCCGCAGGTGCCTTTCCTTCTCTTTTATGTCCACTGTCTCCCCCACACCCGACGGAAGCCACTCAGACCACGGAGCACATGCCCCAGCCTCTGCGCATCTCCTGCTCTGTCCACGCCCAGAAGCCCAGTGATCCTGTTCAAACACCAATCTGAGCTCTTGTCTTTTCAAACCCCACCACGGTTTCCTGTCTCACCCAGAAATGAGAAATGAACCCGGCCCCATTCCCCCGGCACCCCAAGCCCACCCCGCCTGCCCCAGGGCCTTCTCGCTGGCTGCTCCCCCCGCCTACAGCATTCCTCCCGAGACCTCCACAGCTCGACAGCCACATGTCTGCCTGGCAAACAGCCCTGCCTGCCGCCCGGTTTAATGTAGTGCACTGAGTGCCCTGTCCCTCTCTCCTGCTGTGTTTTCTACACGGCCTCTGTCCCCAGCTGATATGATACTCTTTGCTATTTGCTGTCGGTCTCCTCCCCTAGAGCCATGCTTCCAACCTAGGGCGACGTCTTTCTTGGGACACTGGGCAAGTGGTGGTATCTGTGGTTGTCACAGCTCGGTGGGGGGCACCACCAGCATTGCATGGGTGGAGGCCAGGAATGCTCAGCACCCCTCAGTGCCCAGGACACCCCACAGCAGAGAACGACCCAGCCCCAGGGCTGACAGTGCCCAATTTGGGAAAAGCTTCCCCAGAGCATCAGCCACAGGAGGGCAAGGGCTCCAAGAGCCACTGGAACTTATGGCTCAGAAACCCCAGGCCACTGGAGAGCTCAGGCACGTGGCCCTCCACAGTCGGGTGTGACTGCCCGGCCCCTGGAGAGGGAAGTGTTCTCCTCTATGACCCAGGGGTGGGGGGCCAAGAGAGGCCCCAGGGAGGAGCCCCCAGCGCCTGCTGGACTGACGGGACCTCCCCTGCCTGCCTCCATCTTGTTCCTCCCAGACATCTAGACTCTTCTAATCACCAGCAGTCATTCCTGGCAGCTCCTCTTCCCTCTGTGCCCAGCAGAGAATGCGAGAGACAGAGAAACAGACGGACAGACAGAGAGAGGGGGAAGCAAGAGGGTCCCAGCATCCCCACCCCCCAACCCCCGTGTGGTGGGTTTTGTGGATTTAGGAAGCAGAGACTTTCTTTGTGGCCTCCCCTGCCCCCAACAGCAGGCCGAGGGAGGAATCGCTGCCTGGAACTGGGACTCGCTGCCTGGAACTGGGAAATGCTGGTGTTTTCTCTGGGTTTGATCCAGCTCAGCACAGCAGAAAGCAAACCTGGCTGTAGAGTGAGAGGGGAGGGTCTGCTGGAGTTGGGCTTGTGGGGCGCAGTGCAGAGGCTCTGGGCCACCAGTGAACACGGCCAGAGCTAGGGACACCGGAGGCCCCAAGGGGTCATAAAACCCACAAGAGCTGAGGCAGCTGCACGTCACTGTCCTGGCTGTGCAAAGGGCAGCTGAGCAGAAGGTTGAGTGAGACACGCTTCCTTCCACGCAGCAACCCGGACAGCTAAGGGGCCGGGTCCCTGGTTTTCAGCCCCTCATCCTGCAGGAGGCAAAGTCTGCGGAGCCAGAAGTGGTGAGGGAGAGACAGTGGCAGTGGACGGTCCACGAGTTTAAAGGGGTGAGCAGGGTGTTCAGGAGGGAGGGAGGGAAGATGGCACCCCTTGGGGCTCCCCGTGTGGCCGTGCCCCTGAGCAGGGGTGATCTCTCGGTGACAGCCTGGGGGCACCCAGCGAGGGGCTCCATGCTCAGCCCCTCCCCACCCCAGGCGAGGGAACCTCAGAAAGGAGCCCTCCGCACCCCCGGACCTGCATTTGAAGGCTGAAGGGCTGAGCACCTCACCTCGGGGGCGGCTGCTGCTAGTTCCTGGGTGCCCGGGAAATTCACCTGGACAGGTGGAATGTGCCACCCAGGCAGCACCTCCTCCCAGAACAGCAGCAGCCCCGAAGGGCTGAGGGGTTTGGAGGAAGGAGAGAGCCCTGGGGTGGGGGCGGGGAAGGCTTCCTGGAGAGGGACTCAGCCTGTAGCGGGAGGTGCGGGGTTGGGACACCGGCTGGAGCCCCGGGCTAAGAGTAGGCATAGGGTAGGCCCCAGGTCCCTTCAGCCTGGAGAGTCCCTTCTCTGATAGCCTAAGGGTCAGTCTGCAGGCCCAGCACAGAATCTGGCCAGAACGACTGCCAGCCAGAGGCAGCCCCCACCCCACCAGCTCGGTGATCCATGCTAGAGTGGACATAGGGTGCTGAGTCCCTCGGGCCCCTGCAAGGCAGCGGGGACTGAAGTCGACACATAGCACGTTCGTGCCTGTGCCTTGAGAGGGAGCTCACACGCCACCAAACACACCCTTTAACTGTACGCTTCAGCGGGGTTCAGTGGTCACAAGGTTGTGCAACCATCACCTTGACTTAGCTCCAGGACTCTTCCATCACCCCAGAACCATCCCATTTCTCCTCGACTCCCTTACCCCCAGCTCCCCCAGCCCCTGGCAGCCCCAAATCTTCTTTCTGCTTCTACGGATTTGCCTATTCTGGACATTTCCTGTAAGTGGGCTCCTTCCATGCATGGCGTTTCGTGTCTGGTGTCTCTCACCGAGCGTCACCGTGGTAGTTCGTGTCTGCGTTTCATGCCTCTTAATGGCTGAATAATATTCCGCTGCATGGGGCAACCACGTTCTCTTTGTCCATTCATCGCTCAATGGACCCTTGGCTGTTCGGCCCTTTTGGCTGCTGTTAATGGCGCTGCTTTGAACGAGGGCGTGTAAGTGTTTGTCAGAACCCCTGGTTTGAGCTCTTTTGGATACATACCCAGGAGCGGAGCTGCCAGGCCCCGTGGTGACTCTTGACTTGTGAGGACCCGCCAGCCTGTTTTCCGTGGTGCCTGCACTCCCTCCTCCCACAGCATCTAATCTTCATGCCGGAGTCACATTCTCAGGCTCCGGACAGACCCCAGGTGCTGTGCAGCCTGAGGATGAGACGGAGAGCAGGACCCAGATCTCTGTCTGCTCCATCTCGCAGCTTCCAAGGGGATGGAGGTTCCAGCAGTGACAGCAGGGAAGGCCCTTGGGGAGTGTGTGGTCCAGGAGGAAGCAGTGGGAACAGCGCTGACCTGAGAGGAGCTGGAGAAGCTCCCAGAGCAGCAGCCGCCGTCGTGCTGGGACTGGCTCTGGCTCACCCAGAAGGAAGGGATGCAGGGCATCTGCAAGCCTGGGCTACAGGGCCTTGGGACTCCTTTTATACCCCCATATGTACCGCCTCTAGGTGCAGAGAGCCCAGAGCAGGTGGGGGAGGCGTGCTTGCAGCCTGGCAGATGAGACCATCCCTAGATGGTGGCTGGGGTGGGGGCAGCATCCAGGAGAACTTCAGGATCTGAGTTCCAGGCGTGGCTCCTGCCAGGGTGCCTCACTGGCTGTGCAGCCGGCCAGCCGATGCTGGGTATGGCCAGGGCACGCTCGACTCAGGAAGCTTTGATGCCTTTCTAGGGCAGGCTGGCCGCCTGCATTATTGATGGCTGTTCTGCAAAATTTACATGCTGAGCTATGGGGAGGTGAGCAAAAACCCCAGGGATGGCCCACTGTGGTTTTCTTCCCTCCTCTTGAACTTGAAAATGGCCAAATCACTTTTTAATGAATTCTCTGCACCTGGCAGAAGCAGGAAGGGTAGGGGCCCCAGCCCAGGACAGGAGCATGCATCCAGCAGGGCACACCCAGCTGTGCAGGACTCCCGCTGCCCGCCCAGACACCTCCATCGAGGGTTGACGTGGGGAGCAGAGGCTGCACATGTCAGCTATGGAGAGAGGACGCTGGGACGCTGGTCCAGAGCTGAGTCCTGGGTCATCTGTTTGTCCTATGAGGGCTGGGAGACACTTGCTGGCCTCCAGAGCACTCACCAGCCCCTGACCTCAGGGAAGTCCCAGGCCTTCATCTTCTGCAAAGTGGGAGGGCGCCGTGCCCCTGTGCCACACGGGCCCTTGGAGGACTGCACACAGCGAGGCCTGTTGGGGCACCGGGAGGAGGTGCCAGACACTTCTGAGAACAGGGCCCTGCCCTGTGGTTAACGTGGGGCTCCCCTTGCCCGCCTCACAGGAATGAAATGCACTTGAGGGCAAAGGGAGCAGCCCAATGTAAGCCTTTTAGATAAATGTGTCGAAACCTCCAGCCAAGCCAGCCCAGGCCCGCTACATGCAGATCAGCCACGTCTGCAAGGAGGCCTGTTTGCAGGAGCTCCCATGACCGCCTCATGAGCACATGCCTGGGTCCTGCCCACCCACCCTCTCACCCCAGAGAACATCCCAGAAAAGGGGGAGATGGGCACAGTGATGAGGTCAGGAGCCTGACCCCACCTCCCCAGTGCTCCCAGGGGAGCCAGGCCAACCCTGCCTGGACTTCAGAAGCCCTGCCAACGGGAAGGCCACTGGCTGCTTCCGGGGGTCCCCTGGGAGAGTTCTTCCTTCCTGCGGGTCTAGCTTCCTGCCCCTACCCAGCCAGGAGACACCCCTGCCCTGCCTCTCGAAATCAAGACCCAGCTGCCCTCTAGTGGCAGTCAGCTGCACACACACACACACAACACGCATGCACATCCATGCACATGTGGGTTTACATGCATACAGAGGTGCACACATACACGTGTGTATACACGCACACACAGGCATGCACACTCGTGCACAAGCACGCATACACACATGCACACACACAATACACTGTACATGTCTCTGGGTTTCTACGATGCTTGATTTATTTTCAATATATAGAAAAGAATACATTTCTTTCCTATACATTGAAAGCACCACAGCCAGGGGTGGCTTCCATGAACCGGCTCTGATTGGATGACTGAAGAAATGGAGACTTGGAGAATGATGTCATGCCGCAAGTCTGTGACAGCAGTTTCTCTGCAGGCTGACATTCTTCTCCGCTTGGATCCCTCCCTTTCCTGCCGGCCCGTGTCAGTCTCCTGTTTTCCAGTCTGGTCCTTCTGGCGGTGCCATGCTGCGGGAGGAGGCAGCCACAGCCAAATAAACATGTAGCTGAGAGCAGCCTGGGGACCCTACGCTGCAGGATGGGTGGCCGAGGGGGGCCGGTGCAGGCAGGCAGTGGGGCACCTCCTGAGGGGGACATCACGCCCAGGAAAGAGGCTGCTGAGAGCCCCCTGCAGCTTCAATTTCCAAATCTGTCCTGGGAGGGGGAAGAAAATCGGATTTGTAAAGAACAAGAGAAACTTGGGTGAGAAATGAAGAGTGTCCACAGCGAGGCTGCCTGCTGCCCTGTCAGAAAACCTGATTCCGTTTCCTGGGGGAGCGGGGACTGAAGTGAGATGCAGCCACATCCCTGCAGAGCCGCCGCCACTGCCGGTACACACAGATGGGACATGGATGAAATGAGACTCCGCAGGCAGGATCCCGGCCCCTCACCAAGGTGGCATGGGTATCTGACATTTGGGTTCTCATTGGCAAGCCTGTCCACCGCTGCTGGCACCGTCCCCAGCCCATCTCTGCAGCCTCCTACCTAGAGGCAGAGCCAACCTTCAGGCTCCGTCCAGCCGCTGCAAGGGAGGGCCGGGTGCTCACAGGTGAAGGAGAACACAGCCAGGGTGGGGAAGCTTCCAGAGGTGGGCTGGCTGGTCTCTGCCTTGATGAACAGGAGGGCACATTTTCTTTCTGTTGGGATCCTGAGGCACAGAAACCTTGGGGAAGGGACCTCTGCTATGGGTAGTACCATGAAGTCCAAGGCCTCAGGCCCAGCGAATGTCTGGACACACATTGGTCCACAGTTAGAAGGCAGATCCTGACCCTGAGGTTGCCAAGAGCAGCCAGTCAAGGGTGGCGCCAGCTCTGCTGTTTCCATGATGTCCATCCCACATTCAGGAGACCCAGCGGGCATCGGGCTGATGTCACCATGGACATCATTGGTGCTGCCTGAGTCCCATCCATAACAAAGGCCTGAAGCGCAGACTGACACAGCATCAGGGACCCTGACCGGTCCCCTCGCTCTGCCCTGGTCAGCTGTGTAGAACTGGGGAGGTCATGGGACTGCCTGGCCCTCACTGGACTCAGTCTTCCCCTCCGTAAATGGTAAAGAAATATGAGCTCCACTGACCACGCAGTGTGACACCAGTCACTGAAATAGTGAACAGGAACATGCTTTTTTATTGTTCTCTCCCCATTGTTGGCTTTCTCCCCTCCCTCACGGCCTCTGCATTAGCCCCCAACAATGCCCTGTTCTGCACCATGCACCTCATACCTCCTGCCCCAGCCCTGCTGTGCCTGCAGCTCATGCTATCACTCCCTCCTCCCTCTAGTGAGCCCCCACCTTCCTTCCTCAACCAGCTCCCCTTGCACTTCCGTAGAAGCCTCTCTCACCTCCCTCAGTTTCCTTATCTCATGGATGGATGAGAGGACCTCAGCTTCCTTATTGGTTGGTTGTAATCCACCTGACATAAGGAGAGGTCTCTTTAAAGCATGGATGGATGGATGGATGGATGGATGGATGGATGGATGGATGGATGGGTGAGTGGATGGTGGATGATGGATGATGGATGGGTGGGTGGATGGTGGATGATGGATGAGGGATGGGTGGGTAGATGATGGGTGATAGATGAATGGATGATGCATGGATGGATGGATGGATGGATGGATAGATGATGGATGAGTGAGTGGATGATGGATGGATGATGGATGGATGGATGATGGATGAGTAAGTGGATGGTGGATGATGGATGATGGATGGGTAGATGGATCGATGATGAATGAGTTAGTGGATGGATGGATGATGGGTGGATAGATGATGGATGGATGGATGGATAGGTGGATGATGGATGGGTGGATGGATCAATGATGGATGAGTGAGTGGATAGTTGGATGATGGATGGATAGATGATGGATGGATGGACAGACAGATGGATGATGGATGGATGGATGGATGCATGGATGGATTATGCATGATGGATGGGTGAGTGGATGGTGGATGGTGGATGATGGATGGGTGGATGGATGGTTGGATGATGGATGGATAGATAATGGATGGATGGATAGATGGATGGTGGATGGGTGAGTGAATGGATGGATGGATAGATGATGGATGGGTAGATGGATCGATGATGGATGAGTGAGTGGATGGTTGGATGATGGATGGATGGATGATGGGTGGATGGATAGGTGGCTGATGGATGGGTGGATGGATCAATGATGGATGAGTGAGTGGATAGTTGGATGATGGATGGATAGATGATGGATGCATGGGTGGATGGATGGATGGATGGATGGATGCATGGATGGATTATGCATCATGGATGGGTGAGTGGATGGTGGATGGTAGATGATGGATGGGTGAATGGATGGTTGGATGATGGATGGATAGATGATGGATGGATAGATGGATGTTGGATGGGTGAGTGGATGGATGGATACATGATGGATGCATAGATGGATAATGGATGGGTAAGTAGATGGTGGATGATAGAAGGGTGGATGGATGGATGGATAGATGGATGATGGATGGGTGAGTGAATGGATGTATGGATAGATGGATAATGGATGGGTAAGCAGATGGTGGATGGTAGATGGGTGGATGGATGGATGGATGATGGATGGATAGATGACGGGTGGATGGATGGATGGATAAATGGATGATGGAAGGGTGAGTGGATGGATGGATGATGGATGCATGGGTGGATGATGGATGCTGGACAGGTGGATGGATGGATTATGAATGGATGGATGGGTGGATGATGCATGATGGATGTGCAGATGATGGATGGGTAAATGATGGATGGATGGATGGGTAAGGGGATGGGTAGACGGATGAGGGAGAAAGGAAGAAGGGGAGCAGGTAAGGGTTAACCTACTGTGAGAAAACTATCAAAGTAGGATATAGCACCCAAGTAAGTGTAAGCTATTTCTGGTTTTTTTTGTATCTCCTTGACTCCAAGTTCTATTCATCTTGGTAAATGTCAGCTCTGTTAGACACGACTCATTAACTTGGTTCCCTCAACAGACACCGATTACCTACTGTGTGCCAGGTCTGTATCTGGCACTTTGGACACAAAGCTGGACAAGACTCAGTCCTCATGGCACTCTGGGTCTTCCAGGAGAGTCCAGCCTACAGCAGATGTGGGCAGGGTTGTGGCTGTCCGGGTCACGCTGCACCTCCAGGGTTAATGAGAGAAGCAAAATCAATTCCAGAGACTTTAGGGGAGCTCATTTTGGAAGGAAGAGTGGGGTCTCACCAGCGGAAGGAGGGAGAGGGACAACACACCCGCAAGCACAGAGGGGCAGGGATAGGAGGTGTGGGGTGCACAGTGCAGACAGGGCGCCATGTGGGGCAAATGTTGGGGTAACGAGGGAGGGGAGAAAGCCAACAGTGGGAGAGAAATAATGAAAACCTGGTTTGGGCTGCACGTTCCTGTTCACTGTCTCAGCAACTGGTCACGGCTATGTGGTCAGCAGAACACAGTCGTGTCCCATTTTACAGAGGGGGCTGCCAAATACAGGAGGCCAAGGTTGCTGACGGCTCTGCAGCCTGCAGGCCCCTCCCTGTCCTGCTGAGCCTCACAGCCTCCCCCTGGAACCCTCTCCTGCAGGGGGCCTGAGCCGCCCACTCTCCCCGGCCCTGCAGGAGCTCTGAGTGCTGCAGTCCTCCCCCCTTCTCCAGGTGACTGATCTGCTGCAGGGACCACGCAGGCATGGGCCAAGAAGCAGTTTCCTGCCCTTCCGAGAGGCCCCTGACACCTGCCTCCTTGAGGGAGATCTCTCAGAACAACAGCCAGGGCTGCATGATGAGGCACATGTTGGGGCTGGAGGGCCCAGGAGCCAGCGCCCCACTGCACTGAGCCCTGGCCCCATGTAGGCTGGGCCTGGTCACCAAGCCACAGTCACCCTGTTCTGGGTGGGAGGCCTTGTGGAACACCCCAGACCCTGATTGGCTGCCGTGTTCCCACCTCCCGGGTCCAACCGCACCTCCCAGCCCTGCCCTCAGTTCACCCTGTCACCTTCAGGCAGTGTGACTGCCTCTTCCTGGAAGCCTCCTCTGGATCCCCAGCCCTCCCTCCCTGAGATGCTTGTGGCCTTGCTCTCAGGCCTGTCCAGGTGGCAGTGGCTTACACTGCCTGATATTGGAGCCCAAGGTCAGCAAACGTCTTCTATAAAGTACCAGGTGGTCCATATTTTAGGTTTTGTGGGGCATACAGTCTCTGTGCAGATACTCAGCTCTGCCTTGAGAGTGTGAAAGCAGCCATAGATAATGTGTCAATAAAAGAGCATAGCCATGTGTCAATAAAACTTTATTTACAATAATAGTGATGCGCAGATTCAGCCCACAGGCCATCGCTTGCTGTCATGTATAAGTTGGATCCTGTGATGCACTTAAAGCCCGTTGGTGACTCACAGCTGTCCACAGACTGTCCAGACACCTTATGGAGCACCCAGGCCCCTCTGTCATTCCTCAGAGCTTCTGTTGCCACCACAATCATTGGCAACATTAACTTGCTGTCATGGGGCACCTACTCTGTGTTGGGCCCACGTTTGACCCTGGAGACACAGTGGGTGATGGATGAGACAGCCATGGCCCCCCAGAGCTCAGGTTGGCAAGGGTTACAGACAATGATCAAGGGAGGACACAATAAACGTAAAAGTGCAAGCCAGGAATGAGTCATGGATGAAGAGCAGGCTGAGCTGAGAGCATGCTGGGCTGGAGGGCTGGGAGAGAATTCCATGGGAAAGGGACATCTAGGGGCTGGGGAGCTTGATTCAAGATGAGGCCACAGAGGGGGTTAGCAGCCATGACACATGGAGTGCTGTGGCCATGTTGAGGGTTTGGATGTATGCCAGGGAGCTTTTGCTGCATAATAAAAGATCCCAAAACTTAGCAGCCTAAAACAACCACCATTTATTTCTATTTATTTAGCTCACAATTCCACAAATTGGCAATTTGGGCTAGGCTCAGCTGGAAAACCCTTCCATCCTTGGCTGGGCTCATTCATCCATCTCTCATCAGCTGCCAGTTTGGCTTGGGGCTGGCTGGTCTTAGAGGGAAGGAGGAAGGAATAGAAAGACAGAGGGATGGAAAGGTAGAAAGAGGGAGGGAGGGATGGTGTATGGGTAGGTAAGTGGATGGATAAATGGATGGGTGGGTGAATAGAGGGATAGATGGGTGGATGGGTGAGTAGAGGGATGGTGGATGGGTGGGTGGGAGGGTGGATGGATAGATGGATGGGTGGGTGAATAGAGAGATAGATGGATGGGTGAGTAGAGGGATGCTGGATGGGTGGGTGGATGGATAGATGGATGGGTGGGTGAATAGAGGGATAGATGGACGAGTGGGTGAATAGAGGGATGGTGGTTGGGTGGGTGGGTGGATAAATGAATGGGTGGCTGAATAGAGGGATAGATGGATGGGTGACCACAGGGATGGTGGATGGGTGGGTGGGTGGATGGATAGATGGATGGGTGGGTAAATAGAGGGATAGATGGATGGGTGGGTGAATAGAGTGATGGTGGTTGGGTGGGTGGGTGGATAAATGAATGGGTGGGTGAATAGAGGGATAAATGGATGGATGGGTGAATAGAGGGATGGTGGATGGAGGGGTGAGTGGATAGATAAATGGATGGGTGGGTGAATAGAGGGATAGACGGATTGGCGGATGAGTAGAGGGATGGTGGATGGGTAGGTGGGTGGATGGATAGATGGGTGGGCGAATAGAGAGATGGTGGATGGGTGCATGAATAGAGGGATTGTGGGTGGGTGGGTAGGTGGGTGGATCGATGGGTGTGGGGCAGATAGAGGGATAGTGGATGGGTTGGTGAGTGGTTGGATAGATGGATGGATGGGTGAATAGAGGGATAGTGGATGAGTGGGTGAGTGGATGGATGGATGGATGGGTGAATAGAGGGATGGTGGATGGGTGGGTGAGTGGATGGATGGATGGATGGGTGAATAGAGGGATGGTGGATGGGTGGGTGAGTGGATGGATGGATGGGTGAATAGAGGGATGGTGGATGTGGGGGTGGGTGGCTGGGTGGATGGATGGATGGATGGATGGGTGATGGTTGGAAAGAGAAAAGGTTGGTGACCATCTGCTGTTTGTAATTCCTTACGGAGCCAGTTTATGGAACTTGAGCACGTTTCACTGAATCACACCGCTAGGAGCTGGTCTTTTCCCTTAACCTCTTAGAGAAGCACGACTCAGGATTGTTAGTCACTTGGAGAGCATTTCACAGGTTCCCTTTTCGCTTTGGTCCCCAGAATCCCCCTCCCCTAATGGTACTGGTGAGAGGCGGGCTGTGGTCCCAGCAGGGAGCTGCCCACAAGCCTGTCCTCAGCTGTCACCTCAGAAGTTCATGGCCTCTGGGTCAGAACAGAGGTGTGGAAAAGCCACCTCTGCCAGCTCAGGGATTTTGGCACTGATGGACTCCCAGCAAGGGCCCTGAGGAGAAAGGCCATCAGACTCCTTCAATGCCTAATAAAATGCATTCATCCTGCCAAGACTTATTTGCCATTTAAAGCTCACACCTGCGCCTGCACGGTAAACTGTCAGGACTGCTTTTCCAGCAGAAAGCATGCTTGCATCTCCGCACCTGCACAGAGAAGGGAAAGGGTTTGTCTTTTCTTCCCATTTGAATATCTGACCTGTAGTTCAGCTGGACAAGCTAAACACTCAAGAAACGAAGTCCCTCCTGACCCGCGTCTGTGGGGCATCCCTCCCTTTGCAAACTGTCCCTGCTTGGTTTTCTAGACCGAATGCAACCCCAGTGCCCTCTGGGCTCCCCTGTTCTCCTCCCTTCTATCTTGGCACCAAACGTGATCTGCCCCTATCAACGGCAGGGCCACTGAGATGAAAACACAGGCAAACCTCTTCATGCCGCACCTTAACGCATGGCAAGGGGAGGAGAAACTTACTCCGACAGGCAGTGTCAACCAGGAGGCTTGGAAAGGGCCCTGCGCCCAGCACACAGCCCCCAGTGAAAGAGAACCGGTTCCAGGAACTCCGTTCCTGTAAACGGATTTCTTTTGATAAGTGCCCTGTCAATTAAAACCCAAACTGATTTTCTGTTCTTTCTCAACTGGTGTCTCCCTTCCAGAAAGTTCAGCAGTACACAGTCATCGTTCAGGCCACAGATATGGAAGGAAATCTCAACTATGGCCTCTCAAACACAGCCACAGCCATCATCACGGTGACAGATGTGAATGACAACCCGCCAGAATTTACCGCCAGCACGGTGAGTCCCTCGAAGCTGCCCAGTGACGCATGGCCCGTGCAGGGCAGGAATGCACTGGCGTGCGGCACAGCCTCCTCTCTCTCTGCGGCTCTGCCTGACGGGCACTTGGCAGATAGCGTGTAAGAAAGGCCCTGGGCAGCGGAGGCTGCTGTGTGGAGTGGCTCGATTCCTGATGTGCGCAGTAGGAGAGAGGCCGGGGCTCAGTCAGGGAGGGGACCGGCGGCGGAGGTCGGTTGCCACCTGGGAGGCATCTCTGTGATGTCTGGAGGAGTTGACTGGTACTGCCTGGGCTGATGTCACTGCCACTTTGGAAGGCCTGCGTGTGGGACCCGCTTGGGGAATGCCCAGATGGGGCCTTGGCATGGCGGGTCCATCCCTGTGTGTGGAACTTGGCTGACCCTCTGTGGCCTGCTGTCGGCAGAAAGGGGGTTGTGACTGGGCCCCATACCGGCTGCCTGGGGCCTGAGTGACCATTCACTGAATGTTGTTGAAAGTCCAGTGTGAGCCCCGAGCCCCTAGTTCACAGGGGACCAAACTCTCTCTGGTGGGAACACGGTGGAGACAGGGCTGTAAGGCATGCAGCCCCCACTTCCTCTGGATTCCAGCAGGGCAGCTGCACCACCAGGAGGGACCCTTCCCTTGAAATCTGCAGAGGCCACTGCGCCGACAGACATTTGATGACCCCACTTCCCTGCTGCCCAGCGATCTGGGGAGGTCCCGGCCTTGGCTGTCGCCCTGCTTACCAACCAGGACCCTTTGTGGTGATTCCCTGGGTCCATGGGGTGTGACACGGTGTCCCCAGGCTGTCATTTTGGGCCCCGTGTGGCAGTGCTGACATCATGGGCACGTGGCCCAGCCCCGGGAGCCCCTCTAGAAAGGTCGAAGGCACCAGGCTGGGACGTGCAGAGGGGAGAGTCAGCGAGGGCTCCCAGAGTGGCCGTGGCCCTGAGATGCCAGGATCTCAGGGTCTTCTCTGCTCCTACCACCATATCACCCCCTTCTCCCCCAGGCCTAGGCCCCCGCAGAGCTGTGTGTCAGTCATGATAGCAATGACAGTGGCACACCAGCTGCATCTGTGGAGGTGCCCCTCGGGCACCAGGGTGAGGCCAGGGTGCGGCCAGGGTACAGCCAGGGTGCAGAGCTAGCCTCTGATCCCAGCCAACCCCGACCAACCCAGTGACAGATGAGGACTCTGGGCTCCGGGAGGCTAAGAGGGAGAGGGGAAGGGATGGGGTCAGGAGGGAGACGCTCCTCCCGGTGGGTGGGCCGGCTTGCTGAGAAGGCAACTAAGGCCAGAGCCCCTCGCCACAGCGGCCGTCCCGCATCTGGGCCTCCTGCGTCCTGCATCCCAGGCCTGGGGCGCAGCTGCACCAGGCGGAGGTGGCTGTGAGCACACAACGCCATCTGGTGGGAAGATGGCAGATCACAGCGAAGGAAGCCAGCTCAGCCCCACTGCAGCAGGGCAGGGGGGCTCTAGGTGCTCCCCCAGGCTCCTGGCAGTGAGTCCAGGCAGCAAGCGGCCAGGGCAACCAGGAGCCCGAGGAGCATTTAACCGGGCGCAGCCCCAGGATGCAACAGCTCTCATACAATTGGCCAGGAAGGCGTTCAGATGGTTTGGAAAACACCTGCTTCTCTCTCTTGGCTTCAGTCTCTATTTGCTCTCTTCCGGCCAGTGAGCAATGGTCAGGAAAAGCTCAGGGCCAGGCTGCCGGGGAGTCTGGACATAGGGGAAGCAGCTGCTAACCCCAGGGCCCTGAAGAATAATAACGTCCAGGCCCAAGAGCGCAGCAGGGCTGCACCCACACAGCTGGCCGGACAGCCCCAGCTGTCCTTCCTCCCTGACTCCGAGAAAGAAAAGGAAGTGATGGCAGGGAGGGAGGGGAGAAGGTGACCCAAATTGTGTGGAGCAGGTGTCTCTGCCTTTCTCGGAGCCAGCATCCCTGTGAAGGAAGATGGAGAACCGGCAGGATGTCCCTGACCTGCACATGCTCTGAAAAACGGCCAGCCCAGGGAGTCACACTGAGCCCCCCACAGAATTCTGCATTTGACTCAAGGCAACTTAAAGCACATTGCAGGGGAGAATTCCTGCCTCTGTGTCCCCATGAACGAAAGGTGGGGATGGCCTGATTCTCTGAGACGTTGGGGGGCAGAAGATAAACAAGGGGCATTGTGGTCCTAAATCCCAAAATTCAGAGAATCCCATCATTCCATTGCAAGCCCTACCCCTCGTCTCTGGTCCCCATCCCGAGACTCTGGGAGGCAAGCCCTACCCCTCATCTCTGGTCCCCATCCCGAGACTCTGGGAGGCCAAGGCAGAGGCCCTTCTAGACCTAGTGGACCAGCCACAAGCACTGACCAGCATAAGCACTGACCAGCACTGATCAGCCACCAGCGCTGACCAGCCACCACCATTTACCAGCACTGACCAGAAATGACCAGCCACCAGCACTGACCAGCACTAACCAACACTGACCAGCCATGAGGACTGACTAGCCACCAGCACTGACCAGCCACCCCCACTGACCAGCACTAAGCAGCCCTTGGCACTGAGCTACCCTCGCCGCAACTGCTGACCGGCCACACCACCCTGGGGCTCCTCCTCCTGGGACTGGGGCAGAGGGTCCCCATGGCATTTATTAGAGAGAGGCGTCTCTGTGCTTTTCCAATGGCTAAGCACAGGCTACTGCAGCCTCGTGCGCCTCCCAGAGATGGGCCATTGTCCATCCTTGGTTCCAGGGGGCCTCAGGCAGGTCCCAGACCCCAGATCACGGGGCAGGGGAACGGCATCTCTTGAGGAGTACGCAGATATGTCTAGATGCTTCTCAGCCAGTGTCTGCGGCACCTCCCAGTCTAACACAGTCCGGGAGAGGATCTGCAGTCCACTGCTTTGGTCAGGCCGGCGGGGTGACATGCTAGTGGGTGGACAATGGACGGATGACCCTGGCAGGGAGGGTTCCCTCCACCCTGCGGTGGCTTTTCCAGGTGACTGGGTCGCATGGTCCTGGAGAAGGGGTGTCAGTAAATACTCGGGGTTAGGATGGCCCTTGGTGTGTCCTCCTAGAGATGGGTGACAGGCAGGAGCCCCGGGACACTGTCCATGCCTCACCGTGGGACGGAGCAGGCAGAGGGGCCAGCAGGATGGCGAAGGCCGGCCACACTGCCGCACATGCCGCCAGGCTATTTTTACCAAGCCTAATCAAGAACAATCAGCAGAAGCTACAGAGATGCAGGGGATTTGCATGATCCGATTCTGAGTCCTAAATGTTAATTAAAAGTTATTTTCCCTTCACTGGCTCTGAGCGCGGCTGCACTGCCCACGTGAGGCTGAGTGGGGACCCTCGGCCCTCAGCACTCCCTCCAGCAGGTGAGCATGGGGTCTGCTGCGCTAGAAGCTGGTGGCCACAGAGGACACAAGCTTCAGACCCTGCCCCAAAGCCTCCTATTAACACCGATGGGTCCTGCAGTGAAGTTCTCAGGGACAGGTCCAGACAGCACAGAGTGACCCTGGAGATCTGGCATCACAGGCCTTCCTCCAGGCCACCCCCACCCCATCCACACACATGCTCACGGAGGGGGGGTCCCCTGGAGTCAGGAAGCCCAGCCCTGGCCCCACCCTTGGTCCCTGCCTGCTGTGTAGCCAAGGCCGGAGAGCTGGACCTCTCTGAGCCGCAGGATTTTATCCCGGCTTTCCACCTAGAATTAATCCCACCTCAAGGTGTCGTCGGGAGCACTGCTGATCTATGTGAAAGTTTAAGACTTCAGCAATATAAATCTGCTCTAAAAATGCCATGGGTGGTGCCCAGACCCCCATCCCAGGGGCATGGAGCTGGGTGGCGAGCAGACAAGGTTCCAGCTTTAACAGACCTGGAGTCCTGTCCCGTCTCGGTCTTTCATAGGTGAGGGGCTTACAACAATGTCACCAAAACCTTCTCAGCCCAGTTTCCCCAGCTGTTAAAAGAAGAGGGAGGGCCGGGCGCAGTGGCCCAAGCCTGTAATCCCAGCACTTTGGGAGGCCAAGGTGGGTGGATCACGAGGTCCGGAGTTCAAGACCAGCCTGGCCAAGATGTGAAACCCCATCTCTACTAAAAATATATATTTTAAAAAAAAATTAGCCGGGTGTGGTGGTGCGCACCTGTAATCCCAGCTACTCAAGAGGCTGAGGCAGAGAACTGCTTGAACCTGGGAGGTGGAGGGTGCAGTGAATCGAGATTGCACCATTGCACACTAGCCTGTCTCAAAAAAAAAAAAGAAAAGAAGAGGGAGGTGGTATATCATTGTTGTAGTTTAAAATGCATACATGATAAGACATATTTTGTTTTTACTGTATGTCTTTTGTGAATGATCTATTCCCCGTCCCAAGCAAGCATGAATAAAATCAGGTTAATTTTTTTCTTTTTTGAGACAGAGTCTCGCTCTGTCGCCCAGGCTGGAGTGCAGTGGCGTGGTCTCGGCTCACTGCAACCTCCGCCTCCTGGGTTCACGCCATTCTCCTACCTCAGCCTCCCGAGTAGCTGGAACTACAGGCGCCTGCCACCACGCCCGGCTAATTTTTTGTATTCTTAGTAGTGATGGGGTTTCACTGTGTTAGCCAGGATGGTCTTGATCTCCTGACCTCGTGATCCGCCCACCTCGGCCTCCCAAACTGCTGGGATTACAGGTGTGAGCCACCGCACCCAGCCCAGGTTAAATATTTTTTGAATAAAGAGGGAAGGGAGTCGTGGTGGTTTCCCCACAGGGTCTCCGAGGACAGGATGAGTGGGTCCCCAGCGTTTAGGATGTGCCCAGCTCAGCCAGTGCCTGGTTATCACAGTTGATGTGGAAATACAGATTTTTCTCTCAAAGGGGTTAAAAATGGTTTTGCCAGAGGCAGGGTGTCAGCTGAACTTAGGAGCCCTGGGGTCTGTGGGTCTGTGGTCCCCATGTTTTTGAGGTCCTTCTGGAAGTTCCCTCCCCAAGCCGCCCGAGGATGCTGCCTGCGGTCCCTCCTCGGAAGTGACCCTCCTGGCCAGGAAGAAGGGCAGCCCCAGCTCTGCAGGGCAGACAGGCTACTGGCCAGCCTCAGCGGGGGGGACTGGCTGGGCTGACCCAGGGCAGCTCTCGCCCACAGATCCCCAGCCCCTCAAGCCTGGCTGCGTGCCCACTCTGGCCAAGCCCTGTGAGTCCCTGACTTCTGCAGAAGAAGGGAGAAATTACGATTCAGCGTGAGTTCCTGAGCACAGGAATTTGGCATCTTAAAATTAGAACGGACTCAGTGCCCTTAATTACGCTTGGGTGCACAGTGCAAGCCTCGGCCGCACAGTGCAAGCCTCGGCCATAAATCATTAATTGGAGCCAACTTTTCCGAGCACAGAGGTGGCAGCCGCAGGGACCAGGAGCTCCCACCCACCCGACATCACCTCCCGCCTCCTTGCTCCTCCTACCAGGGACGGCTTCCCAGAGACGGCTGCAGAGGGGGCGCTTCTGAGAGGCCAACTCTGGGTCCACCCTGGGGCAGGGACCAACAGGACACAGGCCCAGAGACGTGGGGGAATGGCGGACTGGAAAGGACAAGCCCAAGGCAGAGACACACAGAAACTTGAGGTCCCTCAGCCTGGGGGTCAAGACTTAGTCCTCCCAGCCGCGGTGCTTCCGCCAGTCTCTCAGGCCTCCTTGGACCCGCCTGTCCAAGCTGCATGGGAGAGATGGGGCCCAGGGGTTGGGGGTGGGCGCTGGGCCAGACTCCCCAGCTTCAAGCCTGGCTCCACAACTGACCAGCTGCTGACCTTGGGCAAGTTGCCTCCCTTTCCTCATCTGTTCCTGCCTGATGGGTGTGTGAGGACCGAATATTCCCGGATATCAGTCCCTTGGCAGCGTACCTGACTCAAAGAAAGACCAATGAGTAAAACAGCAACAATATGGCCATCGTGGCTGTTGTATGATTAATAATGCCGATTGATAGCAATTGTGTCCTTCACCCTGGCACAGATGAGCTGCTGACAGGAGCTGCCTGAAGTTGTGCTCCAATCCCGGGTAAGAAGATGGGTCAACCTCTCTGTCCTTTCTGGGAAGGGAGCAAGCCAATCTGGTCTATGGACCCAAAAGCCCAAAAAGGGGTTTCAGGTTAATTTTTAGCTAAATGACTGGTCCTTTCACTCAAGCGGGTATTGCAGTGAGCAGGAGCAGGAGCAGGAGGAGTAGGGGCAGGGGCAGGGGCAGGGGCAGGGGCAGGGCCTGCAACTTCCTTCTGGTCACAAGAGCCACAGATCCGACAATTCTGATTTGTGAACTCAGAACTCAGCAGAAATCGTCACTGTTTTACTGAATAGAACACAGAATTGCAAAAAGCAATAATGTTGTAATGTCCAAAGGAGCTGTGGTTTGTAGGTTTACGCTATCAATTTTCCAATGCAAGCAATCACAGAACAGAGAACTACAGCTGGCTGTGTCCCCAGGTGGCTCCCAGCCCCGTCGGGGGGCGCAGCAGACCACACCCCAGCCAGACAGGAGCCGTCAGGGCCGGCGCTCAGCTGTGCTAGTTACAGTGATGGATCCGCTGAGCTCCGGCTGGGCAAGAGCACCAGGCTTGGGCACTTCCCTCCAATTAGATGCCCTCGTCCACACCGGGCTCCGGCCGGGAGAAGCAGCACCCAACGCCGGGTGGCTGGGAACGTCAAGGCCTCATTAGGACCAGCCGGACGCTTCTGAGTAAGCGGCAGCTCAGTGAAAGCATCAATCCCACGCTGGCCCATGGGGTTGGGGTGACAAGGGCAGCAGCAGAGTCCCATTTCCGCTCATTCAGACCTGCTCCGTGGGAAGAGGCAAAAGGAGGTCCTGAGCCTTCCAGGAGACAAAGCTGGGCCTCAGTGGCACCACTGTCCGTCAGAGGTGGAAGTAAAGTTCGCAGTCGGCCGTGGCTCATCTTTATGAGATATTGACTCACCGCCACTAGTCTAGTTGCCAGGAAACAGGATGTGGGAGGGACAGACAAAAATTAAGTACAGCAGCAAATCACCAAGATGCAGTCCTGCGTGTCACACCTGAGGAGCAGCCTGGAGCCAGGGGCACCTTCTGGCTTCCAGCAACTGATGGAAATTCAAACCATGACGTGTTCAGTCCTTGGAGTTCCAGAATCGTGAAAGGCGGGTCCTCGGCAGGCGTGGAGGCATCGTGGATGGCCGTTTTCAGAGCAGGGCAGGCAGCACAAACGGATGAACGATGCAGAGGCAGAAAAGGTCAAGCCGGGGCCTCTGAAACCAGGACCCCCGGGGCCTCCATTCCAGGAGAAGCAGCCTCACTCTGCCCTTCACCAGCCACGGAGACCCGGGGTCTATGGGCAGTGCCCTAAATGCCAGCCATGCCCTGGGGCACGCGGTCACCACCCCGCAGAACCGCTCCCGTGCTCGTTGCAGGAGTGCAAGGGCAGATCCACAGAGGAGCGTGCGGGGCCCCACCTTCCCAGGGATTTGCAGGCAAATGAGCGGCCGTTGACACAGGGACAGGCACACCTTTTCTTGAATGGTCTGGAGAGTAAATGTTTGCGCTTTGGCTGCCGGAAGGTCTCCGTGGCAACTCCGAAACTCCGCCATTGTAGGACAAAAACAACCACAGACAAAACAGAAGCGAGTGGGTGTGGCCATGTCCCAATAAACTTTATTTACAAAAACAAAAAGATTCAGGCCACAGGCTTGTTGTCGAGCCCTGACTTCACCTATAGCAAAGAGGCTACATAGGTGTCGTTTTGGGAATATTTGAAGGAGGAAGATTCTAGCATTGCAGACGTCTAAGTATGAGGTCAGCGCCTCGTCACCACCTGTCTCAGAGAGCTGATTAAAAATCTCACACCACACACAGCAGAGGTGGCACAGGCCTGTAGCTCCAGCTACATGGGAGGCCGAGGCAGGAGGATCACTTGAGCCCAGGAGTTCGAGGCTGCAGTGAGGTGTGATCATGCCACTAAACTCCAGCCTGGGCAACAGAGCAAGACTGTCTCAAAAAAAAAAAAAAAAAAAAAAAAGACACACAGTATTAGCATTGAATTAAAAAACTAAATATCTTAGGAAACTTCGTGTGCCACGTGCCAGGCCTTGTTCATTATGTTTGCACATTCATTCATTCATTCATTATTTCACCCCGCACTGGGCACTCCCTATGCCAGGGTACAGGACAGCTACAGAGAAAACCAAAGCAGTCACAGCCCCTGCTCCTCAGAGGTTAATCTACATATTTAAAATCTGTAAGGCCAGGCATGGTGGCTCACGCCTGTAATCCCAGCACTTTGGGAGGCCGAGGCGGGCAGATCACCTGAGGTCAGGAGTTCAAGATCAGCCTGGCCAACATGGTGAAACCCCGTCTCTACAAAAATACAAAAATTAGCTGGGCATGATGGCGGGTGCTTGTAATCCCAGCTACTCACGAGGCTGAGGCAGAAGAATTGCTTGAACACAGGAAGTGGAGGTTGCAGTGAGCCAAGATCGAGCAATTGCACTCCAGCGTGGGCAGCAGAAGAGACTCCATAAAAAAAAAAAAAAAAAAAGTGTAAATGTACATATTTTATTTCTGTGGATTTTGGTTTTTCCCATTTTTCTACCATGAGCAATTGTTATTCATTCGCGGATGTATAATTCCCCATTCCAAACAAAAACCGTGAAGGTGACCTCTCAAGACAAGCAGGGTATGGGGCCGAGAGGCAGCCCCCAGGGGGCCAGTGCAGCCTCAGCGACCCTTCCCCACCGCTGGTGACCTCGGGCAGGTTGCCTCCTGGAGCCTCAGTTTCGTTACCTGCAAAATGGGAACAATAATATAATCCCCTCTGCCTCCTGCTCCCAAAATGCTGTCATTCTGTTTCCCTGGGGTTGTCACCAGCATGAGCCCAAGGTGCCCCTTCTCTGAGACAGGCCTGTCTCCTTGCGAGGGCCCGCAAGCTTCTCCTCTCTGCTGCTGCCCGCTGCCAGCTGTTTTGCGTTTCTGCTCTTGCAAATGTGGCTTCTCTTGGTGCTTTGGAGGCATCTGAGTGGCCGCCCCTGGGACTTCCCCCAAGCCGGCGTCCTGTGGGCTTGCCCCAGCGGGGGACAGCAGCCAGTCCTGAGAGTATGGGCTGCAGGGCCCGTAGCCCCACCCACACCGAGCTGGCGGGAGCCGTCATCGGGGCCTCCACCAGGGATTGGATGTTAGGGGCATGAGGATCAGCACGGCAGCAACTCACTGGAAGGGGCGCAGGCGTGCCAGGGGCTGCGGCTCTCTCGTGGGGCTCCCAGTCCTCTGGGTACCTGGAGTTCATGGTCATGGAGCATGGGGGTCACCAGGCAGCTGCTGGGAACTGGTGGGATGTGGGACAGGGTGTGCCCTGTGCTCTCCCTGGGGACTCTCCGGCAGCTTCTCCCTCTTCCGTCTCTCCCCTGGCCCCCTTCTTTCTTGATGAAACACCTGCCTGGGCTGGAGTCCTCACGCCCACCAGCCAGAAGTCAGCTTTGTCTGCACCGTGTCCCCCTGGTCTCTCGGCATCTCGGCAGGCACAGAAATCCACCCCTTAGCCCTGGTCATTACAGCAGCAGGTGGGCACCGACCCTGTACCAGGTGCTGCACCGAGTGCCCTGACTGTGCCAGCCCATCCGACCCCACAGCCTCCTGAAGAACGGGCTCCCTCCTCCCCGTGACACAGAGGGGACCACCCTGCTGTGGGGAACAGAACTTCCCTCCCACTGCCTCCCACGTGGCCGCTTGCCGTGTGGCAGATGCGGGACTTCTCCCT
Source organism: Homo sapiens (assembly GCF_000001405.40). NCBI lineage: Eukaryota > Metazoa > Chordata > Mammalia > Primates > Hominidae > Homo > Homo sapiens. Next base: position 61,904,775 of record NC_000020.11, read on the forward strand.
GAAGACAGGACCACCGTGGCCCCAGCATAGGTGCCTTGGAGGCCCCAGGGTCTTGCTGGACATTGTGTGGATGGGGCCTGGCCCTCTCGGCCCTGACCGCCCACTGACATCATAAGGGAACAGCTGGGTGGGTTTTTCCTGAAACACCGGCTGTGCTGCAGGGTTCCTGCCCAAATCCTCCTCTTGCGAATGGTGACCTTCCCCTGAGAAGCTCACAGTTTCTGCCTCAGAGCTGGGATTGTGCCGGAAGGCCCTCGTAGGAAGACAAAATCCTCCTACCTCTCGGGATGGGTGCACAGTTGAATTCTAGATTACAGTCTCGGCAACAAATTCCATTCCGATGCTCTTAAAATTTCTCCTTTCCCAAATACCTGCCTTTTCATCCCAAGGGGCCTGAGAGGCTTTCCTTGTGTCGGAAAATCTGAAAAAATTAAATTTAAAAGTCATTATGGCTGGGGGAAGGTTAATAAGAAAATTCTAAACCAGATTTATCAGCTAAGGCCTTCTTTGTGAACCTTTATTAAACTTGCATGATTTAGAATAGACTCTTTGTATAAACTTCACTCAGAAGTCTGCAAGGGAATGGACGCAGAGAGCGCCGCGCTCCCTCCTCAGAAGGACGGGAGTGAGTGGAGAAGCGTCAGACAGGCCCTCGCTAAAACAGCAGACAACACCAGGACCCACCTGGCCATGTAAGCAGAGACAGACGCTACAGAGGATGTGAGGGGCCACAAAATCCAAGGGGCCAGGAGCTTCAGGCACGGCCGCTCCACCAGGAGGGTGCCCTCCTGCCCCCACCACTAGGCACAGAGCCTTGCCCCTGCTGCCTGCAAGGGTGCTAGCCACACCTTCTGCCTCTGCTGGCTCCAAAGCTCAAGGAATCTCTGCAGTTTGCCAGGATCAGGCCCTCTCTGCCTCTCTTCTGAACCACAGACAGCCAGGTGCACCTGGCTGGCATGTCCCTAGGTCACTTACCTGGTTGTGGCTGTAGAGGAGGCCAGGAAAGTGGATATCTGGAAAATAAGGAAGGGAATTCAGAAGGTGCAGGGGAACCAGGAAGCCTCACTAATGACCACTATGCTGACCCTGGCAGCTTGAAAAAAAAGAGAGTGGCTCATCTCACAAGAGCTGAGAAGTCTTGGAAAATCTCTCCCTTCAGGCATGGCTGGATCTAGGCTCCACCAGCTCACCATGACGCTCCCCTGGACCATGCTTCCTCCAGCCGGCTTTGTTCTCAGGCTGCGAATGGCGGCTCCCAACCAACCCAACACCTTCAGATTCACGTGGTTACCATGCCCAGGCCAGACGCAGGGGCCGCCAGAACTGACCCCTAATTGGCTGACTTAGGTCATTAGCCTATTTCAAACCAGTTATTGAGGCGGGGGCCTCAGGGGTGGAGAACAAGGATCTGAAGCATTTTCAGTGAAGGACCAGATAGTATTTTCATCTATGGTCAGGCTGTCTCTGTTACTGCGACTCAATGCCACTGTTGGGGCAGGAAAGCAGCCACGGGTGATATGTAAATGAATGGGGTGTGGCTGGGTGTCAATAAAACTTTATTTATAAAAACAGGCCTCGGGCCAACACCACACTAGACCAAGCTGACCAGAGCCCTTCATCCCACCAAGCCCTTAAGGAAACTTGGGGTGACATGGCCGCAGGACCGGAGCGGCATGGTCCTGCTCAACCCTCCCACAGAGGCCTGAAGGCCAGAAGCTACAGAGGGCTGCCAAGTGGCTCCCGGGGGAGGCCAGCAGGTTTTCACTCAAGGAAGGAGAAGCGCCCTAAGATTCAGGCAGGCTGCTTTGGGGGCAAGGCAGTGTCCCCAGCGGAGGGAGTGGCCCTGAGCCAGGTGTCAGAGCCCAGCAGTGTGTGCTACGGGGCCCTGGCAGGCTGCTTTGGGGCAAGACGGTGTCCCCAGCAGAGGGAATGGCCCGGGGCCAGGTGTCAGAGCCCAGCAGTGTGTGCTGTGGGCCCTGGCAGGCTGCTTTGGGGCAAGACGGTGTCCCCAGCAGAGGGAATGGCCCGGGGTCAGGTGTCAGAGACCAGTGGTGTGTGCTGTGGGGCCTGGCCAGAGCAGCGTCTGTGTGTTCATGGCATCTCTGGAGAGGGCTCAGGGTCCTGGCACCCAGGACATTTTGCAACTCAGATCTCCGGGGTCAGGGGAGCTCACTGGCCTTGAGTCCTCCACCAGCCACTGCAGGGGTCACCTGCCTGCCTCACTGACGATGGGGCAGGCCACCCTCCTCCCTGCTCCAGGTCTGCAAAGCTCCCCCAACCCTGAGGCCCTCCCACCACCACCTCTGCCTGGAGATGGTCCAAGCAGGGAGTGTATAATGTGACCCAGCTACCACCTCCCCTGAGGACACCAGGGGGACTATCACCTCCACCTCACAGCTCTGTCCCACCCCCAGGCCCCCCCGGGCACCAGGTCAGCTCCTAGACTCACAGCAACACGGACCTGGCTGAGGAGGGCTGCCCCTCCCGCCCATTCCCCGGCCCTTCTGGAACTTGTTCACAGGCCTCAGCGAAGCTTCCTTGAATGTCCCCCTGCAGTGGTCCTCTGCCCGGGGCCTGGCCGCCCAGGATCCCGTGTGGCCACAGCCTCAGCAAGGGCTGTCCTCTCACACCCAAGGACTGCAGGGCTGAGATCAGGCAGGCAGCTCCCTGTACCTCACTCTCAGGCATGTTCTCACCCCCAGAACATATGGATCTCCAACCATGGCCTGAGTCGCCCCTGCTATCCCCCAGTAGGCACCATCCCCCATGCCATGATGCCTTGCAGTGCAGGGCCCAGTGTGTCCCACGGCGGCGCCAGCTCCTTGTCCTGCTGGGGGACGATCTGACTCCTGGGCGGCTCAAAACGTGTGATGAAGGGAAGACAGAGTGAGTCCCGAAGCTCCCTCCTCTAGGGCCAGGTCAGCGTCTCCAGGCCTCCCCGGGTACCCAGCTGCAGGTTCCGGGCTCTGGCCACCTGGCTCAGGAACAGAGACAGCTGGGAGATTCCGTCCCACACTAGACATCGGGAGTGGTGGGGGCGGTAGCTGTCCACTCTGGAGTTTAGCAAAGACGGTTCCTCCCAATCCTCAGATGAGATCTGTGGCTGAGCGTGGCCATCGTGTGAGGAAGGGCTCCTGCTCCACAGACAGGGCTGAGATCCCACTTTGGATAAATCCACAATTTTTCTTCCTAACAAGCTGATTGTATCGGGATGTGAATGCTTGGACCTAAACGTGACAGGCAGGGCCCTTCCTACCAGACCCAGAGCTGGGCCGGGCTGCGGGGTTTTCAGCCCAGCTTAGAGCCCCAGGTCGAGGAGGCTGATTAAAGGACTTTCTCTGAGCTTTTGAAATACAGAGAAAGGACGCAGTGTTTGTCTGGGATTAAATTGGAATATTTTTCCATCCTTGACAAGGCAGCCCGTTGGTGTGGGCTCTGAATTCTTCTGTCGCGTCGCCGTCCTTTTTAGGAATGCTGACTCGGCTCCTGCCTGGGAAAGGGGACCAGCGTATTTCATTTTTGTGCATTTATATGAAGGCTATCACTCATTCCTTCATTCATTGATTGGGCCAGCAGGGACAGTCGCCATCTGTATTTCCCCGGACCCTGTTCACCTGATGTCTTTGTCCACTGGTCTAATGGGGCCTCCACGCTCATGACAGATGCACGGAAGGGGCGCGGGTGGGTCGGGTGAATCTGCGCCATCTCACAGCCTCCTCTCACACCGGCTCTGAGATTCTGGGCCCAGAACCGCTGCCTCGGGGCCTCTGTGTGCTTCTCTGTCCTTGCAGGACCTGCCTGTGGCAGACGCGGTCTGCTGGCCGCCCGACGCCCGTTTCCCACCCCTTCTCCGTTTCCCACCTCACAAGGCTCCCTTCTTTGGGCTTGTGGTGGCCGTGGGACATCGCCCTGTCCAACGGGAGTGTCAGCACAAGTCAGCTGGGGAGGGGCACTCCGGGAAGACTCTTTCTTACCGAAGGGACAGCTGTGCTTCTCAGGCAGCCAGAGGGCCAGGCCGAGCTGCAGGGTCCTGACCATGGGAGGCCGGGGAAGGACAAAGCCCCGTCCCAACGGGCCCAGCCACCTGCAGCCCTGGAAGGTCAGGCTCCTGGGTTCAGGTCACCCCAGTGCAAGTTTCTGTTTGCTGCACCTGAGGGCTTCTCCGTGACTCCTGGCTGAGGGCAGGTGTGAAGGTGGCCTGGGTAATTCCCCAGACACCCTAACGGCCTTGTTTTAACTTGGTCACCTCTTTAAAAGTCCCATCTCCAAATACAGTCACACTCTGAGGCCTTGGGGGTTTAGGGCTTCCACACAGAAACTCCAGGACACAACATTCTGCCCCTAACAGTGCCTCATGCCAGGACACAGGGGCTTCCCACCCGGGGACACTCCCGGTGGAAGGGGAGCAGAGCTGCCTGCAGATGTGCACAGCAGCCCTGTCCTGATGCTCCAGCGCCCGTCCTGGGAGGAAGGGTACCTGATCACAGCACCGTCACATCACAGAGCGCTGCTCAGCCATCTCAGCTGCACGCAGCAACACAAAGGAATCCCAGAGCCACAGTGCCCAGCAGAAGCCAGACACAAGTGCTGGAAGGTTCCGCCCATGTAAAGAAAAAACCCAGGTCAACTCATCTGTGACGCCAGAAGTCAGCATGAGCTTGCAAGGTTCCTGCAACAAATGGCCACAAACTAGGGGCTTGAAACAACAGGAATTTATTCTGTCAGTTGGAAATCACCAGGGTCTTGCTCCCTCTAAAGACTCCAGGGAGAACCCTTCCTGCCTCTTCCGGGTTCTGCTGGCCACCCTGGTGTTCCTGGGCTTGTGGTGGCATCACTCTAGTCTCTGCCCCCATCTCCCACGGCCTCCCCTTCTGAATATGTCTGCGTCTTCTCTTCTTTGTGAAATCCCCTCTGCCTCCCTCTTCTGAAGATGCACATGGTAGCATTTAGCTCCCACCTGGATAATCCAGAAAAATCTCCCCAGCTCAGAATTCTTACCTCCAGCACCTTTTCTTCCTACAAGGTGGCATTTCTAGCTCCAAGGATTGAGATGTGGCCATATCTTCGGGGACACCATTCAACCAGTACAGGTGGAAACTTTGGGACCTGGAAGGGGTCTGGGGTGGGGACTGGGAATGAAAAGAAGTGCCCATTGTTGAAGCCGCTCCATCAGTGGCCCTCTGCCGTGGCTGCAGGGCTGACGCACCTGCCGGGCAGGTCTGCACGCCTGCTTCAGTGGGGCCCCGGCAGCCGTGCTATGAGGCGTGCACTCCCGTGCACCCCTGAGCAGCCTGTCTTCTCTGATTCCTGATCTGGGCGTGGCTGACACGGTGTGTTCTGTTTGTGAACACTCGTTGAGCTGGGCTGACACGGTGTGCTCTGTTTGTGAACACTCCTTGAGCTGGGCTGACATGGTGTGTTCTGTTTGTGAACACTCCTTGAGCTGGGCCGACACGTTGTGTTCTGTTTGTGAACACTCGTTGAGCTGGGCTGACACGGTGTGTTCTGTTTGTGAACACTCGAGCTGGGCTGACACGGTGTGTTCTGTTTGTGAACACTCGTTGAGCTGCACATATGCTACGTGCACTTCTCTGTGCATATTTACACTTAACACGGGTTTGTGACATTCTTTCCTTCCATTTTGCAGTTTGCAGGGGAGGTCCCCGAAAACCGCGTGGAGACCGTGGTCGCAAACCTCACGGTGATGGACCGAGATCAGCCCCACTCTCCAAACTGGAATGCCGTTTACCGCATCATCAGTGGGGATCCATCCGGGCACTTCAGCGTCCGCACAGACCCCGTAACCAACGAGGGCATGGTCACCGTGGTGAAGGTGCGTACTCTTCTCACACCCTGCCAGGCACCCCAAGTTCTGCCACCTGCACACTCCCTAGGACCAGTCAAACAGGAGTGATACTCGGTGTAAAGTTACTGCCCCCCTAATATCCAAGGGTAGAGGCAGGTAACCCAACCTGCTGGAGGCAGACACAACCTTCACAAGGACCTGTCATGTGACCTTCAGGGGCTTGGCAGACCCCCCAAAAATACCCTCCCATTCCCTTTTCAATGTCTATATATTCACTCCCACCCCCTAATCTAGTAATGGGCGAATTTCATTATTAGAATTCCTAATGTTAAACCATCTTTGCATTCCTGAGACAGATCCCACTGAGTAGTGAGGTAATATTTTGTAACACATTGAAGAATTTGTTTTGCTGATATTTGAAGTTTTTCATGTACTTTTCTGGGTGATTTAGGCCTATAGCGTCCTCATCTGGGTTTTGGTATCAAGGTTACAGACTAATCTCAAGAGTTTTTCTGTCCCAGAGACAGGTCTTATGATGCTGTAATAATCTGTCCCCTGAATGTTTCGTCACACTGTGCTGTGAAGCCATTGAGTAGCTGTAGATTTTGTCTTTTTGGTCGTGCTTCTTTTTGTTTTGGAGAGAGATCGGTTTGTAACTACTGGTTCAATTTCTTTGATGGTTTTGGTCAGATATGTTCTTCTAGAAAAGTGTCCATTTAATCTAAATTTTCAAATTTACTTATAAAGGCCTATCATTATAGTAGTAGTGATTCAGTCTTCTAATCTAACTCTTTTTCTACACTCATAATTCATATTCCCCTGGAAGGGCAGATTGGGAATTATATCATAACACTTAGCAATCGTTTACAACTTAGTGTGAAGAAGTTTAGCAGCTATTGTCCCAAAACAATTTTGAATAGGACTAAGAAGAAAAGAGCAAGAGCACATTGGGCATTTTTAGAGAAAAGGAGGGGTGACAGAATGGTGAGCTTAAAGCTGGGTAGGATCTGCCGAAGCGTAAGGAAAAGCAAGATGAGCTTAAAGCTGGATAGGATATGCCAAAGCATAAGGAAAAGCAAGATGAGCTTAAAGCTGGATAGGATATGCCGAAGCATAAGGAAAAGCAAGGTGAGCTTAAAGCTGGATAGGATATGCCGAAGCGTAAGGAAAAGCAAGGTGAGCTTAAAGCTGGATAGGATATGCCGAAGCGTAAGGAAAAGCAAGGTGAGCTTAAAGCTGGATAGGATATGCCAAAGCGTAAGGAAAAGCAAGTTTCATTTTGAGTTGGATCATTTAGAAATTTCCTTCAGCAGCCCGGAGCAGAGACTTAACCACAGAAATTTAAATACTCGAGAGTTGTATTCTCTCACGTGAGAGGAGTCTGAGGTGGGCAGTTGGGGCCAATGTCACAGCTGCACAATCAACAGAAACCCTGGCTGCTTCTATCCTCTGCTCTGCTGTGCACACCTTTCAGCTTCTAGGGCCCCTCGTGGTCCAAAATGGCTACTAGAGCACCAGCCATTACGAGACTTTTACAGGCGGTAGGAAATCAAAAAGGGGGGAAGAATGGCTCACCCCTCCTTTATTAAGGGACCTTCCCAGAACACCTGTTCACATCTTCTGGGGCAGAGTTTAGTCACATGGCCATTCTTAGCCAGAGAAGACACTGCATAACATAATTATGGAAACATATCCCAAACTTCTCCTAAGGAAGAGGGGAGCTAGATGTTAGGAGATCACAGGGGAAGAAAATAGGCTTTCTCCAGGATCTGTGTCTTTTCTCAACACCCCAAAGTCATCTTTTTCCTTTTCTTAATAACCTCTTTTGTAAGCAAGCTAGTGAAGACCAGTTCTCCTGAAAAATCTTATAAATTCTTCATCATTTTTATTTTATGAAATATTCAAACATACACACAAGCAGAAATAATAGTGAAATGAACTTCCGTATACCCATCACCTAGATTTAATTAACATTGTGCTACATTTACTAAATCTTTTTATTTTGGCTGATATGTTTGAAAGTAAATTAGCATGTCACAGCATTCCAGCCCTAACTCTGTATAAGCTTTCTTCTTCAAGAGAGGCTATTTTTTCACCGTAAAAGATAGTTCTTAGAGAAGAGGCAAAATACACGTTTCACTTCCCCTCTAATTATGAATTTTCAGAGTGAGGTATTAGCACAGCCGGCCCCCCAGTGGCAAAGTCAGATCTGTGTGCGCAGGGACTGGGCATGGTGAGGAAGGATGTGGCAAACCCTTTCTCCTTTTCTCTGGGCGCATTTGACCTCAAGCTAACATTCTAGCTCTGGCCTCTAGAAACCCACAAGGTGAATCGTCAGCTGCTTTGCTGGCAACGTTGCTCATGGGAAGGTGATGGAGACTGGATGTGACATGCAGGCAGAGGAGAGGAGTGAGCCGTGAGCCCAGAGCTGGCTGGGGCCTTCCCCAGTGAGTAGCGAGCCTCGGCCCATCTCCTGCTTGTGATTCCAAGGAGGTATCTCTGACTCCCACAGCTCGGATTCTGTGGCCTTCACGGGGAGCACAACGGGCAGCCCCCGGCCCCAGGAGATCAGCACCTGTCTCACCTCCCCTGCCCTTGGAGGGCCACTTCTGTAGCTGGAGCACACACAGCCCCGCCACCTTCATCAGCCCAACATAGATCAGAAAGGGCCGGTACCAAGGAAGAAGGCTGGCTCGATGTGGTGGGGAAAGCCTGACCCCTAAGGACTCCAGGGAAGGTGGCTTCCTGCCCAGCCCAGGGGCTGGTGGCCTCAGCCGTCATGTGCCTGCCTGGCCCTATCTGCGCGGAGCATCACAGCCACGGAAAGTGGAAGAGCACAGCCAACTTCAGGGAAGCGCCAGTGTCTTGGGACTGCATGGGCCTCGTGGCACTGGGCCAGGCCCTCAGCAGGCCCACGGAGCCCCTTGGCAGGCCCACGGAGCCCTCTTCTGTTCTTCAGAGAGGAGCCACTGGTTCCAAGCATATAGCACAGACTAGACTGTGGGGCATGGACTGAGGGTCCCAGGAGGGCCTGGGCACCGCCACCCCGGGAACTGATTCCTGAGATGGGAAATCATCCCCTTCCGGTTCTTCCTCCAGCTGGGGATGCTCCTGAGAAGGCCGCTGGGAGAGTAACTCCTCCAGGGCTCAGCTGCTTGGCAGCCATATCCTCACAGCAGGAAGGCCCTGGCTGGCAGGTGGGTGGGGCATGAATTTTGGAGGCAGAGAGGAGGTGCTGACAGCAGCCAGGTGGGCACAGCCGGGCACATTCACTGACCTATTGCCATGTGACAGCTTGGCAGCGGGCCACCCTCTGCTGAGTTTGTGCCACGTCCCTTCCCCTAGCCATCAGGGTCTCCTGTCCAGCTCCACCCTCTCCTTGTCAGGCCTCTGTCTACGTGGTGAGAATGGGGTTTCCCGAAGCATGTCTACAGAACGCTGGTTCTCAGGATGTTGATGAGTGCTGCCTGCGAGCCACGTTCGTAGCTAAAATCTCCCCACCACCTGTGCCTCCTGCCCCCCCACAGCCAGTCAACATCAGTGGCACTGAGGCCATTGAGGGGCCTGTGAAAGGAAGATGAAACCTCAGGACCCCAAACCCACTATGCCAAGGGAAGTGGAGCATGGGGACTGAGTCTCACGGTGCTGCCTCCCTTCTGTGGCCACACAGGTAGCTGGGGCTTCACACACCTACCCCGGCTTCTGTGAAACGTGGATCCACTGAGCACTAAGCAGAGCCTCGCAAGGATGTAGCCACTGTCTCATTGCCTACCCGGCCCCCGCTTTTTTCTCCTTTCCTCCTCCCTCTCCTGTCTGCTCTTTCCTCTTTAAATATTGAAGTCCTCAAAACCCTCTTTGGGAAAAGCACAGGACACAGATCCCACTGGGACTTGTGCTTCTTCTTCCCGGGTGCGGGCTCAGCCTCGGCAGAATAACCCTGGAATCAACGGAGATCGGTGCGGGCTCAGCCTCAGCAGAATAACCCTGGAATCGACTCAGATCTTGCAGGCCCCATCCCTCAGGCCTGGGAGGCTTGGAGACCTGCCATGCTCAGGGGAACAAACATAGCCCCTGCCTGGTACCCCGCATCTCCCACCAGAGCAACAGAAACTAGAAAGGTGCTGCCACTCCACACCCACAGGCGGGCTGGCACCCACCAGCAGAAACCCAGATGTGAAAATCTGCAGATTTTCAGATTTGGGGCTTGGGGTGCATTTTACCTTTTCACAGCTGCCGTCTTCCCCACTGGGCACAAGGAGGAGCAAACCAAGTTCCTACAGCACTGCCTGCTGCATGTGCCTGGAGGGCTGCAGCTGGCTCAAGTCTTCATGACCTAGAGAACTAGTGCCGTCCCTATTTCTGCACTTCTCCAGATCTCCAGCACCCTGAAACTCCCAGGGAGCCTCAGGCCAGGCCCCAATGTGATCAGCTACAGTGACGTTGGGCACCGATACCAGGTGTGCCATCCTCACCCCCATCTCACTTGGTCCTCACGCCCACCAAGGAGGTGCTATTCTTGTCCCATTTCACAGATGGCATAACTGGGAGCCCACACACAGGATCACACAGTGGGGACTGTACAAGCTGGGGCTGGAACCTGCTACCTCTGCCATAAAGCCATCTGTTAACCGTCCAGGTTCCTCGCTGGCCCTGCCTATCTGACTGAGCCAAGGTGTCTGTGTGTGTTCAGGACAACGTTCCACAGGTTTGAGGCCGAGGCTGAGGGCTGGCTGGGCTGTGTCTGCTCAGAAACCAGTCCTCTTCCAGGGCATCCTGGCAAGGCCAGATGGTACCGTCTGACCAGCCTGAAACCTTCCTAGTGCCATGAGGAGGGGACACGGAGGCTTGAGGAGGGGTCCAAGGCCTCCTGAGGCAGCATGAAACTCTGACCCAGCTGACGGTCCCCAGCCCAGGGGCCCTGAGACCCCATGATGCCTCTCCCCAGCTGTAAGCCCAAGTCCTATAATGGGAAGCTGCTCAGCCGTCAAAAGGAACAAACGGGAGATCCATGTGACACGCGATGGGTCTCCAGTGCATCACACTAAGTGAGATGAGTCAGAACCAAAAGGTGGCCTGTTGCATGCCCCCATCTGCAGAACATCCCGGAAAAGACAAAACTGTGGGGACAGAAAACCCTTCAATGCTTTGCTGGTGGGTGGAGAGGAAGGGACTGCAAAGGCACAGCATGAGAGAAGCGTGGAGGAGACGGGACTCTCCTGCACCTTGGCCGTGGGGCTGGCCGTGCTTCCGTACACTTGTTAACATTCCTGAGAGTGACTCTTACTGCATGTCAATTTTCAAATAAATTTTAAAATTTGAGGAGCTGAGAGCACAGACTTGCAGCCACACTGTCCCCAAAGAGTCATGGGTCATTGTGTCCTAGGTAGAATTCAACAGGAGAACCACACTTTTTCTTTTTTCTTTCATTTTTGTTCTTACTCCATATAGTGCTTTTCTCTGAAGTTTCAATTTAGAATCTGTTTAAGGTGTGTATTTAGTCTGGGGATGCTTCGCCTTAGAAAACATTTCCAAAATTGGTTTTGCATTCTTTGGTAGAGACGTCGTCTTTTCAGGCATTCTCTTTCGGAGCAGGGGAGTGGGGTGGAGGGGAGGGGTTGGGGAGTGGCGGGTGGTGTGGGAGGTAGAAGGCCAGTGCAGGGACCCCATGGCCCAGCCCACAGGAGATGTCCAGTATCTTGAGGGCATCTGTTCTTAGATTCCCACGCTAGCTCTTTGCTCACTTACCCCTGGCATGGACCAGCCACTTAATCTCTCTGTGCCTCAGTTACCTCAAACATAAAATGATGCAAATTGTGGGGCCTATGCCCAGAGGCTTATGACTCACACTGAAATAGACCCTGGATATAAATGATTTGGCACAGTGCCCGGCACAAGGTAAGGACTGAATCAATGGTATTAGCTGCTGTCGTCATCATAACCATTCTCGTTATCATCATCATCATCCTCATCGTCTTCATTGTCACTGCTGTCCCGAGCTGGGGAGAGGCTCCTGATCATTCTCCCTGCTTAGTTCCCCAGAGCATGAAGGTTACTTTAATTCCATGAAGGGTCCCCTGAGTCCCTCAGAAGAGCAGGCACCATATCATGTATGTACACTGCAGACCTGACCAGGTCACTGCTCCCAACCTTCAGTAGTTTATAGTCTGCAGAGGGGATGGTGAGGAGGAATCAGTGAAATATTTTGTCAGGTACACACTGGAAGCCCCAAATCCAGCAATGCAGCAGTGTGCTCTTTCCTTCTCTAAACCGACTTAGCTTCTGTTTCTAGCTGGGTCCCCCCAGGTGGTGGTAAGTGGTAGACTGGCATCTCTTCTGCCTCCCTTTTCACACAGTTGTGTCTATGCTCTGGGCTGATGCAGTGCCCTGTGCAGGGAAGGAGAGCACTCCTGGGCAACTGTCAGAGGTGTTTGGTCACCTCTGTTCTCAGCCATCAGTCACCCAAATCCTGGCTGCATCATCCTTCACTTCTGCGGTCCAGCTCGGCCACTGTCAAAAGAAGTCCACAGGCATCTCGGGCACGTCATCCAGATCTGTCCTGCCCCACACTCCCAATTCCATCTCCCTAGCCATACCAGCCGGGGATGAGGAATGCGCCTTGCCACCTCCCAGGCTCTACCTGAGGTGGGCACACAGCTTCTCCGCTCTCAGGTCCCCAAACCCAAATACCATCTGTTACCATCATACCCTCCTCAGGGCCCAGCACGGCCTCTTGTCTCCCTCCTCCAGTTGTGAAATCTTATCTTGAAGGAGCAAGGCCCAGGTCCAGGCTCATCCCAGGTTCTTTCTCGTCTTACCCATGGCCCTCAGTTTTAAAGCTAAAAAGCCAAGAACCGGCCTCTGCCACTTCCCCTTCGGGCAGCAACAGAGCTGGCCTTCCTGTGGGAGGCTCGCAGGTGGGAATTCCAGGGAGAGCAGGTCAGTGATGGGGTCAGTTCAGGCAACTCCTCCCCAAGACAGGGGCGCAGAGTGAGACTTTGAATGGAAGCTCCTGAGCCTCCCATCGGAGGGGAGCAGGGCAGACGTCCTGGTGTGTCCCCACCTGGTCCTGCCCACTCCGCCCAGCCGGTGCTGGAGCTGCTGCTCAGGCACACGCCCAGCTGCTCACCTCTGAGTGAAGGGTCATGGCCACGTGTGGGCGGCAGCCATGCTGAGCCTCAGCGAGTATATCCAGCCACCCTAATCGAAACTGCTGGAGCAAATTACCTATTGATTTCTCCATTACAAATGTGTTTTATTTTATCTTCCTGTGGGCTTTTATTGGCCATAATCATCTTTCTGGAAGGCCTCCTTGCTCAGGCTGGTGACACGATTTTTTAACGCATGACATGCAGCATTATTCCATGTCCCCGGGAACATGAGCCAATAAATATGGGAGAAAGACCACTTCCCTCAGGGGCTTGTTCATAGCGCTACCACGACGTGATGAAACAGTCTAGCCACATGAGTGGCCCCGTCCCAGCCAGCTGCTGGAGGGCCTGGGGGGGCAGCTGCAGGCGTTGGCATGGACAGCTCTGGGGGGGACCCCAACACGATGTGGGTGCAGGCAGGTGCTGGGAGCTTGGAGGCATCTGGAGTCCAGAGACAGAGGGACCAAGGCCAGACTTGGGGGTACCTGAGACCCCTGGTAGAACCTTTCAGAGGAGTGTGCTGGGTTATTCTGGATCAGGCGTCCCTTCAGGCTTGCAGTCAGCTTGGGCTGTGGAAGGTTCTGCAGGGTGACAGCTGCAGGTGTGAGGCCCCTGTGTGGCACACACAACCCCAAGATGGGCCTGGGCAGTGGTGGTGAACAAGGGGGTGCCCACTCCCTATATCCCCCAGGCACCTATGGGGCACAGATGAACCACACTGGCGCTGTGCTGGACGCTGGGGAGGCGGAGGTACAGGGCACAGCCCCTGCCCCAGGGGTGGCAGAGTCAGGGTGGGGGTCATGAACCAACGCAGTGAGAGGTGACAGCGTGCATCAGGGAGCCACGAGGCATCTCACTCAGGACTCAGGGAGGCTAGCAGGGACCACCCCTTCCTTCAGAGGGACAAGGAGACCACCCCTGGGGAGGATGAGGGCTCACCTAAGCGTGGTGTCGCGGTGATTGCGTGGAAGCGTGGTATTGCAGTGACTGCGTGTCACCCCCAGGGGCAGTGCAGGGACCGTGGGGACCCAGGACCAGAACTGTGATCTCTGCCACTCCCTGCAGACCCTCCTGGAGGCAGTCATGGGCTTCCAGGAGCCACCGTCTCAGTTTTCCTTCCATGCCCATCCAATACTATTATTTAGGCAATTTTATTTTTTGAGACGAGGTCTTACTCTGTTGCCCAGGCTGAAGTGCAGTGGTACGATCACTGCTCACTGCAGCCTTGACCTCCCAGGCTCAAGCAGTCTTCCCACTTCAGCCTCCTGGGTAGCTGGGACTACAGGTGTGTGCTACCACGCTCAACTAATTTCTTTTTGTTTTGTAGAGACAGCATCTCACTATGTTGACCAGGCTGCTCTCGAACTCCTAGGCTCAAGTGATCCTCCTGCCTCAGCTTTTCAAAGTGTTGGGATTACAGGCATGAGCCACCGCACCTGGCCTTATTGATGTGATTTTTAAATTTCTTCTTTTTGTACTGAAATATCTTATTCAGTAGCAGTGCCGAGAAGTCCTGAGTGTGACATACCAGATTATGTGGTTGTTCCTGCTTGGAAAGATCAGGCCCTGAGAGGCTGTGGTGGCCCCGGAGATGGGGTGGAGTTGGATCTGTTCAGACTCAGGTGCTTCACTGCCGGCCCCAAGCATGGGGAGTGGGGTTCAAAACAGCACCTTGTGGGTGGAACACCCCAGGTTCCTTCCTGTCTCACCTGAGGCCCTCAGCTTATGAAGCTCCAAAGCCACAAACTGGCCTTTTCCGCTCCACTGTAGACAGTGCCTGGCCTGCCTGCCTGCAGGTGGTTCACGAGGGGTGGGAACGTGGGGACATCACATCAGTGGCGGGACATGGTGCCCTCATGCTTCTTGGGGAAAGCTGATTGATTCCTCCAGCAGATAAGTTCCTCTCTAAGTGGAAATGTCTTACACTGTTTATCATGAAAGTTTCCAGGCATTCCTAGAAGTAGGAGGAACCTGCATAATTGCGTGGAAGCGCTGTGTCATGATGATTGCGTGGAAGCATGTCATGGTTGCGTGGAAGCGTGGTGTCGCGGTGATTGCATGGAAGCGTGTTGTGATTGTGTGGAAGTGTGTCGTGATTGCATGGAAGCGTGTGATTGTGTGGAAGCATGGTGTCGCGGTGATTGCATGGAAGCTTGTGATTGTGTGGAAGCATGGTATCGTGATTATGTGGAAGCGTGGTGTCACGGTGATTGCGTGGAAGCGTGTTGTGATTGTGTGGAAGCGTGGTATCGCGGTGATTGCATGGAAGTGTGGTGTCACAGTGATTGCGTGGAAGCGTGTCGTGATTGTGTGGAAGCATGGTATCGTGATTGTGTGGAAGCGTGGTGTCACGGTGATTGCGTGGAAGCATGTTGTGATTGGAAGCGTGTCACGGTGATTGCGTGGAAGCGTGGTTTTGTGATTGCATGGAAGCATGGCGTCACAGTGACTGCGTGGAAGCGTGGTGTCATGGTGACTGCGTGGAAGCATGGTGTCACGGTGATTGCATGGAAGCGTGGTGTCACAGTGATTGCATGGAAGCGTGTCATGATTGTGTGGAAGCATGGTATCGTGATTGTGTGGAAGCGTGGTGTGATTGTGTGGAAGCGTGGTGTCATAGTGATTGCATGGAAGCGTGTCGTGATTGGAAGCGTGGTGTCGCGGTGATTGTGTGGAAGTGTGGTGTGATTGCGTGGAAGCGTGTCTTGGTGATTGCATGGAAATGTGTGATTGCATGGAAGCGCAGTGTCACGGTGATTGTGTGGAAGCGTGTCATGGTGATTATGTGGAAGTGTGGTGTCGTGATGATTGCATGGAAGCACCGTGTCATGGTGATTGTGTGGAAATGTGGTGTGATTGCGTGGAAGCGTGGTGTCACAGTGATTGCATGGAAGTGTGGTGTCACAGTGATTGCATGGAAGCGTGGTGTCACAGTGACTGCATGGAAGCGTGGTGTCGTGATGATTGCATGGAAGCGTGGTGTCACGGTGATTGCATGGAAGCGTGGTGTGGTGATTGCATGGAAGCATGGTGTCACAGTAATTGCATGGAAGCGTGGTATCATGGTGATTGCGTGGAAGCGTGGTGTCGTGATTGCATGGAAACGTGGTGTGATTGCATGGAAGCATGGTGTCACAGTAATTGCATGGAAGTGTGGTGTCATGGTGATTGCATGGAAGCGTGGTGTCGTGGTGATTGCATGGAAGCATGGTGTCACAGTAATTGCATGGAAGCATGTCATGGTGATTGCGTGGAAGTGTGGTGTCGTGATTGCATGGAAGCGTTGTGTCACAGTAATTGCATGGAAGCGTGTCATGGTGATTGCGTGGAAGCGTGGTGTCGTGATTGCATGGAAGCATTGTGTCACAGTAATTGCATGGAAGCGTGGTGTCACGGTGATTGTGTGGAAGCGTGGTGTCATGATTGCATGGAAGCGTGGTGTCACAGTGATTGCATGGAAGCGTGGTGTCGTGATTGCATGGAAGCACTGTGTCACAGTAATTGCATGGAAGCATGGTGTCACGGTGATTGCGTGGAAGCGTGGTGTCACAGTGATTGCATGGAAGCGTGGTGTCATGGTGATTGCATGGAAGCATGGTGTTGTGTAAATCTCACAGTGATAGGCACGCTGCTGCGTGGCAATCTGCACTTTTTGCAGGAGTACGTTTTTTTAATTACCAGACCTCATGATCCTCCGCACCTAAATCTGTCAGAATGCATCACCCTCAAAAGCACATTTTGGGCAGGGTGCAGTGGCCCACGCCTGTCATCCCAGCACTTTGGGAGGCCGAGGCAGGCGGATCACCTGAGGTCAGAAGTTCAAGACCAGCCTGGTCAACATAGTGAAACCTCGTCTCTACTAAAAATATAAAAATTAGCCAGGCATGGTGGCGGGCACCTGTAATCCCAGCTACTGGGGAGGCTGAGGCAGGAGAATCACTTGAAGCCAGGAGGCAGAGGTTGCAGTGAGCCGAGATCATGCCACTGCACTCCAGCCTGGCAATGGAGGAAGACTCTGTCAAAAAAAAAAAAAAAAAAAAATCAAAGCTCTATGATAAGAAATAGAGAGCAAACTCACAAACTCACACTCCCAGCTGTGACCCTGACCCCATTCCTTCCCTCTGATAACGATGATCATTTTTATTAGTTTTTGGTTTATCCTCACGATGTTTCTTTCTGCAAATATGAGCAAATACATATACAAATCATATTTTTCTCTCTCTTTTGCACAAAAGGTGCACACTATGTGGGTTGCTTTTTTGCCCACCAGTAGATCCTGGAAAGCTCTCCTCTTCAGTACACAGAGGGTGTTCTCTTTCCTCTTTACGGCTGCAAGTGTCTCCCCATGCAGATGTACTGCAGGCTGTGCAGCCCACCATTGCTGATGGATGTTTGGGTCATTTCCAGCATATTGTCTCGACAGATACTACGCAATGAATACTCTTATGCATATGTTACTTTGCACGTATCTAAGCAGAATATTTTAATGCAATTGAGACACAATGTGTTGTGTTTTTTTCCAGTGAAACTGTTGCAAGCTTTGCCATTGAACGTCTCAGGGCCCCAAGCTTTTTCCATGTAACTTCCCTCCCTCCCCAAAATGTGTAGGAAAGGCTTGAGCGAAGCTTTTCTGATAATACAGCATCACTGCAGAACCGTAGCTCTAGCGTTTATCAGCCAGGGTCCTGGTGCACCAGAAGGGCACCAAAGAATTGTGTGAATGCAGGGGCCAAGTGCAGCAGTGATGGGAACTGCAGACCTGGCATGGTTCTGTCCGGGGCTGCGGTTACAAGTCACCACAAACCAGGTGGGTTACAACAATAGAACTGTCTTCTGTTCCAGCTCTGCGAGTCAGAGACATAAAATCAAGGTGCCGGCAGGAACGGTCTCGCTTAGGAGGTTGTAGAGGAGAACCCACTGCCTGCCTCTCTCCCGTTTCTTGGCCTGTAGCTGCCTCACTCCAGACTGCACCTCTGTCGCCACATGGCTCCTCCCTGCACCTGTGTGTCTCAAATATCCCTCTCCCTTTCTCTCTGTTTTGAAATTTTGGAGAGCCTTGCTCTGTCACCCAGGCTAGAGTGCAATGGTGTGATCACAGTGCACCACAGCCTCAAACTCCTGGGCTCAAGCGATCCTCCCACCTTAGCGTCCTGAAGCCCTGGGATTACAGGCGTGCATGACCGCACCCAGCCCTGCCTGTCTGTTATGAGGGCCTCTGTCTTTAACTTACATGTACAAAGACGCTATTTCCAAATAAGGGCTCATTCACAGGTCCCAGGTGGACATGTCTTTTGGGGGCCACCATCTGACCCTCCGCAACTGGTGAGGCCCCGCTGGCCAACAACGTCAGGAGCCTTCCCCACACTAGGCTCAAAGGAGGAAGGTAGGGACGGGGTTACCAGGCCAGGAAGAGGGGCCGCCCAGCGGGGGCTGCAGCCCCCCCAGGAGGAGCCCAGCTTCTGCCTCAGCCCAGCATGGGACAGGGGCTGGGAGGCCTAGACCTCCTCCCTCTCTCCTCCCATCGGCCAAACCCAGCAGGAAGCCAGAAGATAAGGGTGCCTGGGAGATGGGACCCTTTGGGGCCTCCTGGCTAAAGAGCAGAGCAGAGAAGAGCTGGACATGGCTCAGGGAGGGGTGGAGACCAACCTTCCCATGTGTCCCCCCATGCCCACTCCCACGGGAGCTGTGCCAGGTCACTCCCAGCCCTGATCTGTTGTTCCAGGCAGTCGACTACGAGCTCAACAGAGCTTTCATGCTGACAGTGATGGTGTCCAACCAGGCGCCCCTGGCCAGCGGAATCCAGATGTCCTTCCAGTCCACGGCAGGGGTGACCATCTCCATCATGGACATCAACGAGGCTCCCTACTTCCCCTCAAACCACAAGCTGATCCGCCTGGAGGAGGGCGTGCCCCCCGGCACCGTGCTGACCACGTTTTCAGCTGTGGACCCTGACCGGTTCATGCAGCAGGCTGTGAGGTGGGTGCACAGGACATGCCTCGTCCCTGCCTGCAGCTTCCCAGGTTCCATACAGAAGGGTCCAGAAATACCCCATGAAACCCACAGCCCAGAATTCCCCCAGATGGGTGGTCGGGGGCATCTCCAACCTAAGGCGTCCTTCCAGGAGGGAGCCGCAGCCCCTTAGTCCCAGATAGCCAGATGCAGCCCCTGATCAATCGTGAGTGTTGTGACCGGTGCTTACTCATTCAGCACTGTCTAGACACAGGCCGGCCCGATCCTGGCCACACTCTCATAGCTATAAGACTCAGCAACCTCCTGCCCTCTCTGCTCCTCAGCGTCCTTGTCCGTTCGATGGGGACAATGAGGGCGTCTGCCCACAGGGTCCTTGTGAGTTGAGACCACCCACTACTGGATGAGCTTGGTGCCCGTAGCCACTGCGTGGCCTGTCCTGTTGTGGGGCCGGGGGGGAGGGTGCCAGTCCAACGTGGAGGGGAAGCCCTAGAGGAGGACAAGGCCTGGGGGGCTCCAAGGAGACAGAGACACTGGCCCAGGCCCAGGCCCTGGAGGTGTGGCCAAGGAGGCCTGGGATCCAGGGCAGCCCCGCCCACCCCCAGCCTTACCTCCCCCTGCACTTGTGGTCTCCGCAGATACTCAAAGCTGTCAGACCCAGCGAGCTGGCTGCACATCAATGCCACCAACGGCCAGATCACCACGGCGGCAGTGCTGGACCGTGAGTCCCTCTACACCAAAAACAACGTCTACGAGGCCACCTTCCTGGCAGCTGACAATGGTGCGGCCCACCCCAGGGAGGCAGCCGTCTCGGTGGCCTTCCCGTGTCCTGGGTTCTGTGGGCGAGGGAGGGTGCTGGCCAGGGAGACCCCGAGAGGCCAGCAGGCATCCAGAGGGTCACCCAGAGGGGCTGAGGGGGCATCTGTGCAGACACCGGTGATCAGGGCTGCGTCATCTCAGGGCCCCCAGGCCATGCTCCCCCTCCACCCACTCCCATGTCAGTCATTCATTCTGCCCCCTCCCCAGCATTCACTTGCTTGTTCGAAGGTGTGCCTGGTCTTTCCCCCCAACGTCACTCACCCACAGCCTCCAGGGGCATCAGGGCACTGGTCATCCCAGGCTTGGCTTTGCTGCCCTCTGCAACCTGAAATGCATCTCAGTTTTGCTGCCTGTAAACTGAGGCACTGGAATCAGGTCCACAGTTTTCAAATGCTTTCAGCCGGCAGCCCTTGCCACAGACCCCATCCTGCGGGGAAGGCCCAGCCCCACTGGTCAGCAGCCCCGGGGGTGCCGCCCTCGTGTCTCTGACCACCCACGGCACAGACCCCTGTGGCCCTTAGTCACAGCAGGAGGCATGAGACCCTCCAGGGCCCTGGGAGTGCAGAGGGCGGTGGCAAGGTCCCGGGGCAGGCGGCACAGCAGACGACCTCAGGAGCCTGGACGGGAGGGCGAGGATGGGCTGGGCAGAGACGGCAGGAAGAAGGTTTGAGAGCACGTGGGGCTTTCTGAGGGACATGGGCCAGCATCTCAAGAAGCAGCCACCCCTTCCTGGACCTGCAGTAACCCTGCGAACTGGCCGAGCCCCCCACGGGTCGCACGCTCTCAGAGGCATGGAGGCAGGGCGGGTGGGAGCAGGGATTCTGGAACCGAAGATCAGTCCAGTACCACCGCTTACCAGTGGGAAAAGACGTGACCGCTCTGTGCCTCAGTTTCCTCCTCTGCCAAGTCGGGGGAGTCTTAGTACCCCTGAGAATCAAACGAGTCGGAGTCACCGGAACACTGAGGAAGGGCCTGGCTCAGAGCAGCATGGGCTCCTGTTTGCTGCGGCCGTGATGACTGCCCGGGCTGCTGTTTGCCGAGTACCGGCCGAGTGCCTGCCGCTGCTCATCAGTGGGTGGAACACAGTGACGCCCTGCTGTGGCTTGGCTGACAGCCCGAGTGTGTCGGCTGGAACCTGGGTCAGTGAATACTGATGGAGGAAACTGCAGCACAATTGAGGCTTTTTTTCTCTCACGTCAAAGAAGGCTGGAGGCAGGCAGCCCAGGGGGAGATCCGAGACCTGGGGCATCCTGACTGTGCCACGGCATGGCCCAGAATGGCTGCTGGAGCTCCAGCCGTCACAGCCATGTTCTGGCAAACAGAAGGCCTTGCAGGGAGGGCACGGGCACACGTCTGCTACTAAGGACTTTCAGAAAGCCCCACGCAAGTCCTCCACCCACAGCTCACAAAGCCCAGAACTTACTGATGCAGCCACCCCCAGCTGCAAGGGGCGCTGGGAAATGGGGTCTTCTAGATGGACAGTGATGATCCCAGACAAAATGTAGGACTCCGATTATTTTATTAAAAGGAAACAGAAAATGGATATTGGGGATGACTCAGCAGCGTCTGCCCCAAGGAGACCGGAGAGAAACCAGCCACGCAGATGATTCAGGCAGCAAGAAGAGCTGGGAGAAAACAAAACAGGCGGCTGGGAGGCAGTGACCAGGGGCTCCGCTCTGAGGAGCTGCCCTTGGGACCAAGAGCTGTGGAACCAGAGGAGCAAGCACGGGAAGGAGGGTCACAGAGTTAGGAAACGGTGTGTGCAAAGGCCCTGAGGCGGGGCTGTGTCTGGTCCGCTCTTGGAACGGCTGTGCGTGAAGCCTCATGAACAAGGGTAGCCATTGTGCAAACGCTCGTCCCATAGCAGGTGAAGACAGGACGTGGACACCCCCCTGCCAGCCTCCCCCAGCCAGCGCTGCCTCCCCTGCCAGGGTCCACAGAGCCCGGGCTGTGTAGCTGTGCAGCTGTGCAGCTGCCTGTGAGCCCAGGGCTCTGGTCAGGGGAAGCGTCTCCCCTTGAGGGTCCCCTGCCGCAGCTCAAGCCCTGAGGTTAAATTAGAAAGTGATTGTGAGCCCGGGCCAGGCCCCGTGGCTCACACCTGTAATCCCAACACTTTGGGAGGCCGAGGCAGGTGGATCATGAGGTCAGGAGTTCAAGACCAGCCTGGCCAACATGGTGAAACCCCGTCTTTACTAAAAAAATACAAAAATTAGCTAGGCATGGTGGTGCACGCCTGTAATCCCAGCTATTCGGGAGGCTGAGGCAGGAGAATCACTTGAACCTGGGAGGCAGAGGTTGCAGTGAGCCAAGATCGCCCCATTGAACTCAAGCCTGGGCAATAGAGTGAGACTCCATCTCAAAAAAGAAAAAAAAGAAAGAAAGTGATTGTGAGGCCGCAGCTGGAACATCGGAGCGTCCATCGCACGTGGCAGACGCCGTGTGAGGGAGCCGGGGTGCACAGGCTGGAGCAGGAGCCCCCCGGTTAACAGAACCTGTCTGTGCTTCTCCGATCACGTGCCGTGCCATCAGCTACATCTCAAAGCAGTTTTCAAAGGTAGCGCCGCGCTGCGTCACCTTAAATGTGTTTTGACGCAGCTTCCGGAAGATTAAAGAGACATCCGTGGGATACATTTTTACATGGTTCGCCTGCCTCAGTCAAAACACGTGGTTGTTAACGTCAGGTCAGGAGCTGCCATCAGGAGCAAAGCTACAGTCAGAACATGCCGCCACCACCGCCGCCTCCAAGCCTGGAGAGCAGACAGGGCATCTCTCTGTCCCCAGATTCCAGCCACCTGGCCTGCATCCTGGGCTGAGGCAAGGACTGAGCATGTGAAGACCCCAGGGACAGGGATGGCCCCTGAGGAGCTCTGGGGGCTCGGCAGAGCACCTCCGTTCATGCTGAAGCCAGAGGTCATCGGGTCCTCCAAGGAGACCTCCTGCCGGGCCAGGAGGGAGCTTCCATCAAAGCTCATCTGGAGCGGCCGCGCCTGCTTTTCTCACAGACACTTCCAAAAGCAGCAGTTCTTCCACGCGATCATGCGTCTGGGCTCAGGGCTTCCAGCACCCTGGGGCTCTGCTGGGCAGGGCCAGCAAAACTCAGGGAGGCAAGGAAAGGTTTTGCCCTAAGAAGTCCCAGATGGGGGCAAGATGTGGTGGGCGGATCCCAGCCCTCAGGGGCCAGTGCAGAGCCCAGCACCCGCAGAACCCCTCCCTGGCTCCCCAGTGGGAGTGAGTCCCCGGTGCGTGGCTGTGACCTCCGTGGCTGTGAGTTTCCACGTGAATGCCACACCCCGCTGTGTGCGTGTGTGCAGGTGTGGGTGTGGCCGTGTGCTCTGCCGTGTCTGTTGAGGTGCCGTGCGCAGTGGCTGTGTGCGTGTGTGCAGCTGCGGGTGTGGGTGTGGCCGTGTGCTTTGCCGTGTCTGTTGAGGTGCCGTACGCAGTGGTGTGGCTGCCCATGGCGTGTGGCAGGGTGTCGGTCAGGAGCCATGGCTGGACTGTGGGTCAGTCCCTGTGCAGCTGTGTTGGGAGATGGCCGGCCGTGTCCGGCTGGGGGTCTGCACATGTGTCCCTGTGTATGTTGCACGTGGTTGTTTGTGTGCGTGTCCTGTGTGGAGCTGTGGGTTGGTCATGGAGTACCAGGAGTGGCCCGTGTGGTGACCTGTGTCTGTTCCACAGGGATACCCCCGGCCAGCGGCACCGGGACCCTCCAGATCTATCTCATTGACATCAACGACAACGCCCCTGAGCTGCTGCCCAAGGAGGCGCAGATCTGCGAGAAGCCCAACCTGAACGCCATCAACATCACGGCGGCCGACGCTGACGTCGACCCCAACATCGGCCCCTACGTCTTCGAGCTGCCCTTTGTCCCGGCGGCCGTGCGGAAGAACTGGACCATCACCCGCCTGAACGGTGAGCCCGCCTTAGGCCACGGGGAGGGTCAGACTAGCCTGGGGTGCAGGCCCCTGGGAGACCCAGCTGGCCTTGGAAGAGTGGGCACCAGAGGTGGGTGACAGTCCTCCAACAGGACTGTCCCACCAAGGCTGGGGACACTGGCCACGCTTCAGCTGCTCAGCCTCCTTCACCTGGCCTTGAGGAGGCCACCAAGTCATTCCCAATTTCTTGCTGCTTTAATGAGGCCAGCCGTGAACATCCTTGCAGCTCTGCCCATGTACATCCATGACAACTTCCTGTGCCGGTTGTCAGTTGACTGGACCCTGACTGATATGTTTCCTTAGAATACTTCCCTGGATGCAGATCTGTGGTATAAAAGGATATCAAAATTCTCAAGTTTTGGCAGTACTGTGAAAATGTGCTCTAAACATGTCTACTTCCATCGGGAGAGTGCCTGTTTGTTTCCTCAAACCCCACCAACACTGAACATTATTGTTTTAAAATAATATTTTATTCTGCCACCTTTAGGCCAAAGTCATTATTTCCATTTGTATATCCTGATTACCAGTGGAAATTTTTTATATATATTTATTGGCCATTTTTGTTTCTTCTGTGAATTGTCTGTTCAATGACTTTGCCTATGTTTTCTTTGGGGAGTTTCTTTTTATTGATTTGGTAAAACTCTTTATATATTCAGGAAATTATTTCTTCATCCTACATGTTGCAATTGCTTTTTGGTTGTGTCTCCAATGTCTTTTTTTTTTTGAGACTGTTGCCCAGGCAGAAGTGCAGTGGCACAATCTCAGCTCTGCAACTCCACCTCCCAGGTTCAAGCAATTCTCCCACCTCAGGCTCCCAAGTAGCTGAGATCACAGGCTTGCACCACACGCCCGGCTAATTTTTGTATTTTTTACTAGAGACAGGGTTTTGCCATGTTGGCCAGGCTGGTCGTGAACTCCTGACTTCAAGTGATCTGCCCACCTCAGCCTCCCAAAGTGCTGGGATTACAAGCGTGAGCCACCACACCCAACCTCCAATGTCTTTTAACTTAATGATGTAGCACAGGTGTATGTATGTATGTGTGGTAACCAGGCAGCCATTTCAGATTTCCATGCCATCGGACTTTTAGTCTTTTCCTTTGGACGTCTTGCTTGGAAGCGAGGGCCGGGCTCTGGTTGAATGTTTACTGTTGCTTTGCACCAGGTGACTATGCCCAACTCAGCTTGCGCATCCTGTACCTGGAGGCCGGGATGTATGACGTCCCCATCATCGTCACAGACTCTGGAAACCCTCCCCTGTCCAACACGTCCATCATCAAAGTCAAGGTGTGCCCATGTGATGACAACGGGGACTGCACCACCATTGGCGCAGTGGCAGCGGCTGGTCTGGGCACCGGTGCCATCGTGGCCATCCTCATCTGCATCCTCATCCTGCTGAGTGAGTGTGGCTGAGCACCAGGGTGGGCAGGGGCATTGTGGGTATGAGTGCCCTGTCCCAGGCATGGTGGGCAGAGGGGGGCCTGGATTTGCCCCTCAGCCCTCATCTCTCAGCCTCATCTGTCAGGAGCCTTTCAGAAATGCAGCTGAACTGGTCCATATGACAATGGGAAATTGGAGCCTCCCGTTACTCTCAAGTCTGGAGGTGCAGGCCGGCCCAGGTGTCTCCCATGGCCTGGCCCCTTTCCACGGCTCCACTCTGCCTCCCAGAGCCCCTGTGTCCTGAAGCTGTTGCCCTCCAGGACCTGTGACGCCTGTGGGCAGCTCCCAGGTGGACTTAGCAGAGGGAAGGTCAGCCCTGCCTGTTAGCGTCCCCATCCAAAGTCCCAGGACACTCTCTGATTGGACTGGCTTGGGTCACATGCACACCTTGGAGCCAATCACCAGCCAAGCAATGGAGTGTTCTCACTGGCTCTGCCCAGATCACATGCTCTAGTAGTTTCTTGAGTTTCCCACAACCACTGTGGGTTCCCAACAGGTCTGAGGGCTGGCGGGGGGGCGGTGCCAGGGGAGGTGCTTGAAAATGACCCCAGAGGTCCCTCTTCCCATCATCCCTCATGGACAGTCACCGTGGTCTGTGATACCCCAGGGATCCCAGTGGGAGGCAGGGCGGGGAAGGGTTGGGCTACCACCTCCCCAGTTCACACCCAAACCACAGGGTCCCCCACCACGTCCAGAACAGGCGGCAGGCCCCTCCTGCAGACCTGGCCTGCGGCTGACTTGAGACCCCAGGGACCAACCTGAGCCCTGTCCAAAGGATGTCTGAGTTATGAGGACTCTGCTTTTTTCCCCATTTCCAGACCTATCACCCCTTGAAAAGCCGGTTTTCATTTCTGAGGCTTGTTTTGAAAGCCGTTCAGTGTCGTGGGCTTCTTTGTATGATCAGGAGTGGAAAGAGCCCCACAGAGGTTGGGAGGTGTCTCTGTAGCAAAGGTGGAGGCATTCTCACCGATGTCCCCTGCTCTGGAAACACCGGGGGCCAGGCCCCAGCCAGAGCACCCTCTGTGGGCAGGGCTGTGAGACCCAATTCAGCTGAGTGCCTGGCCCGTGCAGGAGACCTGGGCCACTCTCGAGGGCAGCCGCAGTGGAGGGCATCCGCAGTGGGGCCGGGGCCACGGTCAACAGCAGATCCGCCTGCTGCCCGGCTTCTGCCCAGTCGTGGGCACCTCAGCCCTGGTGGGGTGCATGGGGGGCACCCGGAGTGGCCTCCCCTCCTCCACACTCCTCCTCTCAACCCTCGCTCATCTTGTCTGCCTGGATGAGCCTGGGATGCCAGCTGTGAGAGTGGAGCTGACCTCTTCAAAGGTTCTTGGCCTTGTGGCTTCCGTCGAGCCAAGACTAGGCCCGGGCTCCAGGCTCCAGGTTCTCACGGAGCTGCACCTGCAGTGCGTGGCTCCTCCCTCCGCCTGCACTTCCCTCTCCACGATCTGGGCCAGGTCAGGAAGCGTCCCCCGGCTGTCACCTCACCCTCTGCAGGCAGGGCGATGCCGCCAATACCCACAGAGCTCCTCCCAAGCCTCCACTCCGCTTCGGAATCCTCCTCACGACATCAGGCAGCCACAGCCAATTAATCGGGTTGGCAAAAAACAGCCCTCCTGACTGGGGGGTCGCCGCCCCTCTCGCCTCCGGGCTCACCCTCTGCGGTACATAAGAGTGCACCTGTGATTCTGGGCCTCAGTCGTTACATCTGTGACATGGGAGGTGACGGGAGGCTTCAGGAGGATGCAGTGGAGTGGTTTGTGCAGGCATTTACTGGGGGCGTGGGCTGCATTACCTGCTCCTGGAGCTTTGCAGATGGGTGCGCCAGGCTTTTCCTGCAGCAGAGGCAGCCAGGGGTCCAGAGTGAGCAAGGCTGTTTAGGGGAGCCAGGGCTGGACACGGACCTCGGAAGGCAGGAAGAATCCAGTTCAGCTTGGGGGAGAGGGTCCCTCCATCCACCCCACAAGGGGACTTTACCTCTCTTCAATTTCCACATGCACCTGAACTTCTGAGCCTGTACCCCAATTCCTTTGAGTGGTGGAAAGAGCCCCTCTGAGTGACCCCCTCGGTACTGGGTGGGGCTGCCCTTCTGTCCAGCGACGCCCTGGACTGACCCCACCCCAGGGGCCCTCAGGAAGCAGGATCCCTGGATCCCCTCTCTGGGCCCCTATCCTCCCAGGGCAGAGCCTCTTTCAATATGGGGGAGTCCATCTCCCTCTCTCAGTGATTCCTACCAAGACACTGTGTGCCTAAAACCTCACTTCCACCTCCTCTGACAAAGCCATCTCCCTCCTGCTGCTCAGAAGAGGGACTCAGAAAGACTTGTGGGTGGGCCCCTCAGCCCCCCATGTCCTCCCGTCCCCAGGCGGTGAGAGGCACCCTGAGCTGGCTGCCTTCTCAAAAGGGGAGTGCAAGAGGAGGGCGAGCTTGTAAATCAATGACTCAAAATGTAGCCCAGTGCCCAGGCAGTGAGCTGGGGAGAGGGCCTGAGCCAGTGCGGCTGTGCCTTGGAAACTCATGCACACGCACACAGGCATGCATGCACGCACAGACACATGGGCACACATGTACTATGGACATGAACACATGCACTCACGCCCCATGAGCATACACAGACACACGAAGTACACATGGACACATGCACACACAGACCTGTGCAGGCTTGTGTGTGCATCTACACACATGAACACACGAGCACACACACAGATCTACACGCTCACACCCAGGCACACGCATGTGCAAGCCTTCATACACACGTCCTCCTGCAGATACACGTATGCATGCTTACACAGACGCATGAAGCACCTACATCCACGACTCCTGCGGATACACGTATGCATGCTTACACAGACATGCATGAAGCACCTACATCCACGAATGCACACGCACGTGGGCCGCACATGTGCACAGATGTGTCCTTGCACATCCAGGCCTGCATGTGCAGAGACATGCGCGTGTGCAGTACAGGTGTGCATGCACACATGGGCACAGTCATGCTTGTGTGCCACCTGCATGTACATGCCCACATAGACACATGGCAAACACAGAGGCACACATGCGCACACCCGCAGCACACCCTGCTCACGGGCAGCCCTCCCCCACAGCCATGGTCCTGCTGTTTGTCATGTGGATGAAGCGGCGAGAGAAGGAGCGCCACACGAAGCAGCTGCTCATTGACCCCGAGGACGACGTCCGCGACAACATCCTCAAGTATGACGAGGAAGGCGGTGGCGAGGAGGACCAGGTGAGACTGCGGCCCGCCCCCGCCTCCCCACGCGAGGCCGGCTCTCACGTGTACTAGTGTCTCAGCAGGGATTGCCCTGGGGTTTAACAGTAAGACATTTCAACCTTTTCACCAGTGAAGGTGCCAGGCAGGGGCGCACGGTTTCCTAGCCTGGGCTGAGCTGTGTACACTGCACCTGCATCCCCCACGGGGGATCCTGGGACCCCTCCCATCCTCGCCTTCTTCCCTCCCATCACCAGCCCCAGCCCAGTGCTGCCCTGTGCCCTGGAGGGGAGGGGGCTCCGGGTTGGCCAAGCACACCGATGCCCACTCGCGGATGCTGCTGTGTGCAGAGGGCTGTCGACTGACCAGGGGCAGTGCACCAGGCGCCCGGGAGGGTAGACTGTGAGAGCTGGTGGTTGGAATCTGAGTCTACCCTTGGCCTTTCAGGGAATCGGGGCAAGTCAAGTCCTTAAACCCGTCTAAAGCTCAGACCCCTCCCTGCCCCTCCCACAACACGACCATAACGAACGTGAGGCATGTGCCTTGCGGAGGCCCAGCTCCTGGCCACCTTCCCCGCCCCTCCCGCAACACGACCATAACGAATGTGAGGCATGTGCCTTGCGGAGGCCCAGCTCCTGGCCCCCTGAGCACTCGGGGCACGTGGTTGGTGAGCAGCGTGGTGGTGAGGTCACTCGGGGAGAGCCCCAGGCCATGGAACACAGCCAAGAACAGCCCCTATCCCTGCCCAAGGGATTGGGGTAAAGGGCAAGGAGGTGGGGCATTGTGGAGGGGCACAGCAGGGGACAGCATGGTTCTGTGGGATGCTTGGAGACCAGGCCACAGGGCAGCAGGTGCATCTGTGGCCCAGGTGACAGAAAAGGATGCAGGGTGGAAGGGGGGCTGGCGGATTCTTCTGATGCCCCTGACTCCTCCCGGCTCCCTCCCCCAGGACTACGACCTCAGCCAGCTGCAGCAGCCGGAAGCCATGGGGCACGTGCCAAGCAAAGCCCCTGGCGTGCGTCGCGTGGATGAGCGGCCGGTGGGCGCTGAGCCCCAGTACCCGATCAGGCCCATGGTGCCGCACCCAGGCGACATCGGTGACTTCATCAATGAGGTGTGTGCCTCTCGGCAGTGGGGGGCCCGGGCAAGGTGTCTCCTCTAAAAATTAAATTCTGGTAACACACACAGAAGCCATCTCCACAGTGCCGGCGGCTGCCGTGGGTGGGAGGCAGCTCAGACCCGGGTTCCAGGCCCTGCTCTGCCCCTCCAGCGGGGTGGCCTGGGCAAATCACCTCCCTCAGCAGGCCCTCTTTCCAAGGATGAGGATTCCTCCCTGTAGGCTAGGCGAAGGATCAACACACAGGGCCGGGTGCACAGCAGGGGCTTCGTAAGAATTCGGGTTTGCAGCAGAGGCGCCAGTAGCAAGCACAGGCCTCAGGAGGAGAATCAGCGGGGCGACGGCGGGGAAGGCGCACTTGGTGCTATGAGCCCTCCAAGTATTAACCTTACACAGAGCCCACTGCCGCTGTGAATGGCCTTCCCGGGCTCGGCTCACCCAGATGCTCAGAGAGGCAGAGGCCCAAGCCTGGTCTCAGGGCCCAGGCCAACTTGCCCCCCCTCCCCACCCCACCCCACACCCCAAACATCAGGACACAGCAGGTGGGAGCCACACAGAGGTGGCTGCCTTCCAGGGCTGCCGCCTGACCACCTGCCCAACCTGACACTTGAGGGTTGGAGGGGACTTGACTTGACCAACAAGCAGCACACCCCAGCCTTCCATCTTCCCCTTTGCAAGAAACATTTGAAACATCGCTTACAATGTCGCCAGGGCAACACTCAGTTTCCACTTCCAACGCGCAGCTCCCTGTCTTCGTTCCCGTCTTCCATCTTCCTTTGCGGTGAAGAGAACAGAGGAGCAAGTCAAACAGGGCAGACTCCTCCCAGGGAGCGTCCTCCGGGCAGTGACTCTGAGGCTCCAGACTGGCCTCGCCTGTGGCTCTGCAGGGATCACGGTGTCCTCCGTGCTGCTTCTAGTCGGCGTGAGCCCCTGTGGTTTCATCACCTGCTCGCCGATGCCCACTGCATTTTAAAGGAGGTTTAGCAACACTTAGACCTCAGCCTAGGTCAGAATCTCACTTTAAAGGAATTGATTTAAACAGAAGATAACCCAGGCAGTGATTCAACAGAAAGACAGAAAGGTTTCCCCAAAGCAGATGGTGTTCTGGGCCACAGATGAAATTCCTACAACTGCCCACGCAGAAGCTGCTCTGACAACATGACGCTTACCGTCTATGACATAATAAAAACGTAAAGATCCCCAAACGTTTGCCCTGCCCAGTCTATAATTAATTTAGAGCCCACTGTTTGTTAGCCAGGCGCGGTGGCTCAGGCCTGTCATCCCAGCACTTTGGGAGGCCAAGGCAGGTGGATCACCTGAGGTCAGGAGTTCAAGACCAGACTGGCCAACATGGTGAAACCCCGTCTCTATTAAAAATACAAAAATTAGCCGGCGTGGTGGCCTGTAATCCCAACACTTTGGGAGGCCATGGCAGGTGGATCACCTGAGGTCAGGAGTTCAAGACCAGACTGGCCAACATGGTGAGACCCCCGTCTCTACTAAAAATACAAAAATTAGCTGGGCATGGTGGCGGGCACCTGTAATCCCACTACTTGGGAGGCTGAGACAGGAGAATCGCTTGAACGTGGGAGGCAGAGGTTACAGTGAGCCAAGGTCGCACCACTGTACTCCAGCCTGCAAGACAGAGCAAAACTCCATTTCAGAAAAATCTAAAAATAAATAAATAAAGCCCACTGTTAGATAGGTCTTAGGAGAAATTAAAAATGAAAACAACAAACCAGTCCATACTGAATGACACTGAGTACCCTCTCCCAGGGTCACAGGAGGAGCAGGTGCTGGCATGGAGGTGGCACCCGCGGGCACTGAGGAGAGGACGGGGCTCCAGCAACACCCACGGCACTGCCAAAGCTTGTCCGTGGGAGTGCCACACTCATAACTGCCAGGTTCTGACTTCTGTCCACCCTAGGTCCACTTTCCCTCCAGACAATGGTCAGCTAGACTGGAGAACCATCTGCCTGCCCCCTTAGGGAGGAGCTGAGCTTCAGCCACATGGCCCAGCCCTCACCTCCCCCACACCACCCCTTGCCCTCTCCCACACCCCCCTGCCCTTCCCCTATAAACCCTCACAGCCCCCCACCCTCTCCCACACCTCCACCTTCCCCCACACCCCTTCCCCACACCCCCTCCCCTTCCCCCACACCCCCTCCCCCACACCCCCTCCCCCCTCTCCCACACCCCCCCCCCCATCTGCCCTTGGGTTGGGAGGAGCTGAACTCCAGCCACGGGCCCTGCCCAACCCTCCGCCTCCCCTGCCCACAGACTGCTGCTGGATTTGAGTTTGCCCCTTCAACACTCCCACGCTCCATCTTCACAAATGCCCTTTTCTACTCGGAAATGCCCTTCAGTTAAATGCAGAGAGCCCTTATTGGACACCTACTTTATGCAACGTCCTACCTCCCTACCTCTTCTTCTGGGCCTCGCTTTCCGTTCCATCTGATCCCGGGGCTGAGACAACGCGTCCTGCACCCTAACTCTGTGTCTGTGACCCCCAGGGACTCCGCGCTGCTGACAACGACCCCACGGCACCCCCCTATGACTCCCTGCTGGTCTTCGACTACGAGGGGAGCGGCTCCACCGCAGGCTCCGTCAGCTCCCTGAACTCATCCAGTTCCGGGGACCAAGACTACGATTACCTCAACGACTGGGGGCCCAGATTCAAGAAGCTGGCGGACATGTATGGAGGTGGTGAAGAGGATTGACTGACCTCGCATCTTCGGACCGAAGTGAGAGCCGTGCTCGGACGCCGGAGGAGCAGGACTGAGCAGAGGCGGCCGGTCTTCCCGACTCCCTGCGGCTGTGTCCTTAGTGCTGTTAGGAGGCCCCCCAATCCCCACGTTGAGCTGTCTAGCATGAGCACCCACCCCCACAGCGCCCTGCACCCGGCCGCTGCCCAGCACCGCGCTGGCTGGCACTGAAGGACAGCAAGAGGCACTCTGTCTTCACTTGAATTTCCTAGAACAGAAGCACTGTTTTTAAAAAAAAAAAAAAAAAAAGAAGAAAGAAAGAAAAAAAAAAAAAAAAGAAAGTGCCTTTTGGTACATGTATCAGATTCCCTCAAACTCAGGAGTGTCTAAAGCAGACAGACCGTCCCCACCTTCCCATCCCGAGCGGCCTCCAACCCCAGCTAGTCCCAGCTCTGAAGGCATCATTCAGAAATGGGGGAGACTGTGTCTGTCTTTCTTACTTTTTTTTTGGTCTTTTATTAAGAAAAAGAAAGTGGGTGACTTGTTTGAAAACAGAGTGGGGTTCAAATCCCAGCAGCCTTTGCTGTACACAGCTGGGGGTCTCTTGAGCCTCTTGGGAGTCAAGGCCAGCTGGGAGGCTTAGCCCTTCAGCCCCAGCAGAAGGCCCTGGGGCTGGTGGGGCTCAGAATACCCCTACCTTGTGGCTGCTCCCCACCCCTCCCGGATGCTGTGAGGAGCTCAGGCAGGGGCCTGGAGGGGAACAGGGGTCATCCTGAAGGGGCTCCACCCCCAGTCAACCCAGGCCTCCCTCAGGGACACCTGTCACCCTGAGTGCCACCAGGTCCCCTCTGCCTTTGGTCCAGAAGAGTGAGTTGTCCAAACCAGCCAGCATCTGGCTCCAGCCCTCCAACCCTGGCGACCAGACCCCATGGGGTGCCATCAACGGCCCCGCGACAGGCATCAATTCAAACCCCAGGACACTCTCGACAGCTCCAACCATCCGGAGGGCTGTGCAGATGGCAGGAACCAAGGACCCTCCCTGGCAGCTGAAGAGGGCAGTTACGGTTGGGCGTGGTGACCAGAACACACCCAGCAGCCTGCGAAGCCTCCCCGTCCCCAGCCTGTGCTCCTGATTCCCGCCAGACGCTTGTGAGCCTGTGTGGGTGGCAGGAGGCCCCGTCTTGCCGTGCCTACCTGTCGCACAGATGCCTCTGCACGCTGCAGACGGTGCCTCTCCTCTCCTATGGACCCTCGTCGGGGGCAGGCAGCGGCCGGGTCCAAACTTGCTGCTGTCCTCGAGGCTGGCACTGCTATCTCCAGGGCTGGGTTGACTCAAGCCAGACAGGGGGAAGGAATTGGTTCTGCAGGACAGTGAGAGGGTCTGTGTCCCGGCACCCCTGGGACAGCGCTCGGCTGCCTGTGCTCACTGCATGAGAAAACTCAGAGGGTGCATTCTCCCTCTGGCATGGCTGTGTCTGGGCGCCTTGGGCTGCGGCAGGGGGCAGGCCCCACGTGGGGAAGCCTCGTGCTTGGTCAGCTTTCTGTCTCTCCCAGGCCAGTGACAACTGGCTTCCCGAGGAAGGAGGTGAGGTACCAGGGACCCTGGGCAGGACCTGGTGTCGGGCAGGGCGGTGCCAGCACTGGGGAAGGACAGGGAGCCCTCCCGGAGCCCCACCCTGCACCTGCCACTGGGGTCAGGGAGTGTCTCGGGGTGCCTTTGGGGGCAGCATGAGCTCCACCAGGGGCCCCGGCCCCCACCTCAGCCTATGGCCCTTCCCCATGGCTAAGGTCATGCCTTTTCTGAACAGCTTTGGCCTTGAGTGCACACATCTGTGCCAGGCTCACGGCATGTTCCCGTTGGATGTCAGGGTCCTTGTCCAAACCAAACTCACAGCTGCCCCTGTGCAGCCTTCAGAGTTGAGCTGGGGTCTCAGTCTCCAACCTGTCCTTTCTGACCCTCCCATGGCTGCCCAGGGAGGGCGGGGTTCACTGTGCCACGTGCTGGGTGCCCCCCTCTGCAGACAGCCAGTCCAGGAGATGGACCAACAGAGGTCAAGGGGCAGCTGGCCAGGCCGCACCGGGGTCCCCGAGTTCTGAGCTGTGCTATGCAAACAAGAATGCTCCTGTGTGGGGGGGCATGGCCGTTGGAGGTATAGCTGGGCGGGTAGTGGAAGGACTGGAAATCTCTGTTGTTGTTTGGGGAAGTCCATGCTTCAGTCCTTCGGAGTATGCGTGGATTGTTCGAAGTGTGACTATGGCCCGGGAGCCAGGGCAGCATGAACTCCTTTCTCTGAAATTTCGAGGCCTCCTTGGGTTCCCTGAACTCCGGGCTGATGTTCCCAGGACCCAGCACCAGGAGACCCCAGTCCCGCCAGCAGCCGCCGCTACCCAGGAGGGCTGGGCGACATTGGCCGCCTCCCACTAGCTCCCCCTCCTCGCCCACAGCCTCTTGTCACTGCCAAGCCCCCGTTCCTTTTGCCCAAATCACGCAGGCGGAAGCTGCAGTGCCAGCTGGAGGGATGTTCATAGGGCTTCCTGTGCCCATCCCTGCTCCAAACAGCTGGACAGCTTCCCCTCTACCCCCACCCTGGTGAGCCCCTGGGGGCCAGAGAAAGATGGGGTTCCTGCACCTTCCCAGCTCCACCTCTGAACTTGAGTTAGCGTTAGCTAAGCATACAATCAGTGTCGAACGTCTCTCTTCCTTAAGCTTGTAGATACGACTGCCTATAATCAGGGGACTCCCACTGGAGGCCGGGAGGCCAATGCTGGCCAGGTGCGAGGGCATGGTTTGGTTCCTTTAGGGAATTTTTGTTTTGCAAACAGGAGAAACCTGTGCTGCAGGTTGGAGTGGCAGGAACGACTGGCCTTGGTCAGCAGGCAGCCCCCAGCCTAGGGCCACAGTCCTCTTCAGGGCCTGGGCAGCCCCAATTTCTGGCCCAGCAGGTTTCTCTTTGTAGTGTCTTTCAGCACATCCAAAATGCTAGGCCTCCTGCCACCAACGTGTCAGAGCAATGTCCAACTGTCAGGCTCTCAGAGATGCCTCAGTTTCCCTAGCATGAGCACCAGCCGACACACACAGTCCACTGAGATGATAATTCTGTTCTCTCCAAAGCAAAAAGCTGGGCGAGGGGTAGTCTCAATTTCTGTCAGTGCTCAAAGGAATAACACCAAAAGAATCAACACAGAATCTCCCAGACACACGTGACCCAGCTCGTGGCGCCGTGGGTCCGTAGGAGGGACAGTACCTCACAACAGGCCCAGCGGGGGACCACCTCTCTGTACAATTGGAATGCGTTTTACTTTTCTTTTCTCTCCTTTTTTCATTCCGATTTTTTTTGCATGTTTCTTTTTGAAATGGGCAAAATGTGTAGCAGCCTGCATGAGCACAGTTGTTTTGGGGAAAGATACTGGAGTATGATGTACTCACACCTGCAAATCTGAGCATCGCGAGGTTAAACGTTCCACCTTTTTTTGTAATCGTCAACAGCACAACTATTTTGTATTGTTGTTTGTATCATTTTGTACCAAAAAAAAAAAGGAAAAAAAAAGGGAAGAGAGTTGATGTTTTCAGTGTGTTTCCAGTGCCAGACAGTCTTGGTCCTGAACTCAGTAGACCCTTGCGGAGCGGTTGTGCGCGGGCAGGCGGGGCGCGCTGCTCCAGAGAATGAATAAAGTCCCCCTTTTCCGTAGTCGGCATCGTCCTGGCTTGATTTTCTTCCAAGCATTCGAGAAACAGATGGTGCTCCGGGACAGCAGGTGGGTGCACACGGGGGAGGTGGCGGCCACCATGAGCTCCATGCATGCTGAACACACTTCTTGAACACCTGTGCAGCTCAAGGCGCTGTCCTAGGCTGCGGGAAAACAGAAAGAACAAAGCCAGGCCCGCTCCTCACACCTGTGGGCCCACATGCCATCTGTCTCAATGTTTTAAAGGGTTTAGAAGGTATCCATGAAACTAACAAGCAAAATCACATTCCCCTCCTACCTTGGCATATACACCTCCCGGACTCCATGGAATGCCCGGGCCAATTTGGAATTATCAGACTCCTTGGAGTGTGGTGCCAAAAGTGGCAGCAAGGAAGGAGCTGGCCTGGGCCTGTGGCTCTTCCCACCTCCGTCTCTTCCCACCTCCGGCTTTGCCCAGTGCCCCAGGGGGCCTGCGTGTAGGCATTTGGATGCCCCAGGCTTCACCTAAGCCCCCAACAAACAGTATCCCTTGGGCCTCGGGACAGGTCCACCTGGTGAAAATGCAGGAGAGGCCTAAGCAGACCAGAGAGGGGGCTCAAGGCACTTTGTGAGGAGTTTCAGGGTCCTGGTGCCCAGAGGTGTCTGGAGGGGCGAGCACATGGCCCCCAGCCCTGTAGACTCCTCCCCCTGTGGTGGGGGCACAGTCAAATGGGCTGAAGTGCCAGCAAGCGGACACGTGCACACATGTATATGCTTGCATACACATGAGCACACATGCATACCCACGTGTATATGCACATGCATGCAATGCACGTGTGCACACACACACATTCGTTCACATACTTGCAAACATAGGCAGCACATGCACTGAGACAGGCCTCTGGCCACCGACATGTTTGGATGCAAACCCTCCGCAGCCACAGCCGACATCAGCAGATAAAACCACCAAGCCCCGGAGCCCCACTCACGGATGCCAGGTGTTGCATGCATCACTCCCTCCCCACTTCATTTCCCCAGTCTCAGGTGGAGGCTCTCCTGCAGTGGTGACACCAGCTGGGCCTCTGAAGGTGCCTCTCCCACCCTCTGCCCTCCGTGCCTCCTGTCCTCTCCACGCTTCCTGCTTCCCTCTTTCCTGTCACTGCCTTATCCTAGGCGGGGGGCATGAGGCGGCTCAAGTCCCTGGGCCGGGCCTCCTGGGATGGCCAGGCAGGAGGCTGGTCACCACTGCAGCCAGAGGTGCCCTGCTGGAGGCCTGGGTGCCAGGGGACGGTGGCACACCATCTCAGTGGCCCCGCAGGGTCGGCACAGGCCATGCAGCAGTGCTGTACCCCTCAGTGGGGCTCACCTTGGCAGTGAGCTGGGCCTTCTGCAGGCATGTGGTCCAGCATTCCCCAGGCCCTTCCAGCTGAGGCCATCACCGCTGGTCCCCAAAGGGCAGCTCTGGGGGCCATGTTCAGGCCTAGTCCTCTGTAGGGGAGGGGACGTGAGCTCTGGAGGCTTCCCCAGCGCAATGCCCTGTGGACCAGGCTCCTACACAGAGGCTCACGGGCACTCCATGCCCATCCACCGTGCCCAGGGAGCCCCCTCGGATGGAGAGGACAGGCACAGACAATGCCACCTTTCCCAAGGCCTTACTCTGGGTCCCACAGAACCTGCCGTGGAAAGGCTATGGTCACCCCCACTTTACAGATGAGGAAACTGAGGCTCAGAGAGGGGCAGTCGCCCACTGCAAGCGGGGTTTGAACTCAGGCCTCCCTGTGTCCCTGGGGGCCTCCCAGGACACAGAACCAGCAGAATAGCCCAGGCATCTCCCTCACCCCACAGAGCTCTGGCCTCAAAGTCACTGGGGGGCTCCTTAGAGACATAGACTTGACTGCCCCAGCTCTCCGACGCCTGAAGCCAGGCCCAGCCCAGCCCACCCTCCTCAGCAGGGAAGATGCTCTGCGAAGCCCTCCACTGCCTCCCCTGTAAAAACAAGGGTGGTGCTGGGGGTTGGGGGTGACACTCAGCATAACCCTGTACCAGGCACGGGACCCTGCAACAAACATGTCCCCTCCTCAGTTCTGCCTCCATATGGTGGGGGGAGGGGCTCCAGACAGGTCAACACATGGGGGAGGGCCAGGAAGGGTGACCAAAGCTGCTGGCGACCAAAGCTGCTGGCAGGGACGGCCTGGGAGAGGCGATGGAGACAGGGGGCTGGAGGAGCAAGGGCTGAGGTACGGGGGAAGAGACCCAGATACCGGACAGGCTTCTGGTCCGGCACGCAGCCACCATGAGTCCCCTCTCCCCTAGGAGAGGGGACCTCAGGTGCCTCCCTCTGGGCAGCCCAGCTCAGGAGCATCCAAGGTCAGGGGAGCAGTCCCGCTCCGTCTCACCAGCAATGAGGAGCACTGCGACTGTCTGCACCATGGCCGCCCCTTCTCACCGACCACGAGGAGCACTGCGACCGTCTGCACCGTGGCCGCCCCCTCTCACCGACCACGAGGAGCACTGCGACCGTCTGCACCGTGGCCGCCCCCTCTCACCGACGACGAGGAGCACTGCGACCGTCTGCACCGTGGCCGCCCCCTCTCACCGACGACGAGGAGCACTGCGACCGTCTGCACCGTGGCCGCCCCCTCTCACCGACGACGAGGAGCACTGCGACCGTCTGCACCGTGGCCGCCCCCTCTCACCGACCACGAGGAGCACTGCGACCGTCTGCACCGTGGCCGCCCCCTCTCACCGACGACGAGGAGCACTGCGACCGTCGGCACCGTGGCCGCCCCCTCTCACCGACGACGAGGAGCACTGCGACCGTCTGCACCGTGGCCGCCCCCTCTCACCGACGACGAGGAGCACTGCGACCCTCTGCACCGTGGCCGCCCCCTCTCACCGACGACGAGGAGCACTGCGACCGTCTGCACCGTGGCCGCCCCCTCTCACCGACGACGAGGAGCACTGCGACCGTCTGCACCGTGGCCGCCCCCTCTCACCGACCACGAGGAGCACTGCGACCGTCTGCACCGTGGCCGCCCCCTCTCACCGACGACGAGGAGCACTGCGACCGTCTGCACCGTGGCCGCCCCTTCTCACCGACGACGAGGAGCACTGCGACCGTCTGCACCGTGGCCGCCCCCTCTCACCGACCACGAGGAGCACTGCGACCGTCTGCACCGTGGCCGCCCCCTCTCACCGACGACGAGGAGCACTGCGACCGTCTGCACCGTGGCCGCCCCTTCTCACCGACAACGAGGAGCACTGCGACCGTCTGCCCCGTGGCCGCCCCTTCTCACTGACGATGAGGAGCATTGCGACTGTATGCACCGTGGCCGCCCCTTCTCACCGACGACGAGGAGCACTGCGACCGTCTGCACCGTGGCCGCCCCTTCTCACCGACGACGAGGAGCACTGCGACCGTCTGCACCGTGGCCGCCCCTTCTCACCGACGACGAGGAGCACTGCGACCGTCTGCACCGTGGCCGCCCCTTCTCACCGACGACGAGGAGCACTGCGACCGTCTGCACCGTGGCCGCCCCTTCTCACTGACGATGCACCGTGGCCGCCCCTTCTCACCGACGACGAGGAGCACTGCGACCGTCTGCCCCGTGGCCGCCCCTTCTCACTGACGATGAGGAGCATTGCGACTGTATGCACCGTGGCCGCCCCCTCTCACCGACGACGAGGAGCACTGCGACCGTCTGCACCGTGGCCGCCCCTTCTCACCGACGACGAGGAGCACTGCGACCGTCTGCACCGTGGCCGCCCCTTCTCACTGACGATGAGGAGCATTGCGACTGTATGCACCGTGGCCGCCCCTTCTCACCGACGACGAGGAGCACTGCGACCGTCTGCACCGTGGCCGCCCCTTCTCACCGACGACGAGGAGCACTGCGACCGTCTGCACCGTGGCCGCCCCTTCTCACCGACGACGAGGAGCACTGCGACCGTCTGCACCGTGGCCGCCCCTTCTCACCGACGACGAGGAGCACTGCGACCGTCTGCACCGTGGCCGCCCCTTCTCACCGACGACGAGGAGCACTGCGACCGTCTGCACCGTGGCCGCCCCTTCTCACTGACGATGAGCATTGCGACTGTATGCACCGTGGCCGCCCCTTCTCACCGACGACGAGGAGCACTGCGACCGTCTGCACCGTGGCCGCCCCCTCTCACCGACGACGAGGAGCACTGCGACCGTCTGCACCGTGGCCGCCCCTTCTCACCGACGACGAGGAGCACTGCGACCATCTGCACCGTGGCCGCCCCTTCTCACTGACGATGAGGAGCACTGCGACTGTCTGCACCGTGGCCGCCCCTTCTCACCGACGACGAGGAGCACTGCGACCGTCTGCACCGTGGCCGCCCCTTCTCACTGACGATGAGGAGCATTGCGACTGTATGCACCGTGGCCGCCCCTTCTCACCAACGATGAGGAGCACTGCGACTGTCTGCACCGTGGCCGCCCCTTCTCACCGACGATGAGGAGCATTGCGACTGTATGCACCGTGGCCGCCCCTTCTCACCGACGACGAGGAGCACTGCGACCGTCTGCACCGTGGCCGCCCCTTCTCACCAACGATGAGGAGCATCGCGGCTGTCTGCACCATGGGAGCCCCTTCTCACTGACAATGAGGAGCATTCAGAGTGTCTACACCGTGGCCACGCCTTCTCACCGATGCTGAGGAGCACCGAGACTGTCTGCACTGTGGCCGCCCCTTCTCACCGACGACGAGGAGCACTGCGACCATCTGCACCGTGGCCGCCCCCTCTCACCGACGACGAGGAGCACTGCGACTGTCTGCACCGTGGCCGCCCCTTCTCACTGACGATGAGGAGCACTGCGACTGTCTGCACCGTGGCCGCCCTTTCTGACTGATGATAAGGAACATTGCGACTGTCTGCACCGTGGCTGCCCCTTCTCACCAACGCTGAGGAGCACTGCAACCATCTGCACCGTGGCCGCCCCTTCTCACCGATGATGAGGAACATTGAGACTGTCTGCCCCGTGGCTGCCCCTTCTCACCGATGCTGAGGAGCACTGTGACTGTCTGCACCATGGGAGCCCCTTCTCACTGACAATGAGGAGCATTCAGAGTGTCTACACCGTGGCCGCGCCTTCTCACCGATGCTGAGGAGCACCGAGACTGTCTGCACCGTGGCCGCCCCTTCTCACCGATGACGAGGAGCACTGCGACCGTCTGCACCGTGGCCGCCCC
This sequence comes from Homo sapiens, assembly GCF_000001405.40. Classification (NCBI taxonomy): domain Eukaryota; kingdom Metazoa; phylum Chordata; class Mammalia; order Primates; family Hominidae; genus Homo; species Homo sapiens. The sequence goes on from NC_000020.11 coordinate 61,945,811, forward strand.
TTCTCACCGACGACGAAGAGCACTGCGACCGTCTGCACCATGGCCGCCCCTTCTCACTGACGACGAGGAGCACTGCGACTGTCTGCACCGTGGCCGCCCCTTCTCACCGACGACGAGGAGCACTGCGACTGTCTGCACCGTGGCCGCCCCTTCTCACCGACGATGAGGAGCACTGCGACTGTCTGCACCGTGGCCGCCCCTTCTCACCGACGATGAGTAGCACTGCGACTGTCTGGATCGTGGGAGCCCCTTCTCACCGACGATGAGGAGCACTGCGACCGTCTGCACCGTGGCCGCCCCTTCTCACCGACGACGAGGAGCACTGCGACTGTCTGCACCGTGGCCGCCCCTTCTCACTGACGACGAGGAGCACTGCGACTGTCTGCACCGTGGCCGCCCCTTCTCACCAACGATGAGGAGCACTGCGACTGTCTGCACCATGGCCGCCCCTTCTCACCGACGATGAGTTGCACTGCGACTGTCTGGATCGTGGGAGCCCCTTCTCACCGACGACGAGGAGCACTGCGACTGTCTGCACCGTGGCCGCCCCCTCTCACCGACGACGAGGAGCACTGCGACCATCTGCACCGTGGCCGCCCCCTCTCACCGACGACGAGGAGCACTGCGACTGTCTGCACCGTGGCCGCCCCTTCTCACTGACGATGAGGAGCACTGCGACTGTCTGCACCGTGGCCGCCCTTTCTGACTGATGATAAGGAACATTGCGACTGTCTGCACCGTGGCTGCCCCTTCTCACCAACGCTGAGGAGCACTGCAACCATCTGCACCGTGGCCGCCCCTTCTCACCGATGATGAGGAGCATTGCAGCTGTCTGCACCGTGCCCGCCCCGACTGATGATGAGGAACATTGCGACGGTCTGCACCGTGGCCGCCCCTTCTCACTGATGCTGAGGAGCACTACGACCGTCTGCACCGTGGCCGCCCCTTCTCACCGATGAGGAGCACTGCGACTGTCTGCACCGTGGCCGCCCCTTCTCACCAACGACGAGGAGCACTGCGACCGTCTGCACCGTGGCCGCCCCTTCTCACCGATGAGGAGCACTGCGACTGTCTGCACTGTGGCCGCCCCTTCTCACTGACGATGAGGAGCACTGCGACTGTCTGCACCGTGGCCGCCCCTTCTCACCAACGATGAGGAGCATTCGGACTGTCTGCACCGTGGCCGCCCCTTCTCACCGACGATGAGTAGCACTGCGACTGTCTGGATCGTGGGAGCCCCTTCTCACCGACGATGAGGAGCACTGCGACCGTCTGCACCGTGGCCGCCCCTTCTCACCGACGACGAGGAGCACTGCGACTGTCTGCACCGTGGCCGCCCCTTCTCACTGACGACGAGGAGCACTGCGACTGTCTGCACCGTGGCCGCCCCTTCTCACCGACGGCGAGGAGCACTGCGACTGTCTGCACCGTGGCCGCCCCTTCTCACTGACGACGAGGAGCACTGCGACTGTCTGCACCGTGGCCGCCCCTTCTCACCAACGATGAGGAGCACTGCGACTGTCTGCACCATGGCCGCCCCTTCTCACCGACGATGAGTAGCACTGCGACTGTCTGGATCGTGGGAGCCCCTTCTCACCGACGACGAGGAGCACTGCGACTGTCTGCACCGTGGCCGCCCCTTCTCACTGACGACGAGGAGCACTGCGACTGTCTGCACCATGGCCGCCCCTTCTCACCGACGACGAGGAGCACTGCGACCGTCTGCACCGTGGCCACCCCTTCTCACCGACGATGAGGAGCACCGAGACTGTCTGCACCGTGGCCGCCCCTTCTCACCGATGACGAGGAGCACTGCGACTGTCTGCACCCTGGCTGCCCCTTCTCACCGATGCTGAGGAGCACTGAGACTGACTGCACTGTGGCCGCCCCTTCTCACCAACGATGAGGAGCATTGCAGCTGTCTGGACCATGGGAGCCCCTTCTCACCGACGACGAGGAGCACTGCGACTGTCTGCACCGTGGCCGCCCCGACTGATGATGAGGAACATTGCGACCGTCTGCACCGTGGCCGCCCCTTCTCACTGATGCTGAGGAGCACTACGACCGTCTGCACCATGGCCGCCCCTTCTCACCGATGAGGAGCACTGCGACTGTCTGCACCGTGGCCGCCCCTTCTCACCAAAGACGAGGAGCATCGCGGCTGTCTGCACCATGGCCGCCCCTTCTCCCCAACGATGAGGAACATTGTGACTGTCTGCACCGTGGCCGCCCCTTCTCACCAACGATGAGGAGCACTGCGACTGTCTGCACCGTGGCCGCCCCTTCTCACTGACGATGAGGAGCACTGCGACCGTCTGCACCGTGGCCGCCCCTTCTCACCAACGATGAGGAGCACTGCGACTGTCTGCACCGTGGCCGCCCCTTCTCACCAACGACGAGGAGCATCGCGGCTGTCTGCACCATGGCCGCCCCTTCTCCCCAACGATGAGGAACATTGTGACTGTCTGCACCATGGCCGCCCCTTCTCACCAACGATGAGGAGCATTGTGACTGACTGCACCGTGGCCACCCCTTCTCACCAACGATGAGGAGCACTGCGACTGTCTGCACCATGGCCGCCCCTTCTCCCCAACGATGAGGAACATTGTGACTGTCTGCACCGTGGCCGCCCCTTCTCACCGATGCTGAGGAGCACTGTGACTGTCTGCACCGTGGCCGCCCCTTCTCACCAACGATGAGGAGCACTGCGACTGTCTGCACCGTGGCCGCCCCTTCTCACCAACGACGAAGAGCATCGCGGCTGTCTGCACCATGGCCGCCCCTTCTCCCCAACGATGAGGAACATTGTGACTGTCTGCACCGTGGCCGCCCCTTCTCATCAACGATGAGGAGCATCGCGGCTGTCTGCACCATGGGAGCCCCTTCTCACTGACAATGAGGAGCATTCAGACTGTCTACACCGTGGCCGCGCCTTCTCACCAATGCTGAGGAGCACCGATACTGTCTGCACCGTGGCCGCCCCTTCTCACCGACGACGAGGAGCACTGCGACTGTCTGTACTGTGGCCTCCCTGTCTCACTGACGATGAGGAGCACTGTGACTCTCTGCACCGTGGGAGCTGAGGGTTTGGGTTCCAGGACTGAGAAGCATGGGGGACCCTTGCTCAGCGGCTGCCCAGGGCCCTGATGACCACCTCCTGAAAGACAGCACCTGCCCAGCCTCCAGAAGCTCTGGGGTATTAACTACCCATTAACTACACTAACCAGGTGGGAAGGTAGTCCACTAACTACACTAACCAGCCCAGAAAAACAACCTATTAACTATACTAACTACCCTGGAAACCAGCCCTAATCAACACTAAGCCAGTGGGAAACTAGTCCATTAACTATACTAACCAGCCCAGGAAAACAACCCATTAAGTACACTAATCAGCCCATTATCAACCAGCCCATTATCAACACTAACTATGTGAGAAGCTAGTCCATTAACTACACTAACCAGCCCAGAAAAGCAAGCCATTAACTACACTAACCGGGTGGGAACTAGTCCATTAACTACACTAACCAGCCCAGGAAGCCGGCCTATTATCCATACTAACCAGCCCAGGAGGCCAACTCACTATGTCCAGTAACCAGCTGTCTCATGTGTGGTGCTGTAACCACCTATTGCCGGGACTGGGTACTTGATCACGATGGACGGGAACATGGGTCAGGTCTGGTGGCCGGGAGTCCGGGATCCAGGCACCACAGGGTTGGTGCTGGGTGAGGGCCTGCCCCACACAGATGGTGCCATCCAGGTGTCCTCACATGGTGGAAGGTGAGGGGCAGAAAGGCCCAGCTCTCTACCTCCTGCCCTTTGATAAGATGCCATCCTGGTCCCAGGGGCTCCCACCTCGTGCATGACATTGGTGCTCTGATAAAAGAGGCTCCCCCTTCGCCTTCTGCTCTTGTCCATGTGAGAACACAGCACCCGCGTCCCTGGAGGACGCAGCAACAGGACACCTCCAGGACGCAGAGAGCACTGTATCAGGAGGCTGTGGTACTGGGTGGGGGAAGGGTCCCTCCAGAGCATATTGAGTTTGGACGTGAACTTGAGCTGCATTCCCAACTCTAGGGGAACGCTGAGTCTCCCAACACACCTGAGACAAAGTCCACAGTCCTGGGCCTGACCTCGGAGGCCCTCAGTGGTCAGGACCCGCCTTCCCTGTGGGCCTCTGGAGGGCACAAGCATCAGCTCCCAGCGCCTGCCTGGCTATGATGAAGGGGACCCAGCCGGGACAGCCTCCATCCCAAACCAGCCAGGCCCCATGTAGGGTCAGTGCAGCGGTGTCTGTGCATTGAGAGACTGCCCGTGTGTGGCTGGGCCAGGCCACTCACTGCCCATCACTGCAGACAACTATCCAGGACCCCCCAGGCTGCCCCAATACCCCAGTTGCCCAGGCTGAGCCTCCCAGCCATCCCACCCATCTGCACCCGCTCTGGCACACGGCTGTAAGGTGGGTCTGCCATGGGCGCCGCCCAGGAAGGACATTCTCCTGCCAAGTCCCAGCCAAGCTGGGGGTCGTGGGCTCACAGCCCCATGATCTGCCCCCCTGCTCTGCCTGCCTCTCACAAGCCAATGTGCCCCTCTGATCACCTTGGCGCCCTGGCCTCGCCTCCCCACTATAGAATCCCAGCCCTCCAGGCCATGAGTCCAGGCACAAACGGGTTCTCCCACACCAGACTCTGGGTCCTCAAAGCTCTACGACTGGCCCAGTCCCCTGACCCCACCTGCCCTGAGAGCCTGAGTCCACACTGGTAGTGGCTCAAGAGTGGAGCCCCTGCACAGTGTCAGTGCCAGCCACCCTGGACCTGTGGAGGCTGAGCTCAAAGGCTGAGGAAACTGAGCTCGAAGAAGCAGGCAGCCCTCCGGCCCCTGCTGGGCAGCAGCAGTCTGACCTGAGCCCCACGCTGGTGCCCAACCCAGCAGCCTCCACCTCCGCCTCAGGAGCCAGTCAGTCCCAGCTCCCCGAAGGGCAGGCCACAGGGCTGGGCCCAGTGGTGACCCCTTCCCTCCCCCAGCCCTGGGCCCTCCCTCCCACCCTCTCCCCTTCCCCAGCCCTGCAACCGCCCCTCCACAGCCCTGGGCCCTCCCTCCCACACTCTCCCCTTCCACAGCCCTGGGCCCCTCCTTCCCACCCTCCCTCCCACCAGCCCTGGGCCTCCCCCTACCGTCCTCTCCCCTCCCCTAGCCCTGGGCACCTCCCTCCCACCCTCTCCCCTTCCCCAGCCCTGGCCCCTCTGTCCCATTCTCTCACCTCCCTTAGCCCTGGGACTCCCTCCCAGCCCTGGGCCCCTCTTCCCACCCTCTCCCCTCCCCCAGCCCTGGGCCCCCTCCCACCCTCTCCCCTCCCCCAGCCCTGGGCACCCCCCCACCTTCCTTTTCCTGGGGCACAATTCACATGTACACTGACTTGCATAACAAAAAACCACTCACGGCCGGGCGCGGTGGCTCACGCCTGTAATCCCAGCACTTTGGGAGGCCGAGGCGGGCGGATCACGAGGTCAGGAGATCGAGACCATCCCGGCTAAAACGGTGAAACCCCGTCTCTACTAAAAATACAAAAAATTAGCCGGGCGTAGTGGCGGGCGCCTGTAGTCCCAGCTACTTGGGAGGCTGAGGCAGGAGAATGGCGTGAACCCGGGAGGCGGAGCTTGCAGTGAGCCGAGGTCCCGCCACTGCACTCCAGCCTGGGCGACAGAGCGAGACTCCGTCTCAAAAAAAAAAAAAAAACCACTCACACGGTTAATCATGGGTGCAGTTGATAATTACAGGCACAATTAACCACTTGCTAATTTTGAGGGTGCGAGCAGTTAATTACATTCACAATTAGGCAACTGCTGTAGGCCTGGGACCGGAGTCCTGGTGGGGGGACACTCCTTGTAATCAGACTCCCAGGGTGAGGCCCTGTGGTGGGGGTGAGGGTCAGGTGATCTGCGAAGCACCCCCCTCCCAGCTTCAAGTGGGGAGCTTACAGGCCTAGAGGTCAGGGCCTGGCAAACGACCTGAAAAATCCAGCTTGAGGCCCTTTCCAGGGAGCCCCAGAGGCCTTCTCTTGGGTCATTTCCCAGGATGGGGGTCGCTGTCACTCCTCTGTCCCAGGAGGATTCAGAGAGGTCAGTTCACAGGCCTATGCTGGGCAGAGCCACTCATCCACGGCACTGGCCACTCAGCCAGGTATTGACAGACCCACCCGCAGGGCAGACAAAAGAGGCATGGCCCAGCCAGCTGCGGGACCCTGCACCCCCCACTCACTCACACATGTGCACATGCACACACATGCACACGTGCAAACACACACACACGCACACACACACAGCCCTCCTCGGCTCACAGGGGGCTGCAGGACGCTGTCCAAGGTACTGACCTCCCTGCTGCTGGGCCCCTCGCTGCTGAGCCAGGCAGGGGAAGTCAGCTGGGCCAACTGGGAGGGTCGGGCAGGGACAGCACCTGAAATCCCTGCTCAGCCCCCTGTGCCGTTCCTGCCCCTGAGACCACGGCCAGCCACCCAAGGGCTACCCCTCAGCAGCCTGAGGACACAGCGCCGGCTCTTCATCTCAAGCACACGGAGGTGCAAGAGGGAGGGTCTGCGGCCTCGGCAGAGACAGCCGGATGCACTGAGACCCTGGCCTGGGGCAGGCAGGGGCTCCCTCAGGGGGCTCAGAAGGGGTCAATGCTGCAGACCACAGGCCGGCCCAGCCTCAGGCACGGTCCACCTGGCACAGCACACTTCACAGTGTTGAATATACTGTTGTATTTGTTTCCTGAGGTAACAAAGTCCCACAAACTCGGTGGCTTAAAAGAAAGACATTTATGCTCTCCCAGTCCTGGAGGCCAAAAGTCTGAGATCAGTATCCCTGGGCCGAAATCAAGGGGTCGGCAAGGCTGAGCTCCCTCCGGGGAATTAGGGGACGAGCCCTCACTGCCTCTTCCAGCCTCCAGTTCCTTGGCTCACGCCCACATCACTCCCGTCTCCACCTCCATCTTCACTTCATCTTAGTGTAACCTCCCTCCATCTCCCTCTTACATATGGACACTTCCCATTGGATTTCGGGCCTATGACTAGTCCTGAAAGATCTCATCTTGAGACCTTCAACTTGATCATATCTGCAGAGACTCTATTTCCAAATAAGGTCACCTTCACGGGCTGTTTTTCTTTTAGGGCGGTGGGGGTGGGGGGGGGGGGATTTTTCAGCTGACCACAATTGTCAACATTAAAAAATCAAGATATTGTAGGGGTCCCACCTAGATATTGAGGAGGTGGACAACAGGAGGACTGGGTCTCTCCTTCATCCCTCAGCTGCCAGGATGGAGGGTTTGGGGGGGGTCATTTCTTACACAGCTCCCAGTAGGAGATGCTGTGTAGCCTTGGGAGTGTCACTTAGCTACCTCTGGGCTTCCTTGTCTGTTGCTGGGACCGTGTATCAGCTAGTTGCTGAGTAACAAACACAAACACGATCTCAGCAGCACAGAGTCAGCATTTGGTTGGCTGGTCCAGGCCAGGCCGCTGGGGCAGCTGAGCTCTGCCCCCCACTCCCTCATCCTCCCCCTGACCAGCAGGCTAGCCACCCTCACTGATGGCAGCAACACAGGACAGCAGCCTGGTCACCGCAGCTCTCAGTTCAGAGCACCACATGCCCCGTGAACATCCCCTCAGTCAAAGCAAGTCACATGGCTGAACCCACAGTCAAGGGGCAGGGAATTAGACTCCACCCCCTTAGTGGGGGAGCTTCAGAGGCACAGGGCAAGCGTGGTTGGCAGGGGTGAAGGATGGGGCCAGTGATGCCAGGGGCCCACAGGGGTGCATGGGGGTCAGAACCCATCATTCACTCCCCAAGCACAAGCCCAGGGCCAGCTGGCCCACAGGTCCCCCTGGTGCCCAGCATCCCCCCGTCCCCCTCCCATGGGGTGGGGCTCGCATCCAATGCCTGGTTCCAAGTGTCCTCCTCATCTTACCTGCATGGTGACCATCCAGGACGCTCTCCCTGAGCCCGCTGCTTACTGAGTGCCACGGAGGCCTGCAGGGGGAGTGGGCACACACAGGAGAGACGCATGATTTGCAATCTCGTTAATGAGCCGTAGCACAATCACAGACCTGCCCTGACAAGGAGCTGCACTCGTGGTAACATAAAACTGTCAGCCAGCTGGGCGCGGTGGTTCACGCCTGTAATCCCAGTACTTTGGGAGGCTGAGGCGGGAGGATCACCCGAGGTCGGGAGTTTGAGACTGGCCTGGCCATCGTGGCGAAACCCCGTCTCTACTAAAAATACAAAAATCAGCCAGGTGGTGGTGCATGCCTGTAATACCAGGTACTCAGGAGGCTGAGGCAGGAGAATTGCTTGAACCCAGGAGGCAGAGTTTGCAGCAAGTCAAGATCATGCCACTGCACTCCAGCCTGGTGACAGAGCGAGACTCTGTCTCAAAAAAAACAAATTTTTTTAATAAAAAAAAAACCTGTCAGCCAACGAAGCTCATTACAAGCTGCTCCTCAGACTTCCTGTCAGCTGGGACTGCATCCGCCTGTTCAGCCCTTCCAGGCCTGGAGCTGGAGCCCAGGAGGGAGGCCAAGGGGTCCCACTGCAGCTGGGGTGCTGACTGTTAGCTACCAGCCCTTCCGTGGGCCTGTCAGGTTCAGTCTCGGATGCTGTGGGGCCCTGGGACCCCTCATGGGAAGCTGACTTGGACCGTTCAAGAGCCCTATCTAGCCCTCAGCAGGACAAGATCCTCTCAGCAACATCCCCAACACACACTCAACCAGACAGCCTGCAAAGAGCCAGTTCTGTATTTGGACAGCTCGGCTCCCCATGGTACCCTTGTACTCCATGGTAAACCAAAACAAGCTTCTTTGTAACTTCCACCTACTAAAACCATTCCATTACCACCAACTAAGACGGATTCTCCACCTGCCCATCCCAAACCTACCCCCAGGTGTCCCGTGTCTCCTTGTCTCCTGCATCTGCTGCCCACGTGCAGGCTGAGTGTGAAATAACAAAGGACATCCTCCTGGTGGCGCGGGGCAGAGAGCCAACTCACAGAGGGGAGGACATCCACGCTGGCCACGAGCCAGCTCCCCACAATGACCAGCCCAGCCACCCCGATGGTGGGGGAGAATGGGTCCTCCCTCTGCGATCTGAGAGTTCCACTCAGTAGCCCTCAAACCCTACTCCACACACACCTGTTCGCCCTGAATCTAATGTGCTCACTTTGAGCTATCTTCCTGTATGCCTTTTCCCAGGCTGATACCCTCTTTTCTTTGCTTTTGCAAACTAGCTGAATTTCTTAGCCAGAGCCATCAGGCAAGAGAAAGAAATAAAGGACATTCAAATTGGAAAAGAGGAATTCAAACTACCTGTTTGCCAATGGTATGATCTTATACCTAGAAAGCCCTAAAGACTCCTCCAAAAGACTCCTAGATTCGATAAATGAATTCAGTAAAGCCTCGGTCACAACATCAATGTAGCACTGCTATACACCAACGATGACCAAGCTGAGAATCAAATCAAGAACTCAATCCCTTTTACAATAGCTGCAAAAAAATAAAATACCTAGGAATATATGTACCCAAGGGGGTGAAAGATCTCTACAAGGAGAACTACAAACACTGCTGAAGGAAATCACAGATGACACAAATGGAAATATATCCCATGCTCACTTATTGGAAGAATCAATATTGTGAAAATGACCAAACTGCCCAAAGCAATCTACAGATTCAGTGCAATTCCTATCAAAATACCAACATTCCTTTTTCACAGAATTAGAAAAACAATGCTAAAATTCATTTGGAACCAAAAAAGAGCCTCAATAGGCAAAGCAATCTTAAGCAAAAAGAACAAATCTGGAGGCATCACATTACCTGACTTCCAACTATACTACAGGGCTATAGTTACCAAACAGCATGATACTGGTGCAAAAGTAGATAACAGACCAATAGAACAGAATAGAGAATGAAGAAATAAAGCCAAATCCTTACGACCAACTGATCTTTGATAAAGCAAACAAAACCGTATTCAATAGATGCTAGGAAAAACTGGTGAGCCACGTGTAGAAGAATGAAACTGGATACCTATCTTTCAGCATATACAAAAATCAACTCAAATGAATTAAAGACTTTAATCTAAGATCTGAAACCATAAAAATTCTAGAAGAAAACCTAGGCAAAACTCTTCTGGACATCAGCCTTGGCAAAGAATTTATGACCAAGACCCCAAAAGCAAATGCAACAAAACCAAATATAAATAAGTGGGACCTAATTAAACTAAAAACCTTCTGCACTGCAAAAGAAAGAATCATTAGAGTAAACAGAACACCCGCAGAATGGGAGAAAATGTTTGCAAACTATGCATTTGATAAAGAACTAATAATCAGAATCTGCAAGGAACTCAAATCAGCAAGAAAAGAAAAACAATCTCATTAAAAAGTGGGCAAATGACACGAATAGACATTTCTCAAAAGAAGATAAACAAATGGCCAAGAAACACATGAAAAATGCTTGACATCACTAATCATTAGGGAAATGCAAATTAAAACCACAATGAGATACCACCTTATTCCAGCCAGAATGGCCATTATTAATGTTGCGGTAAACTGAGGAACGGAGAGACCACTATGGAGTACAGGAGGATTGTTGTTTATTTTAGGTACGTACCGGCTCAGAGGACTCACATCCAAAAAGCTGAGCATTGAACAAAGACTGAGCAGGGTTTTTATAAGCGGACTTACAAGAGTAAAACAAAGCAGTTAATCGTACAGTGACAGGTCACGTAATCTATAGCGTAACTGTTGACTTAGCATAACTTGTGGCCTTGCATAGCTAGTGACCTCACAGCTGTGTCAAAAGAAAAACAAGAACTAGCTAAATACAGACATTTGTAAAACATAATCATGCTTAAGAAGCCTGGGAAAGGAGTAACAGTAAAAGAATTTGTCTTTCTTTTTTCCCTCAACCTTGCTCTGGAGTGGGGGTGTCTGGAGCCCATTCCTTTGGCGGTGGCTACTCAAACAGTGTTATCTTATAACTGTCCTTGAAGTGAGCCTGCTGCACTTTCCCCTGCTAGGCAGAGGAAAACTTGTTCTTTTCTTTTTAACCTTTGCCTTGCCTGTTACTTTTCTTAGAGTGAATGAATGCATATTTATTTTTAAATTTCTGCCTCACTAAAAAGTCAAAAAACAATAGATGTTGGTGTGGAGGTGGTGAAAGGGAATGCTTACACACTGCTGGCAGGAATGTAAACTAATACAACCTCTATAGAAAACAGTATGGAGATTTCTCAAAGAACTAAAAGTAGATTAGCCATTCGACCCAGCAATCCCTCTACTGGGCATCCACCCAAAGGAAAGGAAGTCATTACCTCAAAAAGACACCTGCACATGTGTGTTTATCACAGCACAATTCACAACTGCAAAGACATGGAACCAACCCAAGTGCCTATCAGCTGATGAGCAGATAAAGAAAGTGTGAGATAGATTTAGATAGATAGATAGATAGATAGATAGATGGATGGATGGAAGGATGGACGGACGGATGGTCGGACAGACAGATAATGAAATACACACATATATATGTCATGAAATACAACTCAGTCATAAAAAGAATGAAATAATGCATTTTGTAGCAACTTGGATGGAACTGCAGACCATTATTCTAAGTGATGCAACTCAGGAATAGAAAACCAAATACTGTATGTTCTCACTTATAAGCGGGAGCTAAGCTGTGGGTACACAAAGGCATGCAGAGTGGTATAATGAACACTGGAGAATCAAAGAGGAGGAGGGAGGGATGGGGATGAGGGACAAAAAACTACCTATTGGGAGGCCGGGTGTGATGGCTCACCCCTGTAATCCAAGCACTTTGGGAGGCTGAGGCAGGCGGATCACCTGAGGTCAGGAGTTGAAGACAAGCCTGACCAACATGGAGAAACCCATCTCTACTAAAAATACAAAATTAGCCGGGTGTGGTGGCGCACGCCTGTAATCCCAGCTGCTCAGTAGGCTGAAGCGGGAGAATCACTTGAACCTGGGAGGCAGAGGTTGCGGTGAGCCAAGATCATGCCATTGCACTCCAGCCTGGGCAACAAGAGCGAATCTCTGTCTCAAAAAAAAAAAAAAAAACTACCTATTGGGTACAATGTACACTACTCAGGTGATGGGTGCACTAAAATCTCAGACTTCACCACTACACAATTCATCCATGGAACCAAAAACCACCTGTGCAAAGCTATTGAAATAAAATAAAAACTAGAGCTGGGCACAGTGGCTCACACCTGTAACCTCAGCACTTTGGGAGGCCAAGGCGGGGGATCGCTTGAGCCTAGCAGTTCAAGACCAGCCTGGGAAACATAGCAAGACCCCATCTCTACTAAAAAAAAAAATTGTTTAAAATATCCTAGTGTAGTGACGTGCGTCTGTGGTCCCAGCTACTTGGGAAGTTGAGGCATGCAGATCACTTGAGCCCAGGAGGCCAAGGCTGCTGTGAGCTGTGATCACACATCTGCACTCCAGCCTGGATGACAGAGCAAGACCCCGTCTCAGAAAACAACAACAAAACTCTCTGAGGTATAATTTACATACAACAAAATTCACCAATTTTAAATATAATTTGATGAGTTCTGACAAATGTACACAGTTGTGTAACCACCAGCACGATGATTACGTGGAACATTCCCATCACACCAAAACTAGTTGTGTAACCACCAGCACGATGATTACGTGGAACATTCCCATCACACCAAAACTTTCCCTCCCTGGGCCTCTTTACACTCAATCCCCTCCTCCACCCTCGCCCTGGGCTCCTGTATTCTATTCGCTATTCCTGTAGTTTTGACTTTCATATAAATGAAACCACCCAGGATGCAGCATTTTGAGTCTGTCCTCTATCACCAAACATAATGCTTTTGAGAGTTATCGTTGCTGCACCCTGGGGTAGCTCATTCTGTTTTTCTAGCTGAAAAACTTTCCTTATGTGGGTGTACTACAATTTATTTTATCCATTCACCTGTTGAAGGGTATTTGGCTTGTCTCCCGTTCACGGCTATTATGAATAAAGCCGCTATGAATGTCGAAGTCAAGTTCTTTACATGGACAGAGGCCTTCTCCTGGATGGCCACCTGGGGTGGAACTGCTGGATCACGTGGTGACTGAGGTGTAACTTTTCAAGAAACTGCCAGGCTGATTTCTAAAATGTCTGTAGCATGTTACACTCCCCCATGCAGGGTCTGGGGGTTCCAGCGAATCTACACCCTTCCCTGCGCTGGCATGGTCCGTCCTGTACATTCCAGCCTTTCCAGGAGGAGCGCAGCAGTGTCCCACTGTGGTTCAAATTTGTGTTTCCTTGATGACGAATGACGCTGAGCATCTTTGTGTGTGCTCATTTGCCATCTGTACTTCTTCTTTGGGGAAGTCTGTTCCAATCCCTTGTCTCACAGGAATGTTCGTCTCTATATTTGGCTACATAGTTGCCATTTCTGGTGCTATTTCTTTACTGTTGTGTCCGTTTGATATGACTTTCCTTCTGCTTACAGAGCTTACTTTAACCTTACTTAATATGTTGAGGATGCTGAGGCAGGAGAATAGGGAATTGGGGTAACCAAGGGTTAAGGCAGAAGCAAAAGAGCAGCAGGCTCCGCCAGCTCCAGGCAAGACTGGGCGGCACACAGGCCGCATCCCCACCCCTGTGATGACAAGACAGAAGCCTCCACGTCAGCCTCTGATTGGCCGCAGATCAATCCTTCATAGGGTGTAACCAATGGGAGGCTTCTAAAGGGCACCTAGGGGTGTTACCAAATCTTTTAGCTTTATAAAAACCTGGGGAGCATTGCAATGGGGGGGATAGTGTCTTGAGCCACTTGCTCGAGTCCGCTCCCACTCTGCGGAATGTACTTCCGCCTCAATGTAGCTGTGCCTTCGACTCAGCAAAACAGAAATAATATTCCAAATACGCACGATGGTAAGAACCAACAGGAACCCTCATATCCTGCTACTGCAGCCGCACCTATGATTGGTTATCCCGGGCCAAAAAGACATTTTCAGTAAGACTTTAGAAGTATATGTAAATGTCTGTTTTTCACAATTGCTCCATATATTGTGTGTTTTCAGACAAGACAGTTATTTAAGAAACGGGAATTGCAGAAATGGCTGTAGTGCAGCGGTAATATTTAAGTCGACTAGTTATCCACGTTCCTGAAACAATTTCTAAGGTTTTTTTTTTGTAGTAGAAAATGTAGGCAGTGTTTTCACAAAAGTAAATGTACAGTGATTTGAAATACAATAAATGAAGGCAATGCATGGCGTTCCAGTAAACATTTTAAAAATAAATAAATAAAAATCTGTGCTTTCGTTACTCCTTTCTTTCGTTGCTTGCCTTTCATTGCTTCGTTCTTTTGTTGCTTTGTTTGTGCATTTTGTTCAATTCTTTGTTCAACACACCAAGAACCTGGACAACCCACAGTCAAGACGTTCCACCCGGTAACAATGGGACATCACTTTAACATTGCCGGGACACAGGTCTGATGGCGATGAACTCTTTCAATTTTTGTGTTTCTGAAAAACTAATTTCACCTTTTCTAAAGAAAAAAATGTTTTCATTGGGTAAAGAATTTTAAATTGGCTGGGCGCGGTGGCTCTCGCCTATAATCCCAGCACTCTGGGAGGCCGAGGCAGGTGGATCACCTGAGGTCAGGAGTTCAAGATCAGCCTGGCCAACATGGTGAAACCCTGTCTTTACTAAAAATACAAAAATTAACTGAGCATGGTGGCATGTGCCTGCTACTCAGGAGGCTGAGGCACGAGAATAGTTTGAACCCGGGAGGCGGAGGTTGCCGTGAGCCGAGATTGCACCATTGCACTCCAGCCCAGCCAACAGAGCGAGACTCCATTGGAAAAAAAAAAAAAAAAGAATTTTACATCGACTGTTGTTTTCTTTCAGTGCTTTCGGGATGCCGTTCCACCATTTCCAGCCTGTGTTGTTTCCAACAATGCAAATATTCTGACAAAAATATTGTCATCCTTTTGTTCCTTAAAAATTTTCTTTTTAAGGCCATTTGATTTTTTACGTGCCTTGCTGTCAGTTTTTGTTTTGTTTTTTAAACAGGGTCTCATTCCGCCACCCAGGCTCAAACAATCCTCCTGCCTCGGCCTCCCAGATAGCTGGGACTGCTGGTGTGCATCACTATGCCTGGAAAATTCTTGTATTTTTTGTGGAGTTGGGTTTTTGCCACGTTGCCAAGGCTGGTCTCGAAATCCTGGGCTCAAGCGATCCTCCTGCCTCGGCCTCCCAAAGCGCTGGGATTACAGGCGTGAGCCACCGCGCCTGGCTGATGTCGGGTTTTTGTGTGTGTTTCTTATGTTTTGTGTGTTTCTTATGTATGAGCTTCTTAGATTTCACCAAATTTGGAATAACTTTAATCACTATTTCTTCAAATGTTTTTTTGCTTCTCCTCTTTGGGAAGCTTCCCTTACAGACATACTAACCCGTTGGCATCATCCTCATACAGCCCACTGATGCTCTGGAGTCTTTTTCCCTCCCTTCCCCTCATGTGTTATATTTTATATGATTTCTACTGCTACATCTTCAGGTCCTCTGCTCTTTTCCTCCGCCAAGTCCACTCTACCATTCATGTCGTACCTCATCCAGTGTGATTTTCACATCAGACATTGTGGTTTTTATCTCCAGCAGTTTCGTCAGAGACTTTTTTTTTTTTTTTAACAACAGGGTCTTGCTGTGTTGCCCAGGCTGGTCTTGAACTCCTGGGCTCAGGCGATCCTCCTGCCTTGGCCTCCCTAAGTGCTGGGATCACAGGTATGAGCCACCATACCCAGTCTTGTCAGAGCCTTTTTATACGTTCTTTGTCTCTTCTTGGGCTTTCAGCTGGCTTCCTGAGCATGCATCATAGTTACAGTGACTGTGTGAATTTCTTTGCATAGCAATTCTCTCACCTATCACATTTCTAGGTCAATTTTAATGGGTTGGATTTTCTGCTCATTACGGGTTGTATTTTCCTGCTTCTCTGCTGGCCTGGTAATTTTTTTTTTTAATTGAATGCCATACATTGTGACTGTTACGTTTCTGGGTGTTGGATGTTTCTGTATTCCAAACATTCTTGAGCTTTGCTGTGGGACACTATCACGTCACTTAACAGTTTCATCCTTGGGGACCTTGCTTTGTTAGGTAGGAAAGCAGAGCATTCCTCGGTGGTGAGGAAAAGTCCTTCTGGGTGCTCTATGCCACGCCCCACGAATGAGGAGGTGTTTGCCTCTGACTGATGGCTAGACGCCCTATTCCCAGCCTTGTGTGAGCTCTGGGGATTGTTCCCTCTAACCCTAGCGAGTGGTCCTTTCTCCAGCTGGGCTCATGTTACGGGGCTGCACTGACACAGGACATGAACGAGGTGGTATAAAGTAACAGAAGTGTATTCCCTCAGTTCTGGAGGCAAGAAGCCCAAAATCACGGTCATGTTTCCCTGATAAGGGGAAGGCGGATGGGCCTGGGGAGTGTGGTGCAGGGTGGGCTGAGGCCAGAGGAGAGGCTGCCACAGGGCGTGGAGCAGAGTTTGTGGGGCACACTGTGCACAGTGACCTCCACCATTGTTTAATTGGATTGGGTCCCAGAGTTCTACTTGGCTCATGAGCCCTGATCAGCCATTCACAGGCTGTAGGACCAGGAAGTTTTCCAGATAGAACAGGAAGATGTCTCCAGGCAGCAGTGATTCAGGAACAGCAGGCACCGATAATGACCAGAAAGCAGACACTCCCAGCGAAAATGAGCCCGCCTAGGCCAGGCATGGTGGCTCACACCGGTAATCCCAGCGCTTTGGGAGGCCAAGGCAAGAGGATCTCTTGAGCCCAGGAGTTTGACACCAATGCTAGCAACATAGGGAGACTCCATCTCTACAAAAAAATTTTAAAAACAAGCCAGGTGTGGTGGTGCATGCCTGGAGTCCCAGCTACAGGCTGAGGCCGAAGGATTGCTTGAGCCAGGAGTTCCAGGCTGCAGTGAGCTATGATTGCACCACCGCACTCCGGCCTGGACGACAGAGAGATCCTGTTTCAAAAACAAAAAACGGCCGGGTGCGGTGGCTCACGCCTGTAATCCCAGCACTTTGGGAGGCCAAGGCAGGCAGATCACGAGGTCAAGAGATCAAGACCATCCTGGCTAACACGGTGAAACCCCATCTCTACTAAAAATACAAAAAATTAGCCGGGCACGGTGGCAGGCGCCTGTAGTCCCAGCTACTCGGGAGGCTGAGGCAGGAGAATGGCATGAACCCGGGAGGCGGAGCTTGCAGTGAGCCGAGATGGCGCCACTGCCGTTCCGCCTGGGCCGAAGAGTGAGGCTCCATCTCAGAAAAAAACAAACAAACAAAAAAAACCAGGAGCCCACCTTGACCACGTGAGCACATCTAGGAGGAAAGCCCCCCATGGCTCAGGAGACTGCTGACAAAACACACAGAGACCCCGGGAGGCACAGGAGACAGGAGTGCCGCTCGCCACCAAACCACACCCACCGCCGGGGCCTGCTTCCCTCTCTCAATCCCGAAGGGAGGGGAGCAACTGGGGGGCTGGGCTACAGGAGGCTTTGGCTGAGCCCCTCCGTGCCCAGGGTACAACAAATATCAGGACAGTACACAGGGACTTGCCTTAGGAAAGCCCACCCAGCCAAGCACAGGACTTGCATGAAGATCAGAAAGTTTACTGAGGCACAGGAAGACTTCCTCTGGAGATGGAAAGGAGGCAAGGGCCCCGGACCACACTCTTCTTAGCATTGGCCTGGAAGCCTCAGCCTGTGCAGAAAGCAAGAAAAAATAAAAGATGTAAAGGTTGGAAGGGAAAAAAATAAAATGTGGTTGTTCACGGATGACACAGCTGCATACAGAGGAACGCCTCAAGAATAGATAAACAATCTGTTAGAATTAATCAGTGGAGTTATAAGGTCACTGGGGACAAGGTCAATATACCCAAAAAACAAATCCATCAAGTGTTTGTAGACTAGCACAAACAAACAGAACACGAACTTTAAAATTATAGCATTTACAACAGTATCTGTATTAGTCCATTTTCATACTGCTGTGAAGAAATAGCCAAGATGGGTAATTTATGAAGAAAAAGAGGTTTAATGGACTCACAGTTCCACGTGGCTGAAGAGGTCTCACAATCATGGCGGAAGGTGGAGAAGCAAAGTCACGTCTTACATGGCGGCAGGCAAGAGAGCGTGTGCAGGGAGACTGCCCTTTATAAAACCATCAGATCTCATGAGACTTATTCACTATCACGAGAACAGCACGGGAAAAACCCACCCCCATGATTCAGGTACCTCCCACCAGGCCCCTCCCACAACACGTGCTGATTATGGGAGCTACAATTCAAGATGGGATTTGGGTGGGGACACAGCCAAACCATATCAGCATCCAAATACTTAGAAATAAATCTAATTGGAGACATGAAAGACCTCCACCTGCAAACTACACAGTGAAATTAAACACATAAATAAATGGCTATGCCATATTCCTGGATTAGAAAATTCAATAATGTAAAATGTCAGTTCTCCCCAAATCAATTTGTAGATTCAATGCAATCCCAGTAAAATTCCTAGTTGAGTTTGTTTGGGGTGGTGTTTGTTTGTTTGGAGACAGGGTCTTGCTCTCAAGACCCTAGGTCCTGGACAGGGTCCACCCCTAGGCTAGAGTACAATGGCATGATCACAGCTCACTGCAACCTTGAACTCCTGGGCTCAGGTGATCCTCCCACCTCAGCCTCCTGAGTAGTTGGGACTACAGGCATGCATGAAAATTTCTGTATTTTTTATATAGACAGGATCTTGCCTTGTTGCCCAGACTGGTCTCAAACTGCCAGGCTCAAGCAATCCTCCCACCTCAGCCAGCCAAAGTGCTGGGATTACAGGCGTGAGCCACCGCAATAGGCCAATTTTTTTTTTATTGTTTTGTTTTGTTTTGTTTTTTTAAACTGAGCTGAGAAACTTCAAGTCACTGCTGGAGGAGTCAAGACGGCAAGCCAAAGCCCTGTGTGGCTGGGGTGGGGTCTGGCCCCGCTTCACCCTCACGGAGCCTCCTTGGCTTTAGGAAGAGCAGAGGTCCTTTCTCAGGCACTGGTGGCTGTGCTTCAAGCTGCTGTGGTGGAGGCTGAGCCAGTTTCCCACCCACCTGCCTACCAGGAAGCCCCGAGTCTGTCCCTGCAGTCCCTCCTCCTGGGAGCTGCTGCCGAATCTAGGGTGTCCCCGCCTGTTTTGCTTTCTGGGAAGAGTCTCCTCTCTGAGAAGCAAGATCCCCTGGAGATGCGGTCGGTGCTGGCTCCGCCTGCCCTGCCCTGCCTGCACACCGTTCCGGGTGTCACCACCCCAGGCGACTGCAGGACCCTAGATGCCCTGAGGTCCGGGAAGGCGGGGGGTCCCCGAGTCTTTTACTCCCTGGAGATAAGCCTTCGCGGGGTTCGCAGGACTGCGTCCTCCTGGGCCCCTTTTTCCTTTTTTCTTCTACCTGGGGGTTGTGGTGCCAAATGCCTCTTGGGTTCCAACGTCTGGTGCCCTCTCAGGAGTTCCACCGGCAACGACCCGACGTGCAGGGACTGTGGCAGGTTTGTGACCCCTCCCCTCCCCGCAGAGCCTGGCACATCGGCAGCCCTCCCGCGAGTCAGCCTGGGTGACTGCGACTGCCCTGGGCTCTAAACCCCGGGGTACGGGCCAGGTGTCTGCTTGGGGAGGTGTAGACGGACACAGGCAGGGTGGGAGGAGGCGAAGGTGTCCTCCACGAAGGACGCGGGGCGCACCGGGACTCCAGTCCCCGGCACCCTCCACCCGGCACCCGCGTCCCCACACGGGCCGCGTCCCGCCTCCCCAGCCTCCCTGGCCCCCCCGGCCGCCCCCACTCACATCCCGTTGCCCCCCACCTGGCCCCCACCATGCACCCAGCATCCCAGGCCCAGGTGCCCCGCCCCGGGCCTTACCCACGGGCTCGAGCCTGATCTCCTCCCCGGGCCCCCCGCCCCTGGCTCCTCCTCGGCTCCCACAAGGCACAGCCTGTGTCCGCCCCAGACCCGCCGCGAACTCGCGCTGCCACCTGCCGCCTCGGCCCTGCCCCCGGCCCCGCCCCCAGCCCTCTAGCCCCGACCCCGACCCTCCGGCCCCGCCCCTCCCCTGGCCTGCCACGTGTCCCCTACCCCGCAGGGCAGCTGCGTGTTTTGTGTTCCTGTCTCTGCGGCCAGGTGGGGGCGAGTGCGCTGAGGTCAACCCTCGGCCACCCGGGCGCTGGGTGGTGCTGCCACTGTCCCCATTTCAGAGATGAGGAGACTGAGGCTCACAGGGGAAAGGGCCATCTGCATCCGGAGGAGGGCCTAAGCCAGACTCTCCCTGGAGGAACAGGGAGGCCTCGACTAGCCCCTCCCCAAACGCAGCAAGTGGGTGCTCTGAGGAGGGGGTGTGGGGACCCTTCCCTCTGGGGCCCTCAGAAGGGGTGGGCCTCAGCCCCACCATGTGGCCCCAATCCAGCCCTCAGGACCCGCCAGGAGTCTCAGCACCTCCCCACACACCGAGTGTCCAAAAGCCTCTGACATCCCCTCTAGGGGGAGCGCTCCCCAAAGTCTCTCTGGCAAGGGTTCTCGGCACCACCAGGGTTGGGGCCCACGCTTCTTTTCCCCTCAATCTACCCTGGGAGGGGAAGGGCGGGGAGGGGCCCTGGCAGGGCAGCAGCGAGGACTGGGCAGTTGGCTTTCCAGGGCCTGGCTTGCAATGTCGGGCTCCCCCTCCATCCTCAGCTCCTGGGAGCTCGTTCTCGTGGCTGGCTGGGTCCACCGCAGCCTGGAATTGGTGTGTGGCATTCTTATAGCCACCTGCCCCCAACCATGAAAACAGACCCAGTGCCAGTCTTCAGGCACGGCTGGATCCAGGCGCCAGTCCTCAGGCACGGCTGGATCCAGGCGCTCCGGGATGCCATCAAGGCTGGCTCTTCATTCGGCCTCTGTGTTGGTCTCAGCCACACTCTGCCCCGCAGTGGCCACGGTGGCAGTCCTTGGACAACTGAGCTGACGTCCTGCCAGCCCCCAAACATGAAGTGTCCTTCTGGGAGTTCCTGTAACATGTCTGGGTGAGACAGGACTGGCCAGGCTGAGGTCACGGCCATCCCTCAGCTTGTGTCAGTGACCAAGACAAGCCAGGCCACATGACCCACCCCCCTGGGTCCACCCCGAGCGGGTAGGATGGGTGGGGCCTGCTGGCCCCATGTGCCCGTGCAAGGCGCTGTGCCGGGAGACACGGGGCCCCCTCAGTCATCACGTGGCATTTCTCATAAGCTTCTGAGGCGGCCCAGGGACCACCAGGGCTCCAGTGTGGCCAAGAAGTGAAGTCTGAAGTGACCCAGAGGGCTGCTGGTGAGGGGATGAGTGCTCAGGACGGAGGCGGAGGGCTTCCTGGAGCTGGTGGCATTTGAGAGGACATAGGGGAAGAGCAGCACAGAGTGGAAGGCCCTGCTAGAGAACTGGGCCACATTCAGGGGACTCTGGCAGCCCAGCAAGCTCCAGCTCCTTGGACGCTTGTTGGCGAAACAATATTGTACGTCCCTCCCTCCCCACCACCCCTGCAGCCTAGAGATGGAAAGGTCCCTCCACCAGGACCAGACCTCCTCCCTCCTCCCACCTCGGACCTCCCACCCCACCTCCAGCATCAGCAGACAGTGCTGGACCTGGACCAGGGTCAGGAGCAGTGCCCCCCACCCCGCCCCTCAGCACCATCAAACCTGCCACCTCCCTGCACCCCTTCCCACCTCCCCTCCCTTCCCCCTTCCCCTCCCTTCCTTCCTCCCCTTTTTTTACCCCCTCCTCCCTTTCCCCACCTCCCCTCCGTTCCCCCCTCCCTTTCCCCCTCTCCTCCTTTCCCCCGTCCTCCCTTCCCCCCTCCCCTCCCTTTTCCCCCTCCCCTTGCTGCCTTTTCCCCTCCTCCCTGCACCCCCTGCTCCCCTCCCCCTTCACCCATCCCTCCTCCCTGTAACCCCCTCCCCACTCCCTGAACCCTCCTTCCCCTTCCCTGCACCTTCCTTCCCCCTCCCCAGTGCCCCACCCTCACCTCTTCCCCACCCGCACCTCTGCTTCTTCCATTTGGCACCTCCCATGTTCCTGTCTCCACACACGAACGCAGCTTTTTTATTTTTCATTCATTTATTTTTGCAGCGTTATTGAGATAGACCTGATTGACGTATGGTAACCTGCATATATTTATAGTGTGCAATGCGGAAAGTTTCGACACTTTGCACACCTGTGAAACCATCACAGTCAAGATAATTCTCCATCACCCAAGTTTCTTCACGCCCTTGGCAGGCCTCTCCCACCCCATCGACAAAGGTGCCCAAGGGCCTTTCCTCACTCCCATCACTGCGCTGCCCAGCATCTCCCACAAGTGGAAGCAGCGGGCTCCTGCTGTCGCAAGCGTTCCACTGCGGGGTAAAATAAAGCTGCTGTGAACCTTGTACAAGGCTTTGCTGGACACCTGTGTTCATTTCTCCAGAAGCAGCGGTGAGAGACGCATGTTTAACCCCTTAAGAAACTGCCAGAAGGGTGTGAACCACAGTCCACACCCCAGCACCTCCAGGAGTTCCGTGCCCTCCCGACACTCGTCCTGGTCCCATCCTCACGAGTGTGTTCCTGGTATTTTGTTGCGTTTTTAATTTCTAAATAAGCTCAGGAAACATGATTCTCAACATCCTCCTCAGATGCACCCAGAGAGAAGCCGCCTCTCTTCTGCTCACACCTGAGAGCTCTCCTGTCCACCTGCGCCCTTCCCCAGCCCCAGCCTTTTCCACCTCAAGCCTCTACCCAGCCCCTTCGCCAGCCAGGAGGCTCCCCAGGGTCCGGCCCCTGCAGCCCCTGGAAGGGCTCCCATGCCTGAGAGGCGCTCACAGCACTTGCTGAGTAAGAACATTGAGAAAAGACAGATATACGCATGCCCATCCTTCTCAAACAGAAATTCTAGCAGACAGATATACGCATGCCCATCCTTCTCAAACAAATTCTAGCAGACAGATATACGCATGCCCATCCTTCTCAAACAAATTCTAGCAGTTAGGAGTGAACAGCCTGACAAGCAGCTAGCTGCGTTTCTAACAAGGAGTGTGATCTGTCTTCCAAGCAAGTCTTGAAGGTGCTCTAGGAAGCTCCCGTTCGACCTTCCTGGTGAGCTCAGCATCACAGGGACTATGCCCAGCCCAGCTTTGTGTCAACGCTCTGCTGGGCATAGCCAGCGCCGCCAGGGAGGGGGCTTCGGAAGGCTGCATAGGGACTGGGGTCTTTCGAATCGCATAACCACCATCGTGAGATCAGGCACTGGTTGAGCACTTGCTGTCTGTATGGCACTGAGGACACAGGAGGCCCCGATGGGTCCCCAAAGCTGCTCAGACCAATGAAAGCCTAGAGCAGCACAGATGCCACTGCCTCAGTGGCAGCCCCGGGTGAATAGTGCCCTGAGGCCAGGGCCAGGTGAAGGCTCAGGGGACCTTTTCCTTTTTTTTTTTGAGACAGTCTTGCTCTGTCCTCAGGCTGTAGTGCAGTGGCATGACATTGGCTCACTGCAACCTCTGCCTCTTGGGTTCAAGCGACTCTCCTGCCTCAGCCTCCCGAGGAGCTGGGACTACTGGAGCACACCACCACGCTCAGATAATTCTATTTTTGTAGAGATGGGGTTTCACCACGTTGGCCAGGATGGTCTCGAGCTCCTGACCTCAGGTGATCCGCCCGCCTCGGCCTCCCAAAATGCTGGGAATTACAGGCCTCATGAGCCACCACATCCACCCAGACTTTTTCTTTTTTAGATAAAATTACACTTGATTTGTAGACCTAGTATTAAAAAGATTTTTTTTAATTACATTTGGAGGCCACCGTCTGATAGAAGGGAAAACGCCAGCAACTGACTGTGGAGAACCACCAGATTTGTAGTCAGAGCAGCACTGGAAAAACGATGACAACTTCTCAGGCACTCGGCCCCCCATCGGAGCACTCGGCCCCCCATTGGAACACTCGGCCCCCCCATCGGGGCACTCGGCCCCCCATCGGAACACTCGGCCCCCCATCGGAACACTCGGCCCCCTCATCGGGGCACTCGGCCCCCCGTCGGAGCACTCGCCCCCCCGTCGGGGCACTCGGCCCCCCGTCGGAACACTCGGCCCCCCGTCGGGGCACTCGGCCCACCATCGGGGCCATTACATGCCACGAGTCCTTTGGTGTCAGATCCCTAGTGCGGGGCCAGGTGACCCACCTGGGTGGGGCCCAAGCCTTTCCCGGTTGCTTAACTGAGGTGCCCTTACACTGGCTCAAATGCACAGATATTACCTGTCAGCTTAGTGTTTCACATTGGCACGCGCCTGTGTGACACCCATGATGATCAAAACAGAACATTTTCATCACCCCAGAGGGCCCTGGCGCCCCTTCCCGACAGTCTCCTCACCGGAGCCCCACACCCTGCTTCTACCCACCCATGAACTTCCATCAGGCGGAATCAGAATGCATAGGCTTCTGTGTCCGGCCTCTTCCAGTCAGCGTAGCTCCTCTGAGATTCAGCTACCTGGTGGAGCATATCAGTAGTTCGTTCCTTTTTATTCCTGGGGGGCGTTTCACTGACTAAATATGCATCTGTTTGACTCTCCATTCACCTGCTGAAGGGCATTTGGGCTGCTTCCATCTTGAGCATCAATACGGCCATTGTGAACATTCTTGTATGACTTTTCCGCGGACAAAGGAACTCATTCTCAAGTAGATGCTTAGGACTGGAACTGCTGGTCACAGGATAGATGTGCATTCGGCTTCGTCGCTGTGTCACACACTGAAGAGATGCCCATTCAGCTTCATCACTGCATCATCACACACCGGGTAGACATGCATTCAACACTGGGTAGACGGGCATTCAGCTTCATCACTGCATCACACACCGGGCAGACGTGCGTTCAACACTGGGTAGACGGGCATTCAGCTTCATCACTGCATCACACACCAGGCAGACGTGCGTTCAACACTGGGTAGACGGGCATTCAGCTTCATCACTGCATCACACACCGGGCAGACGTGCGTTCAACACTGGGTAGACGGGCATTCAGCTTCATCACTGCGTCACACACCGGGCAGACGTGCATTCAACACCGGTTAGACGGGCATTCAGCTTCATCACTGCGTCACACACCGGGCAGACGTGCATTCAACACCGGTTAGACGTGCATTCAGCTTCATCACTGCATCACACACCGGGTAGACGTGCATTCAACACTGGGTAGACGGGCATTCAGCTTCATCACTGCATCACACACCGGGCAGACGTGCGTTCAACACTGGGTAGACGTGCATTCAGCTTCATCACTGCATCACACACCGGGTAGACGTGCATTCAACACTGGGTAGACGTGCATTCAGCTTCATCACTGCATCACACACCGGGTAGACGTGCATTCAACACTGGGTAGACGTGCATTCAGCTTCATCACTGCGTCACACACCGGGCAGACGTGCATTCAACACTGGGTAGACGTGCATTCAGCTTCATCACTGCATCACACACCGGGCAGACGTGCATTCAACACTGGGTAGACGGGCATTCAGCTTCATCACTGCGTCACACACCGGGCAGACGTGCATTCAACACTGGGTAGACGTGCATTCAGCTTCATCACTGCGTCACACACCGGGCAGACGTGCATTCAACACTGGGTAGACGTGCATTCAGCTTCATCACTGCGTCACACACCGGGTAGACGTGCATTCAACACTGGGTAGACGTGCATTCAGCTTCATCACTGCATCACACACCGGGCAGACGTGCATTCAACACTGGGTAGACGTGCATTCAGCTTCATCACTGCATCACACACCGGGTAGACGTGCATTCAACACTGGGTAGACGGGCATTCAGCTTCATCACTGCGTCACACACCGGGCAGACGTGCGTTCAGCTTCCTGTGTCACACAACATGCCACCACTGGATGAGAGTCTTTCAGATTCAAGCCCTGAGGGTGGGCACACAGTGGAGCCTCGCTGTGGTGTCCATTTGCATTTCTCTAATGACCAGTAACGGTGGGCACCTTTTCAGTTGCTTATTCGCCACTTGTGTATCTTTTCTAAAGCACCTGTTCAAGTGTCTCGCACATTTGTTATTGTGTTATCTTTTTATTACTAAGTAGTGGAATTCTTTATTCCTGTGTCATGTATAAATATTGCAAATATTTCTCCAAGTCTGTGGCTTGCCTTTTTACTTTATATACCTTTTTTTAACATTCTAAAGAGAAATTTACATTCCATTTTTCCTCAGTAACATAGCAAAACTATAAAGAAAAAAATAGAGATTAGTATCTAAACTTTTTCAGAAACAATGTATTTCATAAAAATTGAATAGACACTTTTTTCCCACTGTGTTCATGAAATCTAAATGATAGATTGTGGCATTCGTAAGTGTGGTGAATAAGCCAGTCTATAGAAAATCTCCTCTGCGTCCCGTGTAAGTGTGGCGAAGAAGCCAGTCTAAAGAAAATCTGTGCGTCCCGTGCCTCGGACCACAACATGACTGCCAAAAAGCAAAGGTTCCACTCTGACCTTGAACTAAACGCTGACCAACCTCCAAGGGCATCTTGATGAGCAAAAGGCTGTAGCTGAGGCCCAATTTATGCATTCTTCTTCAGGATGTGTGCCTTCTATGTGCTTAGAAATCCTTGCCCACTCCCAGTCATGAAGACCTCTGACGCTTTCCAGATCTCTGATCCACCTCAAGTTGATGGTTACGTACAGTGTGAAGATGGACTCCAAGATCACGTTTCCCCCACAGGGCACAGAACTGCACCAGGGCCTTCAGCCACGCCTGTCTTTGCTCCGACGGCACGACATCCTGATTGCTGTCACTTCAGGGGAAGTCTTGAAATGTGGGAGGGTCAAGTGCTCCATTCTGTCCTAGGCTGTCTTGGCTATTTAAGTCCTCTGCATTTCTATATACATTTATGGAATCAGATTGTCAGTTTCTAGGAAAATCCTGCTGGGATTTGGTTGAGCTGGCATTGCATCTGTTTCTCAGTCCTGACAGACTTGCTGTCTTCAGCAACACAGAGTCTTCCCTACTAGCACTGTGGTGTCGGCCTCCGCTGAGGGCTTTGATTTCTCAGTTCCAGTGTAAGATCTCATACATCTTTCATTCGGTGTATTCCTGGGCGTGTGTTCTCCGTGCTATTGTTGACGGCATGTTTTTAACCTTCTGGTTGTTGGTTGCGAGTACACGGAACTACAGACACCTCCAGCTACCGGCCTCGCCTCTGGCCCTCTTTGGGAGTTCACGCGCCGTGCTCAGTGTTGTGTTTGTAAGTTCGTCTGGATTTCCAAGACACACAGTCGTGTCACCTCTGAATCCTTTGTTCACCTTCTTCCTCTCCATACTTGATGCCTCTTTTTCTTGCCTTTTTTGCCCAACTGGAGCTGCCTGTACGTGGGGAGCAGAGGCAGCAAGAGTGGCCGTCCCAGTCATGTTCACGAGGCTGCTCGTGCCCCAGGCCTGGGCAAACACCCAGATCAGACTGAGGGCAGCCAGCAAATCTGTGATGAGATGCGAAACAGCAGCTACGGGTCTCAAGAACAGAGTACAACAAACATGCCTGCAGACCCGGTCTTCTGGCAGTGCCCGGCTGAGGGGAATCTCTCTCATGTTGGCCTAAGCCTCAAGTCACCATGACCGTCCCACACAGACTGACTGGACCCGACAGAAGAGCAGAAGAGCTGGAATGAAATCAATCATACTTGCAGAAATTCAAGTGCAACTGCCCTTTGTACCTGATTAAACTAATTTATTTCAGGTCAAGAACTTTGTGAAAGGCAGGTATGGGTCATGGATGGAAAGCACAGATGTGATCCCATCAGTGAACGACCCTGGCACGGCCTAGAGCGGGAAGCTGGAGAGGGCGCCCCCCAGTGCTTCCTGCCGAGACTCTCAGTGTGGCCACGTATCCAGGGTGAATTGTTTCCTCCCTAAAAAAGATACGGAGGACTCTTTACCCCCGGTCCTCAGAATGTGACTCTATCTGGAGTTAGGGTCTTTACAGAGATAATCCAGTCAGAATGAGGTCGTTTGGGCGGGACCTGATCCAACAGGACTGGGGGTCCTTACAGAGAGGGGAAGCTGGACCCAGAGACCGACATACACAAGGGAGAAGCTGTGGAAAGGCAGAGGCAGAGATCGGGCGCTGTGTCTAAGCCAAGGAACCCAAAGGTGCCAGCAGCTGCCAGAAGCTGGGAGAGCAGACCCTTCCCCAGAGCCTGGGGAGAAACCCACCCTGCTGGCATCTTGATCTCCAACCGTGGCCCCCAGAGCGGTGGGACGATCTGTGGTCCTTTGTGATGGCAGCCCCAGTGGGGCAGTGCAACAGGTGTGGGAACAGGGGCAGTGTCTCCAGCAGAACGTGTACGTAAACCTGCATATCGCTGTGGGTCCGTCACAGTAGGTGGAGTGAACGTCACAATGGGAGACCAACTCCAATTGCATCAGAGACCGTTCCCAAAGGCTCTCCAAGGTGCTCGAAGGCAGGGAGCGGTACACATTGGCGCTGAGCCTCTGAGGGCCCAGCAGGAGCTGTGACCTGTCAGGACCAACCAATACCACAAACTGCCCTGGAGACGCCCTCTCTCGCCACAGGAGGTCTGCGTCAAGGCTGGGGCCCTCTGGGCACCTCAGCCGGGCTCGCCACGTGCGTTTCTGTGTACATCTCCCCCAGCACTGGGCCTCCCGCCGCCCCTCCTAGCTGTGCCCAGCTCATCTCCACCTGTGACAGCAGAAGGTGTTAAGCGCAGCCGCCAGCCCCCAGACTCCACGCAGAGAGTAGCTCGGCCCCTGTCCTCACAGAGAAAGTTCTTTCTCCCGGCTCTGATGGGGCTCAGCTACAGATTCCAACAGGTGGCTCAGAAACCAGCACCTCAGCAGAGCCGGAGTGCAATCTGGCAGTAGAATCTAAAACTGGAAAACGGAGGAAAAATAGGCAAAACAAATACAGATAAATTTGTTTTTAATAAAGGAGTTAATTTTCTTTCAATCCTATATAAAACAATAGCAATTAAAAACTTCATTTCTGAAAGTAAAATATTTACATATGAACAAGTAACTGTGCAAAATTTACATGAAAAAATGGAAAGACAGGGATTTCCTAAAAGACAAAATAAAAGGTGTAACAGTTCTCAGGTGTTGATAAAAAATACTGATCAGCGTTCAGTTCACACGCGCTCGAATTAAAGTCTAATGTGAGAATTCACACGGAGAAAGCCAGAGTATTTACAGTCATAAAAGTACTATCAATAGACAATTTCATACAATAACCTCTGAAAATAGAAAGAACCAATTAGTATATTTGTAATAAAAAAATAGGTACAAAGAAGGGGCTTTGCTCTGGACGTCTGTAAAGTCGGCCCAAGGCTTGCATACAGTCTCTTAGCAAAATAATTATAGTTTACATAGCCATTTCTATGTCATGTGCCAAAAGTTATGTACAATTACTGACAAAATACACCAACCATTTTTCAACACTTGATTCACACCGAGAAACAGTCTTTTGATGATTCTTCTCAACTTTGATTTTATTTAATCTAGGTTTTCACTTTTAGCTAAAAAACACAGTGCAAGTAAAATATATTTATGCTGAAAAGGTTTTCATCTCTTTTAACTTTACAGCTTTACAAACTATAGCAAATAAAATGCATTTGTACAGATGCTGACCACACATTCAGAAGGAGCCACCTTTGCTGGGCTCGGCCTCTACCAAGCAGAAATGCGATTACACTCTGAGGTGGGGGTGCAACGATGAATTGTGTATTCCTCCAGGATTCTCAGCGGAGTGGAGGGGAAGGGAGGGGAGGGGAGGGCAGGGGGCAGAGAGGAGAGCGGGGTGGGAGGGGAAGGGAAGGAAGATAAATAGTCTAAAAAATCAGTTTGCTTTGCCAACTGACTATTACAAAAATAAAATAAACGAAATGAGGTCATCGGCTGTAGACATACACCTACATAGTAAGTTAGGTAGAACTAAACCAAAATGCACAAATAATGCAGAAACTGCTATGAGTTGACAGAGGGCAGCTAATTATTTGCTAACGATTCCATCAGTCTTTATATATGGCTTGTTTGGCAGGAAGGCCACTCAATCAAGATGAGTTAAGATTTAATTGTCCTTTAAGAGTATCCACAGGCCTTTGTGTTCTCTCTGTTACAGAAACGTGTTTTCTTTCACACTGAAGAGCTGATTTAGAAACAGGAATATAAAACTGTTCCATTGTAAAGAGGTGGCTGTTTTTTAAACAATATCCCATTTGCTCGTTACAAAAAGGCGTAATCTGCAAATATATAAAAAGTCCCCAGGCGTCCTCCTGTGTCACTTAAGGAATGCTTTGTAGAGCAGCAGTGAATGGCTTGTCTCACGTTCATTTTCTAAACAAAATATGAGGTCCCTGAGGTTGACCCGCGTGATTCTTTGTCGCGTGAACTGTCTGGGGGTTCCGACACCCGAGCTGCCTGGGACCACTGAGCCGGGGCCCGACCCCTGGTGATGAAAAAGGAGAAGACAGTGTGTTAGTGGGGCTCAGAGTGGGGCTTGCAATGAGCCTGTGTATCTGAGCCAAGTACCCCGATTCCAGAGGAGGCCAGGCCTGGCACGGGCTCCTTCCGGTAGGCCCACAGCTGGAGCTGGGGTGCTGTCCAGGGCCCTGCCAGGGCAGGGGCAAGGGCAGGAGGCCCCATGCTGCACCTTCAGGACAGGGCACACTCAGATGCTGCCCAATGCCCCACAGTGCTTGGACCTGGTCCTGGGGCTGAGGATGGACTAGGGGGTGGCACCCACCCAAGGCAAATGGCTGAGCGGCCCCAGGGCCACCCTCCATGTGACCACAGCTGGACTGCCTGTGGACTCAGCTGGGGCACAAAAGCCACACTAGGTCTGTGTGTGTCATCCCCGCTTGGCTGCTGAATTCCTGCACTGGGAGGCCTGGGGTTGGCTGGGACTGGGCATGCTGGGTCAGCTGGGAAGGCTGGGTTTCTCAGTGGCTCCCACAGTGATCCCTGAGCCTCTGGCTGGGCCCTGGCTGCACAGACGCCGCCTCCGTCAGCCCCTACAGGTGACCAGGTGTCTCCCGAGCTGCCTCAGATGTGTTCCTGCTTGGAGAAGCATAGCTGCTGCGTGCCAGCTCCTGTGGAGAGCTCTGGCGGTTTCAGCTGATGACACCTGCATGACACCGCCCAGCAGGGCACGCGCCACACACACGACACCGCCCAGCGGGGCACACGCCACACACACGACACCGCCCAGCGGGGCACGCGCCACACACACGACACCGCCCAGCGGGGCACGCGCCACACACACGACACCGCCCAGCGGGGCACGAGCCACACACACGACACCGCCCAGCGGGGCGCGCGCCACACACACACAACACCGCCCAGCGGGGCGCGCACCACACACACACGACACCGCCCAGCGGGGCACGTGCCACACAACTCCCAACAGCTGTCATTTCCCCCAGCTGGCATGAAAACTAAGTTCTGCTCCGATGGTGAAAGCTGCTCACATATATTTAAGTACAAAGATTACGATGGCATCTTTACAGCACATTCTCAACCAAAGTTAAGATGCTGGAAGGAGCGGATTCTGCTGTGTGTGCCAGTGGGAGCCTTGCTGTGAACAGCCCTGACATGGCCCCGCCCCTCATGCCGTCCTTCCTCCCCCCTTCCCCGTTCTGCCACTTTCAGTTCAGGCTGGGAGCATGGCTGCCTTGTGTGATGGCATGCAAGTGTGTCTCTGACCCACTGCATTTTCTTTATTCCTGTGAGATTCAAACAGATGAGGGCACCTGTCTCCGTTCAGACGCCCTGCGCTGTGAGGGCCCTTCTTCAGACCTGCCCGGGGTCCCTTTGCTACTGAAGCCTCCGCACTCCACACTAGCTCATTATAAAGTGATCCGCACCTGAGGGCCAGGCCTCCCAAAAGAGAACTCAGGCGAGGTGAGTGACAGTTTGCAGGGTGAGGGCAGGGCTCTCACAGGCACCACCCAAACAGGCTGTGTGACCCAGTGACACCTGCTATAAATTCCGGACTGTGTTTGATGTTTCTATCTTCAAAATAGTTCAGCAGCTAAAAAAGAGGACCGGGGTGAAGGAGAGACGCTCATCTCAGGTGCTCAATTTAAAGGCTGCCGAGGGTAAGAAATCAAGATATTCTAACGCAAGTGTCAGCACCAACCAAGGGAGGGCACGAGACCAACCAAGGGAGGGCGCGACACCAACCAAGGGAGGGCGCGAGACCAACCAAGGGAGGGCGCGAGACCAACCAAGGGAGGGCGCGAGACCAACCAAGGGAGGGCGCGAGACCAACCAAGGGAGGGCGCGAGACCAACCAAGGGAGGGCGCGAGACCAACCAAGGGAGGGCGCGAGACCAACCAAGGGAGGGCGCGAGACCAACCAAGGGAGGGCGCGACACCAAGGGAGGGCGCGACACCAACCAAGGGAGGGCGCGACACCAACCAAGGGAGGGCGCGACACCAACCAAGGGAGGGCGCGACACCAACCAAGGGAGGGCGCGACACCAACCAAGGGAGGGCGCGACACCAACCAAGGGAGGGCGCGACACCAACCAAGGGAGGGGGCGAGACCAACCAAGGGAGGGCGCGACACCAACCAAGGGAGGGCGCGACACCAACCAAGGGAGGGCGCGACACCAACCAAGGGAGGGCGCGAGACCAACCAAGGCCGGGGGCGAGACCAACCAAAGGAGGGGGTGAGACCAACCAAGGCCGGGGGCGAGACCAACCAAAGGAGGGGGCGAGACCAACCAAGGCCGGGGGCAAGACGAACCAAGGCCGAGGGCGAGACCAACCAAGGCCGGGGGCGAGACCAACCAAGGCCGGGGGCGAGACCAACCAAGGGAGGGGGCGAGACCAACCAAGGCCAGACGGTGCCTCCTTGGGGCTGAGGCCACCCCCAGGGCCCAGCACGCTGAGAAACTGATGCCAGGCCCTGCTTCTGCACCAAGCTCTGAAGGTGCACTATGAATGAACAATATAACTTCTCCAGATTCTGTGAGTTTTATCAATACAAATTTTTCTTCAAATTTTTCTTAAATCTTAAAAGAAAAACGCAAATCTAACCTACCTGATACTCCAATTGCCTTTCTCTACATGGCACACTCCCGCTTCTCCCCAGCCCACTTCGCCCCAGGCAGGAGGGGTCCAGACTCCCTGTCTTTCCCATAGGGTCTTTGCTTGCAGAATTCTATGTGGATTTTGGCTCCCGCAGAGAGTTTGTTGCTAAACTGCTCTGAAGATGGAGTGGAGATCTCGTAGGAACCTCCCCCTCTCTTCTCAGGACTGGGGCTGCCAGCGGACCAAGGCCTTCTGTGCCCAACCCACACGGCAGTGGCAGTGGCTTTCCTCCCTAGATTCATCCAAACCCCTCACGGGCTGTGCCCATGGTGGGCGTAGCAGCCAGAGGGGTCAGGCAGGGACTGGTCATGGAGCCTGCTTGGAGAAGAGTGCTTAGTGGGGGCTTCCAGCTCCATGGGACTCCTGAGAAAGAAGGGCCTGTGGGGACCAGGGTCAAGGCACCCATGGCCACTCTAGAGGGACTGCGGCCCGTGCAGGCGCAATGGCCACTCCAGAGGGACTGCGGCCCGTGCAGGCGCCATGGCCACTCCAGAGGGACTGCGGCCCGTGCAGGCGCCATGGCCACTCCAGAGGGACTGCGGCCCGTGCAGGCGCCATGGCCACTCCAGAGGGACTGCGGCCCATGCAGGCGCGACGGCCTCTAGAGGGACTGTGGCATGTGCAGGCGCCATGGCCACTCCAGAGGGACTGCGGCCCGTGCAGGCGCCATGGCCACTCCAGAGGGACTGCGGCCCGTGCAGGCGCGATGGCCACTCCAGAGGGACTGTGGCCCGTGCAGGCGCGGTGGCCACTCCAGAGGTACTGCGGCATGTGCAGGCGCCGTGGCCACTCCAGAGGGACTGCGGCATGTGCAGGCGCCGTGGCCACTCCAGAGGGACTGCGGCCCGTGCAGGCGCCGTGGCCACTCCAGAGGGACTGCGGCCCGTGCAGGCGCGACGGCCACTCCAGAGGGACTGCGGCATGTGCAGGCGCAATGGCGCAAAACAGAGCCTGGGACGACAGACAGCTCCACAAGGGCCGGCACCAACATGGAGCCCTGGGGGCCTCGGCCTAAACAACTCCAAACACAGGGGCTTGGGGTTTGTTAGGTACAGGTGCTGGGATTAGAAAACAAGCAAGCGAAGCAAAATCCCCGCGGCCCTGGACATACCACGTGAGCCCTCCCTTTGCAGGTCCCCACCTCTGACGCATGGCGCTGCAGACAGCCCTCGCCCCATCACAGGGCTCTCAAAAGGATCAAATGAAAGGAGGAGGTCTCTCCACCGCATATGTGCCATAGACACTCAGTATCGAAGCCAAATGCAGAGTCGCCGTCCGCGGAACCGCCCGGTGCAGGGTCTGCGCCACCCAAACGTCAGGCCCCACACGGTCAGCACCTGGGGGCTGTCCGGGAGGAGCGCGTCTGCTCCCGGGGCGGGAGCCCCTTGGTCCGTCCTTTACTCCGCCACGGAGCCCCAGCCGAGCAATGGGTGGAGAATGCTGTGCCCACAGCCGCCCCGGGCGGCGGGTAACAATAGCCTATGCCGCACACACTCCAGCCACCTCCGCCCCGAACGCGTACGTGCCCTCTCCGTGCCTAACCATTTACGGGGTGTCACACACACAAGGCCAGGTCACTGGCAGCACGTTTTGAAGAACAGCAGTAGTAGCGAAAAACACTCAGACACACAGCTTAGAAAGTTAGCATCACTTCCGGGAGGCCGAAGACAACGTGGCTGCCGAGCTGATGTCTCCCAGCCTCTCTTCCAAACACAGTTCAGCACAAGCAAGGAACGCAGGTTTACACCAGCATCGCCGTCTGCACTGGACGAGGGCGCCTAGACTTCAAAATCACTGCAAGTCGGCGCAGAGTCAACACACGCCTGAGCCTGACCCCCCAGTCTCTCCCCTGCAAGGCCGCGGTGGGGCGGGGTGGGACAGGGGTCTGTGGGAAGCCACTGCTGAAAGGCTAAGCCACCCCAAGTCCCAGGGCCTGAGAGGTGTCCAGGAAGGTCAGTGCAGACCACAGGGCAGGGACCACTGAGCACAAGACGGGAAGGGGTTGTCAAGGCAACACAGCATGTCCTGAGAGGAGCCCTTTGGCCACTGGGTGGTGAGGCAGAAAAGAAGGAAAGGGGGAAGTTCTGGGTCCTGCAGGAAAGGGCCGGGAGAACTGGAGGACAACTTCCGTCCTGCACACCAGCAAGGACCCGCTCAAGACCTGGACTTCCCCATGTGGCCAGCAGACGGCACCAGGAAACCACAGATGTGGCAAATACCCCAAGGCCACCAGGGCAAAGGGACAGAGGCGGTAAAGCCACCCAGAGCCACGGGAAAGTCAGAGAAGAGTCAAAAAATGGGGGCTCCACACACATCAGAGAAAAACCTACCCTGGAACAACAAGAAAATTAACAACACTCTCAATACAGGAAAATCTGCTTAAGTGTGCACTTAAGGATATGAAAATCATCACCTCAAATCAGAACCTCAAAAACTAGGAGACAAATTTTTATAAAAACCATAAAATTACAAATGCAACACCAAAAGGAAATAAGAGTTGACTGGACTTAAGAAAGTAATGGAAGGAAGAGACAAAATTATCTCAGAAATGAATAAACTGCAAACAGTCTGAGGGAGGGGAGGCGGTGAAAATGCAGTAAGGAACCTACGAAAGGCAGGAAGCCAAGAGGACAGAATCGAGACACAGAAAGGAGGAAAAGGGTCAGGAGAAAACAGGGCAAATGAGAGCTGGGCGAATCTCCCCCTCAGGCAGAGTGGGACATTCACACCATGACCCAGGAGACGTTCACAAAAGACAGCAAACCACACCCCACCCGAGAGGAGACACCAAACCCACACCCACCCGAGAGGAGACACCAAACCCACACAACCCACACCCACCGGAGAGGAGACATCAAACCCACACCCACCCGAGAGGAGACACCAAACTCACACCCCACCCGAGAGGAGACATCAAACCCACACCCCACCCGATAGGAGACACCAAACCCACACAACCCACACCCACCGGAGAGGAGACATCAAACCCACACCCACCCGAGAGGAGACACCAAACTCACACCCCACCCGAGAGGAGACATCAAACCCACACCCCACCCAAGAGGAGACACCAAACCCACACCCCACCCGAGAGGAGACACCAAACCCACACAACACACACCCACCGGAGAGGAGACATCAAACCCATACCCACCCTAGAAGAGACACCAAACTCACACCCCACCCGAGAGGAGACACCAAACCCACACCCCACCCGAGAGGAGACACCAAACCCACACCCACTGAGAGGAAACACCAAACCCACACCTACCTGAGAGGAAACACCAAACCCACACCCCACCAGAGAGGAGACACCAAAACCCACACCCCATCCGAGGAAACACCAAACCCACACCCACCCTAGAGGAGACACCAAACCCATACCCACCCGGAAGAGACACCAAAACCCACACAACCTACACCCACCCAAGAGGAGACACCAAAACCCACACCCACCCAAGAGGAAACACCAAACCCACACCCCACCCAAGAGGAGACACCAAAACCCACACCCACCTGAGAAGAAACACCAAACCCACATCCACCCGAGAGGAGACAACAAACCCACACCCCACCCGAGAGGAGACACCAAACCCACACCCCACCCGAGAGGAGACACCAAACCCACACCCACCCGAGAGGAGACACCAAACCCACACCCACCCGAGAGGAGACACCAAACCCACACCCCACCTGAGAGGAGACACCAAACCCACACCCCACCCGAGAGGAGACACCAAACCCAATGCACTGCGAGGGCCCAGTGGGCGGCGGGACTCTGAGATGCAACCTCATACACTACGGGCTCTCAGAGCCGACGGCAGGGCTGCCGGGGAGGAAGAGAAGAGAACCCATGAAGGGGAAGGAATCAGCCTCCATGGCTCCTCCCAGCCTGCACCCCCCTCCCCACCCGTCCCCCACAAGGCAAGAACAGAAAAGACTTCTGAGCCAGCCAAGCCGCCTCCGGTCAGGGCCCAGAAACAGCCTCAGGAATGGGAGGAAGAGCCTCCTCTATTGGGCGGGAAACTGCAGGGAAGAGACATCCTCAGGCTCTGAGTGAGGCGGAGGCGGGAGAGGGAGGCTGAGGACCAGAGTGTGCCTCCCCTGTGGAGGTCCTGTCACCAAAAGGCAGAGGAAGAAGCCACTAGGGCTCACAGACGCCGATGGCCAACAGTGGAGCTGCCAGGCCCGTGCAAACTGCTCGACTGCAGCGTGAACAGTCCTGTGAGACAGGAGACCAGGGCGTCGTCACTAGTTTAAGTACAAAAGTAACCAGGAAGACACAGATACAAACCTTCCTAAATACAAAAAAAAAAAAAAAATCAATTAAAAGAGCAAAGAATAAACATCTCACAGAAAAAGAAACACAGCAAATATTTAAAATTCAGGCCAGGTACGGCAACTCACACCTGTAATCTCAATGCTTTGAAAAGGGAGGCCAAGGCAGGAGGATTCCCTGAGGCTGGGAGTTTAAGACCAGCCTGGGCAACATAACGAGACCCCATTCCTACAAAATATTTTAAAAATTAGTCAGATGCGGTGCTGTGTGCCTGTAGTCCCAGGCTACTGGGGCGGCTGAGGCAGGAGGATCCTTCTTAAGCCCAGAAAGTCAAAGTTGCAGTGAGCTATGATCACGCCACCAAACTCCAGCCTGGGTGACAGTGAAACCATGTCTCAAAAGATAGATAAAAATTTACATAATTATAAAATATTATGATAGAGTCAAGACAAAACATGTCAGTCCTATCAATAAAGGTAAATGGGCTTAACTCACCTATTAAAAGAGAAAGATTTTCAATTCAGCTCATAAACTGAGACCAAACCATATGCTACAGAGAGACACGGAAAACAAAGTGATTCAGAAGGTGAAAAGTAAGGATCTCAGGGATTGTAGGCTGGGGGACAAGAAAGACACCCAGGGTGACGGTCTGACGTGTGACAAAGACAGATACTTTCTAATGCAAAAAGTCACAGCTGCCAATGAAGATATGACACGTGGATATTTATGCACCAAACAACACAGCAGCCCCTACCAATAAAAACGCAGGAGATGCGACGAGACAGAAACATGCTAGCAGCAGTCATGGAACAGCATGCCTGCCGCAGAACAGGTCAAGTGGACAAAACTAAGCCAGCAGCCGGAAGACTGAGCGACCTCATCACTGAGGAGCGGCTCGGGGATGTCCACCCGCTCATCACGTGCCTCAGCCCTACGCACCCACAGCACACCCACAGACGCTGACTGCACCACCCAGACCAGCAAACACAAGAACTATGACAACACACGTGGGACACGTGTGAGGCTGGGGAAAGAGCTGCCTCTCTCACACGCAACAGGGGGACTTGGCAAAACCTAACACAAGTGCACACGCACCAACCCCTCAATTCAGCAATCCCATCTCTCGGAACTCAGCCCCAACAGCAGGCCTCCAACAGCACGAAGACACACGTACAAGGCGACTCTTGATGGCATCACCTGTCACCGTGTCGACAGCCCAGATGTGCACACGAGAGAGGGTGAAAAGCTACGGGACATCAGCAGGATGAAGTGCCACCCAGCTGGGAAAGAGGAAGCTCCTGATGCAGTGACACGAGGGCAGTGCCCGGGACATCAGCACGATGAAGTGCCACCCAGCTGGGAAAGAGGAAGCTCCTGATGCAGTGACACGAGGGCAGTGCCCGGGACATCAGCACCCAGCTGGGAAAGAGGAAGCTCCTGATGCAGTGACACGAGGGCAGTGCCCGGGAACTCTGTCAGCTGCAGAGAGCGAGAGACTGTCACTGACCTGTGCTGCACTGCCAGGGAAGGAAAAAGATGCAGGAGCTCATCTGTTTGCATGGTGAGTAGAAACGGGATGCAAAAATGGAGGGACGGGGACAGGGCAGGAGGAGGGAAGGTGCAGCAGGACTAGGGAGGGTGCAGCAGGAGGAGGGCGAGCAAGGTGGGAGGAGGGCAGGGGTGGCGGGGGTGGGAGGGGGCGGAAGGGGGAGGACGGATGTGGTGGGGGGAGGGAGGGCGCAGCAGGAGGACGGGGCAGGGGGTGGGAGGATGGGTGGAGGGTGTGGCAGGACACCACTCCAAGGGGCACTTCTTTCTATACGTTTTTGTACAGTTCTGACTCTCCGGACCATGGCAACGCTCCACCTCTCACAAACAAAAAATCAACCAAGATTTGGAGGAAACCAACAGGAACACAAACAGTAACCACTAAACCCGAGCTGTCCTGCAGGTGAGTGACGGCCACACTGAGGGACTAAACCCGAGCTGTGCTGCAGGTGAATGACGGCCACACTGAAGGGTGGGCAGGAAGCCAGGCCTGGTTGTGTGTGCCTGCAGTCCCAACTCCTGGTGGGGGCTGAGGCAGGAGGATTGCTGGAGTCTAGGAGCCTCAGGCCAGCCCAGGACACAGAGCAAGACTCCATCTCTAAAAACAAATAATAAAAATTTAAACATAAAAAGTAAAAATGAAAGGATAAACAAGAACAATACTCATCTATGTAAATTTGAAATGTACTATTTTGACCTGTGAGGTTAAATAAAAGGGCCGCACAGAAATGCTACACTCCAGGTAGTTAGCACGTTTGTTTCTCACACTGCCTGGCAATCCCGAAGGTCCTTTATCTGTATGTTGGAACTGAACACAGAAGTACATCTACTGTGGGGGATGAGAACCAGGTTCCCATGTAAGGCACGAGGGAAGCTAGAATGAGCCTGTGACGTCAGACTAGATCCTGAGGCCTGAGGAGAAGTGAGAAGGCCGCTGTGTTCAGCACAGGTGCAGGTGCAGACGAGTGTTTGTGTGTGTGCACATGCCCCAGTCCACCTGGAAGGCCTGGATGCAGGGACACCCCAGGAGCAATGAGCACACCTGCTGCCCAGAGTATGGTTCTAAACACCATCCCCGACCAAAGGAACCACCATCCCCGACCAAAGGAAGCACCATCCCCGACCAAAGGAACCACCATCCCCGACCAAAGGAAGCACCATCCCCAATCAAAGGAAATACCATCCCCAACCAAAGGAAACACCATCCCCCATCAAAGGAAACACCATCCCCCATCAAAGGAAACACCATCCCCAATCAAAGGAAACACCATCCCCCATCAAAGGAAACACCATCCCCAACCAAAGGAAACACCATCCCCAATCAAAGGAAACACCATCCCCCATCAAAGGAAACACCATCCCCCATCAAAGGAAACACCATCCCCCATCAAAGGAAACACCATCCCCAATCAAAGGAAACACCATCCCCAACCAAAGGAAACACCATCCCCAACCAAAGGAAACACCATCCCCCATCAAAGGAAACACCATCCCCCATCAAAGGAAACACCATCCCCCATCAAAGGAAACACCATCCCCAATCAAAGGAAACACCATCCCCAATCAAAGGAAACACCATCCCCAATCAAAGGAAACACCATCCCCAACCAAAGGAAACACCATCCCCAATCAAAGGAAACACCATCCCCAATCAAAGGAAACACCATCCCCAATCAAAGGAAACACCATTCCCAACCAAAGGAAACACCATCCCCCATCAAAGGAAACACCATCCCCAGTCAAAGGAAGCAATGCCCCTCCAAGAAATCATGGAAAACAGAAGATGTGCTGGAACATTCTGTGGTGTCATAAAGTCACCAAATCCTCTTGTCGTGTCACAAGGACATGGAACTAACCTGAAGGAGCTCATGATGGCCAGAGCCGGGCTGCTCAAGCAACAAAATAAATAAACTGTAGCAGCAGCTTGTTACCTACAGAAAAAAATAAATATCCATGCTAATATAAGTAAGTAACTGAATGAATTAACAAGTGGGAAAAATAAGGGAGACGGGGCAGCTCTCTTTACAGAATTCCAATTAATAAATGTAAACAGAAAGACAGAAATAGAAAGTCAGCATCAGACGCCACAGCAGCCTCCACTGGCAGCGTCCTTGCGAATGCCCACGCAGGGGCCAAAGGCCTGATAAGAAATGGTATCAGCAGCCTCCAAGTGTCTCCTTGAGATACCTACTAATTACACAGAGAAAAAGAGTAACTCGACAATGGAGTAACCAGCCAACCCCACCTTAACCAAGCTTCAAAGTCAGCAGCAGCAGCAGCAACAGCCAGGCGACACCACCTGCCTCCCAATCCAGTGCTCTGAGGACACGCCAGCCGGCCCGCGGCATTCTAACTGAGATTCTACAGCCTGGACGTCATCACGAGGAGACACCAGACAAACGCAAACTAAGGAAACGTCCACCAGACAAGGACCAGAGCTCTCCAGCACGTCAAGGCCATCAAAGACCAGGAAAGACTGAGCAGCTACCACCAAGCAGAGGAGACCAAGGAGCCGAGGAGCCGCGAGGGTCCCGGGGCAGGAAAGGACGTCGAGGACACTGGTAAGAATCGAATAAGGAGAAAATATTTGCAAAAGACACATCTGATAATGGACTATTATCCAAAATATACCAAGAACTCCTGAAACTCAACAATATCAACAATAAGCTGCTCCGCATCCTCCGTCACCAGGGAGATGCAAATTAAAACAAGATGCACACACCTACTAGAGCGGCCAAAACCCAGAACACGGACAGCACCGAACGCTGGCGAGGATGTGAAGAAACAGGACCCTCAGCCGTGGCTGCTGGGAAGGCAACATGGCGCGGCTGCTGGAAGACAGTCTGGCGGTTTCTTACAAAACTAAACGTGCTCTTACCACACGGTCCAGCAATCGTGCTCCTTGGTATTTACCCAAAGGGGCTGAAAATTTATGTCCACACGAAATCCTGCGCACAGATGTTTATACCAGCTTTCTTCATAATTGCCAAAACTTGCAAGCAGCCACGATGTGCTTCAGTAGGTGAGTGGATAAAATAAACTGTGGCACAGCCACACACTGGAATAGTGCTCAGTGCTGAAAAGAAATGAGCCATCAAGCCATGAAAAAACACGGAGGAACCTCAGGTGGATATTCCTAAATGAGAGAAGCCAGTTTGAGAAGGCTGCATAATTTCAACCACATGATATTCTGGAAAAGGCGAAACTAGGAGACAATAAGATCCGTGGACCAGGGACTGACAGGAGGGGAGGGATGAACGGGCAGAGCACAGAGGAATTCAGGGCTGTGGAACGACTCCACATGATACGGTACTGGTGGAAACACGTCATTCTACAGCTGTCAAAACCCACAGAATGTACACACCAAGAGTGCACCCTGATGGGAACTATGGAAGCTGGGTGAGAAGGACGTGTTGACGTGGGTTCATGGATTCTAACAAACGCACCACCCGGCCAAGCGGGGGAGGCTGTGCACCTGCAGGGAGGAGGGTATGGGAAGTCTCTGTACTAAAAAAGTCCCCTCCTTTTTCCGTGAACCTAAAACTGCTCTAAAAAATAGTTTATTAATTTATTTAAAGTTAAATTAAGGGAAAAAATCAAATAAGGTCTTCAATGAACAGTATCATACCCACGTTTAACATGAGGCTAAACTGGGTGAGGGGTAGATGGAAACTCTCTGTACTATTTCTGTAACTTTCCTGTAAGTATAGAATTCAAAAGTAAAAGTTAAAAAAAGAAGACTTACCCTTAAGAGGTATCCTACAAGAAGAAAAGAATGACTGAGCATCATCTTTGATGAAGAAAGGTGTCTGAAGGACTTTTACTTTCTGGGTTTTGTGTGAATTGTTACACAGATAACACACAAAGATCCCCAAAGTTCACAAAAGGCAAGCGAAACAACTGCGAAACAACTGCTCCCCAAACAGACGCCGGCGCCAATCTTCACCCACTCGGCAGTGCCTCACCTGGGTCCTCCAGGTCCGGCGTTCTCGATACTCCACGTACCTCCCAGCCCCACACCCCGGCCCTTCTCATGAGTGAGGACGCACGAGCTCCCTTACTCTTCCCTAGAGGCTACTCCACACACGTTAACACTCACATCCAAAGTTCATCAATGTGCCTTTCCCATCCAATCCTCCCTCCTGGCGCCGCGACCCCAGCAGGTAAAATGGTTGGGAAGCTGGTTACACGGAAGAAAAAAACAAATACACTGAATGATGGGAACCAGGTTCCTCACTGTCTGAGAAGGGACCAATAGACAAGGATGGGGGCGGCTAAACGGAAGCCCTGGCGTGCTAGGCAAGGACCGTAGTCTCAACACGAACACACAGGACCCCTTCGACATGGAAGGGCGCACACCACACACTCCCCTACATGCATTTGGGTCCCGAGCTCTGGCTGCTGGCACGGCCTGGGAGCAGGGGCCCCAGCAATCAGCACACCAAGTGCCCCGATCCTGGCCTCTCAACACCAGACTCTACTAGAGGAACCAGGGGAAGCTGCAGAGTGGGCAGGGAAAGTGCACGTGGCAATAAGGAATGCCACAGACGAGGGAAGTGTCAAAGGATACAGACTCCAGCCACAAGAAGCTCCCACCAAGCAAGCCTAGAAATAATGAGAGTGCTGATCAGAGCCCACCAAACACAACAGGGGTCCCGGCACCCACAGCACTGCAGTGAGTGAGTGAATGAGGGATCCCGGCACCCACAGCACTGCAGT
Organism: Homo sapiens; assembly: GCF_000001405.40. Taxonomy (NCBI): domain Eukaryota; kingdom Metazoa; phylum Chordata; class Mammalia; order Primates; family Hominidae; genus Homo; species Homo sapiens. The sequence goes on from NC_000020.11 coordinate 61,989,533, forward strand.
GAGTGAGTGAATGAGGGATCCCGGCACCCACAGCACTGCAGTGAGTGAGTGAATGAGGGATCCCGGCACCCACAGCACTGCAGTGAGTGAGTGAATGAGGGATCCCGGCACCCACAGCACTGCAGTGAGTGAGTGAATGAGGGATCCCGGCACCCACAGCACTGCAGTGAGTGAGTGAATGAGGGATCCCGGCACCCACAGCACTGCAGTGAGTGAGTGAATGAGGGACCCTGGCATCCACAGCACTGCAGTGAGTGAACGAATCCATGAGCGAACGAATAAACCAACGAGGAGGGGCGAAGCTCTGCTTCCCAGCAGAGGGCAACCAGCAGTAACAGAAGGGGTGCCTGAAGCATCCCCACGACTGAGCAGCCCCAGGGGTGGCGACACAGGCAGGCGGTTAATAACATTGAGGCTGTGGGTGGAGGTGCGATAAGGGTGGGGCATCTGTGTGAGGTGGGAACGTGTGAAATGCTAACACGGCCATGGGAATCGGCCACGACGCTGTGGAGAAACACAGCCCACAGCAAGTGCTATGCTGGGGGTGGTAGCATCAGTGCTAAGCACCTGACCAGGAGGGCTGCCTAGTAGCCACCTAAGGTATCAGCCGCACGAGCATTTAGGGTGCTGGGTATCGTGTCAGAACAAGGATTAAAGTGTACATATTGAAAAAGTACAGGAGTGCACGCAAACACATGTGGTGTAGCGGGGACGAAGCAGACAGCGTGATGCTCATACACCGGAGTCTGCACGGAGCTCCTTACTCTGTTCTTGCAACTTTTCTGTAGATTTGAAAACTACTTCAAACTAAAATAAGTAATTTTCAAAGTTAATGTATTCTGGAAGACGATGACAGGGGTAGCATAGTTTCTGGATCTTCCCAAAGTTCCACATAAAAGAGCAACGACACAGCAAAACCAAAAGCCAGCGGACAATCTTTAGAACAAAACTGATGAAGATGAACCACAAGCAGCCATCACCTGAAGGACGCTGCAGAACTGGACCCCGACGGGCCTGGACCCAGGAGCCAGCAGACTTCCTGGGAAGAGCAGCAGGTCCCTCCAAGAGCCGCAGTCAAACCTGGGGCAGGGGAGGACCAGGGAGGGCAGCCTGGCCACCGCAAATGCCCACACTGACCTGCCAGGGCTCCTGCAGCACAGGGCCTCACGCAGGAGAGAACCTGCTGGGAGTGAATCAGTACTGAGCAGGACAGGGACAAGGAAGGCAAAGCAAAGTCCAGATGCTTGGGAGGTGCACAGAGCCCCGGAGCCACAGACGCTGAGGACTCCCGTTCTTAACATCACGGGAAAGTAACCACAGAGGAGCACCACAAAGTCAGCAAACGCTGCAAACCACGTGTCCTGTTACAAGTTCGAGAAACCTAAACTCACGTCGAAATTAGCAACAGAAAGACATTCAGGTCAAATCCCAGACAGGCTCCCATGAGAGAAAAAGAGGATAAAAAGCAGAAGAGCATCCCTACAGACCACAGAAGACCTCAGAAACACATACTCAAAACAGCAGGTAAACAGCAAATCACGCCTTAAGAGAAATGGAAGCCAAAAAGGACAAAAAAGATAATTTTTTAAAAAAGAGAAAAATTAGGCCAGGCACAATGGCTCACACCTGTAATCCCAGCACTTTGGGAGGCTGAGACGGGCAAATCACTTGAGGTCTGGAGTTTGAGACCAGCCTGGCCAACATGGTGAAACCCTGTCTCTACTAAAAATACAAAAAAATTAGCTGGGTGTGGTGGTGCACACCTGTAATCCCAGCTACTCAGGAGGCTGAGGCAGAAGAAAACCAGGAGGCAGAGGTTGCCATGAGCTGAGATCACACCGAGATAGAGCCACTGCACTCCAGCCTGGGTGACAGAGGGAGACTCTGTCTCAAAAAATAAAAATTAAAAAAAAAGAGAGAGAGAAATTAGGCTGGACACAAGTGGCTCAGCAGCATTTAGGGAGGCCAATGTGGGAGGACTGCTTGAACCCTGGAGGTCGAGGCTGCAGTGAGCTGTGATCACACCACTGCACTCCAGCATGGGTGAGAGAGACCCTGTCTCTAAAAAACCAAAAAACAAAAAAAAAGAGAGAGAGAGATTTTAAAAATTAAGAGACTGTAAAAAGTGCTCCAGCAGGCAAAGAAGATACAACACGTGGAAAATGGGACTCTCTGAAGAAAGAAACAAAAGAACAGAACAAACACAAAGGATCATTATTGCAGATGTTCCTAAGGAGACTTGAACCGCACTGAAAGAACACAGCCAGTACTGAGAACACCACCCCAGCACAACCAAGCCCAGCACGCACTCCAGTGGGATGAGCCGGCTTCCGAGAAAAAGGACACCCAGGGAAGAAAAACACGTGGCCTACAGGAGGTAAAATGAGGCTCTCATTAGATTTGGACAGTAACACTTTAGGGAGGAAATAATCCAGAGTAACATCCTTAAGACACTTCAGTAAATACAACGTGAGCCAAAAAACAGACCTTCAGGTACAAAGGGCACAAACTCATCAGCAGGTGGGAACTTGGGAGTGGCTGCTCCCATGAAGCGTTCCAAAAGAATCTAGCAGAGAATGAGATTTGGAAAAATCAAAATGACTACAGAGACACAACATAAAGACGAGTCACGGCATTAAACATGTCATTATTTATGGCACTAAAACTCAAAGAGGGCGAAAGGGAGAGCTTATGGTGTGTAACAGCTAAATGTTTCGACAACATAAATACAGCACAAAATACAAAACGGGGCCAAGGGAGAAAGCACATGAACAACTTTCGGCTGTTTTCACCACCCTCGGCAGGAGTGCCCATATTCTTATTCTCAGGCTATGTCCAAAGGTAGGAGATATTTTAATTCTATTATCTCCTATGTCCATAACCAGGATCCTTTTATTTTAATCTCTCCTTCTCCTGCCCTCCCCTCCAATTCCCCACCCCCCAAGCCCTTGGGGCAGCCAAGAGCCAGAATTCTTACTGTGAAGATAAAGACGTCATTTTGAACATGGTAACTCCTACACCTCTGAATTTGAACTACCTGAATTGGAAATACCCATATAAGCCCATGAGACCATGTTTTACACACATTTCCCAGTGCTGTCCACTGAAAAGGCCAACCCACCCCAGCAGCAATGACATCCCTAGTCCCAGCGAGTGGTCTTCAAACGCCATTTCCCACTAGAAGAAACCAGTTCTTGGAGAAATGACTTTTTCGGTCTGAAACAGGAAAGGTGTAAGGTGAGCCTGACACATGTTAACGTCCAGACGGCAAGGACATCAGCCCCACGTCCCAGCGTGACTCAGGAACCAACCTGGAGATGCTTCCATTGGCCAAAGATGGCACAGTCTGAACTGCAACCAAAATGAGAACTGTAATAGATGGATTATGTGCAAGTCCTTGAGATCACAACGGTAAAAAATAAAAACAACACACTAAAACGTAAAACTACTGGTCACCCTCTGAGGGTGACAACCTGTTGATCCATTATCTTCACCTGGATATATGGAAGAAAACATGCTCGCGTTTACCCTGCGTCTCCTCTATGAGCTGGACCCACCAAGCGGCCAAACAGTAGTGGAGGAAGAGTCTCCAAAAGAACACCCCAAAGAGGAAGTGAGAAGGAACTCACAGACTAAGAGCACCGCCATCTCCAACCTCAAGGGACTAGTGGCCCTAGGCATGAAGCATGACCAGCCACCGTCCCCGGGGCGCACAGCCCAGACCCGTGTCCTCGCAATGAGGGGACACAAGAGCAGCCAGCGTCCTGCCGCAGGGAGGCAGCCAGAGTTGGAGGAGTCTCTGGGTCCAGCCACCAACGCGCAGGAAGTTCAGAGGAGGGAGGAACAGGCAGAACTGCACCACAAGGGCACCGCCAGCAATCCTGACGCAGGACACACCCCAGGCCAAACGACCTGGTCCTTCAACCGACAAGTTGTAAGAAAAAGAAAGTGATGGAGGGGTGGGAGGGCCCTACAGATTTTTAAAAATGTTAAATTCTGGTTTCCTTTTAAGTCAAGTTTAATGGGAAAGGACGGCAAGGCTAACCAGTGTCTCGCTGCACAACTGGGGACTGGCAGGTCCTGGCGTTTCTTCCTGGCTTTGCCATAAAGTCAGGGCAGCAGTTACTTTTGGAGGGAGGTAAAAGCAGCTGTGATGTGGTGGGGCACATAAAAGGGTGGGGGATCTCCCAGGTGACTGGCATGTTCTAGTTTGGTTTTTTTGTTTGTTTTTTGTTTTTGAGATGGAGTCTCGCTCTGTCACCCAGGCTAGAGTGCAGTGGCACAATCTCAGCTCACTGCAACCTCCGCCTCCAGGGTTCAAGTGATTCTCCTGCCTCAGCCTCCCGAGTAGCTGGAAATACAGGTGCCTACCACCACGCCCGGCTAAATTTTGTGTTTTTAGTAGAGACAGGGTTTCACCATCTTGGCCAGGCTGGTCTCGAACTCCTGACCTCATGATCCACCCGCCTCGGCCTCCCAAAGTGCTGGGATTACAACGTTCTAGTTCTCGAACTGATGATGGGCTACAAAATCTATGCCTTTGAGAATTCAGTTAACCATAAAAGAAATCCAGGAAAAAAAAAAAAGGCTAATCAATATCTTTCACCTCCCCCACAAAAAAGTAAGTCCTTAACTCTAAGTGCTCTTCTCGATATATGTTGTTGTTGTTCAGAATTTCAGTTCTTTCTTGGTATACAACTACATTTTCAGCGTGGGCTGCGGGCCTCACAGCCAGTGGGCACTCAGGCCTAGGCCCAGGTGAGTGCAGGTTCCTGCTGGGGCCCATCCCGGGCCAAGACTCCCAGCCACACAGTGGCCAGAGCCCGTGTTAGCCTTGGGAATCTGTACTTACTTACTTATTTCTGGCCCAGAGAAGAATCCCCCTATTTTATCTATATCTCACACACGCATTTATAAAGACAAGATCTTTATTTTCTTCCTACATTGTACCAGACATTTTAACCTGTACTGTCCCAGGAGGGATTTCTCTGAACCTCTGGGATGCCATATTGCCAAAACTCTAGTGTCTGTTACACCTGGAGTCCCTCCTCTCCACACCAGGCAGCCATTTCTCAGAGGTCACTGCTAGCATGTGGGCAGGCGAGCCCCAGCACGGAGGTCTGGGACATCCCACCCACACATTTCCAACAGTCCTGGTGGGGAGGGGGAGCTCTGTCCTCATCAGGTCACTACCCTGACCCTGTCCCAGAGTGCACCTGCATACCAAGAAGCGGTGCAAGACCAGCCAATGTGCATCAGACAGCAGCTGCCACGGGGCTGAGAGCGAAACAGAGAAGTCAGGGGTCGGGCAGAGTAGAGGGCAGTCCAGAAGCATGGGAGTCCAGCCTGCCCGAGTAACAAGACCTTTCCTTGTACGTAAGGATCACACCCTAGAGTAAGACCTACCTTAGCAAAGCCTAAAGCCAAACCCAGACAGGAAAGACAGAGTTTGCAACTTGAGTCCCACTAAGTTAAAGGGGCTTGAGAAACACCTTGAGGTTTCCCCAGATCCTTACTGACAAAATGAAAAACAAAACCACACAAACTCAAGATGGTCAGCCAGTAACTCAACCGCCTGCAAGAATCAACTCTTCAAGGGAGATCACAGAGTCCAGTCTCTTGGCAGGTAAGCATGAGACATGCAAGGAGACAAGAAAGTGTGCAAGGCCGAGGAAAACAGCAGTCGAGAGAAACTGAATGTGAGATGGCCCAGGTGTTGAACTTGACAAAAACCTTATAAAACAGCTTTAATAATAAGCTCAAAGAATTAGGGGAAATATAAACTGTAAAAAAGAACTAGATGGAAATCTTAGAATTGCAAAATAAGTTAACAAAATGGAAACTTCAACTGGAGATGGCAGAAATCCATCTGCCAAGGACCTCGTAGACACATCAGTAGACATCTTCCAGTCTGGAAAACAAAGAGAAGACAGACTGAAGTCCAGGAACACAGGCTCAAAGACCTGCAGGGCAGCATCAACAGGTCTAACATACATGTAACTGGAGCCCCAGCAGAAGAAAGTAAGATTGAAATGGAAAAAAAAATTTGAGCCGGGCGCGGTGGCTCACGCCTGTAATCCCAGCACTTTGGGAGGCCGAGGCGGGTGGATCATGAGGTCAGGAGATCGAGACCATCCTGGCTAACAAGGTGAAACCCCGTCTCTACTAAAAATACAAAAAATTAGCCGGGCGCGGTGGCGGGCGCCTGTAGTCCCAGCTACTGGGGAGGCTGAGGCAGGAGAATGGCGTGAACCCGGGAAGCGGAGCTTGCAGTGAGCCGAGATTGCGCCACTGCAGTCCGCAGTCCGGCCTGGGCGACAGAGCGAGACTCCGTCTCAAAAAAAAAAAAAAAAAAAAAAAAAAATTTGAAGAAGTATTAGCCAAAATGTTCCAAATTTGATGAAAGACACTGACCTACAGATCTGTGAAGTTCAGAGAACCTGAAACAGGCTGAATATCCTGAGAACCACAGCAAAACACAACACAGACAAACCTCTAAACTGAATATCCAGAGAACCACAGCAAAACACAACACAGACAAACCTCTAAAAAATAAAGAACATCTCAAAACAAAGATTGAAAGTCATGCCAGAGACATGAAGCATACCACGTACAGGGAACAAGCTTAAAAATTATAGCAGGACCAGCCCATGCTACATGGTGAGACCCTGTCTCTACGAAAAAAAAAGAAACTACAAAATTAGCCAGGCATGGTGGCACGCACCTGTAGTCCCAGCTACTCGGGAAGCTGAGGCAGGAGGATCACCTGAGCCCGGGGATGTCGAGGCTACAGTGAGCCATGATCGTACCACTGCACTCCAGCCTAGGTGACACAGTGAGACCCTGCGTCTAAAAAAATTAAAAATTAAAAATTACAGCAGGACATCAGAAGACAGTGGAACAAGGTCTTGAAAGTTTCGCAAGAAAGAAAAAATCAGCCCAGAATTTTGTAACCAGTAAAAATATCCTCTGAAAATGAGGGTGAAGGCCAGGCGTGGTGGCTCATGCCTGTAATCCCAGCACTTTGGGAGGCCGAGGTGGGCAGATCATGAGATCAAGAGATCGAGACCATCCTGGCCAACATGGTGAAACCCCGTCTCTCCTAAAAATACAGAAATTAGCAGGGCGTGGTGGCACACGTCTATAGTCCCAGCTACTCGGGAGGCTGAGGCAGGAGAACTGCTTGAACCTGGCAGGCGGAGGTTGCAGTGAGCCAACATCACGCCACTGCGCTCCCACCTGGCGACAGAGCAAGACTGTCTCAAAAAAAAAAAAAAAAAAGAGAATGAGGGTGAAATACAATTTTTCAAGTAAACAAAACCAGAGAATCCATCACCAGTAGATCTGCACCACAAGAAATCCCAACAGCTCTCCTTCAAGCCAAAAGGAAATGGTGGCAGACGGAAACAGACCCACGGGAAGGAATGAAGAGTACCGGAGATGGCAAATAAGGAGGGAAACATAAAAGACCGTTTTCTTTCTTCCTGTAATTTACTTAAAAAAAAACAACTGACAGTTGAAAGCAAAAATAACATGTCAAGGCTGGGTTTATAATTATTAGACTAAAAGATACAACCACAAACATAGACGAGAAACTAATGGAATTTGGAGAAACAGCAGCGGGCAGCAATTCTTCCCCTTCATTCCACGAACTGTCCATTCTCCTACAGCAGCTTATCCCACAGACACTGTGCAGGAAGCACAATCAGCAAGATCCCTATTCGGATCATTCTTCTGACAGTTATAACTTCCCCACATCCTTTTCAAATCCAGCCTAAACCTCATCACAGTAATCAAACTTCCTCACGAAAAAGACTTTCAGCTCAAGTGATAGCCACAAATAAGCTGATTTGGATTTAAAATGTCAAACGTAAAACAAATACTCCAGAAAAGGTGAGACAAAATGTAAATGGTAAGAAAGCAAATTCCCCTATGTGTGTCCGTCCCCTAGAAGAGGGTGGCTCTAAGATGTTCCCCATGTTTCCCCCAGGACCTCGATCCCACAACACTGCCGTACCTCTGCTCCTGAGCCCGGCCCCGGACAGTCCACTTTCCTCTTTTTCCTGGGCCCGATCGCTGCTAGTGCTGTGAGGTTGGCGTCCCGCTGTCTCATTTGTGCCAGTTCCTGTTGCTGCATCTTTTATTTTGAAAAGGAGACAAGGAGCATCATTTCTTGCATGTTTTTTACTTACTACAAAAGTAATACATAGATATGAAAGGGTTTTCTGTAGTTTTCTAAATCATAACTTCTTTAATGTTTTGACTTTCTCAATAGTAAGCATATTCTATAATCCAAAAAATAAGATTTTTTTTAATGCAACAGATGTTTGTCTTAAAACTCTCAGAAAATATACGCAAGTCAAAAGCACAGAGACTAATGCCCCCCGCAAAGGGAAGTCACCGTTGAATTTAAAAGTAGGACACCAACTGTTTGCACAGGAAAATACCTCTGATGTTGTATTTATTTAAACTTGGCAAACATTTTAAACAGACACGCAAATGCCTATCGTACAGAAGTGCCACGGTTTCCTTAGCCCCCCTCCCGTGGGGCGCTACAGTGCACAGCAAAGTGCCCACGAGCACTCACGACTAACAGGGCTCACCTCCTTTGCCTTCTGTTTCAGCCTTAACTGTTCTGGATCTTCTTGTCTTGACCGAGACTATTTTTGAAAGAGGCAGAAAAGAAAAGTAAGTTATGAACTAAATGTTTATCATTTAACAAATGTGTTATCTTATTTACTATACAATAACATCTAGGTAATGTTAAAGAATGCATAGCAAATTTGTGAAATGCTTATAGCCAAAGATGAAAATTTACATCACACACCATGAAAAAAGCCAGTAATCTTGAGAAAAGTCAGTAACATTTGGATGTAAGATACAGTCTTTGAAACACATCTACCAATCGCAGGCTCTGACTTGACCTGATGTGACCGCATGATGGCAGGCAGAATGGGCCTCATAGGCTCCTTGCTGTCCTGTCCCACACACCAGGGACGGGACAGCCTGTGGCTGTGATCAAAGCAAGTGCTCCTCCCACTCCACAGTACCCACCCCCGTCCCTGGGGAACTGTGGTCTCCTGTCTGATTCTATTAATGAGCAGTGCCTCGCCTGGCTGTGAATGTTCTAGAACAAGGACAACGTGAGTGTGAAGAGTCCAGTCCAGCGCACACAGGGGGCTCTAGGAACATGTGCTTCACACCTGGGTGTGACTGTGTGGAGCGTGAGGTGCTGGGAATCTTAAGAAGCCCCGCTTTTCAAGCATCTACGCTAGTGCCAAATGAATGAGGCTTCTCTTTGCAGCTCCACTGACAGCACCCATCACCTTTGCTTCAAGGCCAGCCCAAAACATGCTCTGACCACCCAAAACCCCACTGTCTCAGTGAGCTCATCAGGTTGTGGCTGAGACGGAGGTGCCCAGACGGCAGCAGCAGACACCCAGCACTCGCCTTTGCTGCCCTCATCAGGATCTCCCGCTCCTGCTCATCCTTCCTCTGCTTTTCGATTTGATCAAGCTGTTCAAAAAACTTGAGCTGTGCCCGGACGTCACTCGCCTGCTCATATCTGTCGTCATCCTATGAAGAAAGTTAAAATACTGCTTGTCATAAATCTGAGAGCCCAGCAAGCAAAGGGGTTGTCTAGCACCACTGGACCATCCGTGCACAACGCCCTCCCTCCGTCCAGTCTGAATGCGGCGAGGACCCGATCCCTCCCACCCTGCAAATGCTGCGCCCGAGAGCTCTATCGATGCTCACGTCCACAGAACGAAGTCTCGTGTTGGCTGTCTCAGGGGCACACTTGTGGGAGAGTGTCCCTTTTATACACTTTGATGCTGTCAGATTTCTTAAAGTAACATTTACCTTTTTTGCTGCAACACAGAACTACTTTTACAGCAAGGGCTAAGTGTGTTTATTTCAGTGCTGCCCTGAAGGCACTGCCTCCCGGCTGTGGCAGCAGGCACCACCTCACCCAGTGTGCCCTTGGAAGAGTGTTCATATGTGACTGCTGGTGAGGAAGGCACGTTTTACTTGGAAGAGCTGCTTCATGAGAATAGGGCTGCGGCACCTCAGGGTCTGCCAGTTCAGCCCATGGCCCAGAGAGAGAGGCAGGTGCCTTCCAAAAGGTAAACCCGCCAGGCATAGAGGCTCATGCCTGTAATCCCAGCATTTAAGGAGGCCAAGTCAGGAGGATCACTTGAGGCAAGGAGTTTAGGACCAGCCTGGGCTACATCGCGAGTCCCTGTCCCTTTTATTAAAAATACAAAAATTAGTTGGGCACGGTGGTGTGCGCCTGTAATCCCAGCTACTTGGGAGGCGAAGGCACAAGAATCGCTTGAACCCACGAGGCGGAGGCTGCAGTGAGCCAAGACTGCGCCACTGAACTCCAGCCTGGGCAACAGAGTGAGACCCTACCTCAAAAAGAAATCTTTCCAAAATCTAGTCCTATAAGAAATCCAAAACACGTTCGTAAGGAACATGGAGGCACTTGGGACCCACCGCCCTCTGCCTCGGTGTGGGGAGGAGGCTCCCAGCCAGCAGAGAGTGGGGGCCAACAACATAAAGACGCTCTCCTCGGCAAACAGCCTGTTACCTTGTAAGAAAAGTTCTTCTGCTGAGCTGTTTCTGATATTTTCTCTACAAGATTCTGTAGCCTTTGTTGCGTGGCATGTGATACATAACTTACTACATCTGGATGTAATTCCGTTATACCATGTTTTTTACCTAAAGGTCAGGCAAGAAAAACAGTATTTTAAAATCATTAAGCACAGTTCTTTCTTTACGGCTAATCTCTGATCCAGCAGTTACTGCTTTTATACAACCCAAGGGGAGCCCAGAAAGGCTGGTGGGGTGGAAGGCAGTGGTACCCATATTTTACCCAAGAACCACCACCAGCAACCATGTGGAAATCACAAACTCAGACAAAACACATGACCAGGTGTCAGGTGTGCTCACCTGAAGCTCCCATGCCCCAGCAGCGCAGCTGTTTAATAAGAACTCAGTCATTAAACACCAACGTACCTATTTCTAATATTCTTCTCTGCAAAGGCGCTTGGAGGAGGAAGGTTTCATCTTTACAGGACCGCGTTAGCGTGCCCACCAATTCAGAGTTCGTGGCTAATATTCTTGCACTTTCTTCTGACAAGTTTACTCCAGCCATCGATGCAACATCATTAATGTCATCATCGTCCCTTGAGGAAAGAAGGGAAGATCACTTTAACTGTACAAGGAATTCATCGGGAGGTGGGCTGGGGTGGTAAGGGCAGGAAACCCCACGTGGAAGGCAGGGCCGTGAGGAGGCCAGGCCTCTGTCCTCCCCGCACCTGCACCTGCTGCATCTGCCACAGCAGAGAGGGTGCCTCGCTGCTTTCCTGGAAAGCTCGATTGTTCTGCGGAAGGAGAGCTGTGAGTTGGCGCCGGGTTAACATCTACACACAGATGCGCAGGGGACTCAAGTCCAGAGAAAGCAAAGCCGGGAGCAGCGCGGGGACTTGTGGGGGTCTGATCTATGCAAAGCTTTTTAAAGCCAGAGGCAGCATTAAATTCTTTTTAAAGGCTCAGAAGTTGGAAGAAGAGTACGCACAATTTTTTCCTGAATCACCTGAAAGTTGCTAACCTGACTTTCCTCCACCCGGAACATTCTGCACGTGTTTCCTACAGACAAGGGCATCCCCTCCAGAAGCAGGATGCCATTGAGACCGGGCCATGATGAATGGCCCCTCCCCAGGCCCTCCCCCGTAGGACCCGGTCCCAGCAGCGCCTCTCCCTGCAGGACAGTCTGCATCCCAATCCCAGCTGCCACGTCTTGTCCGGCTCCTCAAGCTGGAAGGTTCCTCAGCCTCTCCTGACTCCTGGGCTGCCCCTGACACCTGGAAGGCACAGGCCAGCTGTGTGCAGGACGTCCTCTTCCAGGCTGACTTCGGCCCCCTCGTGAGGAGATGTGAGCTAAGAGTCCTGCCGGGAATTCCACATGCACGCAGCCTCCACTTGCCGCCTCCAGCAGTGGGCTTTGAACGTGAGGCCGGGGGCCTGCCTGGCGTCTCCTGGGGTCGTTGTGTCTCGGGGAAGAGCTCTACAGCAGTTCTCATGCCCAGTCCTCCTATGGGCTCCAGGTGCTCACTCAGGGTCTTGGCATCCCTGGTGGTCACGGGCTGTGGCTGGGCTGCACAGCTTAGGGCTCCAGCTGAAGGACCCGGCCATGGGAGGGAGGCTGCTCTGCTGACATCCACGTCCACGTCATGCCCATGTCCACTGCTCTCTGACACAGGACGGTCTCCGCTCATCTTGTATTTCCTTATCCCAGTCCCGCAATCAGCCTTTTCTCTCAGGAGTCCTTGTCATTTTAGTGGAAAACGGTTTTTAGAAGACAACATCTGAACACTAGGTGTGCTCAGTGTTACTGGGGCGTTACTGTTCCCAGGACCCTGCGGTGAACAAAGCTAGAAACTTACGGCAAGACCCATGGTTATCCATGCCTGCCGACACACTGAAACCCAGGGGTTTGCGTCAGCATTCCAATCCTGAGCCAGCCCACAGGGGTCACTCTCCTTTATCCCTTCTGCCAGGCCGCTGACTCCTTGACAGCAAAATACCAAGGCTTCCTGCAGCCTTGATTAATTCTTTCACCCGTGTATGTCCCTAAGTGCCCTCCCTTCTCACTGAAGTATCAGCGTCACGCTGGGCCCAGGCATGCTGGCCACCTCTCCCTGCTTGGGCTGGGACTCTGGCTCAGGCCACAGCCACTCCCCAGGCCTGCTATGCCCTGCCTGATGCCTTTAGGGATGAAGTGTCTGGGAAAGGGAAAATTCACAGTAAGACTTCCTGAAATACACACAACTCCACCGCCCCTTGATCACAACAGAGATCACTCCAAGACTCTCCCACTGCTCAGGTCCCATAAGCACCTCCCTGACTGAGGTGATGCTCAGACCACCTGCTTTCCAGGAGGCCCAGGCAAAGCACAGCAGTTATTTTTCTAGAAACAGGGCCTCACTCTGTCACCGACGCTGGCGTACACTGCTAAAACCATAGCTCACTGTAACACTGAACTCCTGGGCAGAAGTGATCCTCCTGCCTCAGCCTCCCAAGTAGCTAGGCCCACAGGCACACACCACCAAGCCTGGCTAATTTTTTATTTTTTGTTGTTGTTGAGTAAGGTTTTACTATGTTGTGCAGGCTGGTCTCAAACTCCCGGGCTCAAGCGATTCTCCCACTTCAGCCTCCTGTAGTGCTGGCACTGTAAGCGTGAGCCACTACGCCTGGAGCAGTACAGCATTTCTGAGGGTTCTGAAGTTGAATACATGGAAAGTGAAGCATTCTATACTAGGAATGCAATGAACTCAAAATACGATGTTATACTAAAAAATGAATTTCCTATTAGTTCATATAAAAATAATCAGTTGATTCGCTTTCTGGCTATGTGTATGAAGCAAAACCTCTTTGAGCCAACTGTATGGGAAAACACACTTGTGTGAACGTGAGGTCAAAGTGAGCGTGAAGCAGGAGCCTTGGAGCCCCGGCCGCCAGGGCCACGTGGGAAAGACCCGTGGGCGGGAATGGAGCAGCACGGACTCTGGACTCTTCTCCGCTCTGGCCACGCTTCTCCAACGTACACAGGCCCATTCCTTACCGAAACGAACCTCCCCCAGGCTCCTTGAGTTTATTTTTCTGTGCAGCAGCTGCTTGTGCCGAGACAGCAGAAAGGGCTTTGGTTCCAGGTAACACGGCGGGTTTCACCACAGGGACTACAAAACAAACACACAGTGGAAACCACACAAGGCTTTTATTAGATCAACTATGTGCTTTGGTGCTTTACAGGCTCAAGGGCACAGCTACCACTCTCCTAATTAGCTACAAGAAAGTTTCCAAAAACTTCATATTAATAACTCTAAATTACAGTACAAAGTGTAAGCTGTACCTCTCGAGCATTTATTTTCCTGTATTTCATCAAGGTTTTTAAAGTGCAGGAATGATTACAGATAAAGAAGCTAACCATGGAAAATACATAAAATTAAAAATCATACTGACAGTGGTGATGGTTACACAACACAGTAAATGAAATCAGTGCCACTGAACTAGATACTTAAAATGGCCAATTTTATGTAAATGTACATTTTACCCAATTAAATAAAAGCCCAATGGCAGCTGGCTCTGGGAGCAGCCCTTGGTGTTGAGCGGCCAGGGGCCCGCGAGGCCCTCACCTGGCTGCAGTGGGTTCAGCTGGATCTGCTGAGGCGTGGTGAGCATGATCCGGTTGTGAGGCTGCCGCAGGGCGACCATGGGTGTCTGCGTCAACGTCACCTGCGGGGGCCGGATCAGGGCTCCTGGCTTCGGAGGCTGCTGGATGACCTGAGGCAGAGCCAGCAGAGAATGGTGAGCATGCTCCCCGAGGGCCAGGGGCCACTCAGTCCCTAGCAGGAGGTTCTTCCCTTCCCTTCCTTTGCACCCCACGCCCCCAGTAAGAAGTCCTAGGAAGACCCCGTGTGCAGCTCAGCCCCAGCAGGCTGCAGGACCATGCTCTGGCCATGGACTCGGCCAGACCAGGGCAGGACGTGGGCGAGGGGTGCCCGTGTGAGCACAGAAGGGGCAAGCGGGAGCAGATCTGCTGCCTAGAAGCTGCCCCTGGGCATTGGTCAGGGCCTGGAGGGGGCGGGTGGCAAACTGATGCCTGCTGACCTCAGCAACCCAGGATGGAGCAGACCACTGCCCCCCAAATATTAGCAGAGGTGACATTGTTGCCTGGTGGCTACAGGTCAAGTGGTTCTATCTCATCTGAATTTTCTTTTTTCTTTTCTTTTCTTTTTTTTTTTTTTTTTGAGACAAGTCTCGCTCTGTCGCCCAGGCTGGAGTGTAGTGGCATGATCTCGGTTCACTGCAACCTCTGCCTTCCGGGCTCAAGTGATCTTACACCTCAGCTTCCCGAGCACCTGGGACCATAGGCACCCACCATGTCTGGCTAATTTTTGTAATTTTTTTTTTGTAGAGATGGGGTTTCACCACATTGGCCAGGTTGGTCTTGAACTCCTAGGCTCAAGCGATCCTCCCACTTTGACCTCCCAAAGTGCTGAATTACAGGCATGAGCTACCAAACCCAGCTCCCTTTCTGAATTTTCTGTAAGGCGGCTGAGGGCTTTTCTACTGGAGTGGGGTTAGAGTTCCTAAGTCCTGCCTGAACTTGGCCCTCAAGGGCCTCCACCCACTGCTCCCAGCATGGCCAGCTCTGTCCGCCCAGCCCCTGCTGGGCCCCTCGTGGCAGGGTCTGCCCAGCTCTGCTGTCATCCTGCCTCTCACTCTCACCTCCGGCACAAGGCAGAGATCCAAAACCTGGCAGCACTGACCATGGCCTATGCTCTGGCCCTGTCCCCAGGATGCTGGGGCCTAGAGACACTGGCATCCTTGTCAAAAGCCAATGCTCAAGTCCATAAGGCCTGGCCTCAAACCTCTGGGCCCAGGTGCTTCAGAATTTAGTCGCTACCATTTTGCAAAGGTGCCCTGGCAGGTAAACTCTATGCTGCAGAACATGTGTGGGGACCTGGGGAAGCGGCCTATAATGCAAACATGTCTCCAACGAAACAGGAACACCCACACTGGACAGGAAGAGCCTCAGGCAGCTCAGGCAATGCTCAGGCCAGGCCCTGCGGCGCAGGGAACCTGCCATCAAATGCCCGGGCCAGGCCCTGCGGTGCAGGGAGCCTGTCATCGAATCAGGGAGAAGCCTGGGTTCTGCCTCCACAGGCTTCAGGGTGCAGGCAATGGATTGGATGCCCTGGATCCCACTGGCTGTGCTCTGCAGACTCACACGTGGTCAGGAGGAGCCCAGGGAAGCAGAATGCAGAGGTGATCCTGCTGCCAAACACAGCACCTAATTCTAAAAACACCCATGCTGCTTGTGTGTGACTAAGCACCAGAGGTCAAAACTTGGCAAGAAAATGATTGCCCACAGGCTGTGCCTGCTTAAACAGAACCCACCTTTTTGGGTAAAGTAGCTCCACTGACTAGTGAACAGGGAAGTTCTGTCCTTACACTAAAGCAAGAGGCACGGCACATCTCTTTCCCTCTGGAGTCAAAAGGCAGGCAAGGAAGCCCTCTCTTTACACAGGCGCTCAGCCCTTCCCTGGCCTTTATAAGGGACACCCTCCCTCCATGCCATTTCACCCTGTTCTCCTCGCTATTATCAAGACAAAAACAAATGCAACTTGAACAGAGCACAAGAGCCAGCCCCCTAATGGCTACTCCTCACCCAGCTGGTTCTGATGTGTACACCATCACAACACATACCAGCTCATGATGAGGGAGCCCGCACCATTTTGTTGTTTAAGCTGTCTTTAGAGGAAGAAAACACCTCTGAAATTTTTTTAAAACTGCCCCTCTACGTTTGGTGAATCCCTCTGCCCATGAAAGGGAATGTGCTCAAAATGTAATTCTTCTGGCAAAGACATCCTTTCTCTAGCTGCAGAGCAAACGTCATGACTATAAAACCAAGAAAGCCAGATCCAAACTGCACATAAGTGAACCGCTATGAGCAGCCGCGGCTTCGCCTCCCGGGACTCACCTAAATCCACCCTGTGCTGTGAGCTGCTACCCTGCCTCCAGTCTCCTGCCCACCTGTCCCACGCAGGTGCCCGTGTCTTACGCTTGGACCGCTGCTCCTAATCCAAGAGAACATCTATCTACAAGATCCTCTAAAAGCACGCTGCATTCATTTACACCAGTAACATCCCCAGACAAGGCAGGGCGGGGACGTGCCGGTGGTTCAAAGCCAACTCAACTATTTCATTTTACTGAGACAAAATACAACATCCCAGGGCCTCAACCTCTGGTTTCTATTTTAACTATTTAAGGTAATACCCAAGCTTCCTCTAGCAGGAGGCTTCCTGCATGCTTGGAAAAGGTTTCTGAGCCGTGGCCAATTTATCTAAGAAGCGGGCGGGAGCAGAGGCACGGTGGGCTGTGCAGACCAGTCAGGCGCCCCTTCCATACCAGCGGTGTGGGTTGCCCCTGCTTGCCGACGCCGACCTGCGTGGGCTGCGTGAGGCTGAGCACAGGGGGCTGGAGGGCACTGGTCACGGTGGCCGCCGTCTTCCCGGCCGTGCGCTGGACCGAGCTACTCAGCACCACGGCCGTGAGCGCAGTGGTGGCCTGCGAGGTGGGCGGTGGCGGCTGCTGCTGGCTCTGCTGGATGAAGGCCGCGGAGTCGGGGGTCAGCTGTCTCAAGGCGGGTAAGCTCCTCTGGGTGGAAAGACAGACACGAGGGGTCAGGCGGCTGCTCATGCGTCGGTTTTCCTTGCTTAAAAATTCAGAAATATCAACTTTTACAGAAAGCTTTTGAGCTAAGTAAGATGGATCTTGGCCCTCACGGCAGCATGTCTGGATGTCAAGGGCCAGGACCCCATCCTGCCCTCCCACTAAGTGGGATTATTCCTGATAGCAAATGTCCAAAATGTGTTCAAGAAAACAAACAAAAAGAGACATATTTTTAAAAAACTTTTTAAAATATGTTAACATCACTGGAAGAGAAGATTCTGAATGTTCCCAACACATGGAAATAAGTACTCAAGGTGACAGACCCCAAATATCCTGATTCTATCTATGACTGTAACAAAACATCACATACACCTCATAAATGTGTACAAATATACGTATTGATTTTTAAAATGTGCTGATACCAATGATTACCCAACAGAGACAGCCTGACGCTGTTGAAACCCTTGGTCCTATCCAGTTTTGCAAACGCTACCCCATTCCCCGTCCCCTTCACTTTCAGGAAGCACACGCCCTTCTCACCACCTTGCGCACGACAGAACCACAAGGCCACCGTGTCAGGGGAGCTCCTGCTTTACAGAAAAAAAACTAACATTCTGTCCCCAGGCACTGAGTCCCCGGCCCCACCCCCGTAGGCAGCACAAGCGCTGTGCACCCTCCGTGCCTGGAGCATCCTCGCCCTGCACACTTGGTGCATCTGCGCCCCACCCCTCCCTGGCCCTACTGCTCGCAGGCACCGGGGCCTTTGAAATTACCTTCAGGAAAGGCACAAGGTAAGGTTGAGGTGAAGAATTAAGTTCTCGGTATAACCTGCTTGTGAAATCTTCTGCTTCTATTTTTCCATCCTTAAAAATAAAATCCATGTTGAAATTCTGGTGAATGAGATTCCACACACACTTCTGAATCCCGCATCACTCTGGTCTCGTATTTTACGGCTGATTCCGCCCCGAGTTTCACTGGACAGAGGAGATGGGAAAGTCTGCGTGCTACACCTTTCACAGGTACATGTGTGACAGGCGCTCACCCTGGACACTGCAGTGCAGCCAGCTGCGGACCACGTCTCCTCCTGGGAGGGTCACCTGTCTACTTCTCGTCTTTTTCTAAGTCTCTTACTCAATGCCAGTCTTTACTCAGTGCTTACCAGGCACCTACTCGGTGTCAGGCATTTTGCTAGGAGGCAGATCAGCCTAAAAGTAACTCCATTATCAAAGCCAGCACTGCAAGTGCGGTGCTGCAGGAGGTCACAGCGTGCCAGGGGCCACACAGACAGGATCCACACAGTCAGGGCATCCGCGCCTTCAGGAGCAGATGACAGCTGTGCTCACCCCTGCAAGCGGCCAGGGTGCCCAGAGTCTACAGTCAGACAAAAGGGAGCCCAGAGCAAGAGGGCCAGATCCTGTTTCAGAAACAGAGGCCAGTGTGGAATAAAGGTCGGGAAGACAGGCGACAAGGCGGGAAGGCGGTGCCTGGACTGAACCCTAAGAGACTCCGGAAGACATGGTCAGGCGGACAAGGAGAAGGCACGGTAAGACCAGCCACTCCAGATCCCCAGGCCATCCCACTGACGCCAGCACAGCCCTGAGCCACGAGACAGCCATGAGGCTGAGGAAGGTGGACAGCCGAGAGCTCGGCCATGAGTGGAGATCTGGAGCTTGGGACTGTGGGTTAAGGAGAGGGGAGGCTGCCAGGAATCCTCCCTCCCACCTTCCGGCCAGGGGACAGAGTGCTGTTCTCTGCGACAGAGGTTTCGGGAGGGGTGGGGGTGGGGGGGACGGCTCTGCCACTGGAGCGCGAATGTGCCTCAGCTGGTCTGCTCCATGGGGAGGGGGCTTCTGGTGGCTCAGGGTGCAGAATGCCTGTTCCAGCCGGGACTGCGGACACCTGGGAATTTTATAAGAGGTCACACAGGAGTGGGGAGAGGGCCAGAAGGGAGTTGCTGGAGACCCTGACCAGAGTGCAGCATGGTTGGGGCAGCCAGAGGAGAAGAGAGCCACAGACAAGGGACGCAGGCACCAGAAAACGGCAAAGCCCGG
The DNA here is from genome assembly GCF_000001405.40 of Homo sapiens. Lineage (NCBI taxonomy): Eukaryota > Metazoa > Chordata > Mammalia > Primates > Hominidae > Homo > Homo sapiens. Next base: position 62,008,825 of record NC_000020.11, read on the forward strand.
GAGACCTCCAGGCGCCGGCCCCAGAACACCCAGCCCCAGGAAGGAGTCTCCTTAGCTAGGCCACACACGCCTTCGACACGTGTGCACCCCTCCCCTTCGCCTGCAGCCTTCCAGAGGAGCTCTCCCTGCTGGCACAGGCCTCCCGGGCACAGGTCACAGCAGCAACAGGTGTCTGTCCTATGCAACAGGCTTTAGGGGAAAGGGAATGTAAAGTCAAGGTTTCTCACCAGTAAATTCTGCACGAGCTCTTTCACATTAGCTGCTGTCTCTGTAGACTGCTTGCCAGATGAAGCCAGTTTTATTAACGTAGATAGGAAATTTTTACATTTCTTCACGTTTTCCATAGTTTCCTGGATTAAAGTAAAAAGATATAAGTGAAAAATCTTAAAAGGCAGATTTTTGTCACAGCCTTTGGTTACTAAAATATGCATATGTACAAAAGATACATATATTTCTTCTCTAAACTTCTTTCAAGAAAACGCACCACCTCTTGGAACCCTGGGCCATGGGGCAGGCCAGCCACATCAGTCACATGGCCACCGAAGTCAGCATCTCCCTCAGCCCCGCAAGGCCACATCTAGGAATGCAGCTATGCAAATAATTAAAAAAGTGAAAAGAGACTCTGCGAAGATGCCTGCTACAATGTTGCTGACCATAAGGACAACCTATGCCAATCCAAACGGACACAGAAGGAACCAAATAGGATGCGGTCACTAAAGCAACGAAAAGTACGCAGCAAAGAAACACCAAAAAGGCGTCAAGTGGGGCCCACTGTTTAAAGATGTCTATCGATACAGGCCGACACTGTGTGTACAAACGGGTGGCGCTGCTGTTTTACACACTGAACACAACAGTTCACCAGTGACTCTTCTGTTTTAATAAAGATGTGTATCGATACAGGCCGACACTACGAGTGTGTACAAACGGGTGGCGCTGCTGTTTTACATACAACGCGACAGTGCACCAGTGACTTTTTCAAAGGCAGGTGTTTGGGCTTTTGCTGTTTGCAGACTTCTGCGGTCTAAGGCCCTCGGAGCCCACCTCACACAGCACAGCAGCAGAGCCCCACGTGCTCACGTGGGCCCCAGACTGTTCACTGCTTTGTGAAGCAAGCAGTGAGCGGTCTGGGACAGAAGCCGGCCTGAGGTCTCAAGGCTGCATTTTCTGACCTGCGCCACGGGCCTGACCGTCTTTGAAGGCACGGAAAGGAGTGGCTCTTACCGTGGCAGCTGAGGAAGTGGTGGTCGCCCCTGGTACCGTGCGCTGAGGAGTCCCCGTCTGAACAGCCGTCGCCGTCCCAAGTGAAGCCGTCTGGGCAGCGCCACCCAGAACGAGCTGAGGCTACAAGAATCCAAAAACACAAGGTAAGGGCATCTCACGCCACCAGCTGACGAGGGGGAGACCAGCCTCACGCCCAGCAAAAGAAAACAAGCCTCCCTGCGGTGGCCAGGACGCCCAGGAAGCCAAGGACCCCGGCCACCTGCCAGCCCGCTGGACACGGGAGTGCTGCTGGGAGGCCTGCCCTGTGCCCTGACGATCGCAGTCCTGAGCGGGTGAGGAAGGCATGATTTGCACCTGCATCAAAAACGGACGTTCACAAAGCCAGGCACTGCAGAGACCCCAGTCCTCAGAAGTCCATGGAAAAAGTCACATAGAGACCAGAGTAAATAATCCTAACAGGCAACCCAGATCCCCATCTCTCAGAAATCAAAACAACAAACAGAAGAACGGCTCCTGAAAGCTCCATCCTCCCAGGTGCAGAGGCTGGCTACAGGGCGGTCAGGGCTCCACAGCCGCAGCCTCCCATAGGGGAGGGTCCCCAGCTCCCTGCAATCACCCAAACCCACCTTTCTTTACTCCCCAAAAGTGAGTGTCAACAAGAAGCCTCCCACAGAGGGGAGTTTTCAGAGCAGATTCGAGCAATGGAGGATGGGTCATCAGTGTCAAACTGTCAGAAAGGAGGGGCTGCTTTGCTAAGCAAATGAACAGCCAGACGCCAAAAGGTAGCTCAGACAACTCAGTGGCCTGTACTCGATTCCTAACATTTCCATTCTACATGAATAATCAGAATGCAAATGTTTACTGATATTTTAAACTAGTACTTTTCCAATGTATAAATCTAGCAGTCAACATTTTCTGTCTCCAATTTTTTAAACACTCCTTTGCAACTTCTGAAAGCAGGGGGCAGTGTAAGCCTGAGAATGGCTCCGGAGCAGCGAGCTCTCTCCCGGTGGGTGCAGCCCCGCCAGCACGTGGGAAGCAACTCTGAACCAGCCCCGCTTCCAGAGGGGTGCGGATGGGCTGTGAGGAGGCAGCAGGGTGGAGGGACTGTTTCTAAGTCTGTGTATCTTTTCACTTGTAACAATAAGCATGGATTTTTTTTTTAACTGAAAAACATCAAATAAAAACCTCCAGTGAAGAAAACATAAAAGGACACACCAAGCTGCTGCTTCTGGACCCTGGGAGTACCCAGGACCCACCTCATCTTTTGGGAGTCTTCTTTCCCATCAAAACTGACTCCTCACACTTACTTCCACTCCTAAGAACACATATTTCACTCAGATGATATCCAGATTGTGTCTGCCACTAAGTATAATGCAAAAACTTAACCATAAGCTCCAACTACCTTCTCAAAAAAGTCACTGTAACCAAAAATCCAGACGCACCAATCAGAGCACAGGACTGAGCAAGCTCCTTCAGGGAAAACACCAAGGGCGGGGCCTGCACCAAAGGCCAGCACACATCTCCCTGGTACTGAACCGCCCTTCCACCCACTTTCACCCACTGCAGCTGCAGCCAGCCAGGACATGACCCAGTGAGGGTAGAAGAGCCGGGGTTGCGGGGGGAGCTGCCCCTGGAGTCCACACCCCCTGGGGCTCAGCCTCCATTTCACCACTGAGCAATGGGAAAAGGGCCTGTGGCACTGAGGCAAGGACTCTGGATCTCTCTGCAGAGCGTCCAGGCCCACTGCCTGGCTCATGGCAGGTGCTTCACCAGCAGCGACCAACACCATAGAGACCTACGCATCCACGGATGCTCACAGACACCAGGTGACCAAGAAAAACCCCTGAACCATTTTTCTCCCAGCTGCTTCCTGCTGACTGCCCAGAGAAAGCTGCTTCCCTCACCAGGTGCGTCTGACCGGCCAGCCCCTTCCCCTCCACACACCTCCGCCACCCCTTCCAGAACAGCCTGGCCTGCACACAAACCCTTCTGGGATCTGCAGGCCAAAGGCTGAGCTGTCAGGAGCATCAGCACCACTAGGAGAGGGGCCAGCACCTGCTCTGGGACACGCTCCTCTCTGCAGATGAAAACGCTGTTCTAGAAACCAGCGGCCACCAGGGTGGATACAGAACCCTTCTAGAACGATGCTCTCACTACAGACGAGGGATGTGAGCGGCAGGTGGCAGCGTGGCGTGGCAGGCACCGTGCAGGTGGCATGGCCGGGAGTGAGTCCCAGAGCCTCCCTTGCCTCAGTGTAAGCGCCGCACCACGAGATGAAGGGAGCGATGTCATCTGCTTCCCAGGGTGCGGTGAAAGTTACGGTCCATGTGCCTGCAACAGTGAGAGCGACGCCTCGGCCACGTTCACCTTAGCGACAGCCGCCGTCCTCAAGTTACACACAAGGCCACATGTGCACACACACACTGTCCTCACCGCAGGCTGCTTCTGCTTCAGACATGCCTTATGATCAAGTACTAGTAAGGACATAGTTTTAATGCTTCCAACATGGTGGAAAGCTTGAACAGTGCTGCTGGTGTTAAATTCTGTGTGACTAAAAAAAAGAAAAAAGAAAAAAAGAAATCCTGACTTATCCCATGTTGGTGGTCAAAGAAAAAGCACTTTCTTCACAGAGAACCTTCCTCCCCAGATTTGACGTAGTATCCAGTTTAAAAAAAAAAAAAAACTCCTAAGGCCTGATCTCTGCATCAAAGAAATCACACTTCGTGGCCCCTGCAGCCTCAAGAGATCCGCCGCCTGCCCTCTCACCTGGACGCCGGGCGAGCGCTGCAGGGTTGCACTGGGCTGCACCGTTGTCTGGGCCTGAGACACTTGCTTAATTATGGTAGTTGGGGTCACCTGCCGTGCAATGATAGGTGTTCCAGGTGCCTGAAAAATAAGCAGAGTCACCTAAAACGAGCGCAAGTAAAAGGAATTCCCACCCCCAGGTACACAGAAATTATTCCTTCCATATGTAACTAGTATATCCAAGTGGGTCCCAGGCTTATCCGTGATCTGCAATGAAGCCACTGTAATTCTAAAGTTTTCTTACCAAAGAACAAGTGTATGACAAACATTTTCCTATACTACAATAAACATATCATTAGGCTTCTTAACAGAGTCTACAAAAGGTCATCTCTGAAGAACGCAGGTATCTAGAAATCAATCCTCGTGCTGCTGGCTTGTGACCTCGTTAACAATCACTAAAAAGGATGCAAAGGCAGACGGCCAGTCAGTGTCGCAAAGGGGTAGGGAGGTGGCCGCCCCTAGGCTAGATGGCCAGTCAGTGCCAGAGAGGGGAAGGAAGGTGGCTGCCCAGGACAGAGGGACGCCACAAGTCCTGAGCCCATGAAGTTTGTCGGAGAGAGACTGACATGGAAAGAGCAGATGGCAGACTGCAATGGGATGCCCACAGTGCAAGTGAAGCCACGAGTGTCTTCCACAGTGTCCCACTCAGCAGACAGATGCTGCAGACTTGAGGACACCGTTCTGTGCTACTTCAGATCTGGGTGGTCTCTGGCAGCCTCCGGCACGTCCGTCCACGTCCCTGTCTATGGGACAGAGGCACAACTCCAGAGGGTACGCAGCTCACGTAGCAGGAGAAGGATGCTGATCAAGTCATTCCAGTCTTCACAAACCTGCCAGGTCATTCAGAGCAGCAGCATCACAGTGCCAGGGAAACACGGCAGGAGACGGGGCAGGAACACGCAGCGTGCGGGCACGTGCAGGTGACAGTCATGGGGCCAGACACAGACACACGCCGGGAGAGGCAAGTCCTGGGCACTCTGCCCTCCAAGTCAGAATCCGTGCTCCCTACCACAGCTCAGGGGTCGGGAGCTTCGGCCCTGAAGGCTGACGCGGGTGTGTGTGTGTGTGTGTGTGTGTGTGTGTGTGTGTGTGTGTGTGAATCCGTGCTCCCTACCACAGCTCAGGAGTCGGGAGCTTCGGCCCTGAAGGCTGACGCGGGGGTGTGGGTGTGTGTGTGTGTGTGTGTGTGTGTATGTGTGTGTGTGTGTGTGTCCCTCTGGCACCCCCTAACAGCAGCAGCCAACCCCACTCGCACACAGCGGCTCCAGGACTCTTGGTGCCTTAAAAGTCTCCATGCGGCGCTGGTGGCGGTCCTGCCAGTGGAGTCCTAGCACCATCTCTACTTTGCAGATGAGGGGACAGGCACAGGAAGGTGAAGCCACAGGGAGAGAAGGGAAGGGGCCAGAGCGGCCAACCCTGGACTGCTCACTTTGACCCCACTCGGCCCGCCCTGCAGTGGGCTGCGGGAGCTGGTGTCTCTGAGACAGGCACAGCCCTGCCACCGAGAGGAGGACAGGAGAGCAGCGCCGTCCCGGGCCCATCCTAGATGGGACGGATGGGACTGGGACGCCGCCCACACTTCCCAGTCCTCACTCCCATGGCTGTGCCTGGCCCTTGCAGGTTTCCCCAGCATGCGTGGGGAGAGGGGCTGGGCAGGGAAGGGGTTCGCACTCCAGGGCACACGTGCACTCACCTGTACGGTGGAGATCTGGACGGGAGGGGCACTTGTGGGGGTGGCAGGGCGAGGCGCCATGGTGGTCTGAGGCTGGGCATGGGCCTGCGCCTGCATCTGGGCCAAGGCCTGCTGAGGAATCATTAACAACTGCCCATTCTCACTTCGGACGAGGACCATTCCTGCAGACAAAGGAGACCTGGCGTCAGGAACGCAACCACCCCAGAGCCATGAGGAGGCCCTGGCCTGACCCAGGGGAAGCTGACAGCTGTGAGAAGGAAACAAAGGAAATCAAGTCTTAAACACACGAATCCCCCAAACTCAAAACACACTTGTGAGTCAAGATGGTATACAAGACAAAAAAACTGTAAAGGTTGTTAAAAGGCCATGGAAAAAAAATGGCACCTGAGCCTTCCTTTTATGAATGAGCTGGACAGCAAGGCAGTGTAGCAATGGCTTCCACCGGCCACACCACGTGCCCCCATGCCCCCAACCAGCCCATACACCCCACAGACATGCCAGTCTCCTTGCCCCCACCTCCTGCCTGTGCCAGGGCCACGTCCGCTGGGCTGGGCCTAGAGGGCACAACCATGTCTACGGCCCATACTCCAGGGTCTCCCAGCCTGCTGTCCTGTGACACCCAGACCCAACAGAGGGAGGGTGGGCCACGAGGCTCCTCACCAGAACCCTCCTCTCGGGAGGCAGGGCAGTGCTGCCCCCACACTGCCCTGACAACCACAACACAGGCGCAGATGCGACGCAACCCTTAGGACAGGAGAACCATTTGCCCGTCATGGTTCTTGAGCTAAACCACAGGAAAGCAAATCCTGCCATTCAGGTTTGGCATTAATGTTAGCTTCAAAAAACAGCAACCAGTTATATCATAAATTCCATTAGAAACAGCAACACAATTGTCCAACTTTTAAATTTAACTTCCCATGACAGAGGTGGGGATGCAGCCGTGGGAGCAGGGCTATAAACACTGCACTCTTTCCCGAGTGAAGCCTCGGCAGACAGCCCAGCACCAAGGAGCTGAGAAACTAAACACACGTGCAATGAGGCACCGCCACCGGCCGTCCCCACCACCCATCACACACTGGCCAAGCCACGGGGCACAGGGGGCGGCCACTGCGTTTCCCAGCCTCTCCTTCCTCCCCTTTATGGAGAATGGGAAATGATAACCTCGAAAAAGATGAAGTAAGGCCTGAAAACCTCCTGTTGGTCATGATGACAAATGAGCGTGGGGCTTCCTCCTCCTGCGCTATGACGCTGGGGCACTCTCAGGGCTGTCGGCTCCAGCTCTTTCGAAACTCAGCATGGTATCAAGAATAATGGTGATGCCTCTCCTGGGCTAACATCTAAAATTCTTGATCCAAAAAGCCACATTTATGCCCATTAAGAAAACTTCCCCCCAAAACGCCCCTTTCAAAATAAACCATGCTGAAATCAAACAAAAACCAAACACCCAGCTGCAGCAAATAACCTGCTGGAATCTCCAAGCCTGGAGCTCGGGAACGAAGTAACAGGAAAGGCCTCCAAGGCTCCGTCTCCGAGTCTGTGCCCACAGTGCCCAAGGACAGCCTTCAAAGCCAGGTGGGCACTCATCAGCCATGTGGCCGCCAGAGCTGCTGCGCGTAACGAGGGAGAGTTCCACTCTCACCCAAGCACACTCGGCGCCTGGGGACCCCAAAACAAGACACCTGGTAAATACCCCCATGTATGTGGTTATTATGGAGTGTCAACTTGATTGAAGAATGCAAAGTATTGTTCCTGGGTGTGTTTGTGAGGGTGTTGCCAAAGAAGGTTAACATTTGAGTCAGCGGACTGGAAGAGGCAGACCCAGCGTCAATGTGGCTGGGCACCATCTAATCAGCTGCCAGCGTGGCTAGAATAAAGCAGGCAGAGGAACGTGGAAGGACTGGACTGGCTGAGTCCTCCGGCCTCCATCTTTCTCCAGAGCTGGATGCTTCCTGCCCTGGAACTTCAGACTCCAAGTTCTTCAGCTTTTAGACTCCTGGCCTTACACCAGTGGTTTGCCAGGGGTTCTCAGGCCTTTGGCCACAGACTGAAGGCTGCACTGTCGGCTTCCCTACTTTTGAGATCTGGGGACTCAGACTGGCTTCCGGGCTCCTCAGGTGCACACAGCCTATTGAGGGACTTCACCTTGTGATCCTGAGAGTCAATTCTCCTAATAAACTCCCCTTCATAGATTCATCTCTCCTATTAGTTCTGTCCCTTTAGAGTACGCTAATACAATGTCCTCAAACCCAACACTTCATTCACTGCATTCGGAGACACCTTGCTCCTCCTCCTCAAGAATTCTGAGAAGCCAGGGTGAGTGTGGTGGCTCACACCTGAAATCCAGCACTTTAGGAGGCCAAGATGGAGGGATCACTTGAGGCTGGTTCGAGACCAGACTGGGCAATATAGTGAGACCCCATCTTTGCAAAAAAAAAATTTTTTTTTAATTAGCCAGGCGTGGTGGCACACCTGTAGTTCCAGCTACTTGGGAGGCTAGGGTGGGAGGATCATCTGAGTCCAGGAGCTGGAAGCTGCAGTGGGCTACCATCGCATCATCACACTCCAGCCTGGACCACAGAGTGAGACCCCATCTCCTAAAAACAAAAAAAAAAAATGTTTTTAAGGAATTCTGAGAAGCCAATAATGGACGCAGACTTAAGTGCACACATGGGAATGGGACGGAAACAGGACAAAGGAGGCTTCAGTGTCCGTCCCAGTGCCTCCACACCCAATGTCAAACCTGACATTCTCATAGTGAGTGAAGAGACTTTAATTATCAGGAGCTTTGTGCTTTAAAAAATTGCATCCAAGGCCAGGCACGGTGGCTCACGCCTGTAATCCCAGCACTTTGGGAGGCCAAGGCGGGTAGATCACGAGGTCAGGAGATAGAGACCATCCTGGCTAACACGGTGAAACCCCATCTCTACTAAAAATACAAAAAAAAAAAAAAATTAGCCAGGCATGGTGGCGGGCCCCTGTAGTCCCAGCTACTTGGGAGGCTGAGGCAGGAGAATGGCATTAACCTGGGAGGCAGAGCTTGCAGTGAGCTGAGATCGTGCCGCTGCACTCCAGTCTAGGCGACAGAGCGAGACTCCGTCTCAAAAAATTAAAATAATAATTTAAAAAAATTGCATCCAAAAAATTAGCCAGGTGTGGTGGTGCATGCCTGTAATCCAGCTACTTCAGAAGCTGAAGCAGAATCGCTTGAACCTGGGAGGCGGAGGTTGCAGTGAGCCGAGATTGCACCACTGCACTCCAGCCTGGACGACAGAGCAAGAGTCCACCTCAAAAAAAAAGAAAAAAAAAAGTATCCAGATATATTTAAAGGAATACGTTCAAAAAAAAAAGTATTAACAAAATAGCAATGTGGTTAAAATTCTAACAAAATAAAAGTGGCATTCTGGACATCACAGAAGTGTAGGGAAACAGCCATGGGTCACTGTGAAAATGTGCCCTGTGGTCGGGCCCAGTGTCCCTTGTGGTCAGGAAAGTTGGAGAAGGAATCAAACGTCCCACAAGAAGTGACCATGTGACTTCAGGCAGGTACAACGTAGCTTCTCGAGGCATTGAAAATATCTGTGAACCAAGCGCGAGTGGCCACGTCTCCTAAGCCGAACTGAGGTTTGCTTCCAACAAACAGCACATAAGAGGCGCTGTCACTGGGGACTTTCTTGTCCGCCTCCCTGGTTATTGTATCACAGCCTGACTGTACCAAAAAGCAAAGTCAGACACTGTGTGATGATCTGAGGACACTCAGAACACCAACGGCTGCATCCACGCCATGTTTCCGAGAGGTTCTCACAGTTCTGGGTCCTGTGAGCTCTGTTTACGGACAAATAATCCAGCAGCATCTATTCACGCCAAGGCAAAGAAGTGCAACTCCGTCTCAAGACATAACTAATTTAAGAGTAATCAACCGTGGTTACGGGCGGCACCTGACCTACGAAAGGCAGCCGCCCCTCCTGCCTCTACTCCTCTCTCTGCACTTGCAGCAGGGTACACGTGGCAGGTGTGGCCCCCACCCCGCCCCACAGATGGGACCCCAAGGCCAGGGCGGAGGGTTCTGTCTGAGAGCTCCCCAGAGAGAGCCACGTGGGACACTGGCCGTGTCCCCACCCAGGTCTTTGTGAGGAATGCAGAGAGGAGCCAAGGATGACAGGGAGCAGGGCTCTCGGATACAGAGGCACAACCGGCTCCACGCACCCAGCCCTCGAGTCAGGGAGGAAGCAGTCAAACCTGCAACAAGAAACACGACATCCGTCCCAAAGACCCTCAGCATCCTCGTCCAACCAAGATGGGCAATTCCAGGTGGTGACGGGATGGGGCATAGCCCTGAAGGTCATTAACAGTTAAGGTCAGGAAGCTGGGGCCTGGGACCCTGCCTCCTGACCGGGCCACTGTGGCCACCGCCGCCTCCCCCGCAACCTCCCCAGCTCACAGCCCCTCTCTCTGCCCCACCCCACCTTCCTGGAGACTCCTTCATGGCACAGCCAAAACCCCACACCAGCCAATGTGCACATACAACCACCACAATGGGTCAGGGTCCAGCTAACAGAACCGCACTGGGGCTTCCAATTGTCCTAATATCTTCCTTACCACAGAAAGAAGTGTTCTTCACAGAAAGTTTAATAAGTGCAGAGAAGTACAAGAACAATGGAAACCTCCTGAAGCCCCTCTCCTGGCTGGCACAGCTCAGGTGCCACTCAGTGTGCACCGTGCACTTGGAAGCCGTAAGGACCACGGAGGCCACCCGCCCGAGTTCCCTGCCAGCTCCCCCGTTCCCTGCCCGCTCCCCGGGCGCACTTCCCATGGCAGTAAACATTCTTCAGAAACGTAACTGTCCGTGGCTACATACTATTTCATCCAAATTGTGTTTATAATTTCCTTCTGGTGAAGATTTAAGCTATTTTCTATTTTTCATTATGGTGAAAATGTAGGTTTTGAAACTGAAACAGTGTGAAACTCTCCACTCTCCCAGCGGTTCAAGGCCACACTGCTTGAGGCGGGCAATGCAGAGCCAGCAGTGGCCACGAGACGCCTCCCTGGGGAAGGAGCAGCGTGCACTCCTCCAAAGCCTGGCCAGTGGCCAGTGGTGACCAGTGGTGACCAGTGCCTCCCCCAGAGCCTTCCAGGGACCCACGTCCCCAGCTCAGCATGCCGCCACCGATTCCCACAGTGTGAGTGAATCCCACCCTCCCTGAGGAGAAACACCAGGGTTCTTACCCCACACAACAGTTTTCCTGATTCCTTTTGTAGGTAACACTTTTACTGTACTTGAAGCCAAAATGTAGAGCATGCGAAGCTGTGCCACAACCACACGGGCACCTGCACCCTGGGAACCCCCACCTGTGGGGGAAATGCCTTTGCCGGGTGCCGCAGGCCGCCCCGCACTCTCAGCACAAACCCCGGCCCTGGGCCTGGGGCTGTGGACTCCGCCCTGGCCTCCTGAGGCCCAGCCCCGGCTACCTCTTGGCCCTGCACCACCCGCCCTGGCTTGGCTCTGTCTGTGGCTCTCCTGTGTAGCCCAGGTCAGGACACATCCCTCCACAGGGGTCCATGTTCACCTCTGCCAAACCCAGGGCTGTGACCATCCTGCTATGCAAGTCACTCCGGAGCATGGCACCAGCCCCAGCCCCAGCCCAGGACGACAGGCCCCTGTGGATTCTCAGAGGGGCATTTCCTCCCTCCCAACGCACAGGACAGGCTGCAGGCACCGCTGTGCCCTCTGCCGGTGGGGGGGCTCTTTCTGGTCCTGAGGGGCTCTCAGCCCCAGCTCTCCTCCTGAGGCTACAGGACTCTCTGGCACAAGCATCAGGGGCACGGAGCCAGGCGCTGAACAGTCGCCCCTGCCAGCCCACGGGGACACAAGGTCCCAACCCTCAGCTGCTGTCCAGCTCCACGTCTGAGCCCTGCTGGTTTTCCTTATCTTCTAGAACGCTAAACTCTTCATTTAAAAGAACATTTATCCAACTTCCCCAGCCTTTCTGGGTGTCTGGTAATGGGAAGCTTTGTTAGGACTTCTGTCCCATCTCACCGTCATGTCGCAGCTCAATACCAGCCCCTCCACCAGATGGGCAAACAGCCAGGGACCACCAGCCACCTGAGGAAGGCCCAGCATCAACCCAGACACCAAAGCAGTGAACTGATCAAAATAAGCAAGAAACCCTCTTCAAAATCACAAAGATTATCCAATACGACAGTCAAATTAAAAATTCCTGGGATGACCAGACGACAGCACCGAGGCATTCCCCCTGAATACAGTATAGAAAAAGAGAGTGGAAACTTGGAAGAACAGATGAGAAAATGTGAAGGAGCATTCCAGAAAACACAACAGGTGATCAACAGAAATTCTAGGAGGACAGAAAGGACAGCAGTTGCTGGAGCCAGCGTGAACATGAGGAAGGAGGCGCACACCAGCCTCACCACAGAAGCCAGACCACTGGGAAGGAAAGACCTTCCCCGTGTTTCCAGGGGAAAAACACAGATCCCAGCCACAGTACGGGGAAGGAGAGCTCAGCAGCCCTGAGAGCTCCACAGAAACGGGAAGAGATGGCCAGCACCTTCGAAACCCCCCGGGAAATTACCTTCCACCTGGAACTCAACGCCAGGCCAAACCACCCACCAAGGCTCAGAGGCAAAAAAAGGCATTTCAGACACACTAGGTCTCAAAAAAGGTATATTCTGTAAGAAGGGAGAAGCCACTTAAACAAGGGAATAAGTGAAGAAAACAAAAGACAGGATCCAGGAAACATGGGACTGAACCCCAAGGAAACAAGGGGACTCTCAAGGATGAAGCAGAAGGGAGGAACAGGCATGGCCAGGCACAGGGTCCGGAGGGCCAGGGCGCTGGGGCTGGCCACAGGGCAGTAAGCACCTGGGAACCCACAGCCCTTCTAGCTGCTGAGACACAGCTGCCTGCACAGGGAGCAGAAGCAGCACAGCACTTGGCTCGACTCAAACAGCGTGTTCACAGCCAAGGGCCGTGCGCGCCCAACGCGGAGTCGGCCAGGGCTGCGTGGGCTGGGCCGGGGCTCTGCGGACTGCGGCTGGGCAGCCAGACGGTCGCTAGCTGACACTCACTCGGCAACCTCAGGAGGTGGCTGTACAGGCAGGGCCATGTGGATACACGTTCCAAAGTGGTCCCCTCTGAGAGGCAGTTAAAAGGGGGTGGGTGGGCCAGCAGAGTTTGTTTCTCACTGAAAGCTCTGCTCTTCAAAACAGGCATATGATTAAAGTTCTATACTTTTTTTTTTGAAACAGAGTCTCACTTAAAGTTTTACATTTTTAAATATTTAAAAAAAGAAAAAAAAAGACAGCCGGCACCTCAGACGGCGACAGAGAGGCACTGTGTGCAGTGGCCGCTCTGTGAGTGAGTGCATCCCTGGGGAGCAGGGCAGGTCCAAAGCCCGGGAGGGCGCTCCGAAACTCAGGCACACAGCGGCCAGCGGCGGACAGCATCAGAGGCGGAGCGGGCCCTCCAGGCCCGCCAAGGTCTTAGAGGGGCAAGAACACCCCAGGATGGACCCCTGGGGACACAAATCTAAGAAAATCCCTCCCTCCCTTTCCCAGCTGTATTTATAATGGTATCACGAAAGTGTCTGCGCCGTGGAGACCTGTGCAGTCAGGAGGTGGGTGGGCCTGCGATGGTTTCTGTCCAGGAAAACGCAGAGGACAGCTGTGCTGTCAGTCAGCTGCCCTGGGCCTCACTCTTCACCCAAGCATGGAGAGGTGGGAAGGGTCAGGGCTGGCTGCAGAATAAAGGCAGCCCCTCTGGAAGGCCCAGAAAACACAAACGGAGCCACCAGCAGGCAGCCTCATCCCCAGCAGAGAGGAGCATGGTCCTCAAGGAATAAGCTACCAAAAGGGCCAAAGAGATGAGCAAAAGTGGTGTTTCCCTGCAGTGGAAAGGGGTGGTCTGAAGCCTGAGGGTTTGCAGGCCCACTTCCCTCTGTAACTAGGACATTCGAACCCTCTCCATGCTACCAGCTGGGACCAGTGGTGGACAGAACACACGTGGTGATGGCCCAGATGTGGAAAGGGCCCCTCCAGAATCCAGCGTGCGCTCCTTACACAGGCTGGCTTTCTCTCTAAGCGGGTGCTGTGCTGTGACAGATGCACAGCCTCATCTTCCTTCTAACCTGTTCTGGCTAAAGCAAGTGTTCTCTCCCACCTCTCGGGGTTTGGCAGGCATAAGGGACGGCGCAAAGCAGCACAGGGGAACATGTGCTGCCCGGCGCAGGCGCTACCACCACTGTAACCCGAATATTTTGCTAAAAATTAAACTTCTGACGCAGCTCCTGGTCCAGCACTTGCAGCCCCCCCCCCGCACATTGCAGATACTATTGTAAAATCATGAACTTTGATTCATCCTCCCCTAAAACTACAAAATGCTGATTAAAACAAAAATGCGAGCAAGTGAAGGGACGTGCACTGTGTTCATGGGTCAGGAGACTCACAATAGTTAAGATGTCAACTCCTCCCAAACTGATCTGCAGAAGCAATGCATCCCAAAGTCCCAGCAGCCTCCTGTGTAGAAACTGACAAGGTGATTCTGAAATTCATACAGAAATGCAAAAGTCTTAGATTAACCAACACAACTGTAAAAAAAGGTCAGGCTGGCCGCAGTGGCTCACGCCTGTCATCCCAGCACTTCAGGAGGCCAAGGCGGGCAGATCATTTGAGCCCAGGAGTTCGAGACCAGCCAGGCCAACATGGTGAATCCCTGTCTCTACTAAAAACACAAAAAATTAGTTGGGCATGGTGGTGCACCCCTGTAGTGGAGGCTGAGGCACGAGAATCGCTTGAACCAGAGAGGCGAAGGTTGCAGTGAGCCAAGAGCACACCACTGCAGTCCAGCCTGGGTAACAGAATGAGACTCCCTCTCAAACCAAACAAACCAGAAAAAGTCAGAGAGCTGACACGAGCTGATCTCAAGATGCATTAGAAAGCTCAGCACTTCGGAAGGCCGAGGCGGGGAGACTGCTTGGGCTCAGGAGTTCGAGACCAGCCTGGCCAACATGGTGAAACCCTGTCTCTACTAAAAATACAAAAATTAGCTGGGCGTGGTGGCGCACACCTGTAATCCCAGCTACTCGCCAGGCTGAGGCAGGAGAATCGCTTGAAGCCGGGAGGTGGAGGTTGCAGTGAGCCGAGACCATGCCACTGCACTCCAGCCTGGGCAACAGAGCAAGACTCCATCTCAAAAAAAAAAAAAAAAAAAAAAAGAAAGAAAGAAAGAAAAAGAAAGCTCCAGTAATCTCAGGGCCGGGCTCACACCTGTAATCCCAGCACTCTGGGAGGCCAAGGCAGGCGGATCGCCTGAGGTCAGGAGTTCAAGACCAGCCTGGGAAACATGGTGAAGTCCCATCTCTACTAAAAATACAAAAATTAGACGGTGTGGGCACGCCTGTGGTCCCAGCTACTCAGGAGGCTGAGGTGGGAAGACTGCTTGAGCCCGGGACACAGAGACTGCAGTGAGCCGAGATCACCCCACTACACTCCAACCTGGGTGACACAGTGAGATCCCCGTCTAAAAAAAGCTCCAGTAACCAGGACAGCACAGTGTTGGTGCAAAGTTAAACAGATCAACACGGCCGTGCAGAGTCCACAAGCAGGCCCACACGCGGATGGACAAAGGCAATTCAGTGGTGAGGACGGGCTTCTCACATGCTGGAACAACTGGACAGACACAGGCAAACCCCTGGACCGACACCCCATAGTGTGTACCAACATCAACTCAAAATGGATCCAGACCTAAATGTAAAACCTAAAACTTCCAGAAGAAAACAGGAGAACATTTCTCTGACCCAGGGTTAGGCAAAGAAATTTTAGAAACAACATCAGAAACGAAATGCATAAAAGAACAAAAGGATAAACTGGACTTCATCAAAATGTTAAACTTCGGCTTTTCAGCAGACACTGCTAGAGAATGAGAAGACAAGGCACAGAACGGACAGACTCTTTAGAAAGCATCCATCTAATAAAGGGCTTGGATCCAGAATGTATGCAGAATCCTCAAAACTCAGTAAGAAAATAACCCAGGTTGGGCGTGGTGGCTCATGCCTGTAATCCCAGCACTTTGGGAGGCCGAGGAGGACAGATCACTTGAGGTCAGGAGTTCGAGACCAGCTTGGCCAACATGGCGAAACCCCATCTCTACTAAAAATACAAAAAATTAGCAGGGCGTGGTGGTGCACACCTCTAGTCCTAGCTACTTGGGAGGCTGAGGCACGAAAATCGCGTGAACCCAGGAGGCGGAGCTTACAGTGAGCCGAGATCATGCCACTGCACTCCAGCCCAGGCAACACTGAGAGACTCCGCGTCTCAAAAAAAAAAAAAGTGGGCAATTGAATAGACCCTTCGCCAAAGGTGGCAGACGGATGCAAATGAGCACACGGAGAGAGCCCCAACATCATTAGTCATTAGGGAGACATAAATTAAATCCTTAAAGCGACACCACTACACACTCACTAAAATAGCTAAAACTAAAAAGATCAGGTGCTCTCCAGGATGTGGAGCAACCAGAGCTCCTGGGCACCACTGGTGGGAGCCTCTCTGACAACAGCCCTGCAGTTTTGTAGAAAGTTAAACATACTCCTCATGTAGGACCTGCCATTCCACCTGAGGTGTTTTAAGCAAGCGAAAGGCAAGTGTGTGGCCTTACAAAGGCTTGTACCTGGGTCATTCCAAGCAGTTTTATTTCTGATAGCCATAAATTGGAAGCAACTCCAAAGTACACCAAAGGATGAAAGCATAAACAATTTCTGGTGTATCTATAATGGAAAAGCACTCAAATAAAATGGGATGAACTACTGATACAGCACAGATGACTCTCAAATAATCACACCGAGTTGAAGCCAGAAAAGAGAGAGTACACACCATGTGATATGGCTTGGCTCCGTGTCCCCACCAAACCTCATTTCCAACTGTAATCCCCACGTGTGGAGGGAGGGAAGTGACTGGATCATGGGGACAGCTTCCCCCAGGCGGTTCTCATGATAGCGAGTGAGTTCTCACGACATCTGGTGGCTTCATAAATGGCAGTTTCCTCTGCCCTCCTGTCTCTCCTGCCGCCATGTGAAGAAGGTACTTGCTTCCCCTTCGCCTTCTGCCATGATTGTCCCCAGTCATGTGGAACTGTGAGTCAATTCAACCTCTTTCCTTTATAAGTCACCCAGCCTTGGGTATTTTTTTATAGCAATGTAAGAACAGACTACTACGCTGTCTGACTGCATTTATATAAAATTCTAAAACACACAGACTCCCCTGCAGTGACAGAAAGCAGATGGGACAAGGGGCGTGGGAGGGACAGGAAGGAGGGCTAGAGAGAGGCAGAGGCCGTGCTGGGGGTAGGGTTCACCATGCTGACCCTGGGGTGATGGCTCCACGTGCATGCACATTTGTCGAAACTCACCAGTCACTTTACATGTGCTCAGTTTATTGCTGTGGATCACACCCCAGTAAAGCTCTTAAAACACACGCAGAGAGCCCTTAGAGAGCAAGAAAAAGGTACAACCCTCCCGGCAAAAAATAACGGAAAGCATAGTTTTAATCCTCTTCCTCCCAACGTCCTTCCCGAGTGAAAATAACTGCCAAGTTCACAGCTAGCACACGACCTTCCCCCACCAGCCCTGCCTCTTAAGAACACTAGGAGCTGCCCGAGAGTCGTATTAACAACTCTGTTCACCACCACACACAAAAACCAGGCCACGTTCAATGAGTTTTACTCTACCTGACCCCGTGAGCAACACAGGGACGTGAGTGTGCTGTCGATGGCACCCCAAGCGATCACACCCTCCACCACACTGCCTTTTTAACAGAGTATCTCACTGAGTAGCTCGGAGCATGAAACAGCTGCAGGGGTTCTCAGCTCCCAGCCTCCGAATGAAAGTGCGTGCTCAAGTCTCTGAAAAATAACACCAAGCTAGCTCCTTTGATGGAAAAGGGATCCCCCAAAATGACGCAGAAGGAACCGTGGTCAGGCCTGAGGAGCAGGCCACAAAGTACCAGCTCTGTGGGAGCTGGCTCCAGCCCCCATCTCCACAAAGCCGCAGGTGGACAGACTGCGCGCACCCTCCACACCCTCTGGAAAGCCAGGCTCCGCAGAAACACGAATCCAGCAGGCCACACTCGGCACAGGAAAGAGCAGCCTCTCCTGAAGGATCAGCAGCTCTGCTCCGCAGGCAGAAATGGGGCCTCCACCAACCCACCCACGGCTTGCTGCCGCCCCGTGAGTGGAGAGCTGGGCCCAACACTCTCCCCCGGGCTCTGATTCTAGGATTTATCCTTATTCCTTAGGTGGTCTGCACAGCAGTCAGCCAACTCAGCATCCCCTCATCATTTGGCCAAATTTCACAAATACGCAGTTGCTCACCTTAGAGCAAAGTTAAAACACCAACCCGTGGAGACTTCTACTCATGATTTGTTTCACTCGTTAATTCCTCTGCGACTCAACAGGAATGCTTACCCTCGTGCCTGTGTACAAAAGAGCTACGTGCAAATCAACACAAAAGAAATGGCAACAATACACCAAACTCCGAGTGAGAAGTTCACCCTGAAGTTTAAAGACTGTCTTTCACCTCAAAATGCAGAGGCACTGCAAAAGTGCATCTGTAGTGATGGCCAGATGTGGCTCTCAGGGCCCAGTGCAGAAACCTGGAGTGGAATGAAGTTTGGGAAGAAGCCAGCCTCGCAGCCCTGAGAGCCGAGCAGCGTCGTCAAAAGAGCAAGGTGCAAACCCTAAACGGGCACTGTGACTGATGGGACTTGCCCCTGGAAAACCTTCACCCAGCCTTCAGCATCGGCCTACACAGTCCCTCCTCCCCCTTGGCATTATCACAGTTGCAATTCGGTGACTGTTTTGTGATTTAGTCATTCCCTAACGTCTGTCTCCCCCCTCAACGCAAGCTCCCTGGGCTCAGGGATTAAATCTCTTAAGTTCACACAAATGAACAGATTGGAGAAAAGTTTAGTGAATGCACAGGTGTGCTGTGCCTACCCCAGGCCCATCCTCTCCCACCGTATATGCTAATTCCTTACCTGTCTCCGTTTCTCCTGCCAACCACAAAACCATACTACTGGAACTGTGTCAAATTTATCCATTTTCAGAACAGGATAAAATAACCTTGGCAAATAATTAATTTTCTGCATTGGATTCCTAAAAAAATCATTAACTTTACCTCACAAACATCTAAATCACATATTCATTCAAGAGGTGTTTATGCAACACTGACTGTCACCAAGCCCTCAACACACAACGGAGGGCACAGCAGGCATGGCCCACATCGCTCCATGCGCACGGGGCAAAGAAACAGTGACTGAGAAACAGCCTCCCGCCTGCCCCTTGACCCCTCTCAGTTCCCTGCTGGGTGGGCTGCTCTCCCCTCACCTCGGCGGCCTAGGTCGTGCAACCAGTCAGCCAGGCCAGGAGTTGTATCATTCTGAATTGCATTTTCCAGGTTGTAAAAGCAGCTTCTAAGCCATCTGATTGCTCACAGCCACCTCTCCATGGTGCAGGGTCCCACACGTGCTCTGCTCCTGCAGCTGAGCCTCCCTAAAGCACTGAGCAGAGGCCTGGACACCCAGGAGCCGCACCTGCTCTGGGATGCTGGAGGTGCTAAGGGGGGCCGGTCAGAGTGACCAACAGGGACAGACCCACCCAACACACGGGTTCTGGCCTTTTTGCCTACCAGGGCTTCTGGAAACTCAAACATACCCCCCAAAAAAATGCTACCTCCTTGAATTGAATTCTCTTTAAGTTAACTTTAAATGGCTGAGGTATTTTGGTAAAAATACTTCAGGATATTACAGTTGACCTTTGAAAAACATGGGTCAAACTTCCAGGGTCCACTTACATGCAGATTTTTTTCAACCAAGCAAGGACTGAAGATACGGCATTGACAGGACATGAAACCCACGTACACAGAGGGCTGACGTTTTGCTCGCTTGGGTTCCACAGGGAACTTGTATGTGCGTACGGGGCCCTGGAACCATCCCGAGAACACTGCGGGGCGACTGTATCTGGCGCCATCACTTTAGGAAATTCTTAGCACATGGACACACCTCCGTGAACAGGTACAGTGCACATGCGTGTCTGTCAAGCCACAGCCTGGGAGCAGAGCCCTGCTGCAAACTTCAACCCAAAGCTGCTTCTAAAAAGCTCGTGAGCAGCCTTCAGTGAGGCTGGCATCCACCTGACCTCCAACACAGATCTCCTTCCCGACAGTGAGCTCACATTCAGGAGTGCCATAAAGCACCTGCCTAAGCCTCCAATGATACTCAACAAAGGCACAGGCTTGCATCCCATAAATACCAACCCCTGTGTCAGCTACAGGTTAAAACTGCTTTGCTCAAAACTTAGGAATTCATGGGCCAGGCGCAGTGGCTCACACCTGTAATCCCAGCACTTTGGGAGGCCAAGGCAGGCGGATCACGAGGTCAGGAGATCGAGACCATCCTGGCTAACATAGTGAAAACCCGTCTCCACTAAAAATACAAAAAATTAGCCGGGCACGGTGGTGGGCGCCTGTAGTCCCAGCTACTCAGGAGGCTGAGGCAGGAGAATGGTGTGAACCCAGGAGGCAGAGGTTGCAGTGACCCAAGATCGCGCCACTGCACTCTAGCCTGGGCGACAGAGCGAGACTCTGTCTCAAAAAAAAAAAAAAAAACTTAGGAATTAATGGATCTAGGGAAGGTGTACATAGCTGTTTGTTGTACTCATTCTTTTAAGTTTGAAATTTTGCAAGATAAAACTCGGAGGCAAGGACTGTTTTGCTATCTAGACATGCAACTCTGTGTGATAATCTCCACTTGGGGGCGGTGGGCAAGTGGAGTAACAAGGTAAACAGTGGGACTCCTGGTAAACTCTGACACAGAAGCCCTTCGAAGGGAGCCCTGCTAGCTCTGCAGCACCAGGGCCCAGTGCCCACGTGCGCGCGCGCGCACACACACACACACACACACTCATACATGCACACTCCATCCAATCACCTGTACTTGGGGCTGCCGTGGTGGGGCGGGGTAAGGAAGGCCTGACTCCTGGCCTCCAGGAGCTGACAGTCTGGTAAAGAATGGGAATGCAGGCTGGGAGTGGTGGCTCACGCCTGTAATCCCAGCACTCTGGGAGGCCGAGGCAGGCGGATCACGAGGTCAGGAGATCGAGACCAGCCTGGCCAACATGACGAAACCCCGCCTCTACTAAACATACAAAAATTAGCTGGGCGTGGGAGCACACACCTGTAATCCCAGCTACTTGGGAGGCTGAGGCAAGAGAATCGCTTGAACCCGGGAGTCGGAGCTTGCGGTGAGCCGAGATCGCGCCACTGCACTCCAGCCTGGTGACACGGCAAGACTCCGTCTCAAAAAAAACAAAAAAAAGAATGGCAGGCACAGGTAACCCACAGTGGTCAGGGGAAGCCTCAGGGCTGGGCCAGAAGGAAGAACAGTGCGCCGCAGGGGCATGGTCACGGTGAAGCTGCCCATGTGGGTGTCAGGAGCTGGCCAGGTGGAGGAAAGACGCACAATGCCAGCGCTGCGAGGCCAGGCGAGCAGCGCAGCGGGCCAGAGCCCCGATAGGGGTGTGCGGCCACGTGCACAAGGAGAGGAGGCAGCAGAGGCCTCTGCAGCACTCCAGGGAGCGGAATCACAGGCAGGGACGCCAACGAGCCCGCCAGGAAACTGGACACCTGCATCTCCACAGTGCCCGGTCAGTGCAGGCAACGAATCTGAGTTTCTGGTGTCCTGGATAGGACGACACAGCAGCATCACAAGCATCACAGACGTCACCACCCAGAGTCAGGACACCACAGCCTTTTCATGCCAAAGCCCAATACTAATTTAGATTCGCTTTCATGCGTAGACAGACACATAATTTAAAACAGCTCTGAAACATTAAAATGATTTTCCAGTCATTCAACAGTTAATAAAGTTTACCCTGCCCAGCAGTGCCCATTTCGGCTTTTTCTTAACTGTCACACCCCACTGCGGCCTGTCGTGCCTCGAAGCACATTTTCAATTAGCCCTGAAGCCAGAGGACGCACTCGCAGGATGGGCTGGACAGTGCTGGGAAGGGTCTTGCTTGCCCTACTCCACACACCTCAGTACAGCCTCCAATTTTCCAATTAACATGCTTAGAGTAATAATTTTTTGAAAACAAATTTCGTCCAAAAACTTTACTAAGTTGCCAATAATGTTGAATTGTCTTATCTACTTTTTAAACTGGCCCCACAAAATGTATCAGGTGACCACGAAAGCAACACCAAGGGCCACACAGCACAGATGTGGAACCTCATGGATAAACACGTGGCAGGGCCTGATTCAGGAGGCTCTCCGTACCCCACCACCTCCACAATACGATGGCCTCCTTCACCTCTTCTCAGTACTCAATTCACTTGCCCAACTGCACCTGAGCTTCCTGAAATGCCTGAGTCTATTTGACAGACACAACATGCAACAAACAGGAAATGACTTGCACTTGGTCTCAGGCAGGTTTTTCTCCACGGCTTTAGGTGAAAGGCTTCTGTTGAAAACACTGAGCACCTGGTATCACTTCTGCCTTCGTGAAGCCTTCCCTTATATTCTCAGCCATTCCTGGTTTCTAATTTTCTCAGGTTTCTAAAATCTCTGAAACCCACAAGCCTCATGTGACTTCACTGACTCCCTCTTTCAGGGAGCCTGGGTCCAAGGTCGGAACGTGGCCAGGCTGCTCCAGGCTGGGCGTCCAAGCCCTCGTCCTCCAGGCACCGCACACCTTGAGGCCCAGCATGTGCAGAATCAGGCTGTGCTCGCTTCCGCCGACAGCAGTGAGCATGCTGGCTGGGCCCAGGGTGCCTTCTCGACACTTTGCTAAACCTCAGGATAAAGCATATTCATCTGCACATATTTAACTCCCAAGACTCTAAAAATCCTGCACTAACAGAGAGCCTTCACTTCTGCACAATTTTAACATGTGCTCTTTCATCTGCAGATTCTGAATTCATTCAAATGACACTTTGGGCATTCCCTTTGCCTTGACTGAGAGCTCAGTTCCAACTCTGTGCCCACCTCCCAGCCTCCCCCTACCCTACTCCACTAGCAGCTGAACAGAGCCCAAGGTGGGCGTTTTTCACTCTATTCTCCCTCTCCCCTCACTTTCTCATTAATCATATCTTCTTGGGTTATGAGTACTTTTCTTAGTCACCGTAAGTTCTTACTAGAGTAAGCACATGTGTCAACAAATAAAATAATCAACAAGCAAAGGCTCCCACCAAAACCCCAGGGAGACGCCGGGGTGCAGGGCATGCAGCCCCTGGCACCCGGAGACGGGGCTCGCAGGGAAGGCCCCGTGGAACAGCCCGGGAAGAGGGCAGCTGGCCCAGCAACACCGAGACACGGAACGCACAGGACACTTCCAAACAAAAGTTCCAGATTCTTCTCACCATCAGCAAGCAAGAAGGAAACAACCCTCCTTTCCTCAGAGCTCCCCCGCAGCACTGTCCTTCTGCGAGCCTGCACCTCCCATCTCGCACTCTTCCTGAAGCCAGCAGTATCTCAGCACCTCTGGAGTCTCCATGTTAAGACTTCACATATTTGGATACGTTTGATCTGCTAACTTAAAAACAGTTAGTGAAGTCACCATTTGGATGGTGCTTCCAGGCCAGCGGTGGGGGCAGTCAACTCTGCAAGCAGTCGGCTCTGCTTTTCTGAGAGGACAAGGACCATGCTCAGATTCCCTCCACCCCCGAACTCCTGCTCCCTGAGCTACCATCTCAGCAGTTTCTGTGTCCCCTGATGGGCCAGGACACAGGACTTCTCTAACCTAAAGTCTACACGTTTGTCCAGATGGCAACAAGCATCGCTTCTCTTCCACATGTTCACTGTGTTTTAAGGCAGCTTTATCCACAGAGGCTGGGGAAGGGAGACCAATCTGAGAGTGCCAGTGGCAAGAAGAGGAGCTCGGGGCCACAGGCAGCGCCTGCTGTCTGCAGAGGATGGGCTTCCAGAAGGCCCGGTGGCCCACCAGGGCCTCGGCTCTCAGCACCTGAAACCACATCCCCAGCACTCAACTCCCAATGTTCTGCTTACTTTCAAAATGTTTTAAATAGTGCCAATCCCATGCACAATTTCAAGAAAACTGAGGTCAGCTGGCAGATGACATGGACCTTAAATGACTTACAGCAAAACGTCAGTTCTCCAGAACCCAACTTTCAGACAACCTCACTTATCAGAACACATTGGCAGGGAGACAGCAAAGCAGGGGCTCTGAGCAGCCGGTGGCCAACCAGCACACACTGGGCACTGGCCCCAAATCAGAAACACATGTGGATGGTACACACCCTCCTAGAGCTTCCGATCAATCCGATTCATCAGTCTATGCTAGGAAGGGAAGCTGCCCAGCCCTCTAAGAACCTGCCACCAGCAGATCTTCTTGGCCTCATCTGAGCACCGAGACTGGCTTCTCGAAGGAAGCAGCTGGGAAATGATGGATGCGGGGGGAAAAAAAGAGGGGAGGCAGCTGTCTGGACGTGGTGAGAGGCAGGAGGGCAAAGAAAGCAGCAAGGATACGGTGAGGGAGTGACCTAGGAAGAGCAGGGCAGAGGGCCACCCACAGGAGAAGAGTGAGGCCACAGATGAGATCCCTCAGCTCTCAGCAGGGCGGGGTCAGGCAGGGTGGCCTCAGCCCCCAGCGGATGGCTCTGGTGCTCTCCATGAAGCAACAAGGGGAGCCACCTGCCAA
Source organism: Homo sapiens (assembly GCF_000001405.40). Classification (NCBI taxonomy): domain Eukaryota; kingdom Metazoa; phylum Chordata; class Mammalia; order Primates; family Hominidae; genus Homo; species Homo sapiens. The sequence continues at coordinate 62,033,259 of NC_000020.11, forward strand.
GATGCGTGTGTGGCAGGAATCAGAGACCAAGGCAGAAGAGGGAGGTGGCAGGACAAAGGAGCTAACAAGGGCCCTGGTGGGTTTTAAATAATAGGAAGGCATTTGATACGATCCAACATCCATTGAGACAAACTAACAAATATCCCCTGCCCCAAGAAAAGCAAACAGAAAGCAACTTCAGAAAATAAGAAGTGGGAGCTGGGCAGGGTAGCTCACGCCAGTAATCCCAGCACTTTGGGAGACCAAGTCAGGCAGGTCACTTGAGGTAAGGGGTTCAAGATCAGCCTGGCTAACATGGCGAAACCCCGTCTCTACTAAAAATACAAAAATTAGCCAGGCATAGTGGCGCATGCCTATAATCCCAGCTACTCGGGAGGCTGAAGCACAAGAATTGCTTGAACCCGGGAGGCAGAGGTTGCAGTGAGATGAGATTGTGCTATTGCACTCCAGCCTGGGCAACAAGAGTGAGACTCCGTCTCAAAAAAAAAAAAAAAAGAAAAAGGGCCAGGTGAGGTGGCTCACGCCTGTCATCTCAGCACTTTGGAAGGCTAAGGCGGGTGGATCACGAGGTCAGGAGATCGAGACCATCCTGGCTAACACGGTGAAACCCCTTCTCTACTAAAAATACAAAAAATTAGCTGGGCATGGTGGCAGGCGCCTGTAGTCCCTACTACTTGGGAGGCTGAGGCAGGAGAATGGCGTGAACCCGTGAGGCAGAGCTTGCAGTGAGCCAAGACCGCGCCACTGCACTCCAGCCTGGGCGACAGAGCAAGACTCTGTCTCCAAAAAAAAAAAAAAGAAAATGAGTGGGAAAGAACTTCCTTAACTTCCCCTCAACACTACACCTGAGACCCCAACAAGCCCAATACCAGAAGACAACAAGGGAATGAAGCACAGGACGTCAGTGAAATACAATTGTCATTAATTGCATGTAATAAATTCTCTAGGTGCGACCCTCAAAAAATTGCAAATTTTTAATGGAAGAGTTGAAGAGTGCTAGAGTAAGATCAATATCCAAAATTCAACTGCGATTCAACACACTATCAAAGAAGAATTAGAAAACGCAATTTTTTGTTTATTTTTAGACAAGGGTCTCATTCTGTCACCCAGGCTAGTGTGCAGTGGCACAATCATAGCTCACTGTAGCCTCAAACTCCTGGGCTCAAGCGATCCTCCCACCCCAACCTCCTGAGTAGCTGGGACTACAGGCATGCACCACCACACCTGGCTAAATTTTTTTTTAATTTTTTGTAGAGACAGGGGTTCTCACTATGTTGCTCAGGCTGGTCTCAAGCTCCTGACCTCCAGCAATCCTCCCATCTCAGCCTCCCAAAGTGCTGAGATGACAGGCATGAGCCATCATTCCCAGCCAGAAAATGTGTTTAAAAAAAATACTTAAAATAGCAGCAATGAACTCAGAATGTCCTGGAATGCCCTACACATATCTAACAAAATATGTGTAAGACCTATATGAAAAAGACACATAAAACTTGATTGAAAAATATTACAAAATATGTAAATAGAGTAATATACCATATTCATGGATATAGTCACTATCTCATAGATTTCTTTTTTTTTTTGAGATGGAGTCTCGCTCTGTCACCCAGGCTGGAGTACAGTGGCGCAATCTCGGCTCACTGCAAGCTCCGCCTCCCGGGTTCACGCCATTCTCCTGCCTCAGCCTCCCGAGTAGCTGGGACTACAGGCACCCACCACCATGCCCAGCTAATTTTTTGTATTTTTAGTAGAGACGGGGTTTCACCATGTTAGCCAGGATGGTCTCGATCCCCTGACCTCATGATCCGCCTGCCTGGGCCTCCCAAAGTGCTAGGATTACAGGCGTGAGCCACCGCACCCGGCCCATAGATTTCAGTTCTCCCAAAATTGACCCACAGATTGATACAACTTCAATTAAAATAACCTACAAGGACTTTTATGGGCCCCGAAGAGTTGATTCTAAAATTTATAAGGAAGATCAAAGTGCCAAGAGTTGCACAGACAATTCTCAAAAGCAACAGAATGGAGTATTACCTCTAGTAGATATCAAGAATTAGTATGGAGCTAAATTATTTAAGGACAGGATGCTACTGATGAAAGGACAGACAGATAAACCAAGAGAAAACAACCGACAGGCTAGAAACGGATGCCACATAATATAAAACCTGAAATGTTACAGACGGGCCATGGAGACCACAGAGGTGAGGAAGGACCATTCAAATAAATAACACCAGGACAACTGTCAATCCAAATAGGAGGCAAATGAAAATGGAGCTCTAACTCACACCACACACAAACCCCATGCCAGGAGGATTACATACTTAAAAGCAAAAGCAAAAGCTATCATTTTAGAAGAAAATACAGAAGACTATTCCTATTACCTTCGGGTTAGAAAGGACTTCTTAAAGATGACTTGAAAAAGCTTACCAAAAAGGAGACAATAGATACATTCAACTACAGTAAAATCAAGGAGTCCTATTCGTCAGAAGACACCATAAAGAAAGTGAAAAGATCAGATATAAACTGGAAGAAGATACTGGCCATATACAGATGACCTACAAAGGAACAGTAACCAGAATATGCACAGAACTCCTATAATTAATACGAAATAATTTAAAGAAAACGGGGCAAAAAGACACAAACAGACATTTCACAGAAGGTTACCCACAAACAATAAACATAGAAAATTAATTTCCTCTATATTAAAGGAAAAGAAGTTAAATGAAATTAATTTTCATTAAGGAATTAAAGGAAATTAATCAAATTTCTTTTTTTTTTTAAAAAAAAAAAAGAGTTTTGCTCTTGTTGCCCTGCCTCGAGTGCAGTGGCGCAATCTCAGCTCACTGCAACCTCCCGCTCACGGGTTCAAGCGATTCTCCTGCCTCAGCCTCCTGAGTAGCTGGGATTACAGGTACCCGCCATCACAACCGGCTAATTTTTTGTATTTTTAGTAGAGATGGAGTTTCACCATGTTGGCCAGGCTGGTCTCGAACTCCTGACCTCAGGTGATCCACCCGCCTCGGCCTCCCGAAGTGCTGGGATGACAGGCGTGAGCCACCGCGCCTGGCTCATTAATTAATTTTTAAGTGAAAATTAAGACAACACTATCAGAGCATTTTACACCCCCAGATTCGAGGAATTGAAAAGTCTGACAACACCCAGTGCTATCAAGGATATAAAATAACAGAAACTGCTGGGAGGCAAGTGAACTGTTGCAACTAACATTACTCATGCAGTACTGCAAGACAAACTGCAAGGAAATGACAGGCCAGTATCCCTCCTGAACCTACACACCAAACTGTAGCAAACTGCATGCAACTGTATATAAAAAGGATAATACATGTGACCAACAGGGGTTATGCTAGGAACTCGCCAGGGTTTAACACTCAAAATTAAATCAGTGTAATTCACCATGTTAACAGACTAAAAAAGAAAAACCATACAAGCATCCCAATACAGGAAGAAAAGCATTTTAACAAAAATAAACATCCACTCACGACAAAAATTCTCACCAAACTAGGAAAAGAAGGTGCATAGACTGAATGCCATCACAATTCATATGCTGAAACCCAATCCCCAAGGTGATGGTAGCAGAAGCGGGGGGACTTTGGGGGCCCAGCCCTCATTAACCGGATTAGCGCCCTTATGAAAGAGCCTGTCCCACAGCTGCCTTGCCCCTTCCTTCCACACTCTGAGGACACACAAGAAGCTGCATGGGAGCAGGCAGCAGGCCCTCACCAGCATGGCAATCTTGCACTTCCCAGGACTGTGAGAAATGAATTTCCGGTGTCTAGAAGCCTCCCAGTCTATGGTATTTTGTTACAGCAGCCAGAATGGCCTATGACAGAAGGGGATTCCTCAACCTAACACAGGGCCTCTATGAAAAACCTGCAGCTGACATCATGTGCGTCATGAGAGAAGACAGACTGCCTCCCCCAAGATCAGAAACAAGGCAAAATGTCCCTTCTCAACGCTTCTGTTTGTCATATTACACTGGAGGTTGTGGCCAGTGCAATGAGACAAGAACAAGAAATAAAAGGTGCACAGACCAGAAAAAAAGACATGAACCACTCTTTACTGCAGATCACGCCTATCTTTGAAGAAAATCCTAAGAAATCCACAGGATATAAAGTCAATTTTTTTTATTTTAATTGCATTTATTGTATGCTGAGTTTATTCCCATGCCACAAGTTTTTGTTTCTTCAGTTTCTTCTGGTACAGTTTTCCTCTGTGCAACTTCCTCACCTGGCTTGGGAACAAGTGTCTTTACCGTGAGGATCGTCTCAATGTGACGGGGCGCCCTGTATGGATGAACCCGACCACCAGCCCTGGAAGTCCCACAGCGCATCCTGGGTGCTCAAACACCAGAGAGCCTACATCTACACCCTCACATTCAGTGTGACTCTCCACATTTTTAATTGTGTGCAGCAAAAATTCAGCGCTCTTTTCGGGTCACCAACCCTGTGTCCAGCCCCACTGTTTGGCCTAGGTACACCTGCCAGCTCCACCCCTGCCAAGTCGGAATGGCATACACTGTTTCTATAAAGGGACGTCTTTCAGACACTTGGTGACTTCTCACGTATGCATACCCTTGATGGCCTGGGCAGTTTCACGAGCGTTCTTAAAGTGATCAAGAAGACCTGAACCTCTGGATTTGCACGATTTTGTGGGGATTTCTGGGTCAAGTGACTAATGAACCATTTTCACAGATCATCTCAGGCCGCTTGGGGAAGAGCTATAAAGTCACTATTTTTAAAAGCAATTTTTTTGTTGTTTTTTTTTTGGTTTTTTGAGACGGAGTCTCACTCTGTCGCCCAGGCTGGAGTGCAGTGGCGCGATCTCGGCTCACAGCAAGCTCCGCCTCCCAGGTTCATGCCATTCTCCTGCCTCAGCCTCCAGGTGGCTGGGACTACAGGAGCCCACCACTACGCCCGGCTAATTTTTTGTATTTTTACTAGAGACAGGGTTTCACAGTGTTAGCCAGGATGGTGTCGATCTCCTGACCTCGTGATCCACCAGCTTCGGCCTCCCAAAGTGCTGGGACTACAGGCGTGTGCCACCATGCCCAGCTAATTTTTTGTATTTTTAGTAGAGACAGGGTTTCACAGTGTTAGCCAGGATGGTCTCAATCTCCTGACCTCATGATCCGCCCGCCTCAGCCTCCCAAAGTGCTAGGATTACAGGTATGAGCCACTGAGCCACCGAGCCACTGACCCACCGCGCCCGGCCAAAAGCAATTGTTTTTCTAAATACTGGCAACAATTGGAAACAAAATTTTTTAAAGGACCACGTACATGGCATAAAATATGAATACTTAAGAATAAATTTAACAAAGTATGTTCAGGATACAAACACTGAGAACTTGAAACAACCCTGAGAAAAATCCTGAAAGGCCTAAATCAATGAAGAGGTACAACACGTTCGTGAATCAGAACACTCGATATTGCTAAGATATCAATGATCATAAAACCGATCTATAGACTCAATACAATCCCAAGCAAGATATCAAGGTATTGGCCAGGCCCAGTGGCTCACACCTGTAATCCCAGCACTTTGAGAGGCTGAGGCAGGCGGATCACCTGAGGTCAGGAATTCAAGACCAGCCTGGCCAACACGGCAAAACCCTATCTCTACTAAAAATACAAAAATTAGCCGGGTGTGGTGGCACGTGCCTGTAATCCCAGCTACTCGGGAGGCTGAGGCAGGAGACTCACTTGAACCCGGGAGTCGGAGCTTGCAGTGAGCCAAGATCGTGCCACTGCACTCCAGGAAAAGATGTGAAAGAGTGAAAAATTCCGTCTCAAAACAAACAAAAAGCTATCAAGGTATCAAGAGGCTTTTTTTGTAGAAGTTGACGAACTGATTCTGAAACACATGAATGCAAACGACCAGAACAGCCCTCAACGTTTTCGAAAAAGCAGCACTGGAGGACTCCTGCCACCCATCAACACTCCCTCTAAATGGGCTGGAAAGTGCTGAGCTGCAGAAGGGAAGACAAGGACATGAGTGGACAGAACACATCCCAGAAGTGACGTCCTCACACGTGGCCGACTGAGTTTCAATAAAGGCAGCAGCATCGTTCAATAGAGAAAGGAAGGTCTCCTCAACACATAAGGCTGGCATGATTGGTAACCACAGAAAAAATGAGTCTCAACCCCCTACCTTACAACTCTCCCAAAATTAACTTGAATTGGGTTGAGTAAGAGCTAAAGCCATAAGCATTCTAGAAAACTCCTGTACCTTGGGTTAGGCAAAAATTTATTTAAGAAGGCACAAGATGAATTCTTAAAATGACTCACTGGATTTATTTAAGAAGGCACAGGACGAATTCTTAAAATGATACACTGGATTTATTTAAGAAGGCACAAAATGAATTCTTAAAATGATACATTGGGCTTCCTTAAAATTGAAAACTTGCACTTTAAAACGCATGCAGCTAAAAGAAAAGGCAAACACAGACCAAGAAAATAGTTACAGAACAATTCTATCTGATAAATTACTTACATCTAGAAAATACATTTTAAACTCTTACTAAATCAATAATGACAAAACTAACAACCCAATTTAAAACACACAGACAAAAGATTTGAAAAGACACCTCCCGAAAGAAGATAGGCAAATGAGCAAATAAGCTGGTGGAAAGACGCTCAGCATTAGTCACTAGGGAAATGCAAATCAAAGCCACAACATAATGGCACGGCACCCATCGAAAAGGCTAAAATTCAAGACTGACCATACCAGCTTTCCGCAAGGATGTCAACCTTTATGCGCTGCTGGTGAGACACAATGCAAAACAGGACAGCCACTTTGGAGTTCCTTCAGAAATTAATATTCATTTGCCATATTCAGCAATCCCACCCCTAGTTATCTACCCAAGACAAAGAAAAACTTATGTTCATATAAAGATTTATAGGAAACATTCATAGAAGCATTGCTCATAATAATCAAAAGCTAGAAACAACCCAAATACCCATCAACTGGTAACCAGATCACCTGCGGTCCAGCCGCACACCAGGATGCTGCTCAGCAACGCAAAGGAACCAGCTACTGGCACGCACACGACACACCACTTGGGCACCACGCAGAAGTATCCCGCCAAGGGAAAGGGCCAGATGTGAGGCTCCCACTACATAATCTCATTTATACAAAATTCTAGAAGAGGCAAAATCACAGTGACAGCAGCAGCTCAGTGGCTGCCGGGGAGGAAGCTGGAGCAGGGGCTCACCCCCAGGGGCACGAGGCTACAGAATGATTCCGATCCTGTACTCGACGGTGGTGGTGACGTGACTATCGTTAAAACTCACAGACCTACAGGCTGAGAAAGGTGCGCTCTGCCACGCGCCAACTACGCCTCCATAAACGGAGATTTAAAAAGTAGTATGTGCTAACACTGCATGCCCACTAGAATAGGCAAAACAGAAAAGCCTGGCCACGCCAAGAGCCAGCAAGATCTCACGGCAGCAGCACTGAGCCCGCGGATGAAACTAAATTCGCAGAGCCGCTCAGGAACACAGCCTGGCAGTTTCTGACAAGACCAAACTCACACCTTCCGTACGACTCAGCGATTCCACTCCTAACATTTACCCAAAAGAAAAGGACGTCTACACGTATGTTCGCACAAAGGCTTGAACACAAATGTTCAAAAAGAAGCTTTATTCGTAATAGCCAAAAACTGGAAACATGCCAGACTCCTCAGCTGGCAAATGTATAGCGTACATCCAAACAGAAACCATTCCCCATAAAAATAACAAACTGTGGACACGTGTTGCACACGATGCCCCTCCAAGTACTCTGAGTAGGAAGCCGGACACCAGGGAGCACACAACTGGGGTTTCAGCGACCTGAGCGCTCCAAAGGACAGATCCACACCGACGGCGAGAGGCGGCCCAGAGAACACCTTCCCGTCCAGGGCTGTGGGCCGACAGCAGAGGGCACAAGCAGACCCTCTGGGGGGCTGAACGAAATGGGGGTAGACATCCTCAATCTGTGCACTTACAAGGGGGACATTTTATTGTATATAAATTATGTCCCCTCCAAGAATTTTTATGCATGTTAACCTCTATTTAAAGGAGAGCCCCTACCCTCAAACTGTCAGCCTCCACGTACAGCCACGCCTCACATCATGATGCTCCTGGCAATAACAGACGGCATACATGACGCTGGTCCCATCAAGACCATCCTGGCTAACAGGGTGAAACCCCATCTCTACTAAAAATACAAAAAATCAGCCAGGCGTGGTAGCATACGCCTGCAGTCCCAGCTACTTGGGAGGCTGAGACAGGAGAATTGCTTGAACCCGGGAGGCAGAGGTTGCAGTGAGCCGAAATTGCGCCACTGCACTCCAGCCTGGGCAACAGAGCGAGAATCCATCTCAAAAAAAAAAGAAAAAAGAAAAGTATGGCACACTGACCAGGTGCAGTAGCTCACCACTTTGAGCGGGTGAGATGGGAAGACTGCCTCAGGCCAGGAGTTTAAGACCAGCCTGGGCAACAAAGCAAGAGCCCTTCTCTCTAAAAAAAAAAAAAATTGAAACATCAGCCAGGCACAGTGGCTGTAGTTGCAGCTACTTAGGGGAGGCCAAGGCAGGAGGATCACATGAGCCCAGGAGTTCAAGGCACCACTGCACTCCAGCCTGAGTGACAGAGTGAGGCCCTATCTCCTAAAAAAAAAAAACCCTCCCACATACAATTCTGTAGCATACAGAATACTGGCTAATGATACAGACAGGAGGCAAGGAAATACTGGGTAGAAGAGGGCAATTTCCCAGCAAAGGCCCCACCCTCAAGCCTGGACACCTGCAGCCCTAAATGGGAACAGGCATTCCTGTTTCCGCGCCCAAATGTTGCCTTTTCCAAGACTAATCTGGCCTGCCACGCCCCTATCTGGTGCCCATATAAACCCCAAGCTCCACTGACGAGAGCAAAGTGGCGCAGCAGAGAAGGAGAAAAGAGAAGGAGCGTCTGAATGTCGAGAGGGGTTTGGCTGGGCACCGTCCAGGAGGAGATCGGCTGCGGGACGGCTGAACTCCAGAGGAAGATCATCTTCTCACTCCATCCCCTTGCCAGCTCATCCATCTCACTGAAGGCCACCTCCATCACTCAATAAAATCCCCACAAATGCCATCCTTCAAGTCCGTGTGACCTGATTCTTCCTGGACACCGCACAAGGACTCGGGTACCGAGAGGGCAGGGGGAAAAAGGCTGTCGCCTGACTCTCTGCTGAGCTGGTTAACACTTAGCCATCTGAGAATGGCAACTGCTAAAAGAGCATTCATTGTAATCTACCCCTAGGTGCTACTGTGGGGCGGGAGCCCAAAAGGGCTCACCCGGGCTCCTGCACCTGCCCGTCTGCACGCTCCCCTGCACGCTCCCCTTCCAGCAAATGAGCCACAGCCCCTGTTGCAAGTACCCAGAGCGGGTCAGGGAACTCTCCTGTTTCAATGATAATTAGCAACAATGTTACTGGTTTACATATTCACTACATTCTACTTCCCATCACTGTTTCAGAAATATACTGCATCTACTTATTAAAACTTACAGTTAACTGTAAAGCAGCCTCAGGCAGGTCCTTCAGGAAGAGTCCAGAAGAAGGTACTGATATCATAGGGATGACGGCTCCATGTGTGTTACTGCCCCTGAAGACTGCAGGGAGACGGGACTTGGAGGTGGAGGGCAGTGATGTGGATGATCCTGACTCTGTAGGCCTAGGCTAACGTGTGCTTGTGTCTTGTTTCTAACAAGTAAGTTTAAAAAGTAATAAATAATTTTAAAAATGGAAAAAAGCTCGCTGGGCGTGGTGGCACACGTCTGTAAACCCAGCATTTCTGGAGGCTAAGACAGGCAGATCGCTAGAGCCCAGGAGTCCAAGACCAGTCTGGGCAACACGGTGAAACCTACAAAAAAATACAAAAATTAGCCCGGCATGGTGGCCACGCCTGCCTGTAGTTCCAGCTATCCGGGAGCCTGAGGTGGGAGGATCTCCTGAGCCCAGGAGGTCAAGGCTGCAGTAAGCCATGATTGCGTCACTGCACTCCAGCCTGGGTGACAGAGCTTACAGAATAAGGATACAAAGAAAGTATTTTTTTGCACAGCTGTATAATGTGTTTGTGTTTTAAGCTAAGTGTTACTACAAAAGAGTCAAAAAGTTTGAAAAAGTTAAGTTTATAAAGTTATAGTAAGTCAAGGTTATTACTGAAGAAAGAAAACTGTGTTTTTATAAATTCCATAGTCCCTAAGCATACCCTAAGCATAGAGTGCCCCAGAGCCTACAGCAGCACAGTCATGTCCCAGGCCTCTCAGACTCCCGCAGAGCAACACCCAGTCCTGCAAGCGCCATTCATGGTGAGTGCCCTACACAGATGCACCATTTTTCATCTTTTATCCCCTAGTTTTACTGTACCTTTTCTATGTTTAGATACACAAACTCACTATCGTGTTACAACTGTACACGTCACAAGCCATGCAGGTTTACAGCCCAGGAGCCAGGGGCCGCACCACACAGCCTAAGAGTGTAGCAGGCTGTGCCATCCAGGTTTGTGTTAGTATATTCCACGATGCTCGCACAACGATGACATTGCCTAATGATGCGTTTCTAGAATGTATCCCCATCACTAAGTGGCGCGCGACTGTACCTGGTTTACACATAATTCCAGGAAGTATTTCTAAGCCCACTGCAGGCTGGACGGGAAGACACAGAGGCAGGGCCCGTTAGCTAACCCAGGCTTCAGCCTCCCACCAATGCAAAGACCACCCTGCCTGGCCTTCCCTTAAGACTGAGCCTCCCCTGTCTCCAGCCCAATATTCCCAGGCAGAGCTAACTTGTGCTTATTATATGCTTTTTGCCTTGGCAGAGAAAAATATATGTATTTTTTAAACTATTTCCTTCCAAAATTATTTTTTTTAAGTTTTAGTGCTTGAATTATGCAGAAAAGCATCACTATTCAGAGTAATTTCCTGAGTGTACTACACATAAAACTTCAAGTTTTTCAATTAAAATAAAATGCTACCAGAGATGATCTCCAGATTATATTAAGAAAAAATGTCAAGGTAAAAATTAGCGTATATGCTACATTAGTTATAATAGGAGAAAAAGAATATATGTGTGTATGCATGCGAGTATGTGTATTTTGAACCACATAAATGTTTTATACCCTCAAAATACAAAATGAAACAAAAAAAGTAAAATTGAAAACAAACCAAAACATAACTAAATTGTGTATCAAATTGGTAACATAACCAACACAAAAAAGGATCATTTCAGTGGAGTTTTGAACACAGTACTGATCTAACATCCTTAAAGAATAAATTCTAAAGACAAAGAGTGCAAAGAAACCTTAAACTTTACTCTCATGTTATTGTTGTAATTCTGAATCTGTGTTTAAGTATAGGGTAGCAGAAGCCAAGTAAGTAAATATGTTTATGTTACTAGGATCTAAGCTTTTCTGTGCAAGAGAAGAGATAAAAATACAATTTCACAGAATTTACAGGAGGGGGAGAATGTGCTGTGTTAAAAATGTGACCAGCATGACCAGCACCCCCAGCGCTGCCGAAACTGCTCGAGAGTCATTTTCCTCTAAATGCCATTCCAAGGCTCCTCCGGGAAGAGACAGGCCTGGGACAGGAAATACAGGATGAGGCTGATGTCTTGCACCAGAGGCACCAAACAGGATGGAGCGAAGGCCAGGAGGAGACCCATGGGCACAGGGAGCAGTCCGACATGGCAATGGACAAGCCACTCAGCCCAGGGGGAGAAAAGAGGCCACCTTGAGTGACACATGAAAATTAATCCTGGACAGATTAGTGACTACAAGGAAAAGAAAACTCACAACGCCGACATGAAAACACAGGTGAGTAGGTAAATAACCTCAGGTAGGGAGAGACAGTCTAGCCACACTGCAGGAAGAGAACTCGCAAAGCCATGCCGCTCAAACGGAATCCCATCGGGATGCTCCCCGCTCAGGACTGTCACAGGGACAACCGTCCCGCACCTCCTGGCCCATGCACCCTCCCCACCGGCCACACAAGGTCTGGAATGTTCTTCCCTGCCCTTCCTGGGAAAGCCCTGCCTGCCGTGCCTGCCCGCTCCTCTCTACCCTTGACTCGCTTCAGGTGCTTGGTGGAGACGATGGCGGTGAAACTTTCAACAGCGCGCCTGTTTGGGTTTAAGCTTCAGAGAACAGGCGCAGAATCCCTGCACGTGCAAGCACTCCGTGAGTGCTGTGGGATGAACCAGCGATGCTGCCTGAGCCACACACCCGTGGTCTCGGTTCTACAGTTCTCCCTTGGTGACAGGAATACAGACTAGCATGCGTTTCTTTTCCATACTTTTTTGCCTTTATCAAATTTTCTAGGATGAGTACGTACTACTCAGAAAGAAAATAACTATTTAAAAGCCAGAAAACTGCCTTGTTTGTGAGTGTAAGGCTACATAAGCTATTGCCACACACCTGCTCCTGGAAAGGGTGAACGCTGAGGAGAGCGCAACAGATCTGTGGCGAAAGAGCAGGCGGGCATGAAAACTCTTTCTCGTCTAATCCAGAGCAGACGCTCCTGCTTGGACGAAGGGAAGACAGAACTGACGCTCGGGGTACAGACAGGTCCCAAACACACAGCTCCTCATTTGTGTCCTCTGCAGGAATAGCAGTAACCTCTTTTTCACAACTATAACGAACAAATTTTCCTTCTCTCACGCAAACACTTCCAAATACTGATTCTCTCCTAAAGAAATGCAAAGTTCCACAGCCAGCATCAGATTTAAGAGGCAGTTAACTAGGCTGTTTCCCGCCAGGCCGCTGAAAGCCCTCGCTCTGCGGTGCCCCCGTGCAGCAGACGGCAGACATTGGGATTGGGATTCTGTGCCAACAAATGAGACACAAATGACAACCACAGCCATAACTGCCTTTCCTTCCCCGAAACACCACGCTACAGGCAACAGGAAGGAACATGGCCCCAGGGACTTGGTACGGCTTTACTGAAATACAGTTTACATAAAACAAAATCCACCTATTTTAAGTGTGCAATTTGAAAAGTTTGGGCAAATGTATACAGTTGTGTAACCACTACCACAATCAAGATTTAAAACGTTTCTATTCGCTTAAAACATGTCCTAATGCCACACTACGTCACCCTCAATCCAGGCAACCACAACTGTTCCAGCTTAGCTTTTTCTAGAATTTCATACAAATGAAATTGTGCGATAGGCGGTCTTTCCCTCCCGGCTTCTTGCACCTGCTGGGGAATTTTGTAGATTCACTGTATTGCTGCATGTGTCGTGATCCGCTCCTGCGTGGAGCTGAGCAGCATCTCACCATACGGATCTATCACATCACCTGTCACCACTCATGGCAGGATGGACACTTCGGTTCTTTCCAAATATCCTGGGTGGGGCTGCCGCACACGGTCAATCAGTACTTAACTTTTTACGCTTCTCCTAACTGTCAGCGTTGAGGGTCCCAGGACCTCCACACCCACCGACACACGGGATGGCTGTCAGTTTAACTCCAGCTGTTTTTAGGTGGGTGTGTTATCAGCCGCAGCATCCCACTGGGGTTTCATGTCCTGGAGTCTAACTATGTGAGCACCTTTTCGTACACCTGCTAGCCATTTGTGTACCTTCTTTTGGGTCTATTCAAACCTTCTGCCCATTTTTAACCGTTGTTTGTCGTCTTGTTATTTAGTCGTGAGAGTTCTTTACGTACTCTGGACACCAGTTCTTTGTTAGATATAAATATTTTCTCCAAGTCGACGGCTTGCCTTTTCATTGTCTTAACAACGTCTGTCAACCAGCAAAAGTTTTCCTTTAATTTTGAAGTCCTATGTATCGACTTTCTGCCCTATTAGTTCATGCTACTTGTATCCTAGGAAATCTTTCTCCAGCCACAGTCATAAAGACCATCACTGTATTTTACTCATCTATTCTTCGACAATTACTCTCTTTTCAGAAGGACAACTTCAGTGTCACTATGAGCGGGACACACTCTTACTAGCATGGGGCTATGGTAGCTACCACTGCAATCCCAAAGCTGACCAGGCTCCCTCCTTACCCCGAGAGGTCACACCACCAGCCTGCACTGACACCCCTGAAACACTGACCTTCTAGAAACATTCTTTTTTTCTGAGAGAGTCACACCAAGGTCTGGTTAACGAGGCACTCAGAGCATGGACTTCTCTTAAAGCTGATGAATATTCGTGAGCTCCTTTAGAAGGAAGAGATCACACAGTCTCAGGGCACCTGCTCTACCCTCTTCCCTCTACAGCGAGACCCTCCCCACCCCCGCACAAGAAAGGGGCGCTGAGAAGAGTAAGTCCACAGGCAAGTGAAGACCCCATCACATGCACAACAGGCCACACTCAGGACAGCGCTAGAGGCACCATCACACTGGAAATAGCATAAAAAGAGATGGAAACGGTGGCGGAAGATGCTGCAGCCTCTGCCTCTGCCGTGAGCGCAGAGCGCACCGTCAAGCCCAGGTGATGCAACATGCTTCAGCACCAACCAGACTTCGCCATGAGAAGAGTCGCCCCTGGCTCCCATCACAGGAACACGGCAGAATACAAACGCACGCTATCCAATGTCAATCATACCAAAAAGGACACAGCCATGGAAGCCGCAGGTCTATTTTTATAAACACCAGCACCCGGGATTCCTCGCCGAGATGTTCAAACACGGGCGCTGCCTGACACCGGCAACCCTGCCCCGGGACCGCCCCACATCAGGGCCATCCCAGACCTAGCTCCCCAGCACCCAAACCCTCACTGGACCACCCCCTCATCAAGATGCCTGGTCCCCCACCCAGAGTCACAATACGGGGAAGGGTGTGTAGAAGAAATCAAGTCTCAAAGTCACCTCTGAAAATCCCTGAAGCCCTGGGGCTCAATGCCGAGTCAATTCCCTGTGGCTGCGACATACCTAGCACCTTCCCACACAGGGCAGGCTGGCGCGTGCCTGCCCAAGTCCCAGATGAGAAAGGGGGCTGCCTCTGGGAGTTCTGTTGTACCACAAATGCTTTTCTAAAAACCAAGAGGCAGCCCAGCCCTGTACTAGCTCCTCCTGGACACACCTAGGAAAGGATGGGAGTTGTCAAGTGATTTGCTCAGCTGGGCATCCCGAGTGCAGAGCAGTGAGGACAACCACAGACAGGGCCACCTGCAAGGCCTGGCTGGAATCTCCCTGACTCCAGCTGGCCAGCAGGTCCTAGCTAGCCCCTCCCTCCTGTCCCCAGGGTGGACCCTGCTCTTCCCCTAACAGAGGTGCTCCCACTCTCATGCAACACAAACCCACTGCACTTCCAGGGTCCTCGTGTGGGGCCACACCTCTGTTAAGCAGGATCGTCTCCCCACGTGCCCACCTCCGTCACCAGGCTCCATCCCCACAGGCCCTCTCCCTGTATGCCCACCTTGTGACCAGGCACCATCCCCCCAGGGCCCTCTCCTGGCGTGCCCACCTCGGTCCCTGGGCTCCATGCCCCCTGGTCCTCTCCCCACATGCCCACCTTGGTCACCAGGCTCCATCCTCCTGCAGCCCTCTCCCCGCATGCCCACCTCAGTCACCAAGCTCCGTACACCCCAAGCTCCGTACACCCCCACCCCAGCCCTCTCCCCACATGCCCACCTCGGTCACCGGGCTCCATTCCCCCCAGCCCTCTCCCTGCATGCCCACGTTGGTCACCAAGCTCCATCGTCCCGCGGCCCTCTCCCTGCATGCCCACCTCGGTCACCGGGCTCCATCCCCCCCTGGGCCCTCTCCCCACATGCCCACCTCGGTCACTGGGCTCCATCCCCCCTCCCCCAGTCCTCTCCCCGCATGACCACCTCGGTCACCAGGCTCCGTCCCCCAACTCCAAGCTGCAGCATCTGCACTGTGCCTCCACTGGCACCACCCACCAGCCCCATCATGGCTGCTGGTTCTCCAGGTGCAGCAGTGCCCACGCCCGCCTTCCACATCTGCCCCCACTATCCCCACCATCAGGATGTGCCGAGACCCTGCAAGCGGGGTTCCCAGGCTGAGCTTCTGTGCGAGTGTCTGTGACCTGTCCAGGAAGTGGATCCCAAACATGTGCCCTGCAGGGCAGTGGTGAGCATGGGAGGCGCACACAGTGCCTGGCACCAGCCAGCATCCAGCAGCCACAACACACAGGCCCACTTCTGCGTCCCCTGCTCAGTGACCACCGCCCTCTTTCTGATTCTGTCTCCAGTGTGTCATCAGGACCAACATCTAGAACCCAGGCCAGACCTTCTGGCTCTTCCACTCCACAGCCTTCAGGGGTCCCCACTGCCTGCAGAGGAAGGCCCTGCTCTCCACATCGTCCTGGGTCTCATCTACCTGAGTCACACCCATACTCACACCTGCAGAGAAGCACCACGGCCCAGATCCCTGCCTGCCCCAGCCCCGCACCCTGCCCCTCATCCACCGTGCACCCCAGCCCAACTCCCAACTCCCCAGCAGTCCACAGCTGCCACCAGGGTCACTCCAGAGGGAGGCAGGGCCCGGGCAGAGGTTCCAGAGCCCGGGTTTCTAGCCCCAGGCCCCACCAGTCACGTGGCCTTGAGCAGTTCATAGAAATGCGAGCCTCAGTGTCTCGTCCCTAGGCAGGTTTCACGACACCATCGTCACAAAGACTAAACACGGTGCCAGAGACGACGGCACTCAAGATGCTTGGAGCAAAGTGACTGCTTCAGACCTGCTGCAGAAACCCAACCTGTCACGGAGCACACAGCAGCCCCACGGAGCAGCCTGTCCCCAAGGCAGGGAGTCAGCCTCACCCGCTCACCCCATCTTCACCCAACGCCTACTGTCACACGCTGGAGTTGTAAGTACTCACGGAGGACACCTGACAAACTGTTTTTCTACAACCTTCCATGAAGATGAGGCCACAACAGTCAAAACAGGTAACACCCAGAGCCCCCAGAGGACACTGCAGACCAGAAGGTTCTGCACAGCAGCGACCAGGGCACAGCAGCAGAAGGAAGGGCTCCTCCCCCACATGACCTATCCTCGGCCTCTCATCATCCTCCCCTCCAGGGTCCCGGCCTGGCTCTGCTCCCCATGGACCACTCCATGTCCCATCACTCACCGCTCCCTTCTCCTGCCAGTCTGGACCTGGGCACAGCAAGAGTCTCCTCCTGGCACCTCTGCCCCATAGGAGGCAACTTCTGACGACTCTTCCCAAAACGCCACAATGCCTGCTTGTGCTTGTACATGGAGATTCCAGACAGGTGCCCCCACCCGCTGAGAGCAGCCCGGGGTGCTGGCAGCACAGTCTCCTCTCTCCCCCACCCCTCCCCAGCAAGACCCACCAAAACAAGAGTAAAGGAATTTAAATGGTCAAAGCCCCAATAAAAAGAGAAGAGAAGGACAAGAGAGTTCAATAAACCCAGTGCAGGCTCCATGAGAGCCACAGGGCTCCGGAACAGCAGAGGCCCGCCCGGGAGGGCACACCCCTGCTGCTGATAGGACGGGCATCTAGGCATCACCCAGAGCCACCTGCCAGGCTCCAGGCAGAAGGAAGAAGTCACGGCAGAAAGGACCTCTGCCGAGGAAACACACACACATTGGCCCCAAGAGATCAGAACCCCCACACCTGGCCCCCCAGAACAAGGCATGCCCAGCGCTGCTTCCTCCTGCACCCACCCAGCAAGGCCCCTTTCTGCCACTACCCACGCTGCCCTGGGCACTGGGGAATCAGTGGAGACCCCAGGCAGGGCCCCTCCCACAGAGCAGCTCAGAGCTGGGAAGAAAACATTTTCACCCCTCACAGGGGAAGCATCTGAAGTCAACAGCACACTCTCGAAAAGTTACAAGGAGGTTCAGAAAGGGAGGAAATCACCATGGAAATCACGTCCAAAATGAACCTCAGCCCATGGCCCCCAGTGTCAAGTGGAAGGCAGGGTGCAGGGCAGCCCCGCAGGCGCTGGGGCTGAGGAGCAAGAAGGGACCAAGTCCCCTGTGGGACCGGCAGCCTTGGGAGGGTTCCAGCGAGGCCCCGGCCTGCGCCCCAGCCAGTCACAGAGGCCCCTTCCTGCCCACTGGCCAGACACCCAGGGTGCTCAGCTCTTGACGTGGGACACCGGGGGTTCTGGGCCCACTGTGCCTGAAGCAATCACAGGGCGTCACCGCCCGGCCTGGCTACTCTCAGGCCTCCTCTCACACGATACTCCTGTCAGGCAGGGAGCCACCCAGCAATGCTCCCTCCCCACAGGGCCCTGGGACTGCCCTCCCCAGGCTGCACGTGCAGAGGGAACTTCGTCATCTCGGCCCTGCAGCATGAGTCCCATCCACCGTTCACTCCCACCCCTCTCACCGCCATAGGACACAGGGCTGGGCCTGTCCCAGACCTGTTTTCCCACCACCAAGAGCCCTGATCCACAGAGGCCACCCTCCCTCCCCATCCGCTCGGTGACCCCCACAGCCATCAAGACAGTCCCTCAGTCCCCACAGTCCCTCCTCTGAGGGGCCTGGCCCCTGCCATGGCACCACTTCAGAACCTCATGGCAGGTGGCCTGTGGCCCTCAACGCTGCCCCTGCCAAGCCTCCTGCAGCCATCACTGGCCAGGCCATCAATACCTCAGGGGCGTCCCGGGTAGCAGGGATGCAGTGATGACAAACAGATCCACCCGTGAGGAACCTGCACCCACAGGACATGCTCCATTCTGGATATCTGCCACCCCTTCCTGGACAAACCAAGGTTGCCGCCTCCCACCAGGCTCTAGGGCCTGCAGACACACGACCAAACCCCTGCAGGGCCATGTCACCTCCACAACCACAAGGAAGAGAGATGACAGGAAGGCCACCTTCCCCTTCTGCGTCCTGCACCGTGGACTCCCTGCATCCCCGCAGCACAGCATGGCCACCGAGCACCGCAGACGTGCCCAGGCCAACCAGCTCCAAGTGGGGTGCAGTAGCGGGGTGCAGGCTAAATGACAGTGGCCTGGATGAAGTGGCTGACATGAAGCATGTCAAAGGCTCAACCTCCCCCTCCCGCCCCACCCATCCTCATCCAGCCTAACTCCCACCGACCCGAAGCACGAATCCAAATGGGGCGCACTTTGTTTCCGCTATTGAGCATGGCTCCAAGATCTCTCCTTAAAATACAAACAGGAAAAAACAAAGAAACTGTCCTTTGACCCCCTCACCACAGTCAGTGACCTACTTCTCCATCTCCTCCTGAACCTGACCCCCAGCACTGCCATCTGGAACCAGCCGCCTCCAGTCAGCTGAGATCGACAAACCCCAGGGTGCCCTGCCCCGCACCAGCTCCACACCCCAGCCCCAGCCCGTGTGTGCCCTGTGGGTCACTGCCTCCCCTGCATCACTAGAATGTCCCCGCCCAGGTGTCTGGGCTGGGATCTTGTCACCTCCCCCACAACAGATGGGCAAGTGTCCCATGGCTTGAACACCACCGTCCCCACATTGCACCCCTATGTGAACTGCAGGCTCACGCTCCAGGTGCCTCGCGCCACCCCCCACACCCCAGGTCCCTCACACCGCCCCCCACACCCCACACCCCGGGTCCCTCAAGCCACCCCCACAACACCAGGTCCCTCACACCACCCCACCCCCACAGTACCAGATCCCTCGCGCCATCCCCCATATCCCAGGTCCCTCAGGCCATCCCCCACACCCCAGGTCCCTCACGCTGCCACTCGTACCATCAGGTCCCTCACACCACCCCACAAAACGCCATTTCCTTCACACCATACCCCATGACATCAGGTCCCTTCCGCCACCCCCCACAACACCAGGTCTCCAGGGCTGGAACCATGTGACCCAAGGCAGGTGGCAGCCCTTCCCACACAGGAACTCTGGTGGCACGCCCACAACCTCCAAGGCACTGAGGAGATGCCATCCCCAAGCCCAGCCTTCGGGCCCAGGCAGAGCTGCGTCTGGCCCACAGAGCACCCGAAAGTGGAAGAGGGTGGCCCTATCACCTGTCCAGAATCACAGCCTCCAAGACGCCCAGTCCGTGCTTTCCCAACTCTCAGAGCTCTGCGTCTAATCGATGGTGGGGCGAAGGGAGAGCCACGGCGGCCCTGAGTGCAAGCACCATCCTGAAACCAGGAGCCCATGAGGCCGCGGGAGCCGGAGGACCAGGACCGCCCTCGCACTGCCCTGTGACGAGCTCCCGGCCCAGCTCTCTGCCGCTCTGGATCCGTCACTAAGCAGCTCCATTAAGTGCCCGGTCAGGCAGGAGCGGCAGGGAAACACTGGGGCACCCACATCTGAACAGAGAAGATGCCCACCTTGAGAAGGTACTCTGGAGAAGGGAGCCACGAGCGACGTTTATGCTGAGAAGCGGCATCCGTGCACCTCACCTCCGCCCGTCCACGCCGACCTGCAGCACTCCCCAAGCAACTCCGCCAGCAAGCTGCCAGATCCACAAGGTCTCACCTGAGCTACTGCCGAGTGAACGTTTGTTGACCAACCAACCAAACTCATCCCCCTGGCCCACCAAGGCCAAGCACGGTCTGAGGCCTGCTGGCTGTCCACCCGTATCCCACCCTGCCCCCAGGCACAAGCCGAACCACCCAGCACTCTGTGCAGACAGACACAGACAATGACCAAGTCTTCTCGGCTGAAACTAGGGAGAGGCCTGCATCACTTCTGAGCAAGGGCCTTAAGACCAGGAGTGCCTCTTGGCCACTTGAAGCCCTTGCAGCCGCAGGACTGCAGGGACTGACGGAGATGAGCCTCCCCAGGCAGATGAGGTGGCCCAGACCTAGCAGACAGCCACCAGCTGGGGGGAGCCCAAGCACTGGAGGGCCCACAGGACCCAGTAGGATCGTCGGGTGAGGCCACGCGCCACACAGACCCACCCCAGTGCAACAGCCCCTCACCATGCACTCAGGATATTCCCTTCTGTGGATTTTCTCTTTGAAAGCCCCTGTGCTTTAGTGGTTTTAAGTTGTAAGTTTGCTCCAAGCTGAACCATTTCCAGTCTCTCTCAGCAGCACAAGCATGAAGGAGGCGGCCTGAAGGAGTGACAGGTGCCCTGTGGCATGCAGCCTCCATTAAGGGGCCACGGGGTTTTGGAGAAGCTGGTCACCTCTGTGAGCCTCAGCGTCTCTGTGGAAGGGGACTCTCTTCCAGGACTTTCTGGCTCTAGAGATCTACAGATCTGTGAATTTGTGCACGCCAACATGCGGCAGGAAGGCGAGGACTGCACACACAAGAGCAAAGCGGCCTCCATCACAGCCATGCTACCTCTGCCATCGCTGCGCTGGAGGCCAGGAGAGACGCCAACCTTGCAACAAATGCTACTCCACCACATAAGGCTCTCAGCAACGGCCACGCCATGTCCTTCCACCCCAAGAGCTGACAGCTCTTTGCTCTGGGCCACCCTTCCTGCAACCTCCTCCACCAGGCTCCTGCACCCAGGTGTCCACCCTCACCACCCCACTCCCAGCACTGCTGGCCAGATGCACCCTATGAATGCTGGCCTCTCCCGGCACTCCTCTCTGGCTCCCAAGCTGGCCCAGCCTTGGAGGTGCCGGCACCTGCAGGGCAGCCTCCTACGGCTCTTCTAGTCTACTCTACAGGCTCATAACACCGTCATGGCCATCAGAGCCAGCAACACCACGACTCCCAGACCCTGGCCTGTGCCAGCTGCTCCCCTGAGCTCCTGCCTCCCACCAGCCACCGACATTCCCTCTCACCCCGCCTGCCCACCTCAATCTCATTCCACAAGAGCCTTTGTCTTCACCCCTCCCTCCAGCCCATCCACACCTCCCTAAGCCCCACCATCTGCCCCAGGCCCCTGCCACAACCACCCCCACATTCCACAGCTCAGACGCAAAAGTGACCTCAACATACAACTTTAAATTATGCCCTATCCAGCTTCAAACCCTCAATGGCTTCCAGCCACTGAGGCACTTGGAATCAATTCACACTGCCTGCGGGCAGTCCTGCAATACAATCGATTCACGCTGCCTGCGGGCAGTCCTGCAAGACAATAGACTCACGCTGCCTGCGGGCAGTCCTGCAAGACAATAGATTCACGCTGCCTGCGGGCAGTCCTGCAAGACGATCGATTCACGCTGCCTGCGGGCGGTCCTGCAAGACGATCGATTCATGCTGCCTGCGGGCAGTCCTGCAATACGATCGATTCACACTGCCTGCGGGCAGTCCTGCAAGACAATCAATTCACACTGTGCAGTCCTGTGATATAATCAATTCACACTGTGTGCAGGCAGCCCTGCAATACAATCAACTCACACTGCCTGGGGGCAGCCCTGCAATAAAATCAATTCACACTGCCTGGAGGCAGCCCTGCAATATAACCAATTCACACTACTTGGGGGCAGCCCTGTGATACAATCAATTCACACTGTGTACAGGCAGCCCTACAATATCAATTCACACTATCAGAGGGCAGCCCTACAATCTACACGGGGGACCCCTGCATCTACTCTTTCCTTGGCCTGGATACAGGTCCCAGCTGCATGTGGCTGACCCCTTTCTCATCCCTCAGCCTCCTGGGAAAGCCTTCCCTGACTACCCTGCCCAGCAGTCCCCTCTCACCCAAGGGTGCTAATCACAATCAGACATTCCTGCTGATCTGTTTGCCTGTTAACTGCCTGGCCCCCACAACGGACACACCATGAAAGCAGGGGCTGTCAGCCTGGGACCCCCCACAGCTGAACCCTGGTACCCTCATCAGCCTTCCCCCGTGGCCCAGTACACACCCTCGGAATGTGCTCATGCAGGCCAGGCGCAGTGGCTCACACCTGTAATCCCAGCACTCTGGGAGGCAGAGGCAGGCGGAGCACTTGAGGTCAGGAGTTCGAGACCAACCTGGCCAACAAGGTGAAACCCCGTCACTACTAAAAATACAACAATTAGCTGGGTGTGGTGGTACATGCCTGTATTCCCAGCTGCTCGGGAGGCTGAGGCATGAGAATCACCTGATCCCGGGAGGCGGAGGTTGCAGTAAGCTGAGATTGCGCCACTGCACTCCAGCCTGGGTGATGGAGTGAGACTCTGTCTCGAAAAAAAAGAAAAAAACAAGAACGCGCTTATACAAATAGGCACAGTTGGCGAGAATAAATAGCCAACATCCACATGAACGAGGTCTAATTTCACTCAAAGAAATGCAACTTAAAACTAGACACGATTTTCTTCCTTTAGAATGGTATCCATTCCCAAAAGTCGTATTCTGGCAATGGTTTTAAAAGTGTAATCTGGTGGAAGGTGATATGTATCAAAGCCTTGAAAATGCTCAACCCACCAGACACACACACAGTTAGACATGAAGGCATTCACCTACAGGGGGCCACTTGTCGCCATCAGCACAGCACCCTGGCACAGGGGCCGTTACCAAATGCTGGAGCCTGAGACCACCGAGGGCCAAGGGAAAGTGCACCAGACACAGGACAAGGCAAAGCACAGACTTGGGTCACAGGAGAACTGTAATTACAGAAAAACACAG
Source organism: Homo sapiens (assembly GCF_000001405.40). Taxonomy (NCBI): domain Eukaryota; kingdom Metazoa; phylum Chordata; class Mammalia; order Primates; family Hominidae; genus Homo; species Homo sapiens. The sequence goes on from NC_000020.11 coordinate 62,056,678, forward strand.
AAGCAGATATGCAGCAGACACAGGCTGAAGTGAGACACCCCGAAATTTTAGCAGTCTGGGCCAGGTGACGTTACAAGTGACTGTATTTTCTTCTTTACAGTTTACTTCCCAAACTTCCTATAATGAAAAAAAAACTAATTTTATCATCAAAAAAATCATGTTGAAGTAACTAATAATTTTTTACACTTACAGTTACATAAAAAAGCCAATCGAGCCTGCTTCCCGTGTCACCCTTGTTCCTGTCATGATGCTTCTGACACTGACATTCGTAACCTTCTGCAAAGCTCCAAAGCAAGGCAGGCCTGTGCGTTCTGGGCATGCTCTGAGCACCGTGCGTGGCTCCTATGAACACCACGGAGACCACGCTCCTCCGCAGAAGACACAGAACTTCCTTTAAAAACTTTCACAGGTCATTGTCCCACACACTTTACTGCAAAGTCAGAAAATGAAAGGCTGTGTCCCCCGACCCCATGGAACAAGGTGCCCACCTTGCCACCGGCAGCACCTCTGCCCACAGTGTCTGCAGCCCCCAGTGGACCAGCTGACCCACAAAGCCTCTGCCCCAGGTGTGCTTGGGCCACACCCAGCGCCCAGAGAAGGGTTCAGCTCCCTGGCTCCTAGTGTCCTGCCTTGTCCACGCACTGTCCACTCAGACCTCTGACCCCAACCCCGAAACAATTCCCTTGGGAGCCACAGACCTTCTTACTGCAGGGCCCTCATTCTAAAACCTAATGTCAAATTTGATAGACAGAAAAAACTGTTTCTGGGGTTTCCTGACTATTCGGAAATGGTCCCTCCAAGATCCATGTACCCCAACACCACCCTACCTGGCTACGCTCCTCTCACAACTTTGAGATCAAGATGCCACGTGTGCCTTCCTCACATCGGCGCTTTCCAGTGATGCCCAGTGGGGGACACAAAGGGCCCAGCAAGACCTCAGGAAGGACGGACACAGGCCTACACACCAGGCCACAGACAATGGGGCTCGGGGGGCCAACCTCAGCAAGACCTCAGGAAGGACGGACACAGGCCTACACACCAGGCCACAGACAATGGGGCTCGGGGGGCCAACCTCAGCAAGACCTCAGGAAGGACGGACACAGGCCTACACACCAGGCCACAGACAATGGGGCTCGGGGGGCCAACCTCAGCAAGACCTCAGGAAGGACGGACACAGGTCTACACACCAGGCCACAGACAATGGGGCTCGGGGGCCAACCTCAGCAAGACCTCAGGAAGGACGGACACAGGTCTACACACCAGGCCACAGACAATGGGGCTCGGGGGGCCAACCTCAGCAAGACCTCAGGAAGGACGGACACAGGCCTACACACCAGGCCACAGACAATGGGGCTCGGGGGCCAACCTCAGCAAGACCTCAGGAAGGACGGACACAGGTCTACACACCAGGCCACAGACAATGGGGCTCGGGGGCCAACCTCAGCAAGACCTCAGGAAGGACGGACACAGGTCTACACACCAGGCCACAGACAATGGGGCTCGGGGGGCCAACCTCAGCAAGACCTCAGGAAGGACGGACACAGGCCTACACACCAGGCCACAGACAATGGGGCTCGGGGGCCAACCTCAGCAAGACCTCAGGAAGGACGGACACAGGTCTACACACCAGGCCACAGACAATGGGGCTCGGGGGGCCAACCTCAGCAAGACCTCAGGAAGGACGGACACAGGTCTACACACCAGGCCACAGACAATGGGGCTCGGGGGGCCAACCTCAGCAAGACCTCAGGAAGGACGGACACAGGTCTACACACCAGGCCACAGACAATGGGGCTCGGGGGCCAACCTCAGCAAGACCTCAGGAAGGACGGACACAGGTCTACACACCAGGCCACAGACAATGGGGCTCGGGGGCCAACCTCAGCAAGACCTCAGGAAGGACGGACACAGGTCTACACACCAGGCCACAGACAATGGGGCTCGGGGGGCCAACCTCAGCAAGACCTCAGGAAGGACGGACACAGGCCTACACACCAGGCCACAGACAATGGGGCTCGGGGGGCCAACCTCAGCAAGACCTCAGGAAGGACGGACACAGGCCTACACACCAGGCCACAGACAATGGGGCTCGGGGGCCAACCTCAGCAAGACCTCAGGAAGGACGGACACAGGTCTACACACCAGGCCACAGACAATGGGGCTCGGGGGCCAACCTCAGCAAGACCTCAGGAAGGACGGACACAGGTCTACACACCAGGCCACAGACAATGGGGCTCGGGGGCCAACCTCAGCAAGACCTCAGGAAGGACGGACACAGGTCTACACACCAGGCCACAGACAATGGGGCTCGGGGGGCCAACCTCTCCAGTCCCCAAACACAGTCCCCAACAGACAACTTCTCCTGTCCCCACATGCGGCTCCCAACAAACAATTTCTCCTGCCCTCACACGCGGTTCCCAACGACAACTTCTGCTCCACAACATGACACCCACGGTGGGAGAAGCTGGGGGCACTTCACTACATCATCCTGCACACTGCAGCATGGCCTGCTCCAGGCAGAAGGCAGGCCTGGAGAAGAGCCTGGGACCACCGCGGACTGACCAACAGCGGACACCAGGTACTTTCTCAAATGGGAGAGGGGCCTCATGGTGGACAACATGTATCTCTTTGTTTTTCGAAAGCTGTACATCTTTGGTGCAAATGTTCATTTGAGATATGTAAAAATCAAAAGTTTTCACTCAAAACTTTCATGGTCCAACCATGGAAATATTAAGCACCCCATTTTCGAACATAACTTGACAGCACTTATTCTACTTCATTATTCCACGCAAGAATTGGAAAGAACAGCTGTGTACGTGTTTGCAGCTGACACCACAATGCCATAGCAACCGCAGGCCCACCTGGAAGCAGAAGCGTCCAGGAAGCCCAGGTGCACAGCACTCGGCACAGAAGGGCCTGCAGCCAAAAGCCCCCTTTATTTAACTGCTTTATTGCTATCAAAGGCCTGATTAAGTAAACGCCCCCATCACGCTGCCTGAGCCGGGCACCACAGGTGAACACCCTAAACAGCAACTGTTTCCTGGATGATCGAGGGCTTGGAGGTTCCTACTGAGCACCATGAAGAAGAAAAGCAAAGCACTTCGGGAACCCTGCAAATTACCCCAAATCTCAGGCAAGCTTCTCCAGAGCCCTGTTACACCTCTGCTTCAAGATCCTCAAACACAGCTGCTAATTATGCTTTGATCAACTCACTTACAACCAACAATTTATAAAAGCTTTCTTCAAATTTATCCCTTAAGTGGAAGAAAACTCACATTATACAGTAGAAAAGGCTTTGGAGGTAGAACAGGAACTGTCTCCATTCCACTCTGATTTCGGGATGCGGACACGCCCACCAGTCTGTTCTGCTGAGCCCGGTCTGTGCTGCTCTGACCAGACGCCGCCTCCCGGCCTCCCTGTGCTGATGTCTAAGGGGCAACTTCCACAGCACACCGGGGAGCCCGGGGGCAGTCCTGGAAGCCAGGGTGGCTCTGCTCTCTGCCCTGGGAGAAGGCCAACTTCCCAGGCGCCCGGGGCCTGCCTCAGGTCCATTTGCCACAGAAGCAAGCGGGACACCCTCTCCTACAAAGCTTCTCACAGGCCCTAAGAACCAGGGCAACCGTAACGAACTTCAAACGTCATCCTCTGTTCAAACTCATAGACCTCTGCTGTGAATGCAGTGCTCGGGCACAGTAAGCAGTGAGGAGAGAGGCTCCTAAGAGCGTCACAGGACCCCGACTCCTGGCTGCCACTAAGCCATGAGGGTCACCAGCTCTGAGACACCAAAGGCAGGTGAGGTCCATCCCAACCTGTCACCAAGATGACTCTGTTCATCCCGAAGGCGATGGTGACGACCCCAGCCGCGGGGCAGGGGGCAGGGAGGAAGGGAAGACCCAGAGCGGCGCCCTTGCCCTATGCTAGGCAGAGCTGTCCAGGGCTGTCTTTACACAGCTCCCCAAAAGTTCTTTTTCTTTGTTCTTTTCAAATGTCACTCCTACCTGAGTATGTCAAAAGAAACACCAGATTAAGGCCTCTAGCCTAAAGTGAGCCCTCCACCCAGGTCCAGGCCTCCAAAGGCCACTGCAACCCTCCCCTATGTTGGCAACCACCGCCCCAGGGTGACCCACCTCAGACCTCGGTAACTTCCCCATTGACAGAACCAGTCAGCTGCCACACCAAACACCTCAGTCACTGAGAAAACATCCAGTCTGGATTAATGTGTGAAAATCAGTGAAAAATGAGGGGAACTGGGAGAGTTTGGAATAGTGAGCGCCACCTGACAGCTATGTTATCTGGCCCAACCTGACAGAATTCACATTCTTCACCAAAAGGGCAACCCCACTTTACAGCTGGGTAAGCCAAGGCTCCGAGGAACAACATATTCCTCCCAGGTCAAACGGCAACAGGGCCCTCAAGTCACAAAATCTAAACTTTTAGGAATGTCCCTTGTGCCAGAGCACTGGCTGCCACCACTGGCCACCAGAACTCACAGCTCCTGCAACCTCAGGGGTGGCCGTCTGCATGCCGCCACCCAGCATGGGCCTGGACTCGCCAAATCCAACCCGTCCCAACAGCGCGATTAAGGGCTAGTGGACATTTTCCCCCTTTCCCCACAGATGGGAACCAATGCTCCAGACAGCACCCACAGACACACATTCACCTGGGAGTACTCATCCTAAAACATGCAGCAAGCACACGCCCCCTAGGCCAAGGGATCAAGGCCCATGGTGAGAAAGTGCTTTTCTGTCCTGGAATGGGAATCTACACTTGGGCCAAATCTTAGAGCAAAAGGAGAGTAAATTCTGCATGAAAGCACAATAGACCAAGATACACTGAAGAAAATGTGAATTTGCCAGGCCAAAAGATAACCTTTAGAAATGAGCTTCTTTACCTTACACCGATCTGAAAAGATCTCTCAACAATTTACCAACATGCTAATGTGGGTGTCAAATCACCTTTTTCTTCTTTCAGCTGTAATCACAACCTGACTATGACGTTATGACTATCCTAAGCTGTACATAACTAGTGCTTTTCCGTGATCTTGGGACAACTGTGTCATCTGCAACAATCTCACTAAAGACTGAGTTTTCTCATTTTTCCTCAGTGAATAAAATCTAAACTCTGGCACCTCAAACCAGCAAATTACAATTACATTAACATAACTGTCTTTACAACACTGTCCTGACAAAGAATATCATGACAGCTACCTAAACCAAATTCAACATACCCGGTGTGCACTATGGGGCTGAAACACTCGGGCCTAAGGCTTAGCCTTAAAGACTTCAGGGTGAAACCTCTGTCCCCTCCCTTCTCCCACCCAAGACCTCCACGGAGGGAAGGCTGGGAAGGGCAGGCCCTTTCACACCCCATCCAATTGCCACCCGTCTGCTACTCCACTTGACACCCACATGCAGCTTTGAGAACCCTGCCCACCCCTAATACTCCCGGCTCCTCCTCAGTTTGCAAGACTGAGTTGTAATGAGAATGAGTTATTAACCAAGCAAGAGTTATTTTTATAAGTTACTTCCATCTTTGTTCTAAACATTTTTATTACGAAATATTTCAATGAAAACGGAACCAACTAGAACAATTTAATATTCTCTGATCAATCGATTACAGGAAGTAACCAGAGTATTTGCAATTTGCCATTCTGATTTACAGAATTAAGTTGTACTGTTCAAAAGAAGGTACTCTGGTTTGGGATACTGGTAGTTTTATTGATACTTTTTTTTTTTGCTTTGGTTATTATTGAAACAAATAACATAATCAAAATTCCTCATCAGTAGATCAACTGCAGGAGGCCATGAAGAGATGGGGTAAATCTCTCACTTTTTTAGATAGTAGCATTCGGCTCCTTGAAAGCACCGCTCTCAGCACTGCCACCCAAACGTCTGTGTGAGCTGTTCCTCTGTCCTCACACACAGGAATCACGCACAGTCAACACTCCTACAGTTGTTTTTCAAGTTGTCTCTTCATCAAACACACCCGACCCTAAAACTGATCTTAAAACAGAAGATGGAAGTGAGTCCCAGGATCACTCATGATAAACACAGCAGAGATGCCCTCTTCCAACCACGTATTCCTTCACCTCCTCCCAGAAGAAAGAGACAGATGAGGCTTTACCTCTGCAGTGGCTCAGAGCAAGAGGACCTGGCCAGCCCCACAAGACAGAGTCCAATACCTACCCAAAGGGGTGCAACAGGCACCTGGCCTGCGCTGAGACACGTGGGACCTCTGGAAAAACATTTTTATAAATAAAGCATTGTGACAGTTTACATAATAGATCACAGCCATCAAACATCTTTTTACAACGTTACTAAAGATCAGCCACGTTTCCTACTAAAAGGTCAACATACACATAACAGCAAAACCAAGCCTCTGGCAAAACACCCCTACAAACGCTTCAGTACCCCAAAAGCTTGTCGTAAAGGGCGTCTCAGCAACCCCGGGAAGTAGCTTCACAGCTCTCTTCCTCCCTGGAGCACTGCAGCCTAGCAGCCGCCCAGACAGGCTTTCCCCACCCCTGCCCTGTCCAGAGTCTGACCACCAGCCCCGAACCTCACATACTTGGACAAGAAATCCTTTCACTTCTGAAGATTCTGCAACCCTGTCAAAGTGACCAATAGCTCCATTCAGAGAGGGGACGCAGGAGGGACCCACGCTCTCCTTGCAGTTCCTACTACTGCTGCCACCGCGCTGCTACAACTGCACGGCACGCGTCACCACAGGCCGGGGAGGAGCTCCCCTGCCCAGCACCCACCACGGCGGCTGGGGAGGGACGGGGAGCCCCAGACAAAAGCAGCAATGCTGGCCAGGCAATCTTTCCTGTCAAACTTGAGGGGCCCTGAGGAGTCGCAGAGACAGCAGACTAGACAGGAGCGTGAGAACTGCCAGGCGGAAGTGGCGTCGGAGCCCCAGGCATCCGCAGCATAGCCAGTATCGCCCCGAGACCCCTGCACGGAGCGAGAACATCTGCTGCCACCGCCCTCCCACTGCCCTCCCGAGGGGGCAGCAACCAGAGTAGCTAGGCGCTCCTTCCTTTAGGCACCAACGCAGCTCTGGAAGAGACAGTGACACACACGGTGCTGAAACCCTACTCCACAGCGTGGCTCTCAGCAAGGCTGCGCGCCGGGAGGACTCTCGCAGGATGCGCCTGACATCTCTCCCTGCCTGGTGGCAGCAGAGGAGCCCAAGCCTTCCATCCAGAGTTCCCGAGCCTCAAGGAGGGGGCGTCGCGCCCCCGTCCTCGCCTGGAGACTGAAGAGGCTCGAGCCCAGGGTCACCAAGGGGCAGAAAGGCTAAGTGGGGACACAGGCCACACGCCTAACTGCAGAACTGAGCAGGGGACAGCTGCTGCCACTCACAGCCCCAGGTACTGCCCTCAGCTCTGCAGACCCCATCGCCTGGCCCAGGGAGCCCCTGCGCTGAGCCTACCAACCCGGGCAGGGACGCATAGGGCGGGAGCAGGTAAGGACCACTCCACTAAGAGTCCTGGCTGAGCCACTCCGAAACAGACCAGCCCCAGGCACAGGCAGCCAGCGCGGACGTCAGGGACAGCGACAGGGACGCAGGCTATGCCGACTCCCTCTGGCTCACTCGCAGACAGCCACCCGGGCTGGCCCCGCACCTGGGTAGAGACTGCCCCTCGGCCTGCTCCAGCCACGGGCCTACGGGACAGATGACCTTAGCATTCCACCAGCGGAGAACTTCCTGGAACTGGCAGCTGGCGCTGCTGGGAGCCGCCCTTCCCTCCCGCCCCGTGCGGCCACTCACCTGGGGGCAGCTGGAAGTTCTGGATGTTGGTCGGGTTCTGAGGCGGCTGCGGCAAGCGGGGGGCCAGCACGGTGGGCGTCAGGGTGGCCCGAATCCCGCTGGTGGTGGCCGTGGGCGTCCGGGACAGGCTCTGGGTCACTGCGCCGGCCGCGCCTTTGGGCAGCCCGGTGGGGGTCCCGGGGGCGGGCGGCGGGACGGCGGCCGGGCTGGGCAGCGCCCCTTGCATAGTTGGCCCGATGACCATGCTGGCCGCCGTGCTGGCCGGGCCGCTGGCCGCCAGGGTCTGCGCCGCCGGGGGCGCCGCCTGCACCACCCTCTTGGGCGACTCGGCCTTGACCCCCGGCGCCGGCGCCGCAGCCGCCGCGCCGGGCCCGGGTTGGCCGCTGACCCCCGCGGGGCCCCCGGCGGCCGGGGCGGGGGCGGGGGCTGCCCCGGCGCTGCCCCCGTTCTGGGCGGCGGCGGGGGGCGGCACGGCGGGCGCGGCGGTCGGGGGTCCGGCGGGGTGGCCGGGCGGCCGGGCCAGAGTGGCGGGCGCGGGGGGTGGCGGGGGCGGGGCGGCGGCGGGGGCGGCGGGCGCGGGGGCGGCGGGGGGCGAGGGCGCGGCGGGCGCGGGGGGCGCGGCGGCGCCCACGAAGGGGGGCGTCTGGATGACAGTGCCGGGGGCGGCGGGCTTGGGCAGCGGCAGCAGCGCGGCGGGCCCGTTGTTGACCAGGCTGACAGCAGGTGCGGCGGCGTGGTGCGAGTTCAGCAGCGCGGCGCTCCCATTCAAAGTTTGCGCGGCGCCGGGGCCGGCGGGCTTGCCAGGGCCAGGGCCGGGGCCGGGGCCGGGGCCGGGCCCGGGGCCGGGGCCGGCGCGGGCGGCCAGCGCGGCGGGGCCGGCGGGCTTGGCGGGGCCGGCGGGGGCGGGCTCGGGCCCCGCGGCGACGGCGGCGGCGGCGGGCACCGGGGCGCAGGACCCCGCGCTGCCCTCGGGCGGCGGCCTCAGCTTCGCGGCGGGCGGCGCGGGCCCTGCGGGGACAAGGGGGCGGCGCGGTGAGGGGGGGCCCGGGCGCTGCGGCCCCCCGCCCCCCGGCCGCGCTCTACCTGCGGGGGGCGGCTCCGGCGCCGCTCCGGGCGCGCCCTCGGCGGGGGCGGCCGGCCCTGCGCCCGCGGCTCCGGCCGGGCTGCCGCTCACAACATGGTTCCCGAGCGCGCCGGCGGCCGCGGCCCGCACCTCGGGCGTGCGCGGCGCGAGGTGGTGGTGGTGGGCCGCGCTGGCCGCCAGCTGCGACTCCAGCGAGCCCACCAGGTCGCTCACCACTTTCTCGTCCACCTCGCTGTTGAAGAAGACCTCGTCCAGCAGATCCGAGCCCGCCGCCATCTTTTTTCCTCGGCCGCCGCCGCCGCCGCCGCTCGGGCCGAGCGCGCCTGGGCGAGGAGGAGGTTCCGACTGGGGCGGGCGCTGGGCGGGCGGGGGGCGGCGCGCGGCCGGCGGGGGGCGGGGGCGCGCGGCCGGGGGGCGGGGGAGCGGGGGTGGCGGCCCTGCGCAGGCGCGGAGACCGCGGGCGCCCGGCGATTGGCTGCGGCGCGCGCTTAAAAGGCGCGGCCAATGGCTGCGAGCGCTAGAGGCCGGGGCGCGGGCGGTCGGCCGGGGTGCGGCAGCAGCGGCGGGAAGCGCGGGGGCTGGAGCTCAGGGGCGCGGGCGCCGGGGCGGTGGCGGACGGGGAGGGGGCCGCCGGGCGGGGCGCGGGATGCGGGAACGGTGCGCTGGGCCGGGCCGAGGCGGGCGCGGGGCGGCGACGGGGCCTCGCTCTTTGTCTCGGCTCGCTCCAAAATGGCTGCGGCGGCGCTGACGGGAGCGCCGGGCGGGCGCCGTGCGCGGTGGCAGCGGCGGCGCAGGGCCCGTCCGAGGCCCGGGGAACAGCGCGCGGGGATGCCGGGGCGCCGCCGGGCGGCGCGCAGGCCCTGGAGTGGATGGGCCTGGGAGGCGGGCGGGAACGGGGAGGGGACTGTCGCAGCGCGCCCTGGGGACGGGGACCGGCGCCCGGCCCCTCCAAGCCGCCGCGGGGAAGCTGGGTCCGCCTCTGGCTCAGCCGGTCCCGGGCGGTGGGGAGGGGTCCTGCGCGCACGGCTCTTCTCGCCCTCCAATCGTGACCACCCCTGGCCCTTCCCTCCATTTTTAATCAATAAACCCAGCCGCCCCGGGCTGACTGTCCCCGCACCCAGCTGCCTTGGAGACAGGAGTGTCGTATAAGCCCGTAGGTAAGAGCACGGTGCTTGCCAGGCGCCAAACGAAGTTCCCGAGCCTGAAGCCGGCACGTCTGGAAGTAGCTTTTTTTACCTTCTGCTGGGGGAGGGGAGTAAGTTACCTAAAGTGTTCCCAAGCACCTTCTCTCTAGAAATACTTCAGTAAAAGTTCCAGTCCCCTCTTTCTGCGTGTTTTATTTTCCAACCAAAAGATGGTGTTATTGGACATTTCTAGTGGTTTTCCTTTCTCTCATTTCTTCCTAAGAGCCCAGAATAGGTTTCAGAGAGACGCTTCCTTGCCTCGGACCTCACTGGGGCCAAGAGGCCACAGGGTCAGTCTTCGCAGCTGAAGACAGCGCCGCAATAAGCAGAGACCTCGGGACGATGAATGACGTTGCTGACAAAGAAAATGATTTTTTTAATTGCTTTAACAAAGGAGACTGCTAGTCTCGAAAGCAGACCCGAACTGGACCCTTGTGCCTGTTCGAACTGTAGCCTTGCAAAGGAATGGACTTACTGATAACTGGAATACGGGACTTCACCCCAGGCTTGTTTCTCGACAGCAGCAGCAGCCAATGAGCATTGAGGACGGAGCCTAGGAGAGGTGCCTCCCCTATAGGGGAACAGTGTTTGGGGGAAATCACTGCAAACGTACAGCTGGAGTTTTGTACCTGAACTTTGGCTCCCAGAAGGCAGGAAAGGAAATGAATGAAGCAAGCTGAGTATGGCGGGGAGGGCCCCTGTGGGTACACCTACGGAGCACCTTGAGCTCAGTAGGGGGACAGTCTGAGTTTTCCAGAAAGAACAGAAATATAAAGTGATGATTAAATCTCGGGATTTTTAATTTTTGAGTGTTGACAACTAATTAGAACATTTTTAAAGCAGGTCAAAGCACAGGCAGGCTAACTGGCCCCACGCACAACTTGCAAGGTGGGGCGCACCAGGCTCACTGCACAGCCCATACCCACAGACCCCTCAGATTGGAGTCGGGGCAGAAGCAGAACGCAGGACTCGCAGGAAACAGACCAGGTTCCAAGGCCCCCAGGGTCCCAAAGGCTGGGGTAACTGAAGGTTCCCACGCTCAGGCCTCCACTCTTCAAGTCCGCTGCTACTCCACTGAGATCTGTAATGAGTCTCCTGCCATCTACGCACAGTGGTGACTCCTCTTCTCCAAGGCCCCGCCAGGAGTCTTTCATTCCAACGTGTTCGCAGGATCTTCTGGGGAACCGTCCAGCCTGGCAGCTGCAGGAACTGCGAGAAGTTAAGGGTCTGTGCCCACCTATTCCAGCTTCCCTTGCAAGGAGGGTGTTGGGCACCAGAAGGCCCTGGGGAAAGTGGGAGCCGCAGACAGCCAGGCAGCTCTTCTATGTCTGGGGTTTGCAGGAGCACTGCCTTCCGGGGGGGGGGGGAGGGGAGGCGGGTGAGGACAGCACGTGACTTCCCCTCCTAATGTTCATGTGGTGGGGAGTCACCCTGGGGGCCTCCCGCCAAATTTTAGTATCTCTGTGATTTTAGTTGTTGCCCCAAGCAGTTAGGACTTGTGTAGTTTGAAAGAAAAATCTCACCCAGCATAAAAAGAGAAAAGGGGGAATTGTAACAAATGTTAATCATAAGCACTGTTTCAACCCGGAAAAATGTTTGCTGCCAGGCTGTGGGCAAAGAGGTGGCCTCGGCGGCTGGCAGCTCAGTGGGCCTTCCAAGTTTACTAAGCAGGGTCTTGTATTTTTAAATAAAATAGAGCATCAGACACGCTCACTTAAATATAAAAAATAATAAAAACAAGTTTTGAATTAAGTTTAAGACACATTAAGAATAAAACAAATCTAAGAATAAAGGGAATCAGTGATTTCCAAGCTGCAGGCTGTGTGAAAGTTCTGTGGTGTTTGTTAGGTGACCTGTGCTTTTATTGTCTGCCTGACAGCCCTCATCATAAAACAATTTTTTAAAAAAAAAGCCAGCGCCAGCTCACGCCTATAACTGCAGGGTTTTAGGAGGCTGAGGCAGGAGGATGGTCTGAGCCCAGGAGTTCAAGACCAGCCTGGGCAACAAAGCAAGACACGGTCTCTACTAAAAACAGGTTTTTTTAATTAGCCAAGCGTGGTGTTGTGCACCTGTGGTCTCAGCTATTTGGGAGATTGGAGCAGAAGGATCACTTGGGCCCTGGAGTTCAAGGCTACAAGTGAGCTGTGATCGTGCTGCTATGATTGTGCCACTGCGCTCCAGGCTGGGCGACAGAATGAGACCCCTTCCCCCCACCCACTCCGCAAAGAAAAAGGCGTGCAGCTAGATAGCAGCTGAATGTTTTTGGGGTGTCCACCAGCCCCGCTGGCAGCGTTCGTCAGTCTTGCAGACTCAGGGGGGATGTCTCTGGTCACAAATGAATCCACATCCCAGGGAGAAACTTGTGGCCACCTAATTGCTCTGTAAATGCAGAGGGATGCGTTTCTCAAGGCTGCCTTAACGAATGATCACAAACGTATGCAACTTCAACAACAGGTGGATTCTCACAGCTGTAGAAGCCAGAACCAGGGTGTGGGCAGGGCTGCACTCCCTCTAGAGGCTCTAGGGGAGGATCCTTCCTGCTTCCTCCAGCTTCCGGTGGCTCCAAGCATTCCTGGGCTTGTGGTCACATCACTCCAGTCTCTGTCTTCTCCTGACCTTCTCCCTGTGTGTCTGTGTCCTCTCCTTTTATAAGGATACCAGTCATTGGATTCAAGACCTCCCTAAATCCAAAACGATTTCATCATGAGATCCTTTACCAATTATGTCTGCAAAGCCCCTGCTTCCAGATAAGGTCACATCCTCATGTTCTGGTGGATATGGTTTGAGGGGACACTATTCAAGCTAGTATACGGGATGGCTACTTACTGTTCACTTACAGGGAGACCTTTGGTAAGAGGCACTTAGCCTGGCCCCTTCACCCTGGGACACAAGTCTGGGGAGGCTGGAGCCTGAGACAGTAGCCTGTGACTTGAGAGTTCCGGAGTAGAGAAGTCCACTGGCCAAGACACCTCCAACCCCTGCCCTGCTTTCCCAAGAAAATGAGGATTCTCAGATCTGCTCGGCCAGGACTCTCTCGCCAGGGTCAGGGCTTGGCCAGGCACTAGCATTAATCAGGCCTGACACGTGATCAAGGGCCAGGTGGAGCCTGTTGTACAGATGAGGGGGGACTGGAGCTTGAAGTTAAGTCAGCAGCCCAGGTTTCATTCTTGGAAGGGGCAGAAACCTTGGACTTGGACCCCAAAGCTGGCAGAGCTGGCACTGCGCAGTTGACCAGCCCATGCATCCACACACCAGGCGCCACGGATTAGATGCCTGCTCACTAAATTATAGTCAAGAGTCAGGCCTGCTTCCTCCCTGAAATTGACCCAGATCTCCCAAGCGGGGCTGTCTGCAAACTCTTGAGTGACTCATTTACAACAGCCTCTTGGCTGACTCCCACAAATGGCTAACCATAGCCATCGCGGATGGATTTTACTAGCTTAACTCAGACAGCAGCGCATTTCAAAGCTCAGGAGTAAACGGCGTTGTCCTGATGGCACTCCAACAAGTCAGCCTTCCTGGGACGCTTCCTCCTTCCCAAGGTGCAAGCAAGAAATGACCTTTCCGGTGAGAGAAGCCTGTGGCCTCTAGACTCCTCCCTAACCTGGAAAGGTGCAACGCTACTGGGCTCCACTTTCTAAGCACGAGGTCCACCCAGGAGTTTCTTAGGAGTGCTATTGTTGCTTTGGTTACTTCCTAAAATAACTTTCCCCATATTCTGTTCACATACCCAGTTTATAAAACCCAAGCACCTCCTGGCTGGGCGCAGTGGCTCACACCTATAATCCCAGCACTTTGGGAGGCCAAGGTGGCCAGATCATCTGAGGTTCAAGACCAGCCTGGCCAACGTGGCAAAAGCCCATCTCTACAAAAATACAAACTGTAGCCGGGCATGATGGCAAGTGCCAGTAGTTCCAGCTACTGAGCCCAGGAGGTAGAGGTTGCAGTGAGCTGAGATTGTGCCATTGCAATCCAGCCTGGGTGATAGAGGAAGACACTGCCCCCCTGCCAAAAACAAAAACAAAAAAACCACCTTCCTAAAAACCTTTAGTTCCATTGCAGGTGCTTTGGAAGATTTAACAAACCACAGGTTTGTCATTGGTAAAGTTTGCTCAGTAAGCATAGTTAGGATGGGACATATAAAGCTAAGATAATAGATGCTGACCATCAAGCGTCAATTTGAGTGTAAAAAATGAAACTTTTAAAGTAAGACCCTTTACAAGAGCATCAAAAACCAAATACCTGAATATCAAACTAACAAAAAGAAATGTAAGACCTATAGTCAGAAGATTGTAAACCATGATTGAGAGAAATTAGGGGAAAAAAAATACACAGAGGGATACACTGGGTTCGAGTCAGAGGCTCAATACCGCATTGCCAAGTCAATCCTAAGCCAAAAGAACAAAGCTGGAGGCATCACACTACCTGACTTCAAACTATACTACAAGGCTACAGTAACCAAAACAGCATAGTACTGGTACCAAAACAGAGATATAGACCAATGGAACACAACAGAGCCCTCAGAAATAATACCACACATCTACAACTATCTGATCTTTGACAAACATGACAAAAGAAATAGGGAAAGGATTCCCTATTTAACAAATGGTGCTGGGAAAACTGGCTAGCCATATGTAGAAAGCTGAAACTGGATCCCTTCCTTACACCTTGTACAAAAATTAATTCAAGATGGATTAAAGACTTAAACGTTAGACCTAAAACCATAAAAACCCTAGAAGAAAACCTAGGCAATACCATTCAGGACACAGGCATGGGCAAGGACTTCATGTCTAAAACACCAAAAGCAATGGCAACAAAAGCCAAAATTGACAAATGGGATCTAATTAAACTAAAGAGCTTCTGCACAGCAAAAGAAACTACCATCAGAGTGAACAGGCAACCTACAGAATGATGGGAGAAAATTTTTGCAATCTACTCATCTGACAAAGGGCTAATATCCAGAATCTACAATGAACTCAAACAAATTTATAAGAAAAAAACAACCCCATCAACAAGTGGGCGAAGGATATGAACAGACACTTCTCAAAAGAAGACATTTATGCAGCCAACAGACACATGAAAAAATGCTCATCATCACTGGCCATCAGAGAAAGGCAAATCAAAACCGCAATGAGATACCATCTCACACCAGTTAGAATGGTGATCTTTAAAAAGTCAGGGAGCAACAGGTGCTGGAGAGGATGTGGAGAAATAGGAACACTTTTACACTGTTGGTGGGACTGTAAACTAGTTCAACCATTGTGGAAGTCAGTGTGGCGATTCCTCAGGGATCTAGAACTAGAAATACCATTTGACCCAGCCATCCCATTACTGGGTATATACCCAAAGGACTATAAATCATGCTGCTGTAAAGACACATGCACACTTATGTTTATTGCGGCACTAGTCACAATAACTTGGAACCAACCCAAATGTCCATCAATGATAGACTGGATTAAGAAAATGTGGCACATATACACCATGGAATACTATGCAGCCATAAAAAATGATGAGTTCATGTCCTTTGTAGGGACGTGGATGAAGCTGGAAACCATCATTCTCAGCAAACTATCACAAGGACCAAAAACCAAACACCGCGTGTTCTCACCCATAGGTGGGAATTGAACAATGAGAACACATGGACACAGGAAGGGGAACATCACACACTGGGGCCTGTTGTGGGGTGGGGGGAGCGGGGAGGGATAGCATTAGGAGATATACATAATGTAAATGACGAGTTAATGGGTACAGCATACCAACATGGCACATGTATACATATGTAACAAACCTACACGTTGTGCACATGTACCCTAGTACTTAAAGTATAATAAAAAAATTTAAAAAAAAAGAGTCAGAGGCTCAATATTGTAAAAATGTCATTTCTCCCAAAATGATCTACAGATTGTACACAAAATGAATATTTAAATCCAAGCTTTTTTATTTATTTATTTACAGAAATGGACAAGCTGGGCTTCTGTTTCCGGTATGGTGGAGTAAACGCCTATTGAACTAACCCTTCCAAAGGCAGCACTATAAACTCTGGGCAAAATAGGAAACAACACTTACCTGAAGTCACCAGAGCGTGAACACAGCAGGCACATTCTGAAGGTGTCAACACTTGGAAGAGGAAAACGGTACCGGGTTTTCACAGCTCCTAGACTAAAGTCAGGTAACAGGCCATGCCATGCAGGGCAAATAAAACTCCAATAAAAAGCCATAGGTTTTTCTGGCTAGAAAAGCTAGAAGACAAGTGTGATGGTTAATATTGAGTGTCAACCTGATTGGCTTGAAGGATGGAAAATATTGATCCTGGGTGTGTCTGTGAGGATGTTTCCAAAGAAGATTAACATTTGAGTCAGTGGACTGGGAGAGGCAGCCCCACCCTCAATGTGAGTGAGCACCATCTAATCAGCTGCCAGCATGGCTAGAATAAAGCAGGCAGAAGAAGGAGGAATGAGCAGACTTGCTGAGTTCTGGCCTCCATTTTTCTCCTGTGCTAGATGCTTCCTGCCCTCAAACATCAGACTCCACGTTCTTTGGCTTTTGGACTCTTGGCCTTTGTGATTTGCCAGGGGCTCTCAGGCCTTCACCCACAGACTGAAGGCTGCACCGTCGGCTTCCCTACTTTTGAGGTTTTGGGACTCAGACTGATCCACTACTGACTTCCTTGCTCCTCAACTTGCAGACAGCATATTGTGGAACTTTACCTTGTGATGATGTGAGTCAGTTCTCCTTAATAAACTCCCCTTCCTATATACAACTATCCTATTCTGTCCCTCTAGAGAACGCTGATCATACAGTACATTGGTACCAGAAGTGGGGTGATCAGCCAGCTACTTGGTGGCGGGTTGATTATATTGAAACTCTTCCACCATGGAAAGGGCTGTGGTTTGTCCTCACCAGTATAGACACTTACTCCAGATATGGGTTTGCCTATCCTGCACTCAATGCTTCTACCAAGACTACCATCCGTGGACTCACAGAATGCCTTATCCACCATCATGGTATTCCATACAGCATTGCCTCTTACCAAGGTACTCACTTTACAGCTAAAGAAGGGCAGCAGTGGACTCAGGCTCGTGGAATTCACTGCTTGTACCACATTCCCCACCATCCCAAAGCAGCTGGATTGATTGAATGGTGGAATGGCCTTTTGAAGTCACGGTCACAATGGCAACTAGGTGAGAATACTTTGCAAGACTGGGGCAGAGTTCTCCAGAAGGCCATGCATGCTCTGAATCAGCATCCGACATATGGTACTGTTTCTCCCATAGCCAGGATGCACAGGACCAGAAATCAAGGGGTGGAAATGGAAGTGGCACCACTCACCATCACCCCTAGTGACCCACTAGCAAACTTTTTGCTAGTTGAACTAACCACAACCTCTTGAAAGTATGGGAGCATCGCAGAAAGGAGAGAGCTGCAGATCCAAATTCTGTTGATACTCTTTGTCTAAATCTCTAGTTGAGCACTGAACTACATGTATGGGACAGACTCCAAGCAACTCGACCTAGAATAAAACAACAGAAATGAGATTTGAGCCACTGTCCAAGGGACTGGGTTTGCAGTCTCAGTTCCATCAAGCCGATTGTTTGCTACCACACACACACACACACACACACACACACACACACACATATCAATGCTCTACTCCAAACTGTCACAATGTTCAGGATAAAATTCAAAATTACTGAATATACAAAGAAAAAAATTGTTATACATTCTCCATCCTACTGGAAATTGACCCGATAGGACTCAGATTGATGAATTCGCAAACAAGGATTTTAAAGCAACTATTGTAATTGCTGCTGTAAAGGAAGATACACTTTTCTTTTTTTGAGACAGTCTCACTCTGTTGCCCAGGCTGGAATACAGTGAGACCGTCTCAGCTCACTGCAGATTTTGACTCTCAGACTCGAGATCCTCCCACCTCAGCCTCCCAAGTAGCTGGGACTACAGGTGTGCACCACCACACCTGGCTAATTTTTTTTTTTTTTTTTTTTTTTGGTACAGACAGCAGGGTTTCACCATGTTGCCCAGACTGGTCTCGAACTCCTGGGCTCAAGTGATCCACCCACCTCTGACTCCCAAAGTGCTGGGATTATAGGTGTGAGCTACTGCACCCAGCCAAAAATACACTTTTAACAAGATTTTAAAATCGCAACAGATAATTAGAAACATTTTTTTTTGAGACAGGGTCTCACTCTGTTGCCCAGGCTGGAGTGCGGTGGCACAATCATGGCTGACTGCAGCCTTGACCTCTCAGCTACGGTGATTCTCCCCCCTCAGCCTCCCTAGTAACTGGGACTACAGTCTCCCGCCAGCATGCCCAGCTAACTCTTTTGTATTTTTTGTAGCATGGAGGATTCTCCATGTTGCCCGGGCTGGTCTTGAACACCTGGCCTCAAGCAATCCTCCTGCCTCAGCCTCCCAAAGTACTGGGGTTACAGGCATGAGCCACCATGCCTGGCAGAAACTGTATTTTTAAAATGGAAATTTTAGAACTGCAAATTAGAATATATTAAATATAAAGTTAACTGAATGAGTCTAACAGAAGAGTGGAGATTAACTCAGTTAACTTGAAGATAAATCAATAGAATGTATCCAATCTAAAAAAGAAAGGATGGGGGGAAAACAAGAAGAACCTCAGGACCTGTGAAACAATATCAAAAAGCCTATAACATGTGTAGTCAAAATTACAAAAAGAGAGGAGAGAAGAAATGAGGCAGGAAAAAGTATTTGAAGAAACACTGCCTAGAATTTCTATAATAAGAGACAAATTTACATATTTAAGAAGTTTCATTATCCCCAACTGGGATAAACTCAAACAAAACCATGTGTAGGTACATCATAGTCAAGTTGCTGGAAAGCAAATCTAAAAACAAAATTCCTAAAAGTAACTGTACAAAAACACATTTCAAGTCCAGGCGCAGGGACTCGTGCCTGTAATCCTAGCATTTTGGGAGGCCAAGGTGGGCCGATCACTTGAGACCAGGAGTTCAAGACCAGCCTGGCCAACATGACAAAACCCCATCTCTACAAAAATACAAAAATTAGCCGAGTGTGGTGGTGCACGCCTGTAGTCCCAGCTGCTTGGGAGACTGAGAGGCAGGAGAATCACTTGAACCCAAGGCAGAGGTTGCAGTGAGCTAAGATCATGCAACTGCTCCAGCTTGAGCAACAGAGTGAAACTTTGTCTGGAGAAGAGAAAAAAAAGAAAATTTCAGGCAGGGGAACAAATAAATTAAAACTGATGACTTCTCATCCGAAACTATGGAAACCAGAAGAGAGTGGAAGAACATCTTTAAAGTATTGAAGTAAAACTTTTTAACCCATTTGTAGACTGTCGAACTATCTTTCAAGAATGAAGGTAAATAGGCCGGGCGCAGTGGCTTGCGCTTGTAATCCCAGCACTTTGGGAGGCCGAGGTGGGCAGATCATGAAGTCAGGACATCGAGACCATCCTGGCTAACACAGTGAAACCCCGTCTCTACTAAAAATACAAAAAGAAATTAGCCAGGCGTAGTGGTGGGTGCCTGTAGTCCCAGCTACTGGGGAGGCTGAGGCAGGAGAATGGTGTGAACCCGGGAGGCGGAGCTTGCACTGAGCTGAGGTCACACCACTGCACTCCAGCCTGGGCAACAGAGCAAGACTCCGTCTCAAAAAAAAAAAAAAAAACAGGGTAAATAAACACATTTTCGCATAAAAAAATTGACATAATTCATCACCACCAGACCTGTTTTATAAGAATTGCTGTCTGGGCACGGTGGTTCATGCCTGTAATCCCAGGACTTTGGGAGGCCGAGGCAGGCGGATCACGAGGTCAGGAGATCAAGATCATCCTGGCTAACACAGTGAAACCCCGTCTCTACTAAAGATACAAAAAATTAGCCGGGCGTGGTGGCAGGCGCCTGTAGTCCCAGCTACTTGGGAGGCTGAGGCAGGAGAATGGCATGAACCCAGAAGATGGAGTTTGCAGTGAGCCAAGATTGTGCGACTGCACTCCAGCCTGGGCGACAGAGCGATACTCCGTGTCCAAAAAAGAAAAAAAAAGAATTGCTGAAGAAATTTTTCAGGCTGAAGGAAAATGATCCCAGATGGAAATTTGATCATCAGGAAAGAATAAAAGCATCAGAAATGGTAAATAGTAGATTAAATTTTAAAAAACAATTTTCCTCTTACTTTAAAATATATGTCAGTATAAATGAAAAATTACAACATCAAACTGTGAGATTTTGACTCTGTAGATGGAATACACTCAACTGTAGCAAAAAATGAAACTATGATATTGGAAGTTTTCTACATTTTATATGAAGTGGCACAATATTAAAGAAGACTATTATAAATTAAGAATGTGTATGATAATCCCTAAAGCAACCACTAGAAAAGCAACACAAAGAGGTATAGATAAAAATCCAATAGATAAAATAGAATGCTAAAAGTTTTCAAATAATCCCAAAAAAGCAGAAAAAGAGGAAATTTTAGAAGGAATGAACATAGGACAAATAGTAAAATGATAGACCTAAATTCCACCAATTAATCATATTAGATTTTTTTTTTTTGAGATGGAATCTCACTCTGTCGCCCAGGCTAGAGTGCAGTGGTGTGATCTCGGCTCACTGCAACCTCTGCCTCCCAGGTTCAAGTGATTCTCCTACCTCAGCCTCCTGAGTAGCTGGGATTACAGGCGCACACCACCATGCTCAGCTAATTTTTATATTTTTAGTAGAGACAGGGTTTCACCATGTTGCCCAGGCTGGTCTTGAACTTCTGACCTCAGGTGATACACCCAGGTGATCTGCCAACCTTGGCTTCCCAAAGTGCTGGGATTAAGGACATGAGTCACCGTGCCAGGCCTTAATCATCATATTAGATTTAAATGCATTAAGCACGTCAATTAAAAAGGATAGAAAGACAAGACTACAGATTTCAAGAGAGATGCTTTAGAAAAGATATGGTATGCAAACAGTAAGCCTAGCAAGGCTAGGTGGCTATGTTAACATCAAATAAAATAAACTTCAACACAAAGAACCTTCTCAGAGATAAAAAGAGACACTGCATAATGATAAAATGGTTAACTCATAAGAAGAAAGAAATGATAAATTGATATGTGCCTCAAAACAGTTTCAAGGCCAGACATGGTGGCTTAGGCCTGTAATCTCAGTGCTTTTGGAGGCTAAGGTGGGGGAGCCACTTGAGGCCAGGAGTTTGAGACCGTCCTGGGCAACATAGTGAGACCCCCATCTGTACAAAAAGTTTAAAAATTAGCTGGGCATGGTGGCACACACTTGTAGTCCTAGCTACTTGGGAGGCTGAGGTGGGAGGATCACTTGACCAGGAGTGAGAGGCTAGAGTGAACTGTAATTGTTCAGGCAGGGGAACAAAGAATCAAAACTCATGACCTCGTCAGAAACTATGGAAACCAGAAGAGGGTGGAAAAACATCTTTAAAATATTGAAATGAAACTTTCTAACCTCTTTGTAGACTGTCAAATAACAGGCAAAACTTTTAGAATGAAGCATGCATTTAATCTTAGGGCAAAAATTCTCTCAAAAGTAAGCACACAAAGTGCTAAACCTGTCCAGGCACCGTGGCTCACGCCAGTAATCCTAGCTCTTTGGAAGGCTGAGATGGGAGGATCACTTGAGGCCAGGAGTTTGAGACCATCCTGAGCAGCATGGTGAGACTTCATCTCTACCAAAACTTTAAAAATTGGCCAGACATGGCCAGGTGCAGTGGCTCACGCCTGTAATCCCAGCACTTTGGGAGGCCGAGGCGGGCAGATCACAAGGTCAGGAGATCGAGACCATCCTGGCTAACACACTGAAACCCCTCTCTACTAAAAATACAAAACAAAAAAAAAATTTGCCGGGCATGGTGGTGGGCACCTGTAGTCCCAGCTACTCGGTAGGCTGAGGCAGGAGAATGGCATGAACCCAGGAGGCGGAGCTTGCAGTGAGCCGAGATCACGCCACTGCACTCCAGCCTGGGTGACAGAGCAAGACTCCATCTCAAAATAAATAAATAAAATTAGCCACACAAGGTGGCAAACACTTGTAGTCCCAGCTACACAGGAGGCTGAGCTGGGAGGATCACTTGAGCCCAGGGGTTCAAGGCTGCAGTGATGTATGATTGCACCACTGCACTCCAGCCTAGGCAACAGAGTGAGACCCTGTCCCATCCCCCCCAAAAAGTGCTAAACCCTATAAAGGAAAAAAAATTGATAAATTGTGTGACGTTAAGAACTCTTCATGGGCTGGGTGCAATGGTTCACACTTGTAATCCCAGCACTTTGGGAGACCAAGGCAGGCAGATCACTTGAGCTCAGGAGTTTGAGACCAGCCTGAGCAACATGGCGAAACCCCATCTCTACAAAAAGTACAAAATGAGTTGGGCATCATGCATGTGCCTGTAGTCCCTGCTACTTAGGAGGCTGAGGTAGGAGGATTGCTTGAGCCCAGGAGGTTGAGTCTGCAGTGAGCCATGATCATGCCATTGCAGTCCAGCCTGGGTGACAAAGTGAGACCTTGTCTCAAAAAAAAAAAAGAACCTCTCATCAAAACCATTACAAGAATGGAAAGACAGCTGACAGAGTAGAAGACATATGCACTGTACAAAAATAAGCGAAAGACTGGAACAGGCACTTCACAAAGAGGATGGCCAGATGGCCAGCAGGGGTGTAAAAAGATGCTCAACCTTATTAGTCATCAGGGGAATTTGAATTAAAACCACTGCAGACCCACCAGCACAGCCAAAATTAAAAGGACTGACAACACCTAGTGTTGGTAAGGAGCACTCACTGAGGAGACAGGAGTCAGTTCAGCCACTGTTGAAATTGCTTGGCCATTTCCACTAAAGTTGTATAACTGCTCAGCATCTGGCTCAGCAACTCTACTCCATATGCACCCAGAAGAAATGAGTCCTTCTGTGCCCCAAGAGAAGTCCCTGGACATCCCAGCAGCACGTTAATATTCAAAACAGGAACAACCAAAATTTCCATCAACAGTAAAATGGAGAAATAAATGGTAACCTGTTCATCTAACAGCATTAGATGGGTGTTGTATTAGTTCATGCTCACATTTCTATAAGAAAATACCCAAAACTGGGTAATTTATTTTATTTTATTATTTTTTGAGATGGAATCTGACTCTTGTTGCCCAAGCTGGAGTGCAGTGGCACGATCTTGGCTCACTGCAACCTTTGCCTCCCAGGTTCAAGTGATTCTCCTGCCTCAGCCTCCTGAGTAGCTGGGATTACAGGCATGTGCCATCACGCCTGGCTGATTTTTCTATTTTAGTAGAGACGGGGTTTCACCATGTTAGCCAAGCTGGTCTCAAACTCCTGACCTCAGTTGATCCACCTGCCTCCGCCTCCCAAAGTGCTGGGATGACAGGCATGAGCCACCTCGCCGGGCCAACAGGGTAATTTATAAAGGAAAGAGGTTGAATTGACTCACAGTTGAGCATGGCTGGAGAGGCCTCAGGAAACTTACAATCATGGTAGAAGGCAAAGGAGAAGCAGGCACCTTCTTCACAGGGCAGCAGGACGACGGAGTGAGTGCAGCAGGGGAAATGCCAGATGCTTATAAAACCATCAGATCTCGTGAGATTCACTCGTTGTCGCAAGAACAGCAGGGGGGAACCACCCCCATGATCCAATTACCTCCACCTGGTCCCACTCTTGATACGTGAGAGAGCTCACTCACTGCGGCTTCAACCTCCTGGGCTCAAGTGATCCTCTCCCCTCAGCTTCCCGAGTAGTTGGGACCGCAAGTGTATGCCAAGAACTCTTTGTGTCTTGCAGGATTGAAACTCTACACCCATTAAACACTAACTCCTCATTCTCTCTCCCTGAACATATCTTTTCCAGTGACACTATTCAACCTTCCCCAGAGCACCACATTTTCATTTTGCACCAGCCTCTGCAAATTCTGGAACTGCTCCTGGCTCACATCTACTGCCAAGTCCTCCTGTGTCTATGGGAGAAGAGTCATCCCTGTCCACAATGACATGTGTGCCTTCACACTGGGGCAAGTGTTAAGGAAAAATGGGTAACTTGAGTGCCACATACACCACATCCAGCTCGCAAGAACCAGCTGTTGTGTCTCTTCCCAACGCCATGTTCAGTGACATCACACTGACAGCTTGAAACCAGCCAGGGTGGGGGCATTTCCACCAAGGACGTTGGCAGACGCTATGCCTCGGGGGGCATTGGCAGACACTATGCTTCGGGGCTTTTTTTCCTTAGGGAGACAGTTATTAAACACTTAGCAGTACCCACCTAGATAGTCAATGTCTGACTCTAGAGCCTCACAGTTTGCTTGAGGTAGTAAAACCTACAAGTCTTAAATAACTTATGAATGTTGGCCAGGTGCGGTGGCTCATGCCTGTAATCCCAGCACTTAGGGAGGCCGAGGCAGGCAGATCACAGGGTCAGGAGATCGAGAAAATCCTGGCTAACATGATGAAACCCCGTCTCTACTAAAAATACAAAAAATAGTTAGCCGGATGTGGTGGCGGGCGCCCATAGTCCCAGCTACTCGGGAGGCTGAGGCAGGAGAATGGTGTGAAGCCGGGAGGCGGAGCTTGCAGTGAGATTGCACCACTGCACTCCAGCCTGGGAGACAGAGCAAGACTCCATCTGAAAAAAAAAAAAAAAAAAAAAAGAATGTCGATGAGGCCACTTTTGGATTATATCCAAAAGAAGTGAAAGCAGCATCTCGAAGAGATATTTTCACGCTCATGTTCATAGCAGCTTTATTATTATTTTTTTTGAGATGGAGTCTTGCTCTGTCACCCAGGCTGGAGTGCAGCAGCATGAACTCGACTCACTGCAACCTCCGCCTCCCAGGTTTAAGTGATTCTCCTGCCTCAGCCTCCTGAGTAGCTGGGATTACAAGCGTGTACCACACGCCCGGCTAATTTTTGTATTTTCGGTAGAGACAGGGTTCCACCATGTTGGTCAGGCTGGTCTCGAACTCCTGACCTCGTGATTCGCCTGCCTTGGCCTCCCAAAGTGTTGGGATTACAGGCATGAGCCACCGTGCCTGGCCTCATAGCAGCATTATTTACGATAGCCAAGAGGTGGAAGCAACCCAACGGTCCAACTATAGATGAAATGGAGAAGGAAAATGTGCAGTGGAATATTATTAAGCCCTGAAAAGGAAGGAAATTCGGACACACCCTTCAGCAAGGATCAACCGTGAGGCTGCTATGCTGTGAAATAAGCCGGGCACAAAAAGGCGAATGCTGTGAGTCCACTTACATGAGTTATCGAAAGCACTCAAATTGACGGAAACAGACAGTAGAATGGTGGTTACCAGGCAAGGCAGGGAGGGTGAAATGGAGAGCTTTGAATGGGTGTAGAGTTTCAGTGTTTCAAGATGAACAAGTCCTGGGGATCTGTTGCACAGCAACGTGAATATGCTCACTGTTCCCCAACTTACACTTGAAACTGGTTATGATGGTAAATTTTGTCTTTATTCTTAACTACAATTTTTAAAAATGTTGATGAGAGACTGCTGATCTGGGAATTCAGGAAACGTGGGTTTTGGTCCACATTCTACCATTTCCTGGTGGCCTTAGGCAGGTCACTTGCCAGCTCTGGACTCTGGTTTCCTTCTCAAACAAAATAAGGGTTTTGTTTTAGGTTTTCCAGCTCAGAAAGCTGAGTCTGCTCAGAAGAGCTGGACATTCCCTCACTGTCTTTCATTCAAGTGTGACATATTCCGACAAGTGACATACATCAACACATTCTCTCAAACCAAACATACCTGATATGGTCTGGCTGTGTCCCCACCCAAAATCTCATGTTGAGTTGTAATCCCCATAATTCCCATAATCTCCACATATCAAGAGTGGGACCAGGTGGAGGTAACTGGATCACGGGGGTGGTTCCCCCCTGCTGTTCTTGCTACAACGAGTGAATCCCACGAGATCTGATGGTTTTATAAGCATCTGGCATTTCCCCTGCTGCACTCACTCCGTCGTCCTGCTGCCCTGTGAAGAAGGTGCCTGCTTCTCCTTTGCCTTCTACCATGATTGTAAGTTTCCTGAGGCCTCTCCAGCCATGCTCAACTGTGAGTCAATTCAACCTCTTTCCTTTATAAATTACCCTGTTGGCCTGGCGAGGTGGCTCATGCCTGTCATCCCAGCACTTTGGGAGGCGGAGGCAGGTGGATCAACTGAGGTCAGGAGTTTGAGACCAGCTTGGCTAACATGGTGAAACCCCGTCTCTACTAAAATAGAAAAATCAGCCAGGCGTGATGGCACATGCCTGTAATCCCAGCTACTCAGGAGGCTGAGGCAGGAGAATCACTTGAACCTGGGAGGCAAAGGTTGCAGTGAGCCAAGATCGTGCCACTGCACTCCAGCTTGGGCAACAAGAGTCAGATTCCATCTCAAAAAATAATAAAATAAAATAAATTACCCAGTTTTGGGTATTTTCTTATAGAAATGTGAGCATGAACTAATACAACACCCATCTAATGCTGTTAGATGAACAGGTTACCACGTCTGGCCAGCACTTACCTTTCACCTTTTTGACAGTAGCCTTTCTAACAGGCATTCGGGCATCCGTCTTACCCAATTTCAGTGTACGAGTAGCATTAAGTACATTCATAATGGTATCGCTGCCTCACCATCATCCATCTCTAGAGGCTTTTCATCTTTTAATTTTGTTTCAGAGACAGAGTCTCACTCTGTTGCCCAGGCTGGAGTGCACCTCTTTCTCTCTCCCTCTCTCTTTCTCTCCGTCTCTCTGCCTCTCTTTCTCTCTCCCCTTCTTCTTCTCTCCCTCCCTCTCTCCCCTTCTTTTTCTTTCCTTCCCTCTCTCCCCTCCTCTTTCTCCTTCTCTCTCTCTCTCTCTCTCTCCCTCTCTCTCCCTCTCTCCTGCTTCCGGATTGGGACACCTTTCCTCTGCCTGCCCTTGGACATCAGACTCCAGGTCGTTTGGCTTTGGGATCTGGGACTTGCAGTGGGGCCTCACAGGGCTCCTGGGTCTTTGGCCTCAGATTGGTGACTGCAATCTGAGGTTCCAAGTTCCAAGGCCTCCGGGCTTGGACTGAGCCCGCCGCCAGGCTCCCCGGTTCTCCGGCTTGCAGACTCCTTGACCTCTAGGAGACAAGTCCCCTATCAAACCCCTCACCTCTCCATGGCTCTGTCTCTCTGGAGAACCCTGGCTGAAGCACTCCTGGAAGCAGAGAGGAGAATGGTGGGCACCCAAGGGCAGGCGGGAAAGGGAAACCTCACTCAAAGGACAAGAAGTCTCTGCCGGATGGACAGCAGGGCGACTCGAGTGAGAAATAACGCATTACAGATTCCCAAACTGCCAAAAAGTGGGTTTGCCATTTTCTCACCACAGAGACAGGATAAGTTTGTGAGGTGATAGATGTATGAATTAGCCCGATTTGATCATCCGCCATGTATACATGTCTGAAAACATCACTTTGTACCCCATAAATATATACAATTATTTGTCAATAAAAAATAAAATCTTTGCAAACATGGTTAAGATGACACATTTTATGTCACATGTATTTTACCATAATAAAAAAAAATCAGAAAATAAATAAGTGCTAAGCGAAATAAGCAAGTCCTAAAAAGACAAATGCTGCGTGATGCCACTTAAATGAGAAAAATCTAAGGTAGTCAATTTGACAAGGCCGGGCGCGGTGACTCACTCCTGTAATCCCAGCACTTTGGGAGGCTGAAGTGGGAGGATCCCTTGAGCCCAGGAGTTGGAGACCTGCCATGGGCAACATGGTGAAACCCCATCTCTACAAAAAATACAAAAATTAGCCAGGCGTGGTGGCACCTGCCTGTGGTCCCAGCTACTCGGGAGGATGAGGCAGGAGAATCACTTGAGCCCAGGGAGGTCGAGGCTGCAGTGAGTTGAGATCGCACCACTGCACTCCAGCCTGGGTGACAGCGTGAGACCCTGTCTCAAATAAAATAATAAACATTAAAAAATTAAAGTGTTCAAATTTACAGAAACAGAAAGTAGAATGCGGTTACCAGGGATTGGGGAGAGGGAAAAGTGGGGAGCTGTTTTTTAATGGACATAAAGTTGCAGTTTTTCAAGATTGTCTATCTATAGATAAAGATATTGACAAAGATATAGATAAAGATATTGACATAGATATAGGTATTGATATAGATAAAGATATTGATATAGATATAGGTGTCTCCAAGTCCTGACAGCACGGTTCCTGCGAATGTGGCCTTATTTGGAAATAGGGTCTCTAGACGTAATTAAGGATGTTGAGATAAGATCATCCCGGACTAGAGTGGGCCCTAAATCCAGTGGCTGGAGTTCTTCTAAGAGGAGGCCGGGGGAGATTTGACACAGAAATACACAGCAGGAGCATCTTACAGACAGAGGCAGGGGCAGGTGCTGCTGCCCCCAGCCAAGGAGCGCCCAGGGTTGCCAAAGGCACCAGAAGCTAGGAGAGCCTGGGCCAGATTCTCCTCGGAGCCTCCAGAAGGAGCTGACACCCTGATTTTGGACTTCCAGCCTCCAGAACCGTGAGAGATGAAGGTCTGCTGTTTTAAGCCACCAGCTTGTGGTGATTTGTCACAGCAGCCCCAGGTCACGCTGAAGGCTCCTTGTTCAAATGTCACGGAGGATTTCAAGGCGGGGTCAGCAGATGCGGATGGGGCCTGGTGACTTGGAGGGGCTGAGTCTGGGAGGCCTGCCAGCGCCCCTGTGTTGGACTTGAGTCAGCCTGCAGAATTCTCAGGGTCTCTAGAGATGTGTGCTAGTTCACAGGGGAGGAGGAAGCCTGGACTGAGGGTGACTGAGGAACTGCACAGAGAGACACGCAGGGGTAGAGCCAGGCTGAAGAGGAGTCGCACTCCCTGCCAGTTCTCCTCTGGACGGTTGGATGTTTTTCTTCTACCTATGCACGTTACTTTTTTTTTTTTTTTGAAATGGAGTCTCGCTCTGTCACCCAAGCTGGAGTGCAGTGGCGCGATCTGGGCTCACTGCAAGCTCCGTCTTCTGGGTTCACGCCATTCTCCTGCCTCAGCCTCCCGAGTAGCTGGGACTACAGGCGCCCGCCACCACGCCCAGCTAATTCTTTGTATTTTCAGTAGAGATGGGGTTTCATCGTGTTAGCCAGGATGGTCTCGATCTCCTGACCTCGTGATCCACCCGCCTCGGCCTCCCAATGTGCTGGGATTACAGGCGTGAGCCACCGCACCCAGCCATGTTACTTTTTCAATGATGTTTTTAAAACCTCGTTTAAACAGCTTGGTTCCCTGTGAAGGAGTCTTTGGACGAGGAGGAGTGGCCGCCAGGAAGTTCGCATTTTGCATGATATTTTGATGTTTTACCAGGAGAAGATGGTCTTGTGTGATTTATGTCATCAAAATTATGTAAAATAAAAAGCCAGACCAGGTGCGGTGGCTCACGCCTGTAATTCCAGCACTTTGGGAGGCCAAGGA
Organism: Homo sapiens; assembly: GCF_000001405.40. Lineage (NCBI taxonomy): Eukaryota > Metazoa > Chordata > Mammalia > Primates > Hominidae > Homo > Homo sapiens. The sequence continues at coordinate 62,086,164 of NC_000020.11, forward strand.
GGGTGGGTCACCTGAGGTCAGGAGTTTGAGACCAGGCTGGCCAACATGGTGAAACCCCATCTCCACTAAAAATACAAAAAATTAGCTGGGCATGGTGGCGCATACTTGTAATCCCAGCTACTCAGGAGGCTGAGGCAGGAGAATTGCTTGAACCCAAGAGGCGGAGGTTGCAGTGGGCAGAGGTTGCAGTGAGCCAAGATCGCACCATTGCACTCCAGCCTGGGCAACAGAGCAAGACTCTGTCTCAAAAAAAAGAACAACAATAACAACAAAAAACCCAGAAAATGAAAAAGAAATGCTGTTAATGAAGTTTGAACACTGATGGCAGAAAGACTCTGTGTCTTAAGATCAAGCGACTGCTGCATTTCAAACTGTCCACACTCCTCCAACTTCCCACACCACCGCAAAACCCTCTCTCCTGACCCTCCACCTTGGTCCCCACTCATCTGAGAAGGGAGAGGTTGTCAAACACCCTGGCCCTCTGCTCCCACCATGATGAGTGGATCTGCATCTGGTCTGTCCTTGCCTTCTTTCTGCCTGTTAGGACGGAGGAGGTGGACTTCTCTCCACCCATGGGATCCCTCGAGGGTGACATGGAAGCTGGGCACACAGAGAGACTGGGGTCACACAGAGGCGGGGGCCTGGGGTTTCACAGAGGCTGGACAGGCTTCCAGGGAGCAGAAATCAACCATCCTCATGGTGCCCTGCCCGGATCCCTGATCCACAGAAACAGAGAGGATAAAATGGTTGCTGTCTTACCTGCTAAGTTTGGGGGTGAGTGGTTGTGTGTCAGTAGGTAGCAGGCACCCCTCACTCTCTAACAACAACACCTCTGTCTCCACTTCTAGCCGTTGGGATTTACGAAGAAAGCTCAGTATTAATCACTGCTAGGCACAGAGCGCCTTGGAAAGGGAACCCCTCAGGTTCCCGCAGAAAAGTGTTTTAGGGGTCTCTGAGACCACCGGCCCATCCAGTAGGGAGCGGAGGCTCATAGCTCCTGAAGGCAGTAAAACCTGGGTAGGCACAGCAGCCAGTTCTTGCCTCAAGAAGGAAGGAGAGACACAGTCCTTGGGACCCCAGCCCAGCCAAGGTCGGGATGAGGGCAGCAGCCACATCCCTTCCAAGAATTTGGGGGTCTTTAAAGAACGACTGAGGATGTTACATTGGGTGGGGAGCCCACAGGCTGCAAAGGAAACAGACCCGAACGAACAACGCAACAGCTGTGTCCATTGCAACTCAGGCTGCGGCAAACATCTGAGAACCATCCAACCCTGCTGAGACCAGGGGCGGAGCCTGGCTTACCGCACCGGGACAAGCTGCTCTTGCCCAGCTTGCCCTGCTGGTTTGCCCCAGCCCCACGAAAGGCAAGAGGGGAGATGCAAAACACACTCACACACACTTCTGCTCCCAAGCACTCACTCTCATACTCATCTACACACGCACTCCCACATGTTCCTGTACACTCACCTGCACACGCACTCACACATGCTCCTATACGCTCACCTGCACACGCACACGCTCCTGTACACCCACCTGCACACGCACTCACACGCACTCCTGTACACTCACCTGCACGCTTACCCACACATGCTCTGTACACTCACCTGCATGCACTCACACGCGCTCCTATACACTCACCTGCACACGCACTCACACAAGCTCTTGTACACTCACCTGCACACGCACTCACACAAGCTCTTGTACACTCACTGCAGACTCACCCACACACGCTCCTGTACACTCACCTGCATGCACTCACATGTACTCCTGTACACTCACCTGCACACTCACCTGCACACGCACGCACACGTGCTCCTGTACACTCACCTGCATGCACACACATGCGCTCCTGTACGCTCACCTGCACTCACTCACATGCACTCCCGTACACTCACCTGCAGACGCACCCACACGCGCTCCTGTACACTCACCTGCATGCACACACACGCGCTCCTGTACACTCACCTACACACACTCACATGCACTCCTGTACACTAACGTATACATGCACTCACACACGCTCCTGTACACTCACCTGCACACACACATGCTCCTGTACACTCACCTGCACATACACACACACTCCTGTACACTCACCTGCATGCACTCACACACGCTCTTGTACACTCATCAGCACACACACTCACATGCACTCCTGTACACTCACCTGCACACGCATTCACACACGCTCCTGTACACTCACCTGCATGCACTCACATGTGCTCTTGTACATTCACCCGCACTCCTGTATACTCAGTTGCACACATACTCACACATCCTCCTGTGTGTATGACTGTGACTGTATATGTGAGCTATATGTACATGTGTGTTCACACACACACACACACACACACACAGATACAGTCATACACCACATAATGACGTTAGGGGCAACAACGGACTGCATATATAATGGTTGTCCCATAAGATAACAGTGGAGCTGAGAAATTCCTTTCTCCAAGTGACATCATAGCCGTCCTAGGGCAATGCATGACTCATGCTTGTAGTGACGTGGCTGTAAACAAACCTACTGACTCATGTTTGTGGTGACCTGGCTGTAAACAAACCTGTGTTGCCCTCACGTAGAAGTCTAGCACATATAATTATGCACAGCACATAATTCTTGGTTATGATAATAAACGTCTATGTTACTGGTTTATACGTTTACTATGCTATAATTTTTATTTTATTTTATTTATTTATTTTTTGGAAACAGGGTCTCACTCTGTTGCCCAGGCTGGAGTGAAGTGGCGCGATCTTGGCTCACTGAAACCTCTGTCTCCTGAGTTCAAGCCATTCTCCTGCCTCAGCCTTCTGAGTAGCTGGGATTACAGGTCCGCACCACCATGCCTGGCTAATTTTTGTATTTTTAATAGAGACAGGGTTTCACCACGTTGGCCAGGCTAGCCTCAACCTCCTGACCTCAAGTGATCCACCTGCCTCAGCTTTCCAGAGTGCTGGGATTATAGGTGTGAGCTACTGCGCCAGCCTATTTTATTTTATTTTTGAGACAGGGTCTTGCTCTGTCACCTAGGGTGGAGTGCAGTGGTCTGATCACAGCTCACTGCAGCCTCAAACTCCTGGGCTCAAGAGATCCTTCCACCTCTGCCTCCCAGGTAGCTGGGACTACAGGTACGTGCCACCATGCCTGGCTAATTTTTTTTTTCTGTCTTGTAGAGACAGGGTTTCACTATGTTGCCCAGGCTGATCTCAAACTCCTGGGCTCGAGCAATCCTCCCACCTCATCCTCCTAAAGTGCTGGGATTATAGGTTTGAGCCACTGCGCCCAGCCTTTATTGTTATTTTAGAGTGTACTCCTTCTACTTATTAAAAAAAAAATTAACTGTAAAGCAGTGAGGCAGGCCCTTCAGGAGGTATCCAGAAGAAGGCACTGTTATCACGGGAGAGGATGGCTCCTCCTAAGGACCTCCAAGTGGGGCAGGGTGTGGAGGTGGAGGACAGTGCCAGGGACAACCCTGACCCTGTGTAGGTCTAGGCTGACGTGTGTGCTTGTGTCTCACTTTTAAACAAGCAAGTTTTAAAAGTAAAAATAAAATAAAATAAAAGATTTTAAAAATTAGAAAGAGCTTATAAAATAAAAATATAAAGAAAAATATTTTCTTTATATTTTCCTGCACAATGTGTTCGTGTTTTTAGCTGTTAATACAAAAAAAATCAAAAAGTTTTTAAAAGCTTATAAAGTAAAAAAGTCGTAGTAAGCTAAGGTTAATTTATTATTGAGGAAAGAATATATATACACATATATATGTATACACATTATATATATTTTTGGAGATGGCATCTCACTCTGTCACCCAGGCTGGAGTCCAGCAGCACTATCTTAGCTCACTGCAGCCTCAAACTCCTGGGCTCAAGTAATTCTCCCACCTCAGCCTCCCAAGCAGCTGGGACTATAGGCATGTACCACCATGCCCAGCTGATATTTTTTATTATTATTATTTTTAGTAGAGATGAGGTTTCGCTATGTTGCCCAGGCTGGTCTCAAATTCCTGAGCTCAGGTGGTCCTCCTTCCTTGGCCTCCCAAAGTGCTGGGATTACAGACGTGAACCACTGCACCTGGCCAAAAAAAAAAAACCTATTTTTTATAAATGTAGTGTAGCCTAAGTGTATGGTGTTATAAAGCCAACAGTAGTTATAGCAATGTCCTAGGTCTTCACATTCACTCACTGACTCACACACAGCAACGGCCAGTCCTGCAAGCTCTATCCATGGTAAGTGCCCTACACAGGTGCCCTTTTTATCTTTGTATCACATTTTTACTTTAATTTTTCTTTTCTTTTCTTTTCTTTTCTTTTGAGACGGAGCCTCGCTCTGTCGCCCAGTCTGGAGTGCAATGGCGTGATCATGGCTCACTGCAACCTCCCCCTCCCAGGTTCAGGCGATTCTCCCTCCTCAGCCTCCTAAGTAGCTGGGATTACAGGTGCTCACCACCACGCCTGGCTAATTTTTGTATTTTTAGTAGAGACGGGGTTTCACCATTTGGCCACACTTGTCTTGAACTCCTGACCTCAGGTGATCCACCCACCTCGGCCTCCCAAAATGCTGAGATTACAGGTGTGAGCCACCATGTCCAGCCAACTGTAACTTTTCTGTCTAGATATGTCTAAATACAGAAATACATATTGCTGTCTTAGTCCATTTTCTGTTGCTTATAACAGAATACCTGAAACTGGGTATTTTTTTTTTTTTTTGAGACAGAGTTTAGCTCTGTCGCCCAGGCTGTAGTGCGGTGGCACAATCTCAGCTCACTGCAACCTCTGCCTCCCAGGTTCAAGCGATTCTCCTGCTCCAGCCTCCCGAATAGCTGGGATTACAGGCACCCGCCAAAATGCCCATGGAATTTTTGTGTTTTTAGTACAGATGAGGGGGGCGGGTTTCACTGCGTTAGCCAGGCTGGTCTTGAACTCCTGACCTCGTGATCCGCCCGCCTTGACCTCCCAAAGTGCTGGGATTACAAGCGTGAGCCACTGTGCCCAGCTGAAACTGGTTTATAAAGAAAAGAAATTTATTTCCTACAGTTCTGGAGGTTGGAAGTTCTACGTGGAGGGGATGCATCTGGTGAGGGCCCTCTTGCTGGTGGGGAACCTGCAAAGTCCTGAGGTGGTGCCGGCATCACACGGTGAAGGGCCTGAGCCTGCTAGCTCAGGTCTTTTCTTATTGCTAAGCCGCCAGTCCCATTCTTGTGATAATCCAGTAATCCACTAACTCATTAATTAATTCATGAATGAATTAATCCATTCCGAGGGCACAGCCCCCATGACTCAATCACCTTTTAAAGGCCACACCCCCAATATTACCACCCTGGGATCAAGCTTGTATGTGGGTTTGGAGGGGACAAGCAGTTGAGCTGCGGCACTTGCCTGGAGTGCTCACTGCAGTAGCATGCTGGCTCTACAGGCTGATAGACTAGGAGCAACAGGCTCTACCATACAGCCTATGTGGGTAGTAGGTTGTACCGTGCAGGTTCGTGTCAGCACACTCCATGATGTTTGCATAAGGACAAAGTTGCCTAACAATACATTTCTCAGGACATAGCCCCATCATTAAGTGTCTCAGGACATAGCCCCATCATTAAGTGACACATGATTGTATATGTATATACCTCCTATTGGCACCATTTCGCTGGAAAACCCTGATTAACACAGAAGGTGGTACCAAGAAGTGGGGTGCCACTGTGACAAATACCTAAAAATGCGGAAGCAGCATTGGAACTGGGTAGCGGTGTAGAGGCTGGAAGACTTGTGAAGTGCATGCTTGAAGAAGCCGAGATTGTCATGAAGGGATTTTAATGGTGATTCTGGTGAGGGCTCAGAAAACAAAGAGGACGCCAGAGCGAAAGCCTCTGTCTTCTTAGCGAATATGCAATCAATGACCAGATTGTTGGGAGAAACGTGCACAGTCGGGTCATTCTCATGCGGTCTCAGACGGAAATGAGGAACATGTTACTGGACAATGGAGAAAAGATGATCCTTATTATAAAGAGGCAGAGAACGTGGCTGAATCACGCTCATGTTCTAGTGTTACGGGAAAGGTAGAGAACTTGCCAGTGATGAAATTCGATTTGAGTTGAGGAGATTGCTAAGCAGTGTGAAAGGACTGGCTGGGTTCCTCCTGACTGCTTATAGCAAAACGTAAGAAGAGAGAAATGACTGATGAGGGAATTGCTAAGCAAAAAGTAACTAGAACTTAAAGATGTGGAAAATGGGCCGGGCGCGGTGGCTCACGTCTGTAATCCCAGCACTTTGGGAGGCCGAGGCGGGCGGATCACAAGGTCAGGAGATTGAGACCATCCTGGCCAACATGGTGAAACCTCATCTCTACTAAAAATACAAAAAATTAGCTGGGCGTGGTGGCTCACGGCTGTAATCCCAGCTACTCGGGAGGCTGAGGTGGGAGAATGTTGTGAACCCGGGAGGCAGAGTTTGCAGTGACCAGAGATCGTGTCACTGCACTCCAGCCTGGGTGACAGAGCGAGACTCCGTCTCACAAAAAAAAAAAAAAAAAAAAAAGATGTGGAAAATGGTCAGCTTATCCGTCCGTATTGCAACAAATGAGAAAGCATAGTTGACAAAGAAGACTAAGGGTGTAGTCATCAACCAGTGGATAAGGAGATTCGTGTGGGTGGGAACCTCAGACTGTCAGCCACCCGGTGGGAATACTGCAGCTTAAACTGAAGGGGAAGGAGACGGGAAGGAATGAAGGAATGAAGGAATTGGACTTCTTGGATTTAACGGGTCAGGACCATAGAGCTGCTCTGTGTGAACATGCTCCATTCTTCAAGACAGTGGAAGAATGACCCCATAGGTGAATCCGAGCTCATCACGGCTGCCTCCCAGGTTTCAAAAGGGGGGGTCTCACCTCACTTTCGGCAGACCAGATGACCTTTGCCCGAAGCCATGGGGGCCTGCCCCTGCCCAGCAGAGCCCTGGGGGTGGGACCCCTGCCTGGCAGAGCTGGTGGGTGGGGTTGCCGCCCCGGTGCACCTGGCAGGAAGAGCATGGAGCCAAAGAATACTATTTTGGCTTGGAGTTTTCCTTGGAGTTTTCCAAGTCCAAGTTTCAACTTGCTTGGATCCACCGCTTCCTTCTTCCCTATTTCTCCCTTTTAGGATGGAAATGTCTATCCTATGCCTATCCCACCATTTTTGTTTGTTTGTCTGCTTTCAAAACAGAGTCTTGCTCTGTTGCCCAGGATGAAGTGCAGTGCATGATCTTGGCTCACTGCAACTTCCACCTCCTGGGTTCAAGCAACTATCCCACCTCAGCCTCCCCAGTAGCTGGGATTATAGGCACCCGCCACTATGCCCAGCTAATTTTTGTGATTTTAGTAGAGACGGGGTTCCGCCATGTTGGCCAGGCTGGTCTCAAACTCCTGACCTCAAGTGATCTGCCCACCTTGGCCTCCCAAAGTGCTGGGATTACAGGTGTGAGCCACCAGGCCCAGCCCCGATCATTGTATTCTGGAAGCACATAACTTGTTTGGCTAAAAGGCCTTGAGGCTGGAGGGGAATTTTGCCTTGTAAGAATTGTTCCCTGAGTCTCACCTGGATCGGATTTAGATGGTATTTAGATAAGACTTGGAGCTCACACCTTCAGAGTAGAAGCTGCAGCAAGCCTAAGGCATGCAAAGCTGTTGGGATGGAATGAATGCATTTTACATGGGAAGAACAGATACATTTGAAGAGGTTGGGATGGAATGTTTGTGTGTCCCCACAGTTCATATGTTGAAGTCTGATCTCCAGTGTGATGGCATCTGGAGGTGGGGCCTTTGAGAGGTGATTATTATCAGCTGACGCCAAGAGGGACTAGCGCCCTATGAGAGTCTCCAGAGAGCAAGTCTCTCTGCTCTCTACCACGTGCGGGTACACTGAGATGCCGAGAAGGGTGCAAGCTGGAAGAGGGCCCCCACAAGAACCCGACCATGCTGGCACCCAGATCTCAAACTTCCAGCCTCCAGAACTGTAAGAAGTAAATTCCTGTTGTTTATAAGCCACCCACCCAGTCTATGGCACTTTGTTATGGCAGCCCATAGAGCTGTCATATGCGAGACCAAGGCAGGTGAGCTAAACGAAGTCTCTCACTAAGGGAAGCCATCAAGAAAGCTTCCTGGGGCTCAGAGTGTTAGTTCTATTCTACCTCTTGGGTGGTGTGTTGGGTGCATGGGTGTGCACTTTCTTCTTATTTTTTTTTTAGTTGCATGTGTGATATATATACTCTTTTATACACACTCTGATATATGTAATCTTTTAATATTTTTTTTTTGAGACGGAGTTTCGCTCTTGTCACCTAGGCTGGAGTACAATGGCACGATCTCAGCTCACTGCAACCTCCACCTCCTGGGTTCAAGTGATCCTCCTGCTTCAACCTCCTGAGTAGCTGGGATTACAGGTGGGTGCCACCACGCCCAGTGAATTTTTATATTTTTAGTAGAGACAAGGTTTCACCATGTTGCCCAGGCTGGTCTCGAACTCCTGACCTCAAGTGATCCAGCCACCTCAGCCTCCCAAAGTTCTGGGATTACAGGTGTGAGGCATCACGCCCAGCCTGCACTCTTCTAACATTAAAAAAAATTATTTGTTATTTATTTTTTTTGAGATGGAGTCTTGCTCTGTTGCCCAGGCTGGAGTGCAGTGGCACAATCTTGGCTCACTGCAACCTCTTCCTCCCAGGTTCACGCCATTCTCCTGCCTCAGCCTCCCGAGTAGCTGGGACTACAGGCGCCCGCCACCACGCCCAGCTAATTTTTTGTATTTTTAGTAGAGACGGGGTCTCACCATGTTAGCCAGGATGGTCTCGATCTCCTGACCTTGTGATCAGCCCACCTCGGCCTCCCGAAGTGCTGGGATTACAGACGTGAGCCACCGCGTCCGGCCTAGAAACATTTAACATTAAACAGTAAAGCAGATGCTCACATGCACAGACTTGCGTATGTGCCTGCACCTGCACAGGTGTGCACACAGGTGTGCCCAGCCTCTCTCAGGAGCTCTGCCAGCAGGTGTCAGTGGGACCCAGCCGCCTGCATATTCTGCAAAGGTCATTCAGATGATTCTCACAGCCCCCGAGATTGAGACCTCCTGCTCTACAACAAAAGGTGCTCGTGCTCTCAAATCTTTTCCCTCAGGTTTCCCAAAATGAGGGATAATTGAAACACATCATTTGCTCTTCGCATGAGAAGCAAAAGTGAGTAACGTGCTGTACGAGGCTAGAATTAATGAAGAGGCTCATGAATGTAATCTCATACATTAAAACCTTTCCCAAATTCATGTCAATCTGCATTGTAATGTTCATATTTTATAAAATGGGGTGTGGGGTTCAGAAACAGTTTGCAAAATGAATGTCCTGCCTCGATAAGCCAGGCACATTTTTTTTTTTTCAGCTTAAAAAACAGGAAAGCCAGAAGCGGTGACTCACGCCTGTAATCCCAGCACTTTGGGAGGCCGAAGCGGACAGATCACCTGAGGTCAGGAGTTCGAAACCAGACTGGCCAACATGGTGAAACACTGTTTCTACTAAAAATTGGCCAGGCATGGTGGTGAGTGCCTGTAATCCCACTACTTGGGAGGCTGAGGCAGGAGAATCACTTAAACCTGAAAGGCAGAGGTTGCAGTGAGCCAAGATCATGCCATTGCACTCCAGCCTGGGCGACAGAGCGAAACTCCGTCTCGAATAGAATAGAATAGAATAGAATAGAATAGAATAGAATAGAATAGAATAGAACAGAACAAAATAAAATAAAATAAAATAACACAGCAGAGGGAGGTCAGAAGCAGTGGCTCATGCCTGTAATCCCAGCACTTTGAGAGGCTGAGGAAGGAATCACTTGAGACCATGAGTTTAAGACCTGCCTGGGCAACATAGTGAGACCCCTGTCTTTACACAATTAAAAAAAAAATTAGCCAGGCATGATGGTACACACCTGTAGTCCCAGCTACTCAGTAGGATGAAGTGGGAGGATCGCTGTAGGTCAGGAGTTCAAGACTAGCCTAGGCAACATAGCGAGACACAGTCTCCACCAAAAAATTAAAAATTAGCCAAACATGGTGGTGTATGCCTGTTGTCTCAGCTACTCGGGAGGCTGAGGCAGAAGGATTGCTTGAGCCCAGGAGGTGGAGGCTGCAGTGAGCTGTGACCATGCCACTGCATTGCAGCCTGGGGGACAGAGCAAGATGTTGTCTCAAAAAAGACAAAAACCCAAAACCAGACAGAAAGCCTTGCTCTGGAATGGATGAGGGCCAGAATCTGCTCATTAGGAGCCTGGTACTGGGCCTCTATCCTGGACTTGAGTTGCAGGAGAAAGGACCAAAGCACCAAGTTGAAACATAGAACAGGTAATCCGAGACCTCGCCGGACACATGCACATGTCTGCACTCTCACGCGTGGTGCACACGCTGCACACCCTTGCATACACACACATGAGCACGCTCATGCTCACACATGCCCTGGCCCACCGCCCCACCTCGACCTCTCCCTCTGGGACCCCAGTCCTGCCTCCTCTGCTACACCCCCTCCCCACCACACTCACCAGCCCTCCCCTGGGGGCCTGCGGCAGGGACCACAGGGGTTTCCTAAGGTCCCCTCATTCTTCGCCATCTGAGGCCCTCTCAGATCTGCTGGCAGACATTTCGGGGGAAAGAGGAGGGGCCAGGAGCTCCTAGCAGCTCCCCCTCTGCAACCTTGACTGGCTCTGCAGACACCTCCTAGGTGCCACGATGGGCCGGGCACGTTCCAGGCGCCAGGGACACATTCCCACCATGCAGGGAGACAGGAGACAAGCACAGTTGTGCCGGCAGGAGGAGCCAGCAGGGCTGAGAGGGGGAGGACAGGAGCCAGGGAGGGCTTCCCTGAGGTGTCATGGGCACAGACACTGTCAGGCGTGGGGAGGGATGCACTCTGCAGGGGGATCTGCACTGCCCAGGCCAGGAGCCGAGAAGTGGATCCAGGAAGGGCTGGGCCCTGCGGTTACCTGTCACCCAGAATGGCACTGGGCGCCTCTTCTGTCCCCGCCGGCTGTGTGGCCCGAGGCGGGCCCTGGGGCTTGGGTTTCTCATCCATGCAGTAGGGACAGTGTCCCACCTCTGCGTCCCTCATGGGGCATGGCAAGGACCGGGGGAATGGAGGGCCTGCCTGGTCGGATCAGAGAGCAGGGTGGGGGGTGGCGGCGGTCTCAAAGAGGAAGGAAGGCCCCTAGGCTGGGGAAGTCGTGTTGATGCCACCACGGGCACAGCCAAGGACAAAATGCCCTGGGGGCCTCACGGGACCAGACCCTTGGGTCCTCCCACCAGGGGTGGGAGACCATCCTGTCCATGACCACGTCCCACGACATGACTTCAGTTCCCGCCTGTCCTCACACTGGGGACTCCCCCTGCTCACTGCACCCACTGTCCAGTGATGGGTAATTTGAGCCCCAGCAGAACAGTTGTCAAGAGGCTGCTCCGGGAAGGCCACGCAGGCACCACACTCAGGGCAAACGTAGTGGAGTAGGGGGTGGGAGGCGATTGCGGACATGGGCATGAGGGTTCCCAGGAAGAGGGTGGGCATGAGGCAGGCATCTGCATGCTTTTGGGGGGGCATGGCTCTGAAGGGGCAGGTGCAGGTGGGAGAGGGTGTGGGGAGAGAGAATTCTGTGCCCCCATGCAGGGGGATGGGTGTTGCCAGAGGCAGGGTGGGGGCACCGCGGACAGTCGGGCGGAGGGCACATTCCAGGAAGCGTTTTACACACAGGCAGACAGGCCCCACTGCAGGGAAATGGAAGATGGGAAGGGCAGCCCATGGCTTTTCTGGTGTCAGAATGGATTTCTGAAACACAGAGTGAACACAGTCATCCGAAAAGCCCAGGGTTCAATGTGCTGGAGCCCAGATCCGTGGGAGCCCAGGGTGGGGACCTGGGCCTGGGGCTGGGGCTCTTTGGACACTGGCCAGGAGGAAGCAGGAGAGGAGCCAGGTAGGGCCCCGACGGCCTCACGGGCTGCTCAGGACAGACCCTGCAGCCAGGACGAGCGTAGGGCTCCAGCAAAGCTGGACCTGCAGCGTGCCGTTGGGGAGGGGCCTGCCTGGGGTCCACTGTTCCCTCAGTCACAGGCTCCCCAGCGTCCCTTCCCGCACCAGAGTGAACGGCAGGAAAAGATGCTGCAGCGGCGCCCGGCCTGCACCTCCTCCCAGGTGAATCTTGTGGAAAAGGAGATGTAGGCCTAGACAAATCTTTTGTTTTAGAACATTTCCTTCTTGAAAAAAAGAAAAAGAAAAAAGAAACCAAAAAAACCCTTGTCTTCCAGGGAGATCAAAAGGTGATGGTGAAGGAGTCCCGCAAGCTGGGAGTTTAAAAATGGAACAGGCCGGGCGCGGTGGCTCACGCCTATAATCCCAGCACTTTGGGAGGCCGAGGCGGGTGAATCACGAGGTCAGGAGTTCAAGACCAGCCTGGTCAACATGGTGAAACCCCATCTCTACTAAAAATAGAAAAAATTAGCTGGGCACGGTGGTGGGCGCCTGTAATCCCAGTGACTCAGGAGGCTGAGGCAGGAGAACCGCTTGAACCTGGGAGGCGGAGGTTGCAGTGAGCCGAGATTGTACCACTGCACTCCAGCCCAGGTGACAGTGGAGGCTCCATCTCAAAAAAAAAAAAAGAAGAAAAAAGAAAAAAATAGCACAGAACTGGGTCAGGTGGGTTTGTCCTGCCACAGACAGGGTGCTGCTTAGAACCAACCAGCTTTCCCCAGAACTCACCTCCTGCCACTTCATGGTGGAGGGGGTGGCTGCTGGGTTGGACCCAACTCCACCATCTTCCAGCTGGTGAGGATTTCCACGCCATTCCAGGTCACCCCCCGACCTGTTGGGAGCCGGCGTCTTGGACAGGGGAAAGCTGAACAGGGCAGTGAAGAACAGTCTAGAAGCATGTTCTTCACTTCAAGACCCAGGACCCCATGGACATCCTGCCTACAGATCGCCCCACTAGCCCTGCTTCAGTCACTGGGCATCTGGCAGCACTCGATAGGTGCCATGTGGTACTGCCTGCTCTGTGGGTGCAGCTGCCATGCCGAGGCCGTCCCCTCTGTCCTCTCCAGGCTCTCCTGTAACCTCCCAGCTCTGCTCTCCCATGCCCTCCCTCAACCCAGCCCTTCCGTGGGGGCTCCTCCTGGCTCTCCCCGGCCTGTCCCTCCACACCCCCTTTCAGACCCTCACAGCTGCCTCCCCACACCAGCCTTCAGGGGACTCTGCAGCCCACCTCTCTGCCCACTCCTTCCTCCTAGATTCTCACTGAAGCTTCCCCCGCTCTCCCTAGACCCGCAGCTCATACCCCCGGCTACTTATTAGAATGCCTGGCAAGCTTGGATAAAACCCCATACTCAGCCACACCCAGGCCCATTAAACCACACACCTAGAGTTGGCCTGGAAGCCTCGAGGTACATCCAGGGTGCAGCAGGTAGGAGGCCTCAGTCCCAGACCAAGGAAGGAGCCCTTACCATAGAGTGCCCAGCCCCACCCCAGCCCCGATGCTCACCAGCGTGGGGATTGTATGTTGACCCACACTCAATGAGTGTCTGTGGGATCAGTACATCAGTGATGGGGGGATCAGTCCATCAACAGATCAATGAATGAACCAATGACTGGATGATCTGAGTGGCCACTGCTATTGGCTGAGACGGCTTCTCTCAGGTTTGTCCTCACCACCTGCTTGCTGTCTGAGCAGCCCACCCTCCTCCGTGCACCCCTGGACCCACCTCTGCTTCCCATGGGTACACCCTTGCCTCTGATACAGACGGAAATCCTGATGGCGACAGAGCTGACTCTCCTAAGGCATCCTTTGCATCTGCATCAAAACGATCTGAGGCCACAGATGAGGCCACGAAGAGAAGAACGTGGCCCTGCCTGCTCTGGATTCCCAGCCCCACGGCCCTGCTGTCCTGCTGCTGCTTCCCTGCACTTCCTCTGCTCACCCGCCCGGCAGAGGGTGGTCCCCTGGGCCCACGCAGGCCTGAGCAGCGCACTCCTCCAGGCTTTGGGTGTAAGTCGTTCTTGCGGTCAGTTTATCCTGTGTCTGCCTGTTCCCATCCCAAACCTCCCCAGGGACTCTAGAAAGCGTGTCCTGGGCCACCTTTCCACGTGGGGAGCAAGAAAGCCATCAGCCCCATCCTCCCAGGGGCTCTCATGGGCAGCCTGGCCCTGACTCCCCAGGCGGCTGCTCTTCACACTGCTGTCCATGGGCAACGAGCTCCCACACCTCTGTTGGGGTTTGTCCTGAGCGGAACCTGGGTCCCCCGACTGCCCTCCCCGCTCACTCCCTGCACATTCTCTAGGAGTTCACTGAGAAAGGTGCCTGGAGGCCTCCTCAGTCTTAGGGTCCCCCGGGGGACGAGGATGCAGAGTAGCTTCCCACGGGGCTGTGAAGGTTTTGCCCGCTGCCGACATTGTCCACCTGCAGCCACCTGAGAGGCAGTGCCAGTCAGATCACCAGCTCTTTCGTGGGACTGGGACCTGCTCTGCCAAGAGTTGGCTTCATGTCCTGTGTTCAGAAATTTCATGATGCCATGCCGGCCTTCCTTCACTCATTCAACCTGGAGCCTCACGTCCACATTTTAGGATGTTTCCTCATAAATCACTTGCTTGGCGATGCTCTCCATTCTGTTTTCTCTTTCTGGAGCTCTTATTAATGTTTTCTTCCCTATTTTTCATTTCATTTTCTCTACTTTATGAAAAAATTATCTTTTTTTTTTTTGAGACGGAGTCTCTCTCTGTCACCCAGGCTGGAGTACAGTGGCACAATCTCGGCTCATGGCACAATCTCCACCTCCTGGGTTCAAGTGATTCTCCTGACTCAGCCTCCTGAAGAGCTGGGATTACAGGTGCCCACCACCATGCCCAGCTAATATTTGTGTTTTTAGTAGAGACAGCGTTTCACCATGTTGGCCAGGCTGGTCTCGGACTCCTGACCTCAGATGGTCCACCTGCCTTGGTCTCCCAAAGTGCTGAGATTACACATGTGAGCCACCACGCCCCGCCTGAGAAATTTATCTTTTATGGAAGTTTTCATTTGTGCTTTTTTTTTTTCATTTCCAAGAGCTCTTTCTTAATTTCTCACTGTTCCTTTTTTATTACATCCTGTTCTTAGGTCATGGATGTGCTGTTTTCTCTTCTCTCTCCAAGGGTATCAGCAATAAGGTTTTTTCTTTTTTATATTTTTTGTTCCTCAGGTTGCTACTCTTTCCCCCAAGCTCCCTTCTTTGGTGCATGGGGATGTGGGATCTGTCTTTCGTGTGGGGTCTTTTTCTTCTTCAAAGTCCAGTGACCCTTGGGGTCCACGTGTCTTCATGAGAGGCTCAAAAGTGCTGAGGTGGAGCAGTGTGGGTGTAGGGGGATGAGGGGCTGCTCCAGGGTGGACCTCAGAGGGGGAAGCAGCAAGGTCTGAATATGTGGTCAGGGTTCTTAAGAGGCCAGCGCAATTCCACAGAGCCCCCACCTCCCACCCGGGAGACACATCAGGCTGTTGGCACTCGGGGAGGGAGCAGAGTAAAGGGCTCAGGCCACCTTTCAGGATGTGGCTGTGACCTGATCTCCTGGCCCTCCTCAGTGCCTTGCTCTCTCACAGGCTGTGCCTACCCCTGGCCCCAGCCCAGAACCTCCCAGCCCTGACTCCTGAGAGCAGCACCTGGACCCCTGTCTTCTGCCTGCATCTGTAGGAAAAGCAGTCTCCTAGGGGTGGGTCTGAGCTCCCAGTCCACCCCATGCTCCACCTTCAGAGCTGCCTGGCCTTCTGGATGGAGTCCCTCTGGGGTCCTGGGGATTCCCCACCCTGTGTGCCTGGGCTCTGCCTCTCCCTGGTCTGCCCAGTTGGTACTGCCCAGCTGTCTGTCTTCCAGCTGAGCCAGAGAGGAGATGCCCACAGATAAGCAGGGTCAGCCGTGTCCTCTGTGGTCCTCCCGTGAGTCTAGGGAGGGGATGCCCCAGAGGAGCAAGGTCAGCAGTGTCCCCTCTGTGGTCCAAGATCCAGGGAGAAGCGTGTGCTCTGCACGCTGTGCTGAACCAGAAGTCACCCCCTTACATTTGACTCTGTCTTCAATGTATTTTTAGAAGGAAACTGTAACCACTGCTGCTTCGAATGTGCTGTCACCATCATAGCCACCTCCCCTACAAAGACACAAGCAGGAGCCAGAGGCTGGGAAGCCTGGCAACCTCGAGAAATGGCACCTGGGATGTCACTTGCACAAGAAAAAGAAGACAGAGTGTGCCCACCTGGCCCAAGAGCTGAAGCCCGGAAGTGGGGTTGGGTGACTGGGCCAGGAGCCTCTGCCCTCGGTCCTCCCACCTCGGGAAGAATCCGGGGCACAGTGTTATGGGGCAGTTGTAGGAGTAGCCGACAAACAAAATCAGGAGACTTCTCGTCACATTCAGACTTCCAGCTTGCTATAGGTTGGATGTTCATCCCCTCCAAATCTCCTGTTGAACTGTGGCTACCAGTGCTGGAAGTGGGCCTGGCGGGAGGTGTCTGGGTCCTGGGGACAGATCCCTCGTGGCTTGGTGCTGTCCTGCCATAGTGAGTTCTCCAAGATCTGATTGTTTAGAGGCGTGTGGCACCGCCCCGCACTCTTTCCTGTTCCTCTTCTCGCCGGGTAATGTGCCTGCTCCTGCTTCCCCTTCTGCCTGAGTGGAAGCTCCCTGAGGACCCCCGGAAGCCGAGCAGCTGGCGATGCCATGCTTGTACAGCCTGCAGAACCGTGAGCCAATTAAACTTATTTCTTTATATTACCCAGCCTCAGGTATCTCTTTATAGCAATGCAAAAAAAAAAAAAAAAAGAAACAACAACAAAAAAAACCCCACAGCCTAACACACAGCTCCTCTTAAAAACCAGCTCTGGGCCAGGCACAGCGGCTCACGCCTATAATCCCAGCACTTTGGGAGGCCAAGGCAGGTGGATCACCTGAGGTCAAGAGTTCAAGACTAGCCTGGCCAACACGGTAAAACCCTGTCTCCACTAAAAATACAAAAAATTAGCTGGGCATGGTGGTGCATGCCTGTAATCCCAGCTACTCGGGAGGCTGAGTCAGGAGAATCACTTGAACCCAGGAGGCGGTGGTTGCAGTGAGCTGAGATCGCACCACTGCACTTAGCCTGTGCGACAGAGTGAGACTCCGTCTCAAAAAAAGAAAAAACAGCTCTGGAGCCGAGTTCCCACAAAGCAGCATTGTCTGTCTGCTTAGAGCTGGGGCTTCTTGACAAGCCACTTCATTTTTCTGAGTGTCAATGTATTTATCTGTAAAATAAAAATTTACTTTTAATTTTTAAAAAATGGCCTGGGGTGACAACTGCCCCACCCCCTGGGGTAGGATCTGTGCCCCTCAAATCTGCCCGCTCCCCAGCATTAGCACCGTTCCTACTAGTGAGTCTATGACCCCTGGGCCGAGGGAGTTAGGGTGACTGTGGGGCAGCTCTAGGCCCCTTCTCCCCTCCACTGTGCAGGGGCAGCCTCGGAGCCCTTCACTCCTCAGGCCTGGGCTGGTGCCCCTCCGTGCCTGCTGTGGGAGCTGGGGACGCATGCCACCCTCACGGGGTAGGCATGCCAGCCGGGGAGCCAGAAAGAACATGAGGCAAAGATGGGTTGAGTGCAGGGTGGACCCAGGGTGGCAGGGAGGAGCTGCTTGCCATTTGAGCCGGGTGGCCTCTCCGAGAGCAGAGGAGGCTGAGGCCCAGCCACGTGGGGTCTGGAGGAAGAGTCTCCAGGCAGGGGCAGCAGATGAGAGGGCACCAAGGCAGGAGTGTCCTCAGGGGACAGCAGGGGGACCCGAGTGGCACCTCAAGGGGGAGGAACAGGGAGGTGGGCGGTTGGGCAGATCCCCAGGCCTCTCCACATTCCGGAAGGGATCCCCCCTGGCCTTGTGTGCACCAGGTGAGGGGCCAGGGCAGAGGAGGGCCAGGCAGAGGCTCCTCCTGTAACACAAGCAAGGTGGCCGCGGCGGGGGCCGTGTGGCTGCAGGTTAGGTGTCGTTGGATTCTGCATAGGTGTTGAAAGTCAAGGCATTGAGATTTCCTGGCCCCAGCTGTGAGAGAACGACGTGGGGGTCATGGAGAGCTCCAGGGCCTTTGCCTGAGCACTGGTGGTGGGGACCGATGCCACTGGGGCGGGTGGAGACAGATCTGCATCCCTGGCATCAGAACTGCAGTCCTTTGCACGCAGCCCCAGGGGGACGGGAACCTGCGGTCCGGGAGCCATGGGGGCTGCAGCTCAGGGAGAAGCCCCCACGTGGTGAGGTTGCACATGGCCAGGCCAGGACTGGGCGCTGAGCCCCAGGAGGAACCCGAGGGAGACTAGAAGTGGGGCCAGCAGAGAGAGGAAACCAGGGGATGTTGGGGAGCCCGGCAGCAGTAGGAGGGGGGACTGTGGCCGAGCTGCCCCTCCCCACCCCAGAGGACAGCTTAAGGGACTTAATCTCCAGGAAGTCATGGGTGACCTTGACCACGACAGCATCAGCTTGTGGCAGAATGGCAGTGATTGCAGGGGCAGTTCCTCTGGCGTTTGCAGAAAACAGGAGGCAAGCTTGCCGGGGATAGGGGGTTACGGGAGGGGGGTTTAGAGTGGACAAAATTGCAGGATACTTGGGGGCTACTAGGGATGGCTCTGAAGAGAGGGGAAAGCTGAAGTTCCCAGGAGAGGACTCAGCAGAAGGGAAGGGAGCCCAGGGGGGCCGGGGGAGGAGCCGTGTGGAAGGAAGGAGACAAGAGATGGGTGGAATGGGAAGAGGAGGTGGGAGGCAGGGGAGGTGGAGAAAAGGAGGGGGAGGTGGGAGGGAGCCCTTGGGAAAGGAGGAAGAGTTAGGTGTTGGGGGAGGTGGGAGTGAGGGATACACGGGAGGCAGGAGGGACTGCCTGTAAGGACTTGGACTCAGCCAGGCGCACAAACAGCAACCAAGAATGATGTTTGCACATCTCAGGCCCAACTTTTACAACCACTTTGGAACAAAACCAAAGACAGTAAACACGGTGAAGTCATCCAGTGCATGTGAAAGAAAAAAAAATATTGTGTTCTTCATCCAAACAGTGAATGTTCTTAGCATTTCTGAGAAACACAGGTCACGTGGATACTAATCAGGGAGTGCTTCCTGGAAGAGGTGGGAGTACGGGCAGAAATCAGCCAGGTAGAGGGGAGGTGGCTTTCCAGACAAGACCATGGGCTGAGCAAAGGCCCCAGATGGAGGAGGAGGAGGAGCGGACAGGCCAGTGTGGGGAGGGTCTGCGTCTGCTGGGAGCAGAGAGAAGCCCCATCACACCGGCTCCTTCCTTGGGAGGCCTTCTCACCTTCCTAGAGGGAGCAGCGCCCCCATCCTGCTCCCCCCACCTCCCTGCAGCCTGCACCTGCCTATCAAGAAGCCTTACCCCATCTCAAGCACACACTTGGGTATACGTTGGTCTCTGCCACCAGCTGCAGCTGATCTCTGCCAGCTCCGCAAGGGAGAGCCCTGTTGTGTTCAGTTCATTATTGTGTTTCCAGACCCAAGACAATGCATAAATGTATGAATGAATAATAGAAATGAATGGATGGATGGACGGACGGATGGATGGATGGGTCGATGGATAGATGGGCAGATGGATGGATGGATGGATGGACAGATGGGCAGATGGATGGATGAATGGATAGATGGGCAGATGGATGGATGGATGGATGGATGGATGGATGGATGGATGGGTAGATGGATGGATGGATGGATGGATGGATGGATGGGCGGATGGATGGATGGATGGATGTGCAGATGGATGGATGGATGGATGGGCAGATGGATGGGTGAATGAACAGATAGGTGGGTAGGTAGATAGATGGATATGTGCATGAATAGAAGGATAAGCAAATTCATGGGCAGATGAGTAGATGCGTGGGTGGATGCATGGATAGATGCGTGTGTAGCTGAATATCAGTTCAACTCTATTTTCTTAGGACTGGGTTGTTGCCTTTTACACCCCCAAAACCTTTATCCAAAGGCCTTTCTCACATTACTTTTCTCTTTCTCTTTGTTCTCAAGAAGTTCTTGCCTATAACCTTTATTTCTGGACATAATTACAAATAACCTTACATTGTTATTTAAATTCTTCATGTTTACACATTTAGCTTATAAATAATTCAAGAGGCTAATGCTGACTTTGAACTAGACTCACTACCAGAGTGATAAATCAACCATGTTTGAACCCCTGTGGACTTGGCAATGTTCTAATCATTAAGATGATGACACCGGGCATGGTGGCTCACGCCTGTAATCCCAGCACTTTGGGAGGCAGAGGAGTTCAAGACCAGCCTGGGCAACATAGTGAGACCCTGTCTGTACAAAAATAAAAATATCAGGTAGGCATGATGGTGAGCGCCTGTAATTCCAGCTACACAGGAGGTTGAGGCAGGAGAATCACTTGAACCCAGGAGGCAGAGGTTGCAGAGAGCCGACATCGCGCCATTGCACTCCAGCCTGGGTGACAAAAGTGAACCTCCGTCTCAAATAAATAAATAAATCAGCTGGGCATGGTGGTACATGTCTGTAGTCTCAGCTACTCAGAAGACTAAGGCAGGAGGATCACTTGAGCCCAGGAGGTCGATGCTGCAATGAGCTGTGACCGCACCCTTGCACTCCAGCTTGGGTTACAGAACGAGATCCTGTCTCAAAAAAAAAAAAAAAAAAAAAAGATAAAAAAGTGTTCTGCTCGAGCTCTTCTTGGGGACTGGGCCTGCCCTGGGATGCATTCTGCAGAGATGTCCCTGCCTGGTCTTCAGACATAAGGGGCCTCACTCGAACCTTTTGAAGCTCCCCATTGCCCCTTGCCCAGCCTCTCCTTGGCCCACCCATACCTGTGCCCCCACTCTCCCACCCTAACCCTCCCAGCCTTACCTCACTCTACGCCACCTACACCTCTGCCCCTCCAGCCACTCTGGTCTCCTTCTAGCTCCCCAGAGGTGCCATCTTCCCTTCTGCCACGGGACCTTTGCCATGCAGTTTCCTGTCTTTGCCTCGTTAACCTCCATGCATTCTTCAATTTGGGGCTCGCTGTCACTTCCTTGGGGCCCCTATAGGGTCAGGCCTCATGCACCCTCTCCTTGTCTTCTCTGTGCTTGCTTGGCTGCTGGTCATTACTCAGCCAGGTGAGTATCTGGTTTACCTCTCCTTCCCCCTCTCAACTGGATGCTCCATGAGGGCAACCCCAGCCTGGTTTTCCCTCATCATGTACCTCCCAGAGTGAGGGGGTATCTACAGAGCCCCAGAAAAGGGGCTCCTGGGAAGGCAGGGGGTGCCTGGCTGGACTCTACTGCCATTTGATGCCCTGAGGGGAGAGTGCATCAAGCTGCCCCATGCACCTGCCGGTCCCTACCTGCCTGGGGTCAGGGTCAAGTCAGCTTCTTACCCTAATTTGGCATCCAGGAGAGACAGCCCACTGGCTTGGGCGCAGAAGTAACCAGCACTCCAGAGAGCTCCATCTTGCGGAACGGCATCTGGGGAAGCATCTGGTTTTGCCATCTGATGAGATCTGGTAATTTAAAAGTGTGTGGCACACCAACCTTGCTCCCGTTCTCACCGTGTGATGTGTCTGCTCCCACTTCTTTTGTCACTATGACTGGAAACTTCCTGAGGCCTCCCAAGAAGCAGATGCCACTATGCTTCCTGTAAAGCCTGCAGAACCTTGAGTCAATTAAACTTCTTTCCTTATCAATGCTGCAGTCTTGGCCAGGCGCAGCAGCTCGCGCCTCTAAAGTTGATGAAGACCTAGCCTGCCATGTGCTCATAAGAGCCAGCCTCTCACCACAGGAGGCCATCAAAGTCAGGGAGACTCCTGGGAGTCCTGCTGTGGGGAGACAGGATCCTCACAGGCTTTCCTGGAAACGCTGGAGCATGCTGGGCCCTCCCCATCCCCATGGCCACACAAGGCCTTACATGTGCTGGTGTGCTGAGTTCCAGGACCCCAGTGAGAGGCCCAGCAGTAAAAGGCAATAACATAGGTGGGGAAGGAAGGGCCAGGGAGGCAGCAGTTGCCTCTACTCAGTGGGGCATCAGCCCCAACTGCCAGTCCCCAGCTGAGCAACCCAGAAAGTCACTTTTCTTCTCTGAGCCCCATCTATAAAAAGAGAGGGAGTTGGCAATTAAGCAAGAAGATACAACAAAGGCATCCATATTGAAAAGGAAGAAGTAGGCTGGGTGCAGTGCTCACGCCTGTAATCCCAGCACTTTGGGAGACCGAGGCGGGTGGATCACCTGAGGTCGGGAGTTCGAGACCAGCCTGACCAACATGGAGAAACCTTGTCTCTACTAAAAATACAAAATTAGCTGGGCATGGTGGTGCATGCCTGTACTCCCAGCTACTCAGGAGGCTGAGGCAGGAGAATCATTTGAACCTGGGAGGCAGAGGTTGCAGTGAGCCAAGATCATGCCATTGCACTCCAGCCTGGAACAAGACACCAAGAGCAAAACTCCATTTCAAAAAGAAAGAAAAGAAAAGAAAATGAAGAAGTAAAGTCATCTCTATTTGCAGATGACATGACCTTGTACATAGAAAATCCTAAGCCACTGAAAAAATATTAGAACTAGCACTTTGGGAGGCTGAGGTGGGAGGATTGCTTGAGCCCAGGAGTTCAAAACTATCCTGGGCAATGTAGCAAGACCCCAGCTCTACAAAAAAATTAAAAATTAGCCAGGCATGGTGGCACATGCCTATAGTCCCAGCTACTTGGGAGGCTGAGACAGGAGAATCACTTGAGCCTAGGAGCTTAAGGTTGCAGTGAGCTATGATCACACCACTGCACTCCAGCCTGGGTAACAGACCCTGTCCCAAAATAAACAAATAAATAATAACTATTAGAGCTAATAAATGAGTACAACAGGGCTGCAGGGTATAAGATCAATGTATGAAAATCAATTGTGTTTCTATACAGCAGTAATCAACAAACCAAAAGTGAGATGAAGAGAACAATTCCATAATACTTTGGAGTCAACTTAACAAGATAAGTGCAAAACACATATTCTGAAGACGACAATACGTTGTTGAAAGAAATTTTAAAAGACCTAAAGAAGTGGAAAGACATCCTATGTTCATGGGTTGGAAGCCGAATATTTTTAAGATGACATTGCTGCCCAAATTGGTTTTTATTTGCATTTCCCTGATGCCACTGGTATGGCAGATTCAACACAATCCCTATCAAATTCCCAATTACCTTCTTTGCAGAAATTGACAAACTATCCCTAAATTCATATGGAAAGGCAAGGAATCCAGAATAATCAAAGCAATCTTGAAAAAGAAGCACAAAATTAGAGAACTCATACTTTCCAATATCAGAACTCACTACAAAGCTACAGTAATCAGAGCAGTGTGGTGCTAGAATAAGGACAGACATATAGACCAATGGAATAGAACAGAGAGACCAGAAAGAAACTCTCACATTTATGGGCAACTGGTTTTTGCCAAGGGTACCAGGCACCTTCAATGGGAAATTTGTTGAAACAGTCTTTTCAACAAATGGTGCTGAGAAAACTGAATATCAACATGCATAAGAATGAAGTTGGATACTACCTCACACTATATACAAAACTTAACACAAAACTAATCGATAGTCCGGGTGCAGTGGCTCACGCCTGTAATCCCAGCACTTTGGGAGGCCGAGGTGGGCAGATCATGAGGTCAGGAGATCGAGACCATTCTGGCTAACACGGTGAAACCCTGCCTCTACTAAAAATACAAAAAAAAGTAGTCGGGCATGGTGGCGGGCGCCTGTAGTCCCAGCTACTCAGGAGGCTGAGGCAGGAGAATGGTGTGAACCCGGGAGGCGGAGCTTGCAGTGAGCAGAGATTGTGCCACTGCACTCCAGCCTGGGCAATAGAGTGAGACTCTGTCTCAAAAAAAAAAAAAAAAAAAAAAAGTAATTGATATAGCTTGTATATTTGCCCCTGTACAAATCTCATGTTGAATTGTAATCCTCAGCATTGGAGGTGGGCCCTGATGGGAGGTGTCTGGGTCATGGGGGTGGATCTCTTATCGCTTCGTGCTGTCTTTGCAATAGCGAGTGAGTTCTCATGAAATCTGGTAATTTAAAAGTGTGTGGCACACCAACCTTGCTCCCATTCTCACTGTGTGATGTGTCTCCTCCCACTTCTTTTGTCACTATGATTGGAAACTTCCTGAGGCCTCCCAAGAAGCAGATGCCTGTAAAGCCTACAGAACCATGAGTCAATTAAACTTCTTTCCTTATAAATGATACAGTCATGGTTAGGTGCGGTGGCTCGCGCTTGTAATCCCAGCACTTTGGGAGGCAAAGGCAGGCGGATCAGGAGGTGAGGAGTTCAAGACCAGCCTGGCAAACATAGTGAGACC
Source organism: Homo sapiens (assembly GCF_000001405.40). NCBI lineage: Eukaryota > Metazoa > Chordata > Mammalia > Primates > Hominidae > Homo > Homo sapiens. The sequence goes on from NC_000020.11 coordinate 62,110,507, forward strand.
CCATCTCTACTAAAGATACAAAAAATTAGCCGGACGTGGTGGCGCATGCCTGTAATCCCAGCTACTCGGGAGGCTGAGGCACGAGAATCGTTTGAACCTGGGAGGCGGAGGTTGCAGTGAGCTGAGATCACGCCATTGCACTCCAGCCTGGGTGACAGGGTGAGACTGTCTCAAAAAAAAAAAAATTATGCAGTCTCAGGTATTTCTTTTTTCTTTTTCTTTCTTTCTTTTTTTTTTTTTTTTGATACGGAGTCTCGCTCTATCGCCTAGGCTGGAGTGCAGTGGTGCAATCTCGGCTCACTGCAAGCTCCACCTCCTGGGTTCATGCCATTCTCCTGCCTCAGCCTCCCGAGCAGCTGGGACTACAGGCACCCGCCACCACGCCTGGCTAATTTTTTGTATTTTTAGTAGAGATGGGGTTTCATCGTGTTAGCCAGGATGGTCTCGATCTCCTGACCTCGTGATCCACCTGCCTTGGCCTCCCAAAGTGCTAGGATTACAGGCGTGAGCCACTGTGCCAGGCCAGTCTCAGGTATTTCTTTATAGCAATGCAAAAACAGCCTAATACAGACAATTGTTACCAAGGAGTGGGGGCATTGTTATAAAGATACCTGAAAATTTGGAAGCAACTTTGGAACTGGGTAACAGACAGAGGTTGGTAGAGTTCGGAGGCCTCAGAAGAAGACAAGAAGATGAAGGAAGCTTTGGAACCTCTTAGAAACAGGTTAAATGGTTGTGACCAAAATGTTGATAATGATAAGAACAATGAAGTCCAGGCTGCCAAAGTCTGAGATGGAAATGAGGAACTTGTTGAGAACTGGAGCAAAGGTCACCATTGTTATGCCTTAGCAAATAACTTGGCTGTATTCTGTTCATGTCCCAGGGATCCATGGTAGTTTGAACTTCATAGTGATGATTTAGAGTATCTGCTAGAAGAAGTTTCTAAGCAGCAAAGCATTCAAGAAGTGACCGGCTGAGGCTGGGCGCGGTGGCTGACGTCTGTAATCCCAGCACTTTGGGAGGCCAAGGTCAGGAGATCGAGACCATCCTGGCTAACATGGCGAAACCCCATCTCTACTAAAAGTACAAAAATTAGCCGGGCGTGGTGGCAGGTGCCTGTAGTCCCAGCTACTCGGGAGGCTGAGGCAGGAGTATGGCGTGAACCTGGGAGGCGGAGCTTGCAGTGAGCCGAGATGGCGCCACTGCACTCCAGCCTGGGTGACAGAGAGAGACTCCGTCTCAAAAGAAAAATAAATAAATAAATAAATAATAAAATAAAAAATAAAATAGATGCTGCATGCCTGTATCAAAGTATCTCATGTACCCCATGAATATATACAACTACTATGTATGCGTAAAAAAATTTTTTTAATGAAATGAGACCAGGCAGCTCATGCTTGTAATCCCAGCACTGGGGGAGGTGAGGGTGGGAGGATCCCTTGAGCCCAGGAAAACATAGTGAGACCCCACCTCTCTCTCAATAAAAAAAAAAAAAAAAAAAAAAAAGCTGGGTGTGGTGGTGCATGCTTGTACAGTCCCAGCTACTCAGAAGGCTGAGGTGGAAGAATTGCTTGAGTCTGGGAAGTTGAGGTTGCAGTGAGCTGTGGTCACGCCACTGCACTCTGCACTCCAGCCTGGGCAACAGACTGAGACTCAGGCTCAAAAGAGGGGAGGGGAGGGGAGGGGAAAGGAGGGGAGGGGAGGACTCCACCTCTCCTGGAGCTGCACCTGGGCGTGTTGGCCCCACTGCCTGCCTCTCTCCACTGCTCCCAGATCCTCTGCAGCCCCATAATAGGTGCTGCTCTGGGGCCCTGACTCCAGCTCAGCCCTGTGTGCTCTTCCCGTGAGAAGACCTACCATCATCAGTCTCAGCACCCTCCTTCGTGCCCCAAATGCAGATTCCCAGGAGAGAACTAGTTGGCCCAGCCTAGGGACTGGTTCCCCTGGCCAGGTGACCATCCCATCCAATCACTGGTGACAAAGGAGATGGCCGGGCAGCACAGCCATGGCCGCGGGAGCCCCATGTCTGATCCAGCAGGGGCATGGGGTGGATGCTGATTTCAAACACAAGGACTATGGCAGCTTCCCAAAGGGTATGCATGACTCCTCACAAAATGGCACACGAGGACATTGTTGAGGGCATGGATTATAGTGAATACCGACATCCTCTCCATGGCAGAGGCAGAAAGGTGCTGCCCAGATCCCCATCCAAGGAAGGGGGTGGAGTAAGCTGGCAGCCTCCAGATGACCATCTCAAGCCAGGTCATGTTCTTCTCCAGTGACCCGAGTCACTGCTGAGTAAGGCCGTGACTGCCTGCACTTCTGCAGGCAGCAAGATGGGTTTGTGGACAGGACCGCACTCCACCTGGTCAGTGACCAGGACTCTCCCTGGTTCAAGGGGCACAGCCAGCCTGGCCGGCCCAGCTGTTCATGCTCTCCCTGCAATAACCTGGGAGAATGAGAGGGTGCAGAGACCGTGGCCAGCCCTGTGCCACAACCCAAGCTGATTCGGGTTCTTAAAATGTGTGGCGAGGGCGAGGATAATGGAATTGGAGGATTGTTAACTAAGTCGCATTGACTTAGAGATGGATAATGACAAGCTGAGGGCAATTAACAAACAACTGAAGACTAAGTGTGAGAGCCAGCAAGCGTGTTGGCTTCCAAGAAGCCCTCAGGGCAGGCAGGCAGCAGGCAGCAGGCAGGGGTGCAGAACAAGCTCAAGTTCAAGTCCAGATTTCACAGCCACAGTGGCTGAACACAGAGATGGCTCAGCAGCCAGCGGAGTCACAGCTTAGGCTGTCAGGAGCCCTGGTTGGGAGCCCTGGGACACCCTGCTGGGGGTGCAGACTGAATGTGCAGACTGTGCTGAGGAGTTTGTAGCATTTGACCCCTCAGACGCCCCCTTCCCCATCAAGAGCCCACTGTTCCCCAGAATTCTGTAGTGTAGAATTCTCTCCCTGACAAGATAACAAGCTCCTCCTCTCTGAGAGCTGTCCTGAATCCTCTCTGGGCCACCAGACACCAAACCAGACCATAGCCCACCTGGTGACACACCGGGCTGACACTGGAGGAAAGAGGCCACACCCCCAGGGGGGCTGCAAGGCTCAGTCAGTGCATGCTGCCAAGACTGGGGGACACTTGTGGCACTGGATTCCAAGGGTGCTCAGGGTCCTTTTGGGCATCATGGCACCCCCTGGCCGGATCATTTCTTGCATGGACAAGCGCGGCCACCTCAGCCTGAGAAGGTCCAGTGGCCGGGGCTTAGGGAAGGAGTGTGAGCCTCCAGGACCTGCAGTGGCCACAGCTGAGGTGGGAGAATGCAGGAGGGAGGGAACGCATGCCAGGTGGGCCCCAGCTCAGCCACAGCAATGGGGGCTCTTCTGCCCACCTCCCTGCTCTATCTTCCCTCCTGAAAGGGGCTATAGACCCCAAAGGAGCAGCCTCTGCCCAGGCACGGGACAAAGGCCCTGGGCACAAGGGGTGGACGGTACAGAAATGTACCACTCAGATCTCCCTTCAGAAAAGGACTAGGCATGGGGGGGCTCATGTCTGTAATCCCAGTGATTTGGGAGACTGAGGAAGGAGGATAGCTTGAGCCCAGGGATTCAAGACCAGCCGAGGCAACAGAGGGAGACCTCTTCTCTACAAAAACTTGGAAAAAAAAAACCAAACAATTAACCGGGCGTGGTAGCGCATGCCTGTAGTCCCAGCTACTCAGGAGGCTGAGGCAGGAGAATTGCTTGAGCCTGGGAAGTCAAGGGTGCAGTGAGCCATCATCACACCACTGCACTCAAGCCCGGGTGACACAGCAAGCCTCTGTTTAAATTTTAAAAGAAAAAGAAAAAAAGAAAAGTGGCTCACACCTGTAATCCCAGTACTTTGGGAGGCCAAGGCAGGTGGATCACGGGGTCAGGAGTTTGAGACCAGCCTGACCAACATGGTGAAACCCCATCTCTACTAAAAATACAAAAATTACCCGGGCGTGGTGGCATGTGCCTGTAATCCCAGCTACTCAGGAGGCTGAGGCAGCAGAATCGCTTGAACCCAGGAGGTGGAGGTTGCAGTGAGCCGAGATCGAGCCACTGGACTACAGCCTGGGCAATACAGCGAGACTCCGTCTCAAAAACAAAAACAAAAAAAAGGGTAAAAGAAAGAGGCCAGGCGCGATGGCTCAAGCCTGTAATCCTGGCACTTTGGGAAGCCAAGGCAGGTGGATCACTTGAGGCCAGGAGTTCGAGACCAGCCTGGCCAACATGATGAAACCCCATATCTACTAAAGACACAAAAATTAGCCCGGTATCGTGATGCATACCTGTAGTCCCAGCTACTCGGGAGGCTGAGGCAGGAGAATGGCGGGAACCCGGGAGGCGGAGCTTGCAGTGAGCCGAGATCATGCCACTGCACTCCAGCCTGGGAGAGAGAGCGAGACTCTGTGTCAGAAAAAAGAAAGAAAGAGACTTGCTGCCCAGCTCTTTCTCCAGGGGTTACCTGCCTATTCCCCAGTTTCCTGCCTGCAGCTGCTAGAGCCTTGAGGGTTTGCCTCTGATTTTGCTGAGGTGGCGCCCGCTGGGGTGTCCGCAGCCAGTGGCTGAGTCAGACGGTAGTACCAGGACCAGCCCCTCTGCCCCGTCAGGGCTCCTGTACCAGCCACTCTTTCCTCCCAACTCGCCAAACTCCCCCTCGGCTCAGCAGGTGCTGTGTCAGGTCAGCATCTCAGCCAACAGCTCCAGCCTAATTCACTTCCCCCAGGTTTTCTCTCATGGGGGAAACTCACATTAACTTCTGCACCCTCAGTTCCAGCTCCTTGGCGTCTCCTTCCCAGAGAAACCAGCCCACAGCCCTCTCACTTGGCCTTTCTTTTTAAAGTTTTTAATTTTTTTGAGACAGGGTCTCATTCTGTCACCCAGGCTGGAGTACAGTGGTGCAATCTCGGCTCACTGCAACCTCCACCTCCCGGGCTCAAGTGATCTGCCCACCTCAGTCCTGAGCTGGGACTACAGGTGAGTGCCACCACGCCTGGCTAATTTTTGTGTGTGTTATAGAGATGAGGTTTTGCCATGTTGCCCAGGCTCATCTTGAACTCCTGGGCTTAAGTGATCTGCCCACCTCAGCTTCCCAAAGTGCTGGGATTACAGGCATGAGCCACCATGCCTGGCGCAGCCTTTATTTTTATTTATTTATGTATTAATGTATTTATTTTAGAGAGAGGCTCTTGCTCTGTCACCAAGGCTAGAGTACAGTGGCAAGATCACAGCTCACTGTAACCTTGAATTCCTGGGTTCAAGTGATCCTTCCACCTCAGCCTGCTGAATAGCTGGGACTACAGGCACATGCCACCATGCCCAGCTAATTTTATTTTTAGTAGAGACAGGGTCTCACTATGTTGCCCAGGCTGGTCTCAAACTCCTGGCCTCAAGTGATCCTCCTGCCTTGGCCTCCCAAAGCACTGAGATTATAGGCGTAAGCCACCGCACCTGACCTCACTTGGCCTTTGTTGATGACAGGCAGGAAAGTCAGACAGGGTTCATTTATTTACTCAGCAAATATCTGGGTGGGATGTGTAACACTGTGCCTAAGACTATGGGTTCTCCAGCCTGGGTTTGTATCCTGGCTCCGCTGGGACAGTGGGCATGTTCTTTAACTGCCCTGGTCCTCAGTTCCCTGGCTATAAAATGGGGACACTCATTAAACCTGTTCCAGAGTGTTGCTTTGAACACCACACACATAAACTGCTCAGCACAACGCCCAGCATGCACTCAACTATTAGGAATTTTGTCTGCTGTTATTTTCAGTTTCTTTCTTTCTTTTTTTTTTTTTTTTGAGACGGAGTCTTGCTCTTTCGCCCAGCCTGGAGCACAGTGGTGCAATCTCGGCTCACTGCAACCTCCACCTCCCAGGTTCAAGCAATTCTCCTGCCTCAGCCTCCTGAGTAGCTGGGACAACAGGCATGCGCCACCATGCCCAGCTAACTTTTTTTTTTTGTATTTTTAGTAGAGATGGGGTTTCACCATGTTGCTCAGGCTGGTCTCAAACTCCTGACCTCAAATGATCTGCCCGCCTTGGCCTCCCAAAGTGCTGGCATTACAGGCATGAGCCACGTGCCCAGCCGAAACTGTACACTTCAAATGGGTGAATATTATAGAATATAATAAATAAACAACCTTAATAAAGCTGTTAGACACATAAATGAATAAGGCACGAGTTCCGGTTCCACCCAGCACAGAAGGGCCAGACTCTGAGATTCCGCGGTGCGTGGGGAAGGCCATTTGTAAACACTCTCTGGCCCAAATGCAGCAAGGCTCCCAGGGCAAATGGGGTTTCCATGTTCCAGTGCTTGGGAAAGACTAACACGTATTCGCGTCCGTCCGCGACTGCCTGTCTAAGCGAGATGAGCCACCAGAAATGTCTCAGGCGCCATCCTCCCCATCCAGCTCCTGGTACCTGCTGGAAAAGCCTGGGGCAGCCCTGCACTGGCGCACCTTCTTCTCACCCGGCCCATGCCCTGCCCCTTCCGCCGCACACACCCCCGCGCAGCCAGTTATGGGCTTCACTGCCAGGGTCGACCTCGGTGGGCCCGTGTGGCTGCCTGCCGGCTTCTGATGCACATCATTTCTTGCCACACAGAGCCTCAATCTAGCCTGTGCTCTCAGGGTGGTGAAGGCAGCGACATAAGGAAAGGATTACGGTGTTAACAAGTCGGAACTGAACACGAATAAAAATAACCACGTGCCCTGGCAGAATGCTTTCCATCTGACGACGGGGATGTCTTGGTGCATGGACGAGGGTCCACGGGTGCGCTGCCTGGTGAGGACAGGCTTTGGGAAGCCTGGCACACCTCTCCCGACATCTGCACCGCTCCTTTATCTACATGACCTCATTCCTGGGCCGTGACCCTGCCCAGCAGGCGCTCGTGCCGCATCAGGCAGGCGTAAAGACAAGTGCCCAGCCTGGCTGGGATGAGCCCGTAGGCCTCTTCAGTAACCATGGCAACGCTCTAGGACGCACCCGGCATCCTTTGCATGGAGTCAAGAGAGGATACAATGTAATAGGAGAGACCCTTGAAGAAGAAGCTGCTTCCTTCCCTCATGCCCAGTGCCAACCTCAGGTCAGTCTCCATCTGGACATCTGCAGAGCATGAGCTCCAAGTGCAGAAATCGTGTCTGGGCTTTGTCCCTTCCCGCCGTTCACTATCCCCTCCCCCCGCCCCAACCTGAAGGCTGAGCACAGAGGACCACCAGGGAGGAGGCCCGGACGTTGAGCACCCAGGGTTAGCAGCCGGCAGACTGACACAGGAATCCCAGCCCTGTCATGTGCTGGCCGTGTGACGCTGGCTGTCACCTAGCCCAGGCTGAGAGCCTGGTTTCCTCCTCTCACAAGGTGCAGCACCACATCCGGAGGGCTGCGGAGGGGTTCGGGGAGGAAATGCGTGGCCGGCTTGGGCACCAGGTCTGGCACTGAGTGGTGGGACTGGGCTGGTGACACTCAGTAAGACAGTGGTGGATTGACTTAGAAGGGGCCTTTCATCGTTTACTTTCTATCCAAGTAGAACACAGGGCTGGGGAATGCTGCCCCCACCCCAGCCATTCCTGAGCCCCTAAAGCCCAGGAGCCCCTCACAGCCACCGGGAGAGAAAAGCTGCCAGCCTCCCGCTGACAGCCCGTCTTCTGTTCCACCAGGATCTCTCAGCATTTGATCCTGCATTCTGAGGTGGCAGCACCAGGGCTGGCCCTATCAGAATCTGACATTTCGAAAGCTGGTGTCTGGGTCTGCCCAGGTTCTCATCAGCTCCAGCCAGCTGTCCCTCCAGCTGCACCTGGAAGCGGGGCCGAGGCTGCCCGCTAGGTGCTGGAGTTTAACACACTCCTCTTTTATTTTCCAAGGAACTTCCCATCACACAGGGCTCCTCACGCCAGGAAACTCGGCTGTTGGGGTGGGAAGGGGAGAAAGGGAGGTGGAAGGGGGACAGGAGGCAGGAGGGGGAGATGGATGGGAAGAGGGAAGAGGGTCTGAGGATGCCTGAACTTCAACCCACTGGTGCTCATCCAGCCTCCCGGGAAAACAGCCCTGCAGAGCCCCATGCAGGAGGAAATGGATTTTAACTGGATTCACAGAGAGCAGGTCAGACCTCCATGAGAATTCCTGATGGTACAGGATCAACTCAGCCCTCCCTCCTCACCTTACTGTCCAGCCACCTGTGGGTCCCTGTGCCCCGAACACCCTCCCTGGGCCTCACTGTCCCATTCCCTGCCCGGAAGTCCTCCTAGCAAAGCTGGCCCTGAGCCTCCCCACACGGCACACCTGTGCCCTCCTCAGCTCCCTTCAGGCTGGTGCTGTTGCACCTGTGCGGTTGGAGGGTCTTCCTCGGGGGAGGGGGCCTGAGGCCTGCAGGGCCTCCCCAATCCCCTCTCCTGCGCCAGATCCTGAATGAGGGGACGGGGACGGTTGAGTCCTGTCTCACCAGCACGTGGCCACACTTCAGACCACTGACTTATCTGTGGACCACCCATCGTTAACGCCCTCTGAATTAACTCAGCTGTTTTGTGTGGCGCCTACTGAGCAATGACACCTGTGAGATCAATGGCTGTGCCAGTCATTCTTGCTCAGGGGAACATTAGAGTCACAGGATGGTTTTCTGTGGTGGGGCACCCTTACCTGCTGCAGGATGCTGGCCTGTGCCACCCCAGCTAGACTGGTGATGCAACGTGGAGCAGGGTCCTTACTCCATGTCTCCCCACCTGTCACTGGGGACCACGGCATGCTCCTACATACACAGAGCAAGCACGTAATGAGTGGCTTGTGGCTGCAGCAGAAACCTCTCCAGCTGTCCCTATGGCCCTCCCAGTGCCCTCAGCACACCCAGTTCCTACACGTTCCTCCAGAATAGCCCCTGGTTACTCTCAAAGCCCTTCACAGGCATGATCTTCCGGGGTCCTCAAGCACACCAGTGAGATGGACAGGCAAATGAAGAAACTGAGGCAGGCAGTCCAAGTGGCCCAGGGTTTCCCAGAAGCCCCAGCTCATTCCTCCAAATCCTTGGGCTCGCTGGTCTAAAGCCTGGTGATTACCAGGCAGGTGGGCTGTTCAGACCTGTGCACAGTAAAGAGCTGCTTATAGTGGAGGTGCTGGATACATGTGCCCCAGCCTGGAAAACAAGCCATGCCAGTGAACGTCCAGGTCGACTTAGGCCTGGCACAACTGTCGCCTTCTCAGACCTCACCCAAGTGCCCTCCACTTTGGGCAGGATACCAAGGAATGAATGGCAGGGCCTGCATTCCTGGACCTGGGCACTACGTATATTTTTAGCCTCTGCCTTCCTGGGCATTTGCAGGGTGGCTAATGTTCTCAGGGAGCCACCAGCTGCACACCCACGGGCTGGGCAGGCACTCGGAGGTCTCTGGGAACTGCACCCTCCCTGCCTTCAGTCCGGGGGCTCAGAGGCCAGCTCCTTTTCAAGGCAGAATCAGCTCCTGCTAGTGAAGCATGCACCCCACCCCCAACACAGCCAGAAGCCTGTGGCTCAGAAACTAGGAGGCATGAAGTACAGGATTTGTGACCTTGGATTTCCTTACTTGGAAAATGGGGTGGGGTGGGGGGACAGAAGGACTTTGACTCCACATGGGATCACCAGGCCAGCTCACTCAGGAGACCTGGTTGGCACCTCCTCCTGACAGGTGCACCCTGTATATCCAAGTGGGGAAGGATGTGCTGTGTTGAGAAGCTGAGAGTCTGGGTCGCGCTTCCCAGGGCCAGATGCCCCAGTCGCTGGAGACCTCTCCTCCCTGAGCTGGGCTGACTCCATGGCTTTGCTGTCTCTGTTCTCTTCCTGCATATGATGTTCCAGGAGCCAAGAAGCAATTCTAGAATGTACAGGTCAATCTTGGCAGATGAAACTGAATTTTCCCTCTTCTCTTCTGCTTCCTGTGTCCCCTTCCTTAAACTCATCACTGTTCTCTTACTGGCCATTGCCGGGCTCTGGTGGGAGCAGGTTGGCTTCACCTTTGTGAAGAGACAAGAGACAGTGTGATGCGGCCCCAAGCCTGTGGAGGATGCCACCAGGCCAGACTGCAACTTCTCTGCGTGACTCCCCCGTGCTGGGCCTCTGTTTCCCCTTCTGTCAAATGGGGAGTCACAGCGTCTACCCTGCAGGGCAGGTAAGATCTTCTTATTATAGTCAGAAACACATTCTAGGTCCTTACCAAGTCCACACTTACACAAACAGGTGAATTAAATATTTCACAAAATAATACTTACTTTCACCATGCGAGATACTATTATTTTCTTTTTTTCCTTTAGAAATAGGGTCTTGCTGCCACCCCTGCGTGCAGTAGTCCAATCACAGCTCATTGCAGCCTCCAACTCCTGGGCTCAAGTGATCCTCCCGCCTCTGCCTCCACCTCCCCAGGAGCTGGAACTACAAGTATGTGCCCCCACACTCGCCCAATTTTTTTTAAAGTTTTTTTTTTTTTTGTAGAGATGGGGTCTCCATATGTCGCCCAGGCTGATCTCAAACTCCTGGCCTCCAGTGATCTTCCCGCTTCGGCCTCCCAGAGTGCTGAGATTACAGGCATGAGCCACCCACCACGCCATCTGATATCTTCTAGCTTATTCTATTTCATTTTTATTATTATTTTTCTTGAGACGGGGTCTAGCTCTGTCGCCCAGGCTGGAATGCAGTGGTGAGATCTCTGCTGACTGCAATCTTCACGTCTCAGGCTCAAGCGATTCTCCTGCCTCAGACTCCCGAGTAGCTGGGGATTACACGTGTCTGTCACCACGCCCGGCTAGTTTTTTTGTATTTTTAGAGTAGAGACAGGGTTTCACCATTTTGCCCAGGCTGGTCTTGAACTCCTCACCTCAAGTGATCCGCCCGCCTCCGCCTCCCAAAGTGTTGGGATTACAGGCGTGAGCCACCGCGCCCAGCCTATTGCATTTTTATAGTCACCACCCACTACTTTTTTTTTCCAGGACCCAATATTGGTCCGTGATCTGATGATGTTCACGGTCAAGACGGAAGCAAAAAAAGCACACACCGCGCGCCCTCGGTCACTAATCACGCGGAGTATACGCGAGGAGGGCCCGCAGCTAAGCGACGGCGGGCGGCCGAGCTTCCTCCACGGCCGGGGAGGTGGGCAAGGCCTCCGGGCCGCAGCCCCGGGTACGAGCGGAGGCTCCGAGGCCCCCGGTAGCCAGTCAGAATTTATTTTAAGGGAAATGGAAAGCTGCGGCAGGCTTTGGGAGGAGGGGCAGGATTAAAAGAGAAAGTGTGCTCAGCATGTTATATTTAGAGGCTGCCACGCCGGAAGCGCCGCCTTCCCGGGAGCTGCCGCCGCGCCCGCCCCCCGCCGGCACCTGGGCACTGGGGCGGGAGTCCCGGGGCTGCCCGGGAACACCCGGCGCCCAGGGCCTCCGCCACTCCCCGGTCCCCCATGAGGGTGAGGGCTATAGGCGCATCTGGCCCAAGATAGGGGAGTCGTCCGGACCCCACTTCTGTAGGAGGGGAAACTGAGGCCAAGGGGGCAAAGCCCCCGTGTTCGCGGCGCCCAGGGTCCGGGGCGGCGCCGGCACGCGCGCGGGCGGGGCCTGGCGCTCCTCCCCGGTCCCGCCCACTGAGCGTGCAAACCGCAGCCGCCCGCCCACGCGCACGCGCGCTCCTCCCGGGCCGCTTCCCACCCCTCCCCCCGCCCGCTCAGTCTCGTGCTCCCAGCTCCGCGAGGGGCCCGCCGGGAGCCGGCCGAGGGTGGGGCGGATCGCCGGGGAGACCCGCCCCCGGCCAGCGGCGCCTTGCTGCGCAGGAACGACGCGAGGGCCCGCCCCCCAGCTGGCGGCCCGGCCATATTTAAAGGACGGCGGGCGCGGCGAGCCAATGGGCGGCGAGCGTGAAGGGGCGGTGCGTGGCGGTGCGTGGCGGCGCGAGGCCCCGGATGTGGCTGCGGCGGCCCCTCCTCCCCCGCGCTCCTCTCAGAGCCCCAGTCGCGCGCCCCTTCTTGGTTCGCTCGGTGCCCGCGCAGGCCCCTCGGGCGGTGGCGAGGAGGCGCCCAGGCGGAGGCGGCGGCGGGCGGAGGAGCGCAGGAGCGGGCGGCCAGGCCACCGCGCGGCGGCGGAGCGGGCCGCGGCCCGGCGCTCCTTCCCCACCGCGGCCCGACGCACCCCGGCCGCCGCCATGAGCGGCTCCTCAGGCACCCCGTATCTGGGCAGCAAGATCAGCCTCATCTCCAAGGCGCAGATCCGCTACGAGGGCATTCTCTACACCATCGACACCGACAACTCCACCGTGGCGCTCGCCAAAGGTAGCGGCCGCCGCCCGCCCGAGCCCGCTGACCCCCGTCCGCCAACAGCCCCGGCCTGCGGTGCCCTCCCCGCCCCGGGGCGCCCCGGAGCCTGGCGCCCAGACCCCGCCCAGAACCCACCCAGGGCACACCCGGCCCGAGATCCCCTGCCCGCGCCTTCACCCCGGACGCCCCCGAGGCGCCCCCTTCCCGCGCGCCACCCTCCCCCAGCGTAGCCGGCCGCACAATGGTCTCCCTGGGCTCCCAGGGCGGCGGGATTGTGCGCGGGCGCCCGGCGGTGTTTGGTGAGGGGCGGGCCCGGCCCCCGCGGTGCCGCCCCCTCGGCCGCCCAGCCCACCTCTGCAGGTGCCAGCTCCGAGGAGCAGGGCGGCTCCCGTCAGCGGGCCTCCTCCCCGCCAGCCTGGGGGGATCCCTGCGGGGGAGCCTCGAGGTCGGGTGGCGGGGCCAGTGTCCCGGCGTCTCCCGAAGGCTGGGGGTGGGGTCACAACACGCGAATCCTGCAAGCCTTTCTGGAACTTATTAGACAGCTGGGGCCTTGATCCTGAACAAATACCGCGTCCTAATGCGGCCTCCTGCCAAGGCAGAAGCATCCGTTGGCAGCCAGATGCCCCGGTTTAAACGGTTCTCCTGCTCTATCCTGACCTTCCCACTGTGGGGCTTACCTTTTGGTGACAGCCGCCTGTGGGTGCTCGTAACCGGCTGTGGCCGCTGGAGGACTTACAGGAGGGGGGCTCTTTAGAGTCAGAATCTCTGAGGTTGTTGAGGCAGCGGGTGGTCCAGAGTTTCTTTGTCTTCATCACCCAGAGAAGACGGGGAGTGCACTTCCCCTGCCTCTCAGAGAAAAGTGCCCGTGGAGCCACGTCTGCCTAAGCCCGTGTGTGTGCTGGATCTGGCGCTAGGCTCCCAGGGGTTCTTGAAGTGTCTAGACGCGTCTGAAACGCTGCTTAGGTCACAGGGAACTTCATGTGTAGAAGAACGCACTCATTCCAAACAGGGAGTGTCTCCTTTTGAAGCCCGTCTCCTGCGTGGCTTCAGGAGCTTGTTGAGTATGCCAGGGCTATGCACTCACTTGCAGCCATGGAACCTCACTACACTTATTACAGGAGAGCCCAGTTAGAGAAGCTGAGGCCCAGAGTAGGCCCAGGAGTTAGCAGGAGTTGTGTCTTACCAGTTAGAGGCTGCTGTCCCACCCACCTCTGCCCCTAGAGGCTTGCTAGAAAGAGACTTGGGCGCTCCTGGAAGCCTGCTGGTTAGGGGTTAGTAGACTCAATTCCTTATAGATGCGGAAGCCGGGGTCAGAGGTCCATAATCCTGGGACCCTGTCTCCCTTTGTTTTCTGTTACAGCTGTTCCAAGGTTTGTTATGGATAGAAGGGTAAGGGCAACACTCGTCTAGATTCCTTTGTGAGAAAACTGCCTCCTCAGGCGCAATGTGCGGTGAGGCTTTGGGCATAAAGCAGCCGGCTGGCTGTTGGATCTACAGAGTCAAACGTGAACAGGGAGGCCTTACGAAGCAAGCCTTGTTTTGCTGAGAGCTCTGTACGTTGGTGCCTTCGCACATCAGACTGTCAGTCTGTGAAATTGTTCCTTGTCATCTTTGTGATCTAGAGCTGTCTGTTGTCTGGAGCTTCACCAATTGGTGCATTATCAGCACTGTCCATTGAAAATCGGGGCATTAAGTAGTTGTTGAAATGTGGACCTGGGGTGCTGTGTTGTGGCTCTGAGCAAGTGTCGCCGTCTTTTGGAAGGCTTGGGAGCAGTGGTGTCAGGGTTGATTGAACTGGCTGAGGACAACAATAACGCTTCTCTTTCTCCACTCATAAGTGAGGTCCTTTGGCACTGAAGACCGTCCCACAGATAGGCCTGCGCCCCCCAGAGAGGAGATTTATGAGTACATCATTTTCCGAGGAAGTGACATCAAGGATATCACTGTGTGTGAACCTCCGAAAGCTCAGCACACACTCCCGCAGGATCCCGCCATTGTTCAGGTAAGTGTGCCACTGTCCCTCTGTGCATGCTGTAGGAGATGCTGGTTTCCATTTGGAGCTTGGTGGCATGTTTGGTCAGAACGCTCAATGTGAGGAATAACCTTTTTTTTTTTTTCTTTGAGGCAGCGTCTCGCTGTGTCACCAGGCTGGAGGTCAGTGGCGTGATCTCAGCTCATTGCAACTTTGGCTTCCCAGGTTCAAGCAATTCTCCTGCCTCAGCCTCCCGAGTAGCTGGGACTACAGGGACGCACCACCATGCCCAGCTAATTTTTGTAATTTTAGTAGAGACGGGGTTTCACCATGTTGGCCAGGATGGTCTCAATCTCTTGACCTTGTGATGCACCCGCCTTGGCCTCCCAAAGTGCTAGGATTACAGGCGTGAGCCACCACACCCAGCCTGAGGAATAACCTTTTAATGAAAAGTGGCTTAACTTTTGTCCAGGCTGTTGCTGCTCTCACAGAAGGTGTTGATTCTTGTAGCACACACAGTAGGTGGTGTGTGCTGTGTCACGTGGCTCTTAAGGAAGGCGACCTGGGGAGTTGGGTGTGCATGTGCGCGTGTGTAGTGTAGTGTGGTATGAGTGGATGCTCCTGGACCTGTGATGTTTCGGGCATAGCGTTTGCCCTTAGTTTCTGGTTGGAGAAGTCTGAGCCCTGAGCAGCTGCTGTGAGTGGCGTGACCTACCTGCAGGGACTGCAGGGCTTGCCCTCGGGTTACGCCCAGTCGTTACATGCTGCTGTTATACAACACCAGATTTGCAAGTCTGATGCCATGTGCCTGCTTATTGGGTTATGGCTTATTTTGCCCATGCTCCCCCAGGGAGCCCAGATTAATATTTTCTTCACTTCTAAATTTAAATATTCACTAGCTCCTCTGGGGTTCAGACTGCATTAGGTTCTGTGCTGAGCACCCATCCTGGAAGGTGGGATCACACAGGGCCGGCTTTGGGAGCAGTGGGAAGCCATCCGATGGCTTTGAGTTAGGAGAAATTTGGGTTAGAATTACATGGACAAGACACCTGTAATCCCAGCACTTTGGGAGGCCGAGGTGGGCAGATCACCTGAGGTCAGGAGTTCAAGACCAGCTTGGCCAACATAGCAAAACCGCGTCTCTACCAAAAATACAAAAATTAGCTGGGTGTGGTGGTGGGCATCTGTAATCTCAGCTACTCGGGAGGCTGAGGCTGGGAGAATCGCTTGAACCTGGGAGGCAGAGGTTGCAGTGAGCTGAGATCACGCCATTGCACTCCAGCCCAGGCGACAGAGCAATACTCTTTCAAAAAACAAAAAACAAAACAAAACAAAAAAAGGAATTACATGGACAGGTGAAACTGGAACTGAAATGCTGTGGAAAAGGCAGCTCTCACCATACTGGAAACTTGCACCCCAAGGGCTCCTCCAGCATCTCAAGGGTGCAGGCTGATGGGACGGTGCTTGTTTCCCAGCTGAACAAGCGCCCTGATGAAGGCGTGCGGGGTGATGGGATGGCCTTCGCCGTTCTCACCCGATGTCTCGTTGTTCAGTCTTCCCTGGGTTCTGCCTCCGCCTCGCCCTTCCAGCCGCACGTGCCTTACAGCCCTTTCCGAGGGATGGCGCCCTACGGCCCGCTGGCGGCCAGCTCCCTGCTCAGCCAGCAGTATGCCGCCTCCCTGGGTCTAGGTGAGTGACCTGTTTCTGTCTGGTAAACTACCCTTGCGTGTAACTGTCACTGAGTGGAGCGATGGAGCCTGAGGGTGGGGATATGCATTCCTGTCATGCTCAGCTTGTAGACTGTTTTGTTGCACACTTAGTAAATTACCCAGTGCAACTTCCGCTTGTGAGAGCATTTAGTAACTACTCAACTGAAAGTAAAAGAGGCAGCAGCCTGAGTGTTGGAACAGAAGAATCAAATCAAAATTCATTCGAAGAGTCAGGGCGGATCTAGGTGGAAGTCCTGGGCCAGGCATAGTGGCTCACTCCTGTAATCCCAGCACTTTAGGAGGCCAAGGCGGGTGGATCACAAGGTCAGGAGTTCGAGACCAGCCTGGCCAACATGGGGAAATCCTGTCTCTACTAGAAATACAAAAATTAGCTGGGTGTGGTGGGACACACCTGTAATCCCAGCTACTTGGGGGGTTGAGGCATGAGAATTGCTTAAACCTGGGAGGCAGAGGTTGCAGTGAACTGAGATTGCACCACTGCACTCTAGCCTGAGCGGCACAGTGAGACTCTGTCTCAAAAAATAAATAGGTGGAAGTCCTGGTATATCTGCTTCAAAGAAGAAATAGCTGATATATATGTAGTATTACAGATGAAGTCTAGCTGTTTGCACATTTATAAGCCTGTAAATATAGACGTGAAATACAAACCCACCCATCATGTCCCTTATTCTACTGTAAGTGCCTCGCTCAAAAATGGTTTCAACCAAGATTGAAAAACCCCAGAGTATGATTCTATTCTCCATATGTAGAGAAAGATCCTGCCTTGTCCTTAACCTGGACCTAGCTTTGCAGATGGGCTCAGAGTGTAGAATTGGCAGGTGATCCACGACCCTTGCTCAGAATCCAGCATGAAGTAGTGAGACAGGGAACCCTAAACGAGGTCTGTAGGCCACTTGCTGCTACAAATCATGCTTGCTTGGTTGCTATTCCTAGTGTGACAGGCGGCCTTCCCAGCCCAGCTCTCTGGGTTTCTAAAACGTGTTTGTATGACAGAATCCTACAAGAGGTTGCTTGGCTCTTTCCAAGCTTGCTAGACACAAGACAAGTGTATCCTGACTTATTTGTGTGCTTTCTTTTTGCTCTTTCTCCTTTATCTTCCTTTAGAGAAGTTGGTAAGCCCTCCAGCCTCAGCCGCTGCTTCCAGCCCTAGCTCTTCTCCATCTCCACAGCCCGTTTCAGAGCTTGACTTGTCCTCAGAGCCACAGCAGCTCACTGCCAAGGGTAACAGCAGTTTGGGAGAACTGCATGCTGTCTTGCAAACCATTCTGAGAGCGAGGGGTAAAGCAGCAGACAGAATGACAGTAGCTGTAGCAGATCATTTGCCAAGCCCATGCAGCCGCTGAGCTGCTTGTTTTGCTTCAGCATGTAGTCCTGATTGATGAACTCTCAGTGTTAAAGAAGGGATTACGAAGAATCAGCGGAGTAGTTTGTTCTCTCTCCCTGGGTCCAGGTTCTCTGTTGACCTGTACCATGACTACCACATACGGGAAACTTCACTGTTCACAGAAAGTCATTTCCCTGGGGTTTTTGCTGGGTCCTAAATGTGTTCCAGAGTGCTGCAGGGGGGACTCCCCAAAGCACCTGACATGCCTGTTTTGCTCTTTGATCCGTGTGGTTCATAGATCACTCATTGAGGGGATTCAAAATTAGGGGCTTGGGTGACAGTCGCCAACTGTTTGGCCAGGTGGACAGTATCAGCCTGATGGCCAGCTGGCCAGTGTACACCACCTGTCTCTGTGCTGTGGTGGTGGCGGCACCTGTGGGGTTTCTAGATCTTTTCTCACGTTCTACTCATTTCCCCTGAAGTTCTAAAATTCATATTGACGATCTTGCTGTATGTTTGTGTTACACATAGCACCCTGACAAGCTGAACCATCGCCATTACCCGGCCCTGGTCCAGGTTGATGCCTGGGCTTTCCTTATGGCACACAGCTGCTGTCAGTCTGTCATTCTGCAGGTGCTGCTTTCCAAATCCTGCATGCACTCTGTGTATCTGAGTTACAGAGTAGTCTTTTTTTTTCCCCCACTTAAAAATGACACAGATACTTCTATTGCTCTTAGGATCAGTTACCTAAACCTGCTCATAGGGCAAGACTTTGTTTGAACTAGTTGGTTGTGTAAAAAGCAGACAAGCCCCTTATCCATGCCCCTGCAGTCACAGTATGATCAGCAGGCAGGCAGTGCTGTGTTTGTCTCCCGGACATGCTGAGTGAGACAATCAGTGAGAAAGTGGCCCGGGTGCATTCCCGCCAGAGGACACTTTCCAGACCTCTATGCAGAGTCGTTCCAACCTGCCCTTTGAGAGCTTCTCTTGATCTGGTTACAAGGAATTTTTCTACAGTCAATTTTTTTTTTCATTTCTATTCCGTAAAAGCAGTAAGATGAGATGCCCAGTCTTCATGTGTATTGGGCTGTTCGTCTAATAATAATTACCCTGTGGTTAGGGTGCCTTTTCTGTTTCAGATCTCTGTTCACTTACACCCAGTCCCACATTGTCCTGTTTAGAGTCCCTACAGGTCCTGGAACCTTGGAAAGGGAGGAGATGGAGAGAGGTGGGTGGTGCTTCCCATTTTCCTCCTGATTCAGAGGGCCTGGTTTCTGAGGGTTCATCCCCTGTGCGTGGGCCTCGGACTGCAGTTTCATAGGCATAGCCCCTTGCCAAAGGCTACCTAGGAGCCCTTTGTGTCTTCATGATGAGCCTTTGCCCTTGAGAGAAGTGTAGGCTGCTACGTCTCGGAAGTCAGCTCCTGCTTCATCATTTTTAGTTTTATTGTGCCTTAAGTGGAAATGACAGTGTTGTAGAATTTAACTTCAGAATTTGTTCACTGCATTTTCTAGAAAATCCCAGGCTGGGCTGGTTCTTCTCCAGTGTGGACCAGAATGAAACAAATTCTCAGATCCTGAATTCATCAGGATCTTGGGGCTGCTGAGCTCCTTTGGGATTGGAGCTTGTGTGGTTTTAAGAAAGCTGTTTCCACACTTCTGGGGAGGTGCCTGTTTGTAGGCACGGTGTTTTTCCTGTCCTTGAGGTTCCCTAACTTGGGAAGCTCAGGGCTTTGGGAGTGGGGAGTCCAAAGATGAACTGGCCTTGGTGCTGCCCAGTGACTCTTGGCCTTCTTTTGCTGCCTGGGCTAGCCTCAGAGGGAATGGCCCAGTCTGGGGGTGCTTTGCCTGGATTTGATAGAACATCTAGGCAGTTGCCCTCCTTTCCTTCCTGACATGCCAGCAGAAGAGAAATGCCTGGAGATATAAGGCTTGCTTCTTTTCTCTCTGTTTTTAAACCCTCCTCCCCTCCTCAATTCAGGAGCTGGTTTTCCATCCATCCCAGTCGGCAAGAGCCCCATGGTGGAGCAGGCTGTGCAGACTGGTTCTGCTGACAACCTGAATGCTAAAAAGCTGTTACCTGGCAAGGGCACCACAGGGACGCAGCTCAACGGTCGTCAGGCCCAGCCGAGCAGCAAGACGGCCAGCGGTACTTGAACACATCATTTCCTGGAGTTTGCTTGATGTTCTAAAAGTGGCACACTACTTCCTGGGCTATTTTTTTTTTTTTAATTAAAAAAATACTACTCCCCCATCCTAAGCCCCATGTGCTTTTGCAGGGCAGGCCTGTGCAGCAGCCTCCTGCGGTGCCGCCCTGGCCGCGTGCCCCATGGTGGTGGGGCCTGCTTCCACAGCTGGGTTCTGGCTTCCGGCTGCTATAGGAGCTTTGCCTTACTCTTCCCTTTTGCGCCGTAGATGTAGTCCAGCCGGCAGCTGTGCAAGCTCAAGGGCAGGTGAATGACGAGAACAGAAGACCTCAGAGGAGGCGATCAGGTAACACCTGTTGCCACTTGATTTCTGGGGACCACGAGTGATCAGGCTGAGCTCTGCTTGCCCTCCTGCCTGCTTCTCTGGTTGACGGTTTCAGGGGTGCTGGTGTGAAGTCGCTGCTTGTGTGCTCTGTTCCTTCTGTGGCCTTGGGGGTGTGCCTGGAAATTCCTTGTGAGGTGTTTGAGATCACTGGGTTGGTGACCTACTTCAGCCAGGGCTGTCCTTTGTCCTCACAGGAAACAGGCGAACAAGGAATCGCTCCAGAGGGCAAAACCGTCCAACTAACGTTAAGGAAAACACAATCAAATTTGAGGGTGACTTTGATTTCGAGAGTGCAAATGCCCAGTTCAACCGAGAGGAGCTTGACAAAGAATTTAAGAAGAAACTGAATTTTAAAGGTTTGGCTCATTATATGAAAATTATTCTCTGCACAGGAGTACCCCTAGAGAGTGTTAGGAGGAGATGCCTGGCCGGGTGTGGTGGTTCACGCCTGTAATCTCAGCACTTTGGGAGGCTGAGGTGGGTGGATCACCTGAGGTCAGGAGTTCAACACCAGCCTGGCCAACACAATGAAACCCCATCTGTACTAAAAATCCAAAAATTAGCCAGGCGTGGTGGTGGGCGCCTGTAATCCCAGCTACTCGGGAGACTGAGACAGGAGAATCGTTTGAACCCAGGAGGTGGAGGTTGCAGTGGGAGTGAGCCAAGATTGCGCCACTGCACTCCAGCCGGGCGATAGAGCAAGACTCTGTCTCAAGGAAAAGGAAGAGATGCCTAGAGGAACCGGGGATGCCAGGCGGATGGTGACCGGCAGTGAGGAATTAATGAAGTGAGGTGCTGGGAGGTGTGAAAATGGGTGGGATAAGGTGCAGACTGCACAGCCCAGACGGCAGAACGAGACCTGTACTTAGAAGGTAGAAGAAGAGATTTCTGCTTTGCACAAGGCATAGTTGATGTCTTAGCTTGAGGGTGGCTTCCGAGTGAGCCCGGAGGGACCACCCTGCTAAAAGGCTGTGCGCTCTGCCCCTCCTCCATCTCCACGTGTTCTGCTTCTTTTTGTAGATGACAAGGCTGAGAAGGGGGAAGAGAAGGACCTGGCTGTGGTGACCCAGAGTGCCGAAGCGCCCGCTGAGGAAGACCTTCTGGGGCCCAACTGCTACTATGACAAATCCAAGTCGTTCTTCGACAACATCTCTTCTGAACTCAAGACCAGGTGAGAGGCTGAATGAATGAGGGGAGGACAGTCCTCCAATCTAGAAAGGACAGGGCTGAGGGCTCTCAACCTGAGGGCAGAGCTGGACTCTGAGGCTCAGGGTAGCTGTTCTAGGGTCCTGCTTGCGTTTCTGCATGATGGGTGCCGGAGTCCCAGCAGGTTGCGTGTGGGAAGCCTCTTGGGGATCCCGACCCGAGGAGTTGGCTGAGGTCGAGCCTGTTTCCTCTTGGCTTTGCTGCCCTGTCCCCACAAAGGCTGGGCTGCACCGCCCCCCCCGGCAGACCCGTGTCCACATTCAGCATACCTCACGGTGCTCTGCTTGCTGGTCCCGCTGGCCTGGCAGCCTGAGGTCCTTGCTTAGCAGCCTGAGGTATGGCTAGAACGTGCTCACACTGGCTTTCCTTCACTTCATTGTTTGAGGCCAGGGACCATGTGGTGTGTTTTATTTTTCACACCTAACAGCTGGTCAGAAGTCCCGCGAAGCACCCTAGGGAGTGGGTGGCATCTACAGTGTGGGCCTGGCTTGGAAACTTGGGCCCATTTGTCCTGCAGATTGAGCGCCAGACATGCCGCGGGGCGTTGAGGGGGCCTCAGAAGGCAGGCTGGAGAGCGCCACCTCTTCAGGTTCATGTTCTGCCAGGGGAAAAATAGAACAGCATGTCGTGAAGGCCAGGCAGTGAGGGCGATGGGATGGGGCTGTAACTCGATGGGAAGTGGATGATCAGTTCTCACAGGCAGAGCAGGCTGCGCAGATGAGTGCGGGAAGTGCTTCCAGACAGGCCGAGTCTGGGGGATGGGTTCCTGTAGGGTTTTGTAGGGCATGGCAGTGACTTTGGCTTTTGTTCCAAGTGCCGCGGGAAGCCATCAGAGGGTTTTGTGCTGAAGCGTGGTGCGGTCTGATGTTTTACGGCGTCCTTGGTGAGAGTGGTTGGACGGTGGGCAAGTGTGGCTGCTGACTGGCCAGTTAGGGGCCAGTGCTGCAGCACAGGTGGCTTGGAACCAGGCAGTGGTGGTGACAGAGGGAAGGAGTAGAGTCTAAATGTGTCTTGAAGGTGGCGCTAACAGAATTGGCCAACATGACAAGAGAAGAGTCCAGAATGACTCCTAAGTCTTTTGGCCTGGGCGGCTGATGGGTGGAGTTGCTGTTTCTTTGAACACGGAAGTCTGTGGGAGCAGCAGGTTTCCGGCTGAAGAGGAGCTCAGGGTGGGTGTGCTGCTGGAGCTGTTGTCTGCGTCGGTAGGAGTGCTGGGTGGGAGTGCTGGGTGCACAGTTGGATGTGGGAGATAGTCTCCCACCAGCAGCTTGTTTGGGTGGCATGAGTGTCCATGCTGTATCCCTGTCTTTCAAACTCCCAAAGCAGAAGCATCACATTCCAGGGAACTTGTTCCATCTATCCTAGCCTCCTCCTTGTCTAGGAGGGTCCACTTCATGGTCCGGTCTCAGGTCTCCTGGGCCCCTGGGCCTCCCCAGGGCTCCTCTCTGTGCCCAGCGAGCAACAGCGGCTGCCTTGGTAGCCAACTAGTATCACTGCTTGCCTGTGGTGCCAGAGATGGTAGAGATGGATCCCGATCCCCGGCCCACTGTGGAGACAGTCCTGGTTGGAAACGTGGCAGGGAGCACCTGCAGTGCCGGAGCTGGGCTCCAGAGCTGACGGGGCCGCCCCTTCCCTGTAGTGGCCCTGGTGAGTCTGTCCCTCCTTCCCTGGGCCGCTCTGAGGACGAGGCCTGGCCAGAAGCCTGGGAGTCAGTGCCTGCTACAATCAGCATTTCCTCTGTGGTTTAGCTCCAGGCGGACGACGTGGGCCGAAGAGAGGAAGCTCAACACAGAGACCTTTGGGGTGTCAGGGAGGTTTCTTCGTGGCCGCAGTTCTCGGGGCGGATTCCGAGGAGGCAGGGGCAATGGGACCACCCGTCGCAACCCCACTTCCCACAGGGCCGGGACTGGCAGGGTGTGAGGGTGCAGCCAAAGGTGAGTGGATGAACCTTCTGGACGCTTTGGTGGGAGGGTGTAGGGTCAGGCACACCTGGAGAGCTTAGGAAGGTGGGGAGCAGGCTCGGTTTCCCAGGAAGAAGAGAGGCCCAGAGGTGTCAAAGCCAAACCGAGGGCCTCGACCCTATGAGTCACCCGGGAGGCTCTTGGCCAACTTCAACCTGCATCTGTGGGGGTAGGATCCAGGCCCCAGCATCCTCCAAGTGAGATTGCAGGTATGGGAGGTGAGGTGGTGCGGGAGTCGCGTGGGCTGGGGGCTCACCACCCAGGTGAAGCCAGCAAGTGAGACCTTGCTCCAAAGCCAGTGTCTTGGCCCAACCCGGCCCTAAGTGAATCAGAGGCTTCATTTTTAACCAGGTCCCAGTGGATTTGTGGGCACCTTAGGGTTTGGGCGGAGCGTCCCACATGGGGTGCCTGGTGCCAACCCCACCCAGCGCCTCGGGACAGCCAGGTGGGCCCTGGAAAGACTAGCCCTCCTGCCACTAGCTGCGTCCCTGTCCCCAGTGTATTGTACAAGTAGGATTCTCAGAGTGGGTTGTGAGAAGAATGGGGGTAGCCAGTCTGACTCTGGGGGCAGGAGGGAGGCTGAGTGGCTCCTGCTCGCCAGCAGGGGCAACAGTGCTAGCTTATCCCAGCAGATGCTTGACTTCCTGTCATCTCTTGCAGGCTCCTACTGAAGTGGCGCATAACTGACGCTGTGTGTGTCAGGACGCGAGGAAAACGCTGCACTTACAGGGAGAGGTGGTCACTTTGTTTACGGAGTTTGGAAGAGACCCATACTGCTACTTGTGTTTTGGACTTAACTGAACTTGGACATGGTCTGAGTTAGAACCACTTGTTTTGGGGAAGTATTCATGGGTAACCTCTTTGAGGTCTCTTTATCTGTGTTTCCTTTTTAGTTGCGCATAGCCTAATTCTAAGGTTTTGGTATTTTGCAAAAAGGTTTCTATAGTGAAAGCTGAATCCTTACTTTGTGACTTTTTTTTTTTTTTTTAATGACAAGCTTTGACTTTTAAAAGTGGAACCAAATCTGTTGGCAGAGGTGGCAGCCAAGTACATCTCTGTAACCCAGCTGGCCCCTGGTGCTGTTGGCCTGGCACCCCACTGCCAAGGGTGGGGTCTCAGGAGTCAGGCAGGGCCAGCACAGGGTGGCGTGGGGGGCAGGGGTGGGTGGGTGGAGGGCACGGAAGGGGTTTTCCCATGGATCATGTTGTATAAGTGAACCAGACCACCCTGATGGCATCCACAGTGATGTCAAGGTTGGGGCTGGCCAGGGGTGGGTGGACTAGAAGCATTTGGGAGTAGTGGCCAGGGGCCCTGGACGCTAGCCACGGAGCTGCTGCACAGAGCCTGGTGTCCACAAGCTTCCAGGTTGGGGTTGGAGCCTGGGATGAGCCCCGGCAGCGCCTTGGCCCTTCTGTGGTCCCTGCCAGCCTCTGACCTGGGCCGGTCAGTCATTGCTGGACTCTGGCCACACACTGGCGTTCTCATCCACTTGGAAACAAGCCAGTCTTTTCTGCAAGGTCAGTTGACCAAGAGCATATTTCCCCTCTGTTGTACATCGTTGTTTTGTGTTTGTGTTGTAACAGTGGGTGGAGGGAGGGTGGGGTCTACATTTGTTGCATGAGTCGATGGGTCAGAACTTTAGTATACGCATGCGTCCTCTGAGTGACAGGGCATTTTGTCGAAAATAAGCACCTTGGTAACTAAACCCCTCTAATAGCTATAAAGGCTTTAGTTCTGTATTGATTAAGTTACTGTAAAAGCTTGGGTTTATTTTTGTAGGACTTAATGGCTAAGAATTAGAACATAGCAAGGGGGCTCCTCTGTTGGAGTAATGTAAATTGTAATTATAAATAAACATGCAAACCTTTAAAATTTTCTTTTCTGATGCTCTAAGAATCCTGTTGACTCTTCTGCCCAAGTCACCTCTGCATCATGTCCAGGTCTGGAGCACACACTTAGGCTGGTGGAATTTGGGGAGACTTGGGCCCCATCAGGTGATGGAACGAGGTGGCTGACCCAATTGGTCGGGTGAAGTGCGGCCAGCAGACCCGGGTTCTCCCTGTGGGCCACCCTTCTGGGATGAATGGCTCTGCTCTCAGAAACTGGATACAAAGTTCTTTTAAAAACCCAGCTCACAGATAACACCTGTATCATAAGCAGTGGCCCCTTTGCCACCTTCCTGCTGCCTCCAAGCTCCCCAGCTCAGGAGCGTTCAGGTTCTCAGGCACCGTAGAGCATGTTACACAGCCATGAGCAAGCTGCACCCTGGACCCACGCAGAAAAACAAAGACATGGCTGGTTCTAGGCTCAGAGCATCCCATTTTAGTCTAATGGGTTTCCAGGTGACCTTAAAAGTGGCCCTCAGAGAGGACGAGGAGACACACCAGCTGCATGAGTTCTCCTTTCATTACCTGCCTGTGGCCATCAGGCTCCACAGCAGAACTGCCAGTGGGGGGCCCTCCCATTTCTTGGGTGGGGGTAATGGGTATCCTTGACCAGCAGAAAAATAAATGTTACGTGTGCCAGATACTGGTGGCCACAGTCCTCACCCAGCTAGAGAACTTGGTGAAACAGGTATTGCCTCCCAGAGCATCGCAAGGTAGTCAGGTTATCGTGTGCCAGCTGACCTTGCTGTTAAAATGTTCATTGTTTTGACAACTGTACATTTTACGCTGAGCTCAAAATGTATCTGGGCCCCTTTACTCCTTTTTAGAAGATACATGCCCAAAACCAAGGACCAGAGGACCCAAAAGCCTTAAACTGTGGGACTAGAAGTCAAAACACAGGAAAGGGCAGAGAATAGCCAGAACCAGTCTTCAACATAGGGGGCAGACGTCAAGATGTGGTCTATGAAAGTCAGACATGCAAAGCTGCTTTGAACAAAGCTGCTGCTCTACAGAATGAACCCAGGGCTACTTGTGTTTGTGTCCTTGACATTATACATTCATTAGGGGACTAGAATGAAGGTCTAAAAGCAAACGGAAGTCATTCTGTGTCTACAACAGAGAAACAGGTCTGCTGAAGGCCAGGTTTCTCTGCAGGACCCAGGGCAGCAGCTCTGACTTCCCAAGGGAGGAACCTGTGTCTCACACTGGCTTACTGTCTTAGCCACAAGGAACAGAAAGGAAAGCTCAATTACGGTGGCTCAGGGTTGAAAAAGAAGGGTGAGAGATGAGAGGACTGCTGTGATTGCACCTAAAGATACACATTCTCTTAAAAAAAAAAACAGGTTAAAAATACGGAAGTTTATTGTAGGACACTCAGTGTGAATAAATGGAATGGAAAGGCCTACACATCGAGACTCATCCATGATTGATATGAATTTAAAAATTACAAGCAAAGACATTTTATTCATCATGATGCTTTCTTTTGTTTCTTCTTTTCGTTTTCTTCTTTTTCTTTTTCAATTTCAGCAACATACTTCTCAATTTCTTCAGGATTTAAAATCTATAGAAAAAAACTTCATGGTTACCTAAGCCACACAAGGTGCCAAGGAACCAGCGCCCTCTTCTGGGGAGGGCGGCCAGGCTTTGGCACTGCTGCTCATACAGCCTCTTTGGAGAGGAACCTCAAGAAAAACAAGAGGATGCTGGCCTGACCTAGACAAGTATTAAGCAGCAGTAGCAGCAGCAGCAGATCTGACTGGCAGCCGCTCAGCATGCCCAGAGAACACGCGTGGACCATCTAATCAGAGGAAGATGGGAATCTTCTCTTTGACGTATGGGGAGCCTCAGAAAGACATTTTCCTAATGTTAAAACCACAGAATGGCCCTATGATGTTTCCTTCGGAACTGGTACTGCTCAGCCCTGATCATGGGAGAAAACTGACAGGTAAAGAAAGCAGACAAACTTGGTGATTACCTTGAGGGATTGATCTCGCCTCATGACAGCAAGTTCAATGTTTTTGCCACCTGACTGAACCACCTTGAAGGGACAGAAGACAGGAGCATTAACCACCTTTCCCTATTCAAGACAAAAGCAGCTCTCAGGAGTACCTTAAATAGGTGTGTACCCAAACCCAGCACCGTCCCAGGAACAGAGGTCCCAGCCCCCAAAACCTGTGTCTTTGTCCTAAACTCATGGCCATTTGTGAAGTCTGTTTGGGATGCCTGCACACCCCTCCGCCTCCCAGCACTGGGACTCCTCTCTCCTGCACAGTAGCGCTGCTCCAGGCCCTCCTCTTGACACAGTGGTTACAACCAGGAATCCTGATGCCTACGCTCCCGCCTGGCCTTCCAGCTAGTCCCTCTCTGGTTTTACCTGCTAGCACTTCAAGGTCTTGACAAAGCCCAACCATATCTCCAGTTCTCTAATCCCCTGACTTTAGCAACAGTTCAAGCCTCTGGAAGGCCTAGTGATGGCTCGAGAACAGATTCCACAGCTGGACAGCTGGGTTCACATCCTGCCTCTGGTTCTCATGCTGTGTGTCCCTGCACAACCCTCAGCTGCCCCGGCTGGATAAAGACACTAATGATCACATCTTGCATGGCTATTTCAAGGAACACAGCAGTTAGGATACACCATAGACCAGAGCAGTGCCTGGAACACAGCAGTCATTAAGCATTACTGCTGGATCCTTGCCACCTTCCTTCCTGCTCATCTACCTACCACTCACCACCAAAACGTGGTATCTTCACCACCTTGCCTGGATTCCAAATGCAAACTTACTTCCAGGAGTGCCTTGATCACCAGCTTAATGGTCAGATCATCTGTTTCAATGGCTTCGTCAGTATAGTTCTTCTCCAGGAACTCGCGCACTGACTTGGCACCCCGACCTATGGCATTGGCCTAAAACAGACACGTATGTTCTCACGTGGCATAGGGCATGACAACCCAGGGCCAGCCCTGGAACACAGCTGCCCTACATGGGCCGCCCAGCCAGTGGCAGTGGCAGGAGGCAAGCTGGAGTGCTGGACAGCAGCTGTGGACACAGGCCCTGCCTCGTGGCTTCCTTTTGCAAAGAGCTCTTTAGAGTTGATGCTGATTCTTACCGAGAATGGGGTTATACGATTGTATGTTTTACTGCGCTATCAAGAGGCAATGGGAGATTTTTTTTTTTTTTTTTTTTTGAGGTAGAGTTTTGCTCTTGTTGCCCAGCCTGGAGTGCAGTGGTGTGATCTCGGCTCACTGCAACCTATGCCTCTCGGGTTCAAGCGATTTTCCTGCCTCAGCCTCCTGAGTAGCTGGGATTACAGGCATGTGCCACCATGCCCAGCAAATTTTTTTTGTATTTTTAGTGGAGACAGGGTTCTGCCATGTTGGCCAGGCTGGTCTCGAACACCTGACCTCAGGTGATCCAACTGCCTCGGCCTCCCAAAGTGCTGGGATTACAGGCGTGAGTCACCACGCCCACCCAAGAATTTTAATTTATGTGGACTACGCTTACACCTTGCTGCCCTTTGATTTTCTTCCAAACAGCAATGTTTAATCATTTTCTTGCTCTCATAGGACTAGGTTAACTTAAACTGACTCATTCACTGATACAGGGCCTACAGCAGGAAGCCCAGGACCTCCCACCCCTCAAAGCCTTTTTCTGGCAAGACTGTCCAAAGCCCCTTTGTCACGAACTCACCTTCCAGGCATGGTATGTGCCCGAGGGGTCAGTCTGATAGAGCCTAGGAGTGCCATCAAAGTCGAAACCCACGATGAGGGCAGAGATGCCAAACGGCCTGCGCCCATTGCTCTGCGTATAACGCTAGCAAGAAAAGAAACAGGTCAGTGCCATCCAATTAAGAAACTGCATGTGAGGAAAGAACCGTACTTAGTGAAGATACGAACATTTTAAACCATGCCTGAGCCCCTTCTCAGGTTATCAGCAGTTCAAATGATACATTAGCCAATAGCTTTCAACATCCTTTTCTGCATTTTCACTCCTAGAAAAACTCACCTAGGACCAGAATTGTGAACTCAGGTTACTGGAAATTACTTTGACAGGTAGACACACATTCTGCTTACATACTAATGGCGTGTCCTCATAGGGTGGCTTCCAGCCCCCTTCAACTGCTTTGTGACTGGTCACTCAGGATGGCAAGACAAAAGCTATCATTTCCCTCCAGACACAGGAATTTGGAATATCCCATGCCAGGAACTGAGAACAGAACAATGTTACTGAAATTGGTGAGCTAGGTCAAGTTACACTTGTGCAAGTCAAGATTAGGATCACGCCCCAGAATAAATCAGTTTTCTGATTCACCTGAAGTGACATGGCAGGACCCTCCATGGCGGAGCCGTGACTGCCCTGCTGCCAGAGGTGAGCATGCAAGCGGGCAGGCACCCACCTGCTTCAGACTGGCGATGTAGCGGGTGATGTACTCCACAGTGACCGGGTCCTCCACAGTCAGCCGGTGGCTCTGGCACTCCACCCGGGCCCTGTTGATGACTATCCTTGCATCGGCGGTGAGGCCTGCAAGGAAAGCAGAGAGGCTTCTGCTAGAGAGACAGCACAAACTACAGGGTGGGGACAGACACGATGACCCAGCATTTAACCTTCCACAGACCCCCCAAACCGGCAGCAAGGCTATTCTAACTGACTGGCAGCGGAACCTATCAGCCCCTGGGAACTTCCAGGAAATTGGGTACAGATGCTTCTTGATGTGCAGTGGGGTGGTATCCCGCTAAACTCATCGTAAGTCAAAAATACCTGGCTGAAAATGCATTTACTACCCCATAAACCCATTGTAAATAAAAAATTGTAGGCTGCCGTGCAGAATCTGGATTTTTAAAAACACAGATCAACAGGGACTGTCTGCATATGAAGAATTGTGTACTTCAGACCATACTTAAATACAGTACCTGAGTCCTCTTGGGAATCTTAGAAATTGAGTTAATCCCTAATTTCATTACATGAATTGAGATCTTCCTAGATTGCATCTGCTGAGAGGAGAAATGAGCAAGACCAAAACAGCGCTGAGAACATGGCGAGGCATGGCCTGCATCCACCAGTGTGGTCCTTTTTACTGCTGGGGATGGCAGGACGTGGTTCTGTCCTCTCCATGCCACAGATGCAGTTAGCTCTAGAAAGTCCAGCCTTTCTCTAGATTGTAACTGATTGATACAGAAAAATAACAGTGGAGGTCAAATTGCGCAGCAGCCAGAAGTGTTTTCATCCATTTAGCCATTTGTTTCACCTGCTATGGCAGAGAGAGGCCACCAAAGAAACTAGCCAACTTAAAAGTCCAAATCCAATTCTTTTAAATGATTTTCATTTACTCAGTTTATATGGCTCACAATAGCCCACACACCCAAGTTAATCTCCAAAGCCCTATTCTTCGCTGAGACTCTAGAGAGTAAGACAGCGCTCCCCACCGACTCATACCTGCAAAGGCCATGCAGACGTTGTCATCCAAAGCACAGATCTTCCGCACTGTTCTTTCATCCTGCAGTTTGGCCACTGACTTCTTCTCCACACCAAGAACAACAATGTCTCTTCCTCGAACACCAACCTTTAATTAAGATCCACAAACCACGTAAGAAAGTGATATGAGTGCTGGGTGCAGTGGCTCATGCCTGTTAATTCCAGCACTTTGGGAGGCTGAGGTGGGTGGATGACTTAAATTCAAGAGTTCAAGACCAGCCGGACAACATGGGAAAACCCTGTCTCTACAAAAAGTACAAAAATTAGCCAGGTGTGGTGGCTGAAGCCTGTAGTCCCAGCTACTGTGGGGGCTGGTGGGAGGATCGCTAGAGCCTGGAAGGTGGAGGCTGCAGTGAGCCATGACGGCTGGGAGACAGAGACAGCAAGACCCTGTCCCCTCACCCCACCCTATCCTCCCAAAAAAGTGATACATGGTTCTACTGCCAGGCAGCGAGCAGTAGGAGCAGATCTGAACCTGGGTCCTGGGGGGTACGTACTCCGGGTAGCAGCTCCCACTGGAAGGTGCGTTCACCCACACCCCTTTCTCCTCTACTTGTCTGTCACTGTGGCTGGCACCACATCCTGCAAACCCAGGGGTATTCATCTACTGCTGGTAGAGCTAGCCCAGGCGTGCTCACCTAGGTGCCCAACCTGGGCCTTTCAAATACTGAGATGTAGTTTTAGTTACAACATAGCTAGTAAGTAACCATTATATAATCGGCATGTGTTTCCTTTCAACCCAATGAATCAGTCCCATGCAAAGCCTGGAAGCCTGAGACTTTCACTCAAGTCTGGTGTTCTGAAGGCAGTGTTTCTGTAGTTGTGAAATTATATTGAGCCACAATGCACTGTTTCCTGCACTGTGACATACTCATGTGACAGCCATGAGAAGGGGCCTGATTTGCCGTCAGTGGACAAGGTGTCAAGTGTTATCCCAAACTGTTTATGGCTGATGCTGGAGAAGGATATGGCTGTTATTAAAAGCATGAACAATCACTGACAGTCAACCCGAGTCAAGCCAGAAACAAAGGGAACCATCATTGGGATAAACAGCGCCTCCTGGTTTAGAGCAGGGCTTCTCCAGCTCAGCACTGTGAGCACCTGGGCAGGGGGATCTCCCTGTGCCTGCCGCCCTGAGCACGGGTGGGATATTGAGCAGCGTCCCTGGCCTCTACCCTCCAAATGCCAAGAGCACCTCTGCAAGGTCTTACCACTGGAAAAGTCTCCACACACTGCCAGTGGCTCCGTGTGGGCCCAAAACCATCCCTGGCTGAGAAGTATTGATCTGAAGTGTTTGGGTTTTCTGGGAGCTTTCTCAGGTACTGACTCACTTGACCTTCGACTGACTCGAGGCCCAGAGAAGCTATATGGGTTCGTTAAAGCCAGCGGCGGCCAGCTGGCGGGGGTGGCAGTATTGGGGTGGGTACAGGGGTCAGCCGACTCCTAGTCCTCTTTAAGCTGAGTTAGATCACCTGATGAATACTGGGCCTTCATTTCAAAACAAAGATTCAGAAAATGAAAACAAATCAAAATTTACAGAACCGTGTGTGCTGCTTTCTCTGCCTGCTCAAACCTCTGAATACCAGATGATAAAAGAATAACGATCTCACAGACTGACCAATTAAACTGACACGTCTTGATGGTACGAATTTAAGTTTCAAACAATGTCACTAAGGTCAATGTACACGAGCCCTCGTCAAAACGAAACGGCCGCGTCCAAACCAGTCCTGACCCGGGCGGCTGCAGCCCGGCCCCGGGAAGGCTCCTCCCGGCAGAGTGCGGAGACCTGGGAGGCGCCCGCCACCGGCCAGGCCAGCGAGCCGCTTTGTTCTCGAAGCCCACCTGGGCCTAGAGAATAAGTGTTGCCCCGGAGCGGGTGGGGGTCCCCATAAGGGGGGTTTGAGTAGTTCGCTCCCCAGCCACCCGGCTGCGTGAACAGCCCCCCAGCGAGCGCACGGCCTACCCCCCGCGCTCCGCGGCCCAGAGCGGCCCTCGCCCGGCCTCTGCTCGCCGGGGCGGCGGCGCGACCCACGCGCCCGGCCGGGGCCAGGGGTGCTCAAGATGGCGTCGTCACGGCCCCCGTGCCCGGGGCCCCACGCGAGGCCGGGCCCCAAGCGAGGCGCTGAGTGGGGAGAACGAGCGCTCGCGGCTCACGCCAAACGCCGCCTCTGCAGGCACTCGTGGAGACCGGCAGCGGGGCCCGCGCTCAGCTACAGCCCTGACCGCCCGCGCCGCTGCCCCGCGCACGCCCGCGGGCGCCCACAGCGCCGCGCCCGGCCCCGGCCCTCTCTGGGCTCCCCAGCCCCACTTCCGCCCGCGTCCCCGGCCCCGCGCAGGCCCCGCCGCCTCACCGCGGTCGAGCCCTTCTTGACGGCCTCCTGCGCGTACTCCACTTGGAAGAGGTGGCCGTCGGGCGAGAAGACGGTGATGGCGCGGTCGTAGCTCATGCCGGCGGGCGGCGGCCGGGCTCCTTCCGCCGCGACTCTCAAAAGCGCACACTCACGGCCCGCGCGCACCCGCGACTCCCGGCGCCACTACGCCCGCGCCCCACCCTCGGCGCCGTGTCCTGCGCTGCCGGCGACGGGCGGCGTCAGGCGGCGACGGGCAGCGTCAGGCGGCGTCGGGCGGACGTGATGGCGCGCGCCGGGGCGGGGTCAGGCCGAACCACCGGTGGCCGGGGGTGGGAGGCGGTGCTCCGGCGAGGGCCGGGCGCTGGGTGCGAGGGGGTCGCCGGGGGCCACCGTTCGGCACTGGGCCGCAGACCGTTCTGCAGGGCGGAGCGGCGGCGCCGCGGGCCCGGAGGCGCGGCGACGGCGACGGGGCGGACGAGCCCACGACGCGGCGCCCCCCGCGCTCCCGCCCCCTTCCCCCCCTCCGCGACTGCGGATAATGAGCGCCTCGGGCCGCCCAGCGCAGCCGGAGTATCCACCTCGATGACCACGGGCTGAGCCCCGCGCCGCCACCATGTCCGTGGCCTTCGCGTCTGCCCGGCCAAGAGGCAAAGGGGAGGTTACGCAGCAAACCATCCAGAAGGTGGGCCGGGCCGGAGCGGCGGCGCTGGGCGGCGGGTCTGCGGGCGGGCGCGCGCGGGGACGGGGCGCGGGCAGCTGGCGGGCGCGGGGCGCGAACAAAGCCGGGGCGCAGCCGGGCGGCCGCGAGCCCCGACGGCGGCCCCGTGCCCTTCCCCGCGTCCCACGCCTGCGCGCCGGCGGGCACCCGGCCGTGTGGGGGGCGGTCCCCGGAGAGCCTGCGCCAACTTTGTTGGGGCGCGCGGGTCCCTCGGGCCGGGGCACTGGGCGGTGGGGGCCGGGCGGACGCTGGAGGCTGCCGGCCCCCGAGCGCGCTGTCCCCCGAGTCCGCGGCGCGCGCTGGGAACTGTCCTGGGCTATGCCGGGCGCACGGGGACCCCTCGGGGCCGGAGCCGCGGCGAGGGCTTGTCGCGCTCCGCAGCCAGCTTCGGTGGCGACGGCGGGCGGTACTCGTTTTCTGCGCTCATTTTGGTTAGTGGTGAGGGGCCCGGGTCGGCCTCCGGGCGCACTTGCGACCGCGGGGACTGTGGCCGGGGCTGCCCCTCTTGCTCCTGGAGCGAGGCGCGAACGATGGAGGCACGGAAGGACGCGTCCCGATCCCCATTTGCGGGGCATCGTTACGCAGCCCGGCCCCGTAGGGAGCGCACCGCCCCCTCCGTATCCTCGCGGCTACGCCGGGTTTCAGCGTGACACCCTCGCCAGCCGCCTCGCCTAACAAACTTGACGGATTTGCTCCACAACCTTTCTTCTAGCTCCGTAAGTTCGGCCTTGTGGTTTTCAAGAGACAGCGTTTATGTGGGTTTGGGACACCGTTATCCAAAGCCCTAAGTTTTGAAATTGAGACTTTGTATTTTCTGCTGTTTTTTCTGTAGAAGACAGATTCGGAAGAAAATCAGCATTAGCCATACCCGTTTCAGTTGTCACAACATCTGTTGGAATGACATTGGTTTTTTTTCCTAAACTCTGACTCCGTCTTCACCCTGGTGGGATTGCAGGGATAAACAGTGGTATTCCTAGGTTCCCAGGAGCCGCTTGTCTCCCTAAGGGGGTTCACCTTGACCTTGACTGAGGCTGTTATTCCTTGATGACGTGCCAGTCTCCTGTGGAAGTTGTCCTAAATCTATCGCCTATTTTGAGACTACCTTTGCTGTTGCTAGTTTTAGAAATTTGATGGTCTTAACAAATGAGAACCTTGGCCAACTCTGAACAGGAGAGATTGAGAATAGCAGAAATACAGATTTACAAGTGTGGCATTTTAATTTACTTAGTAAACACTTATGTGGCGCTTACCGTATCCCAGACACTGTTCTAGGGGTTTTATAAATCTTGATTCATCCAATTCTTCATAGAAGCTACTGGCATCCCGTTTAATAGCTAAAGAGGCTGCGGCCTAGGGAGGCCGTGCCTTGCTGGTAAGTGGACACTGAGGCCTAGGGGGGCTAAATGCCTTGCTGGTAAGTGGCACAGCCAGGTGTCGATCCCATACGGTGGCTCCAGGGTCTGCTCTGTTGGTGCCCCTTGATCTGGGAACATTTGGCCAGGCGGAGGTCAAGCTCTAGGCTCAGAGGCAAATGTTGGAACCCAGAGCATCTCCTGGCACTCTGGTTTTTTGGAGCTTAACAGTCATTGTTCCTGAAGCTACCTTTGGCTGCAACGTTTATCCCATTATTTGCACTTCGCACACAGTTCCATTGAAGCTCCCCAAATTCTCCAGGTAAAAGTGTGTATTGAGGTGCTGCCCCGAACATCAGATCAGAAAGGAAGAAATGCACCTGTGGACCGTGGGTCCCTGGGCAGAAACTCAGCCTGCTGACCATTGGAAATAGGCCTTCAGTTTAGGCTGCTGACTTGGCTTGGTAGGGCCAGCAGTCTGCGTATTGGGCTTGGTGTTTTGACGGTGAATATATGTACCCAGGGATCTTTTACTGGGAGGTGTGAGAAGGCTGAGAAAGGTGTGAGAGGTGTATGTTCTATGCCTCAGACGTGTGCTGTGTCCACAGTGTGTGCTGGTAGTGTCATGCCGAGAGCTTTAAGAGAAGCCAGGGACCCCTCTGAAGCCTGCGTGGTAGTGAAGGAGAAGGAAGTCTACAACTTGTCCTTACAGCATTCTGCGTGGTAGCGAAGGAGAAAGAGGTCTACAACTTGTCCTTACAGCATTCTGCGTGGTAGTGAAGGAGAAGGAGGTCTACAACTTGTCCTTACAGCATTCTGCTTGGTAGTGAAGGAGAAAGAGGTCTACACCTTGTCCTTACAGCATTCTGTGTGGGTGGAGATCTTCCAGGCCAACTTCTACTCAACCTTCAAAGCCTCACTCACGTGTTCCGCGTCTCATGCTCCGTCGGCAGTCATGTGGCCCTTGTAGCACTTGCTTGAGCTCCTGAGTTTGGCATGTGACTGATTATTCTTTGCTGATCCCCAGCCTCTCATAGTGTCTGAGCACAGTTAGTGCTGAGCACGTGCTGGATCATCTGTGACGCTGGTCCCATCAGTGGAAGCGTTTTGAGATAAGCAGATGCGTTCGTGTCCTGTGACTTCCTTGACACATTCCCACAACCCAGGTGGCTTCAAACAACAGAAATCTATTCCCTCACAGTTCTGGAGACCAGAAGTCCCAAGTCCAGGGGTCAGTTACCTGCTCTTCTCCTGGCTTCTGATGACTGCGGGCAGCCCTTGGTGTTCTCTGGCTTGTAGGTGCATCCAGCGTGTCTCTGCTTTGATCATTTTTTTTTTTTTTTTTTTTTGAGATGGAGTTTCGCTCTTGTTGCCCAGGCTAGAGTGCAGTGGCGCGATCTCGGGCTCACAACCTCCGCGCCCCCGCCCACGTTCAAGGTTCAAGCGATTCTCCTGCCTCAGCCTCCTGAGTAGCTGGGATTATAGGCGCGTGCCACCACGCCCGGCTAATTTTGTATTTTTAGTAGAGACGGAGTTTCTCTGTGTTGGCCAGGCTGGTCTTGAACTCCCGACCCCAAGTGATCTGCCCCCTCCCCCCCTTAGCCTCCCAAAGTGCTGGGATTACAGGCATGAGCCACCATGCCTGGCCTCAATTTCCCACTTTTTATAAGGACTCTAGTCACTGGTTTTAGGGCCTACCTTAATCCAGCATGACCCCGTCTTTATTTCATTTTCAAATACCTCATTTCCAGTACCTCCCATGCGCAGGCACCAGGGGTCTGGGTACAGTTTAGCCCACGAGAGTGCGTTTGTGGTGAGGGCTATCCCAGAGAAAGAGAACCATGGGGCAGGGGCAGGGAGTCACAGAGGGTCCCGAGCCTGGCCTGCATGGAGCAGGTATTGGGGGACCTAAAGTGGAAGGGCAGGGGGTGCTGGGCTGATGTGGGGAGGGTAGCTGGTGGTGACCAGGCAGCAGTGTGTGGGTGAGACAGTCAGAACTGCTCTGTGGCAAGCACCACAGAGGACATGACTGTGCTGGGGAACCCTGCGGTGGGGCTGGGCCATGTCCCCACGGTGGCCCTGGGCCTGGCTGGGTGTTCTCTAGCCACCAGCTGGGGACTGTAGTGTTCTGTTGTCCAGTGCGTGCTCCTTACGCTGCTGTTGGGGCTGGGCCTGCAGTGGTCACCTCGGACCATGTGGCCAGGCTTGAAGGGGACCCCTGAGTTGCCTCTTTGCTGCTTGGCATGCAGTAATTGCTCAATAAATGTGTTACTGTTTCTGTTTGTATTGGTTTTCTCATTGGTTTCCTTGGCCGGATAATAGCAGTGGTGTCTGCCTGTCTGCTGGGTGTCTGGATCCCCAGCACCTGTTGCGGGGCAGGGTTGGGGAAAGGCTCTGAGGGAATGGGATGGAGCTGAGAGGAGGTGGGCCCCTGGGGCCGCCTGCTGGGTGGGTTTGGTGTGGGAAGACAAGACCTTCGTGGGGTGGGTTAGTGCCGTGCCCAGGGTCCGAGAGCCAGGGAGTTGTTGAAGCTGGACCAGCCCTACCCCATGTCCTTGGTACCCAGGTGCGGGGGTGGGGCATGGGCAAGGGGCGCACTTCTGGGTGGGGATGGGCTGCGGAGGATGGGGTGCACACCCAGTAGGCAGTGGGCACCCTGTGTGCTCCCTCAGAAGTGGAACTTGCTGTCTGAAGGAACGCAAGCTAATTTGGCTAGGAGTGTTTGTAAGGTTAAAGCTGTCCAGTGACTGAATGGCTTGGGGATGCCGAGCCTCCCTTGCATGTGGCTGATTGACAGCGTTCCTCCTGCGATCAGAGGCTCCCCCCACCCGAGAAGGGGAGCATGGGGGCCTGTCTTTACATCCGCAGGGATAGGGGGGTTGGGTCCCCTCATTCCGGAGCCTGGGCTCAGCCCCGGGGAGGGACCCCGCAGCCACCGGCCTTGCTCGGCCTCCTTGCTGTCTTAGGTCAGGTGAGGGAGGCTCGGCCTCCTTGCTGTCTTAGGTCAGGTGAGGGAGGCTTGGCCTCCTTGCTGTCTTAGGTGAGGGAGGCTTGGCCTCCTTGCTCTCTTCGGTCAGGTGAGGGAGGCTCGGCCTCCTTGCTGTCTTAGGTCAGGTGAGGGAGGCTCGGCCTCCTTGCTGTCTTAGGTCAGGTGAGGGAGGCTTGGCCTCCTTGCTGTCTTAGGTGAGGGAGGCTTGGCCTCCTTGCTCTCTTCGGTCAGGTGAGGGAGGCTCGGCCTCCTTGCTGTCTTCGGTCAGGTGAGGGAGGCTCGGCCTCCTTGCTGTCTTAGGTGAGGGAGGCTCAGCCTCCTTGCTGTCTTCGGTCAGGTGAGGGAGGCTCGGCCTCCTTGCTGTCTTAGGTCAGGTGAGGGAGGCGCTCTGCAAGGCCCTTGAACCCAAGCGCCACGGGGGAGGTGGGCAGGAGAAAGGCATTGTCCTGGAGGGAGCAGCCACAGCCTGGCCTCTGTCCCCCCTCTGCCTGTAAAGCCTGGCCATACACCCTCTTGCTGGATGCTCCTGAAGCTGCTCTCCCAACTCCTACCCAGCCTGGAGGGTGAGGACGCATTTGGATAAAGACACTGTGCCTGCCCACTGCCCTTTACCCGTGACCTTTCCAAGGCTGGTGGGTCTCCAGAGTCCCTGTCTGCCATCCAGTCGCCGGGTGTGGAGTCTGGAGCCAGCAGCCAAAGGCAGCCCAGGTCTTGCCCAGGTGGTGCTCGCTAGCCGGCGGTCCTGCGGGTGCTCTCCTCGAGGCTCCGGCCCTTTGCGCGGTCTGGGCCCTGGGCCAGTGGGTCGGGGCCTGGGCACCTGCCTCTGTGTGCTTGGAGTCAGAAGACAGATTCCCTGGAATCCCCGGGCTGCAGGTGGTGGCAGTGTCACGCCCGTCCCCAGTGGATGCAGGAATAAACAGGCCCTGGGTGCCGAGCAGTTAGCGGGCTGGCGCTGATGGACCGTAAGGCCTGTGGGGCCTGGGAGGCCTGGGAAGAGGGAGTGCAGGTCTTCCCGCCTGGTTCGGGCAGGCACCTCCACCACCTCCCTCCATGTGATCACAAGAGGAGTCCAAAGGGTTGGGAGAAGGTGCCATGGATGATGGTAGGAAGGGGGCTCCTGTGACACTGGTCTGATTCTAATCGGCCACCACAGCTGCTGTGCACAATGGGGACGGAAATGGGCTGTTTATATCCTCCTCAAATGGGAAATAGGTGTGGAATGCAGGCAGGTCCTTGGTGTTACCAGGATGGGGATGGGGGCCATGGAGCTGCAGGAGGGCAGGGTGGGGCAGGCCGGGCCTCCTGGGCTCACATTCTTATCCTGCTGATGGTGATGTGTGCTTCGCCTTTCTGTGCCCCAGTTTCCTTGTCTTTACGAAGAGGACAGGGCTGTGGCCTCCCTCATAGCCTGTATGGGTAAGGCAATGCCCAGCAGCCTTGTAATTGGTCAGCTTTAGCCTTTGATCAGGCACTCAACGAGCAAGGAATGGCCGGAATTTATCCGTGGTATTCGGAAAGGGAGGTGAGGACTCCATTCCAAACTGCAGGAAACCATCGCAAGTCCAGGGTCATGTCAGAAAGAAAAAGCAGTGTCAGCACATGGATGAGATGCATACAGACGTCGCGTGTTGCTAGTACAATAAGCACGTCTCCAGCTTGGAAACTGTCAGGAGCACAGTGATTTTGTTGTGTTGTGCTGTGCTGTGACAGCCCAAAGCGCCATGAGACTGGAAGTGATTGCCAAGGCACATGCAGAGGCGGCTGCTCTTGTGTCTGTTCAGCGTGTCTTCACATGTTCTTAGAGTCTTTGAAATTGCACACACACGTCAAGCATACAGCGGTGGGGCCGTGAGGCAGCAGCCAGCTCCTCTCAAGGAGACTGCACATGTGTAAATTGAGACGCTCTTCTGAAACCTACACACCGACTTCACGGATTCCACAGTTGGGTGAATGTTCAGAGGGGTCCCACTGGCTTCCATCAGTGGAGTCTGTAGTATCGGCTTGCTGACCTCGGGGGCAGGGACGGAGCAGCTCAGGCTGGGCTCAGAGGGAAGGACTGCTGATGGGTCAGCGATGTCTGCCCCGAGAACAGGAGTGGCAGGCGCTAGCGCAGGTGCCATCGCTGGCTTAGCCACCTGCTGATGCTCGACCAGCTCTCCGGTTAGCCAGGCTGGTCCCCCTCACACCTTGATGACTCCTAGGAATTGATTCTGCGTCTGTGTCCACGCCATGCGTGGGGAGTGCATGGCAGCCCTGCATGTAGTGGCAGAAGACGGGGAACAATTTCAATGTCTGTCCAAGCAGACAGAGTACTACGTTGTGTCCATGTTGTGGAATTCTCCGGAGCATAAGAAACATTGAGGTGGATTTTTTTTTTTTTTTTTTTTTTTTTTTTTTTTTTTTTGGAGACAGAGTCTTGCTCTTTCGCCCAGGCTGAGGTGCAGTAACGTGATCACAGCTCGTGCAGCCTTGTCCTCCTGGGCTCAAGGGACAGGTGAGGTCTCTATGTGCTGACAGAGGACAGTCTCCAAGATGTTTGAGAGGAAAGGGAGCTGTGTGGAGCAGCGGGAGCGAAACGTTATCAGGTGTGTGCAGAGTCGGGAGGGGAGTGCACAGGCTCCATGCCAGACGCTTCCAGAATCGGCAGAGCTGGCCTCTGGGGAAGAGGAGCCAGGGGTTCCTCCTGCAAAATTAAAAAGGTTCCAAAAGTCTTTGTAATTAGAAAGGACAACCATGAGGACACTGGAGGTCTTCCTGCCCAGTGTGGGCTGAGCCAGCCCCGGCAGTGAGCCTCAGAGCCCCAGGCCTCCTCTGTCTGGCTTCCAGGGCCCCACACAGGTTGTCATTGGGGAGAGACTGTTCTGCTGAGAGCCCCTCACCCAGGTTTTTGCCTGGTAGCCCCAGCCCTTCCCCTACTCTCTGTGGGCTCTGGGACCCCAGTTCTCCGTCCCTGGTTCTCATCCTCACTCCCTCGCCTACCCAGTTAGGACCCCACGGTGGGGCTTCAGCAGCCCCAGACCCCATCCTTGGTGCCTGGCTGTGCCCTGGGCCCTCCAAGCCAAGCCCCGTGTCCCCCGTCAGTCCCCGCTTGCCAAATCCAGTTTCTCTGCTCACCCACATGGTCCATTGCCATGGCCGTGGCTTCCGTGCCCCTTGGGTTTGTCTCCCTGTGGGTGCTGGGCTTGGCCCTGGGCATCAGCCAGCCTGACCAACAGAGACACGTTGGGGCCACCCCTCAGAGCCTGAGACCACAGGGGTGACCACGCAGAGAGGGAGTGGGAGGCCCAGGTGTCCCAGCTGCCCCAGCCACGAGCCCAGCCAAGCCCAGCAGAAGATCCTCCGAACCAGCCCAGAATCATGAGAACTAAGAAATCATGTTTCAACCACGCGGCTCCGGGAGGTTTGTTGCGCATTGGGTAATGGATGCACCCAGCCGCGTTGGGATCTTGGTCCAGCCAGTCTCTGCAGTGAGCACAGGCTTTGGTTGAGAAAGTCACCCCCACAATGGGCACAGGACTCCTGTCCCCCAGCAGCCCCCGTTCCCCTCTTTTCCCGCTCCCCATAGCTGGCCTCCCCCGTTCCCCTCTTTTCCCGCTCCCCAGAGCTGGCCTTCCCCGTTCCCCTCTTTTCCCGATCCCCAGAGCTGGCCTCCCCCGTTCTCCTCTTTTCCCTCTCCCCAGAGCTGGCCTCCCCCGTTCCCCTCTTTTCCCGGTCCCCAGGGCTGGCCTCCCCCGTTCCCCTCTTTTCCCGCTCCCCAGAGCTGGCCTCCATTCCTGGAGATGCCCCGTGGCCTTCACACATGCCTGTTTCCTCCATCGGGCCGCCCTTCCCCCACCTTACCCATGTGCTCCTGCCCAGCCTCCAGCCCAGCTGGACGTCAACCCCAGGAGTCTCCTGGGGCTCCGCTGCCTCATGGCATTGAGCAGATGCATGCCCACGTCGGTCTTCACCCGACTGGCCACCCACGCCCACTCCACCATGAGCAGAGCGGGTCGCACCTCCTCACTGTCGCCTCCACTCACCCAGGCCTAGGATGGGCACATTGATGAAGCATGCTCAGAGATGGGATCTCACCACCCCTCCTTGCTGCGGCCCCCGATGCCAGCCTCTGGCTCCTCCAGATGGAGTTGCCACCTCATCTCTGTCCCCAGCGCCCTCACCTCGGGAGGCCTCAGGCCACCAGCTTCAGTGCTTTCCCGGTGGCGTCTCTGGCGCGGGTTTACCCCTGAACCTGTAGAAACTCGGCCTCTTAGGAAAGGGTGGGGAGAACTGTATCTCACGTTGCAGAAAAATTCACAAGTGCACATCAGGAAGCTGGGAAACAGTGTCTGCAGAAGACAGCAGTAAATACAGAAGATCTAGAACGCTCCAGGCCGCGTGAATGGCTTCTTTGTTCAGCTTAGTGTTAGAGGTACACACCAGGTGGAGGAGACTCAGGTGGGCCCATCACCAGCCCTGGCAACCCCAGACTCACTTCAGGCCTCTTTAAGGTCGCTTTGCAGATGATACCGTGAGTAAATGCTTGTCTTAGAGATTTTCATAAACACAGACACATAAGAAACTACGAATCGACAACCTCCAGAGTGGGGGCCACAGCTGCCTGTCGGTGCATTTCCGTCCTGTCAGGGTCTTTTGCTTTGGATTTTATGCTCACCAAAGCCGCGCGTGCACATCAGGAGTCAAGAAGCACCATGGGCGTGTGTGTTAGTTGTTCTTACACTGCTATGAAGAAATATCTGAGATGGGGTAATTTATAAAGGAAAGAGGCTTAATTAACTCACAGTTCCACAGGGCTGGGGAGGCCTCAGGAAACTTAGAATCATGGCGGAAGGGGAAGCAAGGCACCTTCTTCACAAGGCGGCAGGAAGGAGAAGCGCAAGCAGGGGAGATGCCAGGTGCTTGTAAAACCAACAGATCTCATGCAGACTCACTCACCATCACAAGAACTGCATGGGGGAGACAGCTCCCATCCATCTAATTTCTTCCCACTGGGTTCCTCCCACGACACGTGGGGCTTATGGGAACTACAATTGAAGATGAGATTTGGGTGGGGACACAGACAGACCCTATCAGGGCATGAGTAACCTCAGGAGTAATGCCTCCCACCTCCCAGAGGCGCTGTCTTGCCCTTCTCAAGGCCAAACCAAGTGGCCACTTTGGAATGGGTTTAGGGCTGCTGACCTTACCTGGTGACCAGGGAGAACAGGTCACCCGATAAGGTCTGCCCTCCCCGCTGCACACCTGCGCTCCCCACTCATACCCGTCAGAGTGGCTTTCTCGGGGGTTGGATCTGCCTCTGCTGTTGACGTGGTGATGATAAACACCTTGCTCACTGCTGAACCACGCAGGACCGTGTGACTGCTTTTCCTGCCTGGCTTTTGTTTTCCCTGGAGTTGTTGATTGTTTTTCTTTTCAATCACTTGTCACTAGTGTATCTCCTCCTTTGCTCAGGTATTCTTCCGGGTTTCAGTCTCGGGGCTGCTCTCCGTGGGTCTCCCACCATTGGCCGAATTCCTTTGGCTTCTCTTGGGTTGGGTCTTGGGTCTTCTCCTGGGATTTGCTCCCTTGGTTTG
This sequence comes from Homo sapiens, assembly GCF_000001405.40. Classification (NCBI taxonomy): domain Eukaryota; kingdom Metazoa; phylum Chordata; class Mammalia; order Primates; family Hominidae; genus Homo; species Homo sapiens. The sequence continues at coordinate 62,153,840 of NC_000020.11, forward strand.
GGGAGGGAGGCGCATCATTTTATGGCCTCCTGAGAACAGGTGTTTGGGATGTGTCCCTTTAAACAGAATTCCCACGCTCCCTTCACTCGACTGCTGGCATGTTAACGCCACCTCACTTGCTGTCCCCTCCCCTCTTCTGTCCTGTGGACACGTGTTATTCTTGCCCTGACAATTTGAGAATGAGTTGTAGACTTGGTGCCCCTTTACTCCCAAATGCTTGAACGTGACTTTGCTGCCAACGAGGACATGACGCCGTACAAAGATTGAAACGGGGGAGCTGACATGGCAGCAGCACAGCCGTCTGCTCCAACTCACTGTGACTTCCCAGTTGTCCCGGTAATGGCTTTTGTAGGACATCATTAAGGATTACTGGAAGGACCCTGGGACCATGTCTGTTGAGAACCACTTGTTCATCTTCCTTGTCTTTGATGACTCTGACAGTTTTTGAAGAATGCCGGCCAGTCATCGAGTGCCCTTGGTTTGGGTACAAGGTGCGTTTTCCTAACTTGCGGGTCTGAAAGTGCGTCCATTCCCCCTTCACGCCTGGTTGCGGTTTCGGCGGACTAGAATTTCTACGCAGAAGTCTCCCTCAGGATCAGACCGTAGCCCTTCCGGAAACCTCCATGGTGAGTTCATCTCTCCTCCAGAGCCTCCCTCAGGCCAGGCCATCGGCCCCCCAGAGGTCTCCGTTGGGACTGGGTCATCACACCTCAGGGGGTGTCCCTTGGTATGGGACACAGCTCCTCCGGAAGTCTCCGTGAGGTCGTTGCACCCTGCGGGCCCATGTAGGAGGCTCCGTGCTGTCGGAATCCACTGTCCTTCACGTGGAACCTGGTTTTTCTCTCCTGTCATGTTTAGGATCTTTCTTTGTCCCTGGTCTTTTTTGGCAAACTGGTCACCTGGGGGCCCTTCCAATGGGGAAATGCGTCCTTCAGCTCTGAGAAAATGATTGAAGGATTTGGGGGTGATTTCTTCACTGCTCCTGTCTCTGGGGCTCCTGGAGGGCCGCGCTGGCCCACTCCCTTTCTTCGTGATCTTTCTGTTTTCACCTCGGTCGATCCGTCCTGCTTTCCAGGACTCCTCCTCAACTTCATATCCCGCCCCTCTGTTGAATTGTGTTCTGACTAACAGGTTTTCACCTCCAGAGCTCTTCTGCCCCCTCTGTTGTTTCTAACTGGCATCATCTTCTTTTCTGGGGCTCCAGTAACCTGCATCACTGCACCGGCTGACTTTGTGAGGATATTAATAATAGGTTTTGTTGGATTTTTTTAAAAAGTTTCAGGCCGGGTGCAATGGCTCATGCCTGTAATGAGCACTTGGGGAGGCAGAGGCGGGCAGATCAGTTGAACCTAGGAGATCGAGACCAGCCTGGGCAACACAGGGAGACCCTGTCTCTACCAACAACAACAACAAAAAAAACCCATTTAGCCAGGCATGGTGGCACACACCTGTAGTCTCAGCTACTCGGGCGGTTGAGGTAGGAGGATCACTTGAGCCTGGGAGGTGGAGGTTGCAGTAAGCCAAGATCACGCCACTGCACTCCAGCCTGGGTGACAGAGCGAGACCCTGTCTCAGAAGAAAAGCAAATAGAAAAAGTCTCCGTCTTGCATAACCTTCATCTTTGGATTTTGGCCTCTGTGGCTGGTTTTGGCCTTTGTCTTTCAAATGGCAGGTGGGGGCCGCACCGCTGTGGCTTCTGCGGATTGGAGGCCGGGGCACTGCCTGCTATGCTCAGGCAGGCGTGTGGCCTGTGGTTCACTCTGAGGTGCTCTTTCCCTTCAGTGCCCAAGCATCTTTCCTCCAGGCTGGTCACTTTCCTGGAGACGCCCCCTCCTCCAACCCCATCTCCTGCCAGCAGATCCTGGGCGACCCTGAAAGGTGCCAGAATTTTAACATTCCTGAGCCTTGTGGGGCTTCGCAGCACAGTGTGGCTCAGGCCAGGTGCCCTGGGGGCACTGATTCAGTTGTTACTCATCCATGTGCTTTTCAGCTTCCAAACTCCCGCTGCTGCCATCTTGTGCCCTCCCCATTCTGTCCTTAGAAGGCCACACCTGTTCCATCCTTAGTCGCCGGCCGGGGCCTGGGGTTTGGGGTGTCCAGTCTTCCACCTTTCATTCTGCCTGTCCTGCCCTTTTTCAAGTGGGTATGTGTCTAACATACATGAGAAAGTTCTCTGTATCCAGTTTTCTAAACACCCACACCAGTACTGTGTTTCGTCGTGCTTCGTCGTGCGTACATAAACCTCGCGGCACTGCCCTGGCCAGTGCACACCCGCGGGGCTCTGCCTAATGAAGTCAGTGGCTTGCGCCCCCCGGCCCATCCCGGCCCCGTGCTGGGAGTGATGCTGAAATGCCCGCCGTGTCTAGTTCGTGTCCCTGGAGACAATCTCTGCCTGGGGGTTAGGAGTCAAGGAGGGGAAGCCCTTTAGAAGGAAAGGAAGAAAGCCCATAGTTGTCCCTTCCTGCAGTTCATCTGAAGGCAGAGCCATCTGGAATGCTGGCGCCTGGCAGGTGGACTCTCCCTCACCTGCCCACTGGTAAGCCTGGCCCACAGTGTCCCCTGGCGGCCCCCCACCCCCATCTCAGGATGGCTCCTCGGCCCCATTGGGCTCAGCTGAGTGCAGGGCACCTTGTCCCCAGCAGGGAGAAAAGTGGTAAAGAGTGGAAAGGGGGAAGGTATAACTTTAAGAAAAAATAGAGCAGGAGAAACCAACCCTGAAGTCGTGGAGACCGGCGGAGGAGGAAGCTGAGTTGAGGGCAGTCACTCAGCTGGGGCTGTGGGTCCGGGCTCTGCCCTGTGAGCTGGCCTGGCTTGGCTCTCTCCACCCTGGGCTCCCTCTGCCTGTGGATGAGTTTGGGCCCCAAGGTCAAATCGCAGTTAGAGGGGCCACGTTGCAGGGTGGAGGCACAGCTGGGTGGCCCCAAGGCCCCAGGCAGGCAGGTGGGCTCCTCCTCCCCTTGCCCTGGGGCTCCCCTGCTCCAGGGCCTGTAGAGCTCCTGTCGGGAGCGGCCTCCTAGGGCTGAGTGACCCAGCACGCTGTAGTGGAGCCAAAAGGCACTGCTTTTTCCTTGGGTGCCAGCCTCTGAGAAAAGGCCTTTTTATGAAAAGCAGCAGGCGTGGTGGGCTCAGTTCTGTGCCTCCCTGCAGACAGAGGCAGCTGGTCACAGGGCGGGTGTCGCCTCTTCTCAGTCCCCTCCCATACCCCCTCTCTCCTCTCTCGCCTCCCGTTGGGTCTCCGCGGGCCACCCAGTGCTGCCCCCAGGTGGACACCTTGAAAGAGCCGGCTCTCCTGTGCCTGCTCCCCACGGCCTGTGGGCGTCCTGTGTGGTGTCTGCAGGATGCCGCCTGGCCCCAGCCCCTGTTCCTCTGCTGCCACCCACCCCTCCCCACTTCTACCAACCACCAGACTCAGCACGTCCTGACTACGTGCAGGTGTGTGGACGCAAGGCCTTGGGCCGCTTGATTTGGGGAGTGCTCCGGAGCCCTCCTGGGGCCACAGAGCACGTTCAGGAGGCGCTTTGGGAAGGAAACCTGGGGAATCTGTGGGCCCAGCCCCCTGCTGCTCAGGTGTGGCCAGGCACGTGGGTCACCAGGTCAGAGACAGGCTGAGCCCCTGCATCTGACAGGTTCCTGGCAGTGCCCATCTTGAGCGCAGACCGTGCTTGGCGGAGTGTATGCCTGGCCGTCCCTGGACCAGAAGCCTCCATTTTGCCAGTTCTAGGAGCACGTGGCGCCTGCAGAGAGACCCCTGGCCCAGCTCTGGGAGGCCCACATCTGGCTGTTCACCTGAGTCACTTGAAACTGGTTTAATCTGGGTTTAGGGTCATGACCTTGTCTGTGCACACACACTTTATGTGTAAGACACGGAAGGTTCAAGACGGGACCGGCCTTCCCTGTGTGGCCTGTGGGCCTATCGTGCCGTTCTCCTGCATTTCAGCGCAGCACCCCTGGGGGTGAGGGCTGCGGGGTGCCAGCCCCAGGTCTAGGTCATGCCCGGTTCCGCAGTCTCACGCATCTTTTCTGCCCCCACGCCGGCCTGTGTGTGTGTGTGGTTTCTTCTACCGGTGGTGCCGTCCCTGACCCCCCCAGACCCTTTCCTTCCCTCCCTCACCGCGGTTGGTGCAGCCCCTGCAGGAAGTCTCGATGCCCTTACCACCTGGGAGTGCCCTGGACCCCTGCTGATCCTTGGGAGGGGGCAGTTACCTGTGCCCCACCCTGTGTGGTTGCAATTCGAGGCTATCCCCTCCAGCTAGGGGCACCAGGGCCTCTTGTGGGGTGCCCACAGGGTCCTGACATCCTTGCCATCGGCTTGGCTGACCCTTGCTGCACAGATGCTCTGCCGTCAAGGGCCCTGGAAGCTGGAGGGTCCTTCGGGCTGGGGGCTGCTGGGGGCACGGGGCCTCTGTGTTTTCATTTGTGGGCTTAGATGGCCCTGCCGCTTACGGATGAAGTCCCCAGCACAGGGAGGTGTGAATGTTCGGTCTGTGGTGGCTGAGGCAATGCACGTAACGACAGTTTCGTATACAGAACAGGCGTAGCATCCGAGATCTGGAAATTTGAAGTGCTCCAAAATCCAGAACCTTTTGAGCACCAACATGAGGCTCAAAGGAAATGCTCATTGGAGCATTTTGGATTTCGGGTTTTCGGATTAGGGATGCCAAACCGGTGGGTCTAATACAGATATCCCCAAATCTGGAAAAATCTGAAATCTGACACGTTTCACGTAAGGGACGCTCAACCTATATGAAAACTAGATGTGTAGCGATGGCTGTTCATCCCGAGGGTCAGCGACAGCCCCGCGTCGGCAGCGCCCGCTCACGCTCTCTCCGCAGATGCTGGACGAGAACCACCACCTGATCCAGTGCATCCTGGAGTACCAGAGCAAGGGCAAGACGGCCGAGTGCACGCAGTGAGTGCCCGCCATACACCGGAACACTTGGAGGGTGTCATGCAGAGTCTAAGCACAGAGGCCAGATACGTCCCAAGAGTCCCCCAGCACAGAGATCAGATAAGTCCCAGGAGTCCCCAGCACGGAGGCCAGATATGTCCCAGGAGTCCCCTGCACAGAGGCCAGATATGTCCCAGGAGTCCCCCAGCACGGAGGTCAGATATGTCCCGAGAGTCCCCCAGCACGGAGGCCAGATATGTCCCGAGAGTCCCCCAGCACGGAGGCCAGATATGTCCCGAGAGTCCCCCAGCACGGAGGCCAGATATGTCCCGAGAGTCCCTGGCACAGCTGCGAAGCATTGCTGCCAGAACTGGGGTAGTTCTGAGGGAGGCGGAAAGTGGGAGGCAGGAGCAGTGTGGGGAGGCCTGGGCCAGCCTCTCTGGGCAGCTCTGTGGCCAACAGCCAGCGCACCAGGAGACAGCACCTACTCCAGGTGGGACCTCCTGTGACCCTGTGAACCTAGGGCCTGATGCGTAGGAGGGGTGCGTGGCCAGTCTGCCACCCTCCAAGCGGCTGTCCAAGTGGCCGTCAGACTGACCTGGAGGTGGGAAGTGCGTGAATGGCCTCAGACACCCCTGGGTGTGGGTGGGGTGAAGGGACTGGGTCCCCACTGGTGCGAGGTATACGAGGGGCCTTCCCTGGCAGAACTGTGCTTCCCCATTTCTTTCCAGGGCTTTCTCAGGGTCGTTGGCTCTATGGAGTCCGCCCACTGCCTGGCTCAGCTGGACGAGGGCTCTGTCCCTCTGTCACCTTCGGGCCCCTGCCTCCTCGTGGCCTCCCCCCATCTCTATCCTCTGAACAGACCAATGCCAGCTTCCGCTTAGCTGTTACCTTAGAGTCTTTCCAGAGTTTTTGTCATGGGTTGGGAGCCTGCTCAGGGTTTGGGGTAGAGGCTGCCCTCCCGTCCCCACCGAGACCCCAGCACCCTGCCACCTGCCTGTGTCCAGCTGGGTGTCATCTGGGGTCCATGTCCTCATGGGGTTTGGCTGGATGTCAGGCTGTCTTGTTCACACTTTACTTCTGCCTTGGATCCACGTGGGGACTCTGTGGTCCCGTCGTCCTGCCTCATGCGTGCCCCCTCTCCTGCAGGTACCAGCAGATCCTGCACCGGAACCTGGTATACCTGGCCACGATCGCAGACTCCAACCAGAACATGCAGTCCCTGCTTCCTGCCGTGAGTACCCACGGGGGGTTGGCCTCCTTTACCCAGCAAGGACTCCGACACTGCCTAAGATCGGAATTGTGGGCATGTCATCTCAGGTAGCAAAGATGACTCAGAGAAACCAAAAATACCACTAGAGCCACCAGAAATGGGAGTGTGGGCGGTGGTGACCAACCCTTCCTGACAGACTGGGAGTAATGACAGCGTCTGAGGTGGCCAGGTCAGAACTGTGGCTCAGCCTCGTTATGTATTGAAGGGAGGGAAGCCCCGGAGAAGCCACTCCAGGAGCAGCCGCAGCTCTCGGGTCGGGGGTGGGGAGAGGTGGGATGGGGAGAGGTGGGGTGGGGAGAGGTGGGGTGGGGTGGGGAGAGGTGGAGAGAGGTGGGGTGGGGAGAGGTGGAGAGAGGTGGGATGGGGAGAGGTGGGGAGAGGTGGGGTGGGGAGAGGTGGGATGGGGAGAGGTGGGATGGGGGCCCTGCGTCTCCCTGGAGCCTCTCCGGGTGCTTTGAGCCACTGTGAACCGTGCACATGCGCTGCTGTGGGTGAGAACGGAACTTAAAAGAGAACATGCCCAGCACAGTAAATTCTCCCAGTGTTAGTTCAAATATTTTATTTTGTTTGATTTTTTAAAATGCATTTTTCCAAGATTAAATTGTCACAGTGAAGACGAGGTCGTGCTGCTGCAGCCTCTGTCCTGCTGACGGGGTTCCGGGACAGACATGTCGCCGGGAATGACGTATCTCCTAGTGACCCTTAGTCCTCGGCAAGTGATGACATAAATGCCAGGATGTGTCTTGCGAGTAAAAATGTTAAACCCACCTCCATTGACCTGTCAAATTGCACTTCTTCACCCTGCAGACACCCACAGGTCCTGGTGGAAATTTCCTTTTCTTGGCCAGGTGTAGACAGCATGTGTGTGCAGACCTCCAGAGCTGCTGGTTGACCTTGATCTGGGAGAGTGCTGAGGGCCACTTCACACTCACTCCCTTCTGTGCGGTGTGATCCGAGGCGGGTGTGGGGTGGGGGTAGTCGGGGAAGGGGCACATGCAGCAGGAGCACGGGAAACAGGAGAGGGATCCCACCTCTGCCGAAGCTCTTGGCACGGAGGGGTCGTGGTTGGGGAGCACAGAGGCGCTGGTCACCTGCGCCCGAGGGGGACGGGGTGCGTTCAGCCTGGTGGGCCGGGAAAGGGGTTCCCTGCTGTCCCAGGAGGAGGTCCAGCTTTTCACACCCAGGCACGTGTGGATGAACTTGATACTCAGTAGGGTTGTGAACGCTCACCCAGATGCTCACTCTGCCATCTCCATCTGGGCCTGGTGCTCTGCGGTCACCTGGCTGTGACGATGGCTGCTGATTACGAACATTGACCAGGTGGCCATGATGTGTGGCGGCAAATCTCGGGTGCCCTCTCATCCCTGGCCTGGCTTGTGGAGGTCGCTCTCCGTAAATTAACCGTTTTTCCCTGAAAACTTCCTGTTGCCTGCAGCCGCCCACGCAGAACATGAACCTGGGCCCTGGAGCCCTGACTCAGAGCGGCTCCAGCCAGGGCCTGCACTCTCAGGGCAGCCTGAGTGACGCCATCAGCACGGGCCTGCCACCCTCCTCCCTCCTGCAGGGCCAGATTGGCAACGGTGAGTGCGGCGGGGGAGGAGGACGTTCCTGGCTACGAGGCCACCAAGGCAGCCCTTGGGCAGCCGGCTGCCATGGTGGGGCACCCCACCCCTCACAGGGCTGGGCATGGGACCCACTCCTCCTGGGGTAGCCACAGGTCGGCTGCCATCGCCCAGGCTCAGGGCCGCAGCGAGCGTGCCGTGCGGCTGGGCTGAGCCCCTGCTCCAGTTGTCCACTCTCTCTGACACTGTCACGTTCCATCAAATTCAAATGCAAGTTGCGGGGTTCCAGGTGGATTGTGTAATAGGAATGGAATGCTCCTGTCTTTGGATTGAGAAGCATGGATAACGTTTGGAGACCATTAACAGTAATATAACAGGCCGGGTGTGGTGGCTCAGATCTCTAATCCCAACCCTTTGTGAGGCCTAAACCAGCAGACTACTTGAGGCCAGGAGTTTGAGACCAGCCTGGGCAATATGGCAAAGCCCCATCTTTACAAAAAATAAAAATATTAGCCGGGTGTGATGGTGCACACTTGTAGTCCAAACTGTTAAATACTCGGGAGACTGAGGAGAGAGGGTCACTTGAGCTTGGGAGGGTGAGGCTGAAGTGAGCCTTGTTCATGCCACTGCCCTGCAGCCTGGGTGACAGAGCCAGACCCTGTCTCAGAAAATAATAACAAAATAACAACAAATAAACGATTCATCCTGTGCTTTGCTAGCATGTACGCTGCTTTGTTTTCTTTTCTTTTTTTTTTGAGACAGAGTCTCGCTCTAGTCGGCCAGGCTGGAGTGCAATGGGCATGATCTTGGCCCACTGCAACCTCCGCCTCCCGGGTTAAAGCAGTTCTCCGGCCTCAGCCTCCCAAGTAGCTGGGATTATAGGCACGTGCCACCACACCTGGCTAATTTTTTTGTATTTTTAGTAGAGACGGGGTTTCACCATGTTGTCCAGGCTGGTTTCGAACTCTTGACTTCAGGTGATCCACCCACCTCGGCCTCCCAAAGTGCTGGGATTACAGGCATGAGCCACTGCTCCCGGCCACTTATTTATTAGTCACTTAATCATTAATAGTGCTGTTGATAGCAACTCTTCCCAAAGTCACTTGAAGGGAAATTGGGGTGTCTTCACCTTCAGAAGTGGTGACCTGGCTCCCCAGTGCCTGACACCACTCCCTGCTCCCCATGCCAGGGCCGAGCCACGTGTCCATGCAGCAGACGGCGCCTAACACGCTGCCCACCACCTCCATGAGCATCTCTGGGCCCGGCTACAGCCACGCGGGACCCGCCTCGCAGGGCGTCCCCATGCAGGGGCAAGGCACCATCGGCAACTACGTGTCTCGGACCAACATCAACATGCAGTCCAACCCAGGTACCTACTCTGCCTCTGCAACCCCGGGGGGCCTGGGCCTGCCTCCAAGACCCTTGACACATGCACGTTGGACATGTGGTCCCGGGGAAGCTGCCCTCCTGCTGGGTGCTGGAGGGGAGGGGCCCGTGAATCGGGGCTGGCCGCTGCCTCTGAGAGCTTCCGGAGGGATGGGCGCCAGTGGGTGCACGATCAACTCCTCCTGTCCCCCAGCTTTGCGAGGGGCTGGGGTGTTTCCCATGGAGTCTCAGGGAATGCCCCAGGGAGTGGGGGCCACTGGCCCTGGGTCTGGACAGACAGCACTGGGCTCTCAGAGGTGGGGTAGAGTCGGTGCAAGCAGCGGGTCTGAGCTTGCAGGGCGTCAGTGCAGGCCACGTAGGGGAGGCGTGCCTTGCGGTGGAGGACGCTGTCCTCGTGGGGAGCACAGGAAAATAACGAGGAACCCGCCCGGGCGCAGGAGGTAGTTGGGTGTGGGAGGGAGGGCGGGAGGCTTCCCGGGGTGATGTGGGGCCTCTGTCCTGTCGTTCAGTCTCCATGATGCAGCAGCAGGCGGCCACGTCGCACTACAGCTCGGCGCAGGGCGGCAGCCAGCACTACCAGGGCCAGTCGTCCATCGCCATGATGGGGCAGGGCAGCCAGGGGAGCAGCATGATGGGGCAGCGGCCCATGGCGCCCTACCGGCCCTCCCAGCAAGGTAACGCCCGGCCGGGCCAGGTCGCGGGCACAGCTGACCGCCGCGGGTCGTGAAGTGCCAGGCTGTGTGTGCTTCTCTTCGGGGAGCCTGGGGGAGTGAGGCGGGGAGCCTGGGGGAGTGAGGCTTGGCGCCTTGGTGTTAACATTGAGTGTGGACCCTGGGGGTGAGGGCCAGGGTGTGGCCCGTGGAGGGTCTGCTGTCCCCGAGGAGTCAGTGTTGGGGGCAGGGGCGGCAGTTGTCATTAAGAGTGTCACAGGCCGGGCTCATGCCTGTAGTCCGAGCACTTTGGGAGGCCGAGGTGGGCGGATCACCTGAGGCCAGGTGCTCAAGACCAGCCTGGCCAACATGGTGAAACTCTGTACTAAAAATACAAAACATAAGTTGGATACGATGACAGCGTGGGGTGTTCTCCTCGGGTGGGTGAGGCCATTCAGCAAGGCCTTGGCTTCCCCAGTGAGCGAGCAGGTCCTCTGAGGGAGGAGGGCGCGGCCCGCACTGGCGCTGAATGTGGTTCCCCCGCAGGCTCTTCCCAGCAGTACCTGGGCCAGGAGGAGTACTATGGCGAGCAGTACAGCCACAGCCAGGGCGCCGCGGAGCCCATGGGCCAGCAGTACTACCCCGACGGTGAGCACTGGCGGCGGCCTGACCCCGCCCAGGAACGCAGAGCAGCTGCAGGGGCAAGGAGGGCAAGGAGGGCAAGGAGGGTGTGGCCACTGCAGTGTGTCCTCAGTCATTCCAGCTCAGGCCTGGGCTACAGGCAGAGTGGCCAGACGCCCTGCAGGAGCAAGGTAGGGGATGGGGTGAGCTGGGCTGGCAGTGGTGCCTGGCCTCTGCAGAGAGAAGCTGTGGCACACACCGCTGCACTGGCCTCCACGCGGCCTTGCCTCTACTTCCTGAAAGGCTGTGGGAGTTGGAGGCGGATAATTGTAGCTCCTAGCTGTAGATAGGTGGAAATGTTCAAGAAGGCGCCTCCCAGCTTCACAGAGAATGCCCTGAAGGTGACGGCTCCACCTGCAGCACCTCTCCTCCTGCACCTTCTCATCTCTGCAGAGTATTTTACCGTCGTCACCTTTCAGTCTTTGCATAGTCCCAGGGCTTGTGGAAGGGATACTGAAAGTGGTCTTGGCTGAAAACAGCGGTTCACACCTGTCATTCCGGCACTTTGGGAGGCTGAGGCAGGAGGATCGCTTCAGCCCAGGAGGTTGAAGCTGCATTGAGCCATGATCGCACCACCACACTCCAGCCTTGGTGACAGAGCAGGATCCTGTCTCTAAATAAAGTAAAAATAACAATAAAATAAAGTGGTCTTAAAGGCTGGATTGATCCCTGGGAGGCATCCAGGCAGGGAGCTGGCCTCAGCCAGCAAGGGGCAGGTGCACAGACAGGTGGGCAGGTGGCAGCAGGGCAAGCCACCCTGGCCACGTGATGGTCACATGCAGCGAAGGCCTCGGTAAGGGTTGGACACCCCTGCCTGCGTCCTCCCAGGAGCTAGCGGTGGCGGGGAGAAGGCAGTCGGGTCACTAGCATGGCTGTGTGGCAGGCACTGAAAGCGCTGATCCTCTGCATAAATCCCCAGGTAGCTTCACAGTCGCCCCGAGAAGGAGGCATTGATGTCTGCATTTCAGTGGGGAGGCCGAGGCTCAGGAGGTTGGGGCATGGTTTTGGGGAACACGGGTCCTGCCGGCTCTTGTTGCCTCCCTGGCCAGACAACATCTCCCCAGCCTGGGTCTCAGTTGCCTCCTCCGGGACCTGTGCAGTGCACAGCCTCCGCTGACTGTCGCCGTCTCCGTTTCGCACAGGCCATGGCGATTACGCCTACCAGCAGTCATCCTACACGGAGCAGAGCTACGACCGGTCCTTCGAGGAGTCCACGCAGCACTACTATGAGGGGGGTAAGGAGCACGGCTGCGTGCTGGGCTCGAGCGTAAGCGCCACACGCAGCAGAGTTAAGACGCTGCACCCTTAGGAGCACGCGGTGCCTGCCTTCAGTGAGTCCCTTAAATCACAGCACAGCGCGTGGGAGGAGAGACAGTGTGTTCTGGAAGCTGGAAATTCAGGCTGTGTCGGGAGCCCCGCTTGCCTTATGGGTGTGTTCGTGAGACAGGAAAGGATTCAGCCGGCCATGCTGGGGTTGGGGGCACAGACTTGGTTATTGGGTCCAGCCAGGGAGCGTGGGGCCTGCGACAGGAAGGATTCAGCCGGCCATGCTGGGGTTGGGGACACAGACTCTGTTATTGGGTCTGGCCAGGGATCGTGGGGCCTGCGAGCCACTCTCAGAGCTTCCTCAGCTGGAGGCCAGCAGTGGCTGCGCTGGGTGTGGCCTCGCGTTTCTTCAGACACCTGCAGGCCAGGAAACGCACATCTGTGGCTGGGGGCTTGCCGCCCTTCATGGCGGTCCTGGGCAGTGCTGCGCTGGGGGCTGCGTGTCGGGTGGACTTGCCCCTTTCTGTGGTGTCTGTGCCCCCACCCTGGCTGCCCTGAAACCCCAACAGAACATCCCAGAATGTGGAGTTGGGAAGAGGTACACACAGCCCGTTCCAGTCCCACCCCGGGATAAAGATGGCCCCCAGAGAAGAGCTGATGATCGCCTGCGGGATTGCGCAACCTCGTCCGGGAGGGAAGGCGGGCCTGCAGTCCCTGGGGAGAGGGGCCTCGTGTCTGCTGACGCTGACCGGCAGGCAGCAGTGGCTGAGGCCTTCCCACTGCAGGGCTGCAATTTATCAAGAGGTAACAGTGTTGGTGAGGCTTCACCAGGTACACAAAGCAGGCAGGCACTAAACGGCTACAGATTTCCTTGTTTGGGTTACTTCTTAAAGAATTGGATGTGTAAAGGTTTTGCTTCTGAGCTTACACATCTCAGCCTGCTGTGAAGAAATAAAGCACGCAAGTGTAGGCACATATAGAAACATCACGGTGTGCGCTACGAATGCCTGCAACGTTGAAATGTCAGTTACACCTTTGTAAACCTGGGGGAAACAAAAAGTACATGAATACATAATGAAAGTTTAAAAGAAGAAAGAGCCTAGGTGTTGTGGCTCACGCCTATAATCCCAGCACTTTAGGAAGCTGAGGTGGGTGGATCACCTGAGGTCAGGAGTTTGAGACCAGCCTGGCCAACACGGTGAAACCCCGTCTCTACTAAAAATACAAAAATTAGTTGGACGTGGTGGCATGTGCCTGTAATCTGAGCTACTCAAGAGGCTGAGGCAGGAGAATTGCTTGAACCCGGGAGGTGTAGGTTGCAGTGAGCTGAGATCATGCCATTGCACTCCAGCCTGGGCAACAAGAGTGAAACTTTGTCTCAAAAAAAATAAAAAGAAATAAAAAAAAGAAATGGCCAGGCATGGTGGCTTACGCCTGTAATCCCAGCACTTTGGGAGGCCAGTGGAGGAGGATTGCTTGAGCTCAGGAGTTTGTTTGTTTTTTTTTTTTTTTTTTTTTGAGACGGAGTCTCACTCTGTCGCCGAGGCTGGAGTGCAGTGGTATGATCTTGGCTCACTGCCACCTCCGCCTCCCAGGTTCAAGCAATTCTCCTGCCTCAGCCTCTTGAGTAGCTCGGATTACAGGCCCCGCCACCACACCCAGCTAATTTTTGTATTTTCAGTAGAGATGGGGTTTCATCATGTTGGTCAGTCTGGTCTCGAACCCCTGACCTCATGATCCACCTGCCTCAGCCTCCCAAAGTGCTGGGATTACAGGCGTGAGCCACCGCGCCCGGCCGAGCTCAGGAGTTTGAGGCCAGCATGGGCAACATGGCAAAACCCTTTCTCTCCCGAAAAAAAAAAAAAAAATGCCGGGCGTGGTGGCGGGTACCTGTAATCCCAGCTACTCAGGAGGCTGAGGTGGGAGAATCGCTTGAACCCAGAGGCAGAGGTTGCAGTGAGTTGAGATTGCACTACAGCACTCCAGCCTGGGTGACCGAGCCAGACCCTGTCTCAAAACAAAAGCCACCCTGTGGCCAGCACCCAGAGGCTATCTTCTGGCATATTGGCTGCAGTGGTGCCTCCGTAAGCCCTGGGAGTCAGCAGGATCTCTGCCATCATGGGCCTGGCCCTGTCCCTTCCAGCTGGAGCACAGGGTTCAGCCTTGTCCATGGCGAGGTGTCCACATGCGTCTGCCCAAGGCTGCCACACTTTGTCCCAAAAACAAACGCAGGATGTGCTGCTCAGCCTTTTAGTGTCTGATGTAGCTACTTTTTTTTTTTTTTTAAAGAGACAGGGTCTTGCCCTATCACCTAGGCTGGAGTGCAGTGGCCTGATCGTGGCACACTGCAGCCTGGAAATCCCAGGCTCAAGTGATCCTCCTGCTTCAGCCTCTCGAATTGCTGGGACTAAAGGCATGCACCACCAGGCCTGGCTTTTTTTTTTTTTTTTTTTTTTTTAATTTTTGTAGAGATAAGGTCTTGCCATGTTGCCCAGGCTGGTTTTGAACTCCTGGGCTCAAGTGCCACCTCAGCCTCCTACAGTGCAGGGGCTCCAGGTGTGCGCCATTGTGCCTGGCTGATAGGTACTTCCGTAGCTTGTTGTGGGTTAGGTACTCTTGCCTTCCATCATTGATGAGAAATTTGCTGAAAAGCTTAGTAACCTCTTAAGGCCAGTAAGACAGATGGTGTGGTTTCCTCCTTGATTTAGAAGCATTTTATTCCATCTGTTTGTTAGACTCTGACATGAGGAGTGCACATACATGGTGACACTTTACCCTACAGCAGGTGGTACTGTGAAGTCTTGCAGGGGTGAGAGGCCTGGAGATGCTTTGCTTTGAAGAGATTGGCGGATGTGTCATAGCCACCTTCAAACACAACTGTGGCCCATGGTGCAGTGGAGAGGCTGGGGGGACGTTAGGAGGAATGGGTCAAAGGCACCATAAAGAACTTTCCAGGCCGGGTGCAGTGGCTCCCACCTGTGATCCCAGCATCAGGCCAGGTGCAGTGGCTCCCACCTGTGATCCCAGCATTGTGGGGGCCAGGGCAGAGGATCACGTGAGCCTGAGAGGTCGAGACCAGCCTAGGCAACATAGTAAGACCCCCTCTCTACTAAAAAACATTAGCCAGGTGTGGTGGCATGCGCCTGTTGTCCCAGCTACTTGGGAGGCTGAGGCAGGAGCATAGCTTGAGCCCGGGAGGTCGAAGCTGTACTTAACTATGATCACACCACTGCGCTCCAGCCTTGGCAACAGAGCAAGACCCTGTCTCAAAAATAAAAAGAATTTTCCAACTTTTGAGTCATCCCACAGCAGGATGAGTGGGACAGGCTGGTGCTGGAATTGTTCCTGGTGACGGCATCAGTCAGGAGCCTGCAGAATCTGATAAAACGAGAGGGTGTTCATGCGCAGGGCACCAGTAATAGGAGGGGACCAGAGTGGGGCTGACCAAGCCAGGAGGGGACAGCGGGGGCCACGGGGTCACTTGTGCTGGGCAGGAGCATCGGGATGTGGTGCTCGGTGGGGGAGGGGCCAGGAGAGGGTGCGAGTCCCGCGTTCGCGTCACAGTGAGGTTTGCAGTGACGCATACTGGACAGAGCGCAGCCCCTCGTGACCTGGCATCTGGGCGCCATTGCTGCTAGGAGAGACCGCCCATGAGCTGCCAAAGCCAAGTATGGAGCTGGGCGCATGGGATGTGCCTCTGTGAAAATGCAGGCAAGAGGAGACTGTGCCCTTGCACACACGCACACTCACACCGTCAGCCAATGGACAAACACCAAAACAACCAACACAAATGCTTCCGGGTAGGAGATGGGGTTAGGGCTCAGGCAGTCCAGAGCAGGGGTGGAAGCGGCCACCTTCCCAGGACCTCTTGAAGGTATGAGTCCGTCTGTATGTACCTTTGAATCATGTAGATGTATTGGCAGCTTCAGAAGTTAAATTAAACATCATTGGGGCCGGGCAGAGTGGCTCACGCCTGTAATCTCAGCACTCTGGGAGGCTGAGGCGGGTGGATCACTTGAGATCAGTAGTTTGAGACTAGCCTGGCCACCATGGTGAAACCCCATCTCGACCAAAAATACAAAAACTAGCTGGGCTTGGTGGCGCATGTCTGTAAAGCCAGCTGCTTGTGAGGCTGAGGTATGAGAATCACTTGAACCCAGGAGGCAGAGGTAGCAGTGAGCCAAGATCACGCAACTGCACTCCAGCCTGGGGCGGCAAAGCGAGACTCCATCTCCAAAAAAAAAAAAGGAACATCATTGGCTGTCACAGAAACTGAAAGGACCTCACTTTATGGCTGTCCACACCGTCCACACCTCCTGGAGTCCCGAGCGCGGCTGGCGTGTCGTGTGCATTTCTCAGGCCCTCGCCAGGTGGTGACCAGCGTGTCCCAGGAGTGGACGACAGGGTGGTGTGGCCGGGGCCTGTGGGACTCATCTTCCCTGGGCAGTGCTGGGGCCGCCTTGGCTGCGTCCTCGTGTGGATCACTGTGTTTTTATGTGACACGGCTTTGAGCGTCGTTCACATGTTCCTCGTGGCTCATTGTGTCCACATCTTGCTCCTTCTGAGGAAGCAGAGGGTGTGCCGTGGCCTCTTGTTTCACACACAGATGCGCCATGCTGCCCGGCACCTTCTCACGGGCACCCCGCAGAATGCCAGAGGATTCTTAGAGAAAGAAAAGAGCTGGGCACGGTGGCTCACGCCTGTAATCTCAGCACTTTGGGAGGCCGGGGCAGGCGGATCACGAGGTCAGGAGATCGAGACCATCGTGGCTAACACGGTGAAACCCCGTCTCTACTAAAAATAGAAAAAAATTAGCTGGGCGTGGTGGCGGGCGCCTGTTGTCCCAGCTACTCAGGAGGCCGAGGCAGGAGAATGGCGTGAACCCCGGAGGCAGAGCTTGCAGTGAGCCGAGATTGTGCCACTGCACTCCAGCCTGGGTGACAGAGCGAGACTCCATCTCGAAAAGAAAAGAAAGAACCCTGGAGTACTTGCTGGTTGTGGAGGAAGGCCCCACATCTGCCCGCCCCGTTGCTGTCCTGTTGAGAGCACGGCCTGGGCTCCCCCGAGCCCTGCAGATTTCATGCAACACATCTGAAAACGGCAAAGGCCTTTTCCACAGATGTCGTGCCCCCTTTCCCTGCAGTTATCTCAGCAGCCCCCTTTCTTTGGGGATAGGGCGGCTGCTGCCAGTTCCCACTAGATCGCCTGAGCACCCACTGGGGTGTGAGAGCCAGGCCTGGTCCCTGTGTGCTGGGGCTGGGTGTTCTGAGCTGGCACTCTCACAGTTGTTGCATACCTGCTGGGTGCCAGGGCAAAGCTGGCCCGTTTCCTACAAACTGGCTCCTTTATTTTTTTTTTTTGTTTATGTTTTTTTGAGATGGAGTCTCACTCTATCGCCCAGGCTGGAGTGCAGTGATGCGATCTCGGCTCACTGCAACCTCCTCCTCCTGGGTTCACACCATTCTCCTGCCTCAGCCTCCCGAGTAGCTGGGACTACAGGCTCCCGCCACCATGCCGGGCTAAATTTTTTGTATTTTTAGTAGAGACGGGGTTTCACCATGTTAGCCAGGATGATCTCGATCTCCTGACCTTGTGATCCACCCGCCTCGGCCTCCCAAAGTGCTGGGATTACAGGCGTGAGCCACCGCACCCGGCCACAAACTGGCTCCTTTATTATGTAAAGAATAAAGTGGGCTATAAAACATGAGAATATGCAGGCTGACCCCCAAAAGCCTGACACCCTTGAAAACCCACTCCCCCATGTCTCAGATGGCTTTCATGGGGGCAGGAGAAAGGATAGTGACCTTAAGTCTTCTCCCGTGACGGTGACAGCTCGTTTGCCAGCTGTTGCTGGAACCGGCCCTGGATTTAGAGGAAGGCGTGGAAGTTCAAGACTCAAGATACTTCCTGGATAGAGAATAACTGGAAAGGCTCAAGTAAGTTTTTCCGAAGCTCTCGCCTTAGGAGGAGTTCAGCCTGGAATAAGAGCGTGTGTTAGTTTTGTCATCCCACCTAACTACAGATTGAATTACCCTGATAGGTTTTTAAGCCATTCCAGTGTGCATTATCTCAATAAAGCTGTTATTTAAAAAAAATACTAGATTGCAGTTTTAAAATACTTAAATTTTACAGCTTCTAAAAAAGGAAAGTTATTTCCAACCAGAAAAGTAAAGTAGAAAATGGATTCTTTGCGCAGAGCATGGTGGCTTACGCCTGTAATCCCAGCACTTTGGAAGGCAGGGGCAGCAGGATTGCTTGAGGCCAAGAGTTCGAGACCAGCCTGGGCAACATAGAGAGACCCTGTCTCTACAAAAGATTTAAAATTACCTGGGCATGGTCGGGCACCGTGGCTCACGCCTGTAATCCTAGCACTTTAGGAGGCCAAGGTGAACGGATCACAAGGTCAGGAGATCGAGACCATCCTGGCTAACATGGTGAAACTTCATCTCTACTAAAAATACAAAAAATTAGCCTGGCGTTGTGGCGGGCACCTGTAGTCCCAGCTACTCGGGAGGCTGAGGCAGGAGAATGGCGTGAACCCGGGTGGGGCGGAGCTTGCACTGAGCTGAGATCTCGCCACTGCACTCCAGCCTGGGCAACAGAGCGAAACTCCATCTCAAAAAAAAAAAAAAATTATCTGGGCACGCTGGCACACACTGTAGTCCTAGCTACTTGGGAGGCTGAAGTGAGAGGAACACTTGAGCCAGGGAGATGGAGGCTGCAGTGTGCCCTCATTGCACCACTGCACTCCAGCCTGGGTCCCAGAGCGAGGCCCTGTCTCTGAAAAAAAAAAAAAAAATTATATCTGCAAAGACCCTATGTCCAAATAAGGTTCCATTCACAGGTACTTGGAGTTAGGACATCAGCATCTCTCTGGGGAGCACATTTGACCCGCGACGCTGGCGTTCATCTCTGTCTTAGTTGTCATATTAACCATTTCGTTTCTTAGCTTTCCATTTGTATTTCTATAAGATAAAGGTGTAGTATAGTATTTGAATGGTTGTGAAAAAATAAACATGCCGAAGCAATGGATTTGGTTTTGGGATTCCAAAGTTACCGTGTCGTGAGTGGGCCACAGAATGAGCCCCCTTAGCCCAGGTGGGGAAAGTCATTTCTGTGTCTCCTCCTCCCTCCAGGAAACTCCCAGTACAGCCAGCAGCAGGCCGGGTACCAGCAGGGTGCCGCGCAGCAGCAGACGTACTCCCAGCAGCAGTACCCCAGCCAGCAGAGCTACCCCGGGCAGCAGCAGGGCTACGGTAAGAGGCGAGCACGGTCCTCGGGGCCCCCCAGCGCCCACCCCTGCCCCTGCCACACATGGGTACGTGCTCAGTACCCCAGCCAGCAGAGCTACCCTGGGCAGCAGCAGGGCTACGGTAAGAGGCGAGCACGCTCCTCGGGGCCCCCCAGCGCCCACCCCTGCCCCTGCCACATGTGGGTACGTGCCCGGTGACCCTGGTGCTCAGGCAGATGTGTAATAAACTTATTTTGAATACCTTTAGGTTTCCAGAAAAGTTGGAAACATCCATGCACGTAGACCTGAAACATCTTATTTTAACTTAAACATAAATTCATTGCCCACGTGGCCTGTGACGGGAGCCAGTGTCCCGTGTATCCATCACCTGCACGCCTCAGGCCCAGCTTCAACCTCTTTGACAGAGCAGGTCAAAGCCTGTGGGTCTCAGCCTTCACTGCAGCTTACAATCACCCAGGAAACTTCTGAAAAATAAGGTGTGGGCTGCCCCAGGTCTTTTGTTGGAGCAAGATCTCAGTTCTCAGGATGAGCTCCACACACGTGGTTTCTTATGAGGCACGTGCCTGATTCTGCTGTGCTTATTCAGCCCTTTACAGCCATTACTAATTAAATAGTATAAAAATTACTTGAGGCCAGGCGTGGTGGCTCACGCCTATAATCCCAGCACTTTGGGAGGCTGAGGTGGGCGGATGACCTGAGGTCAGGGGTTCAAGACCAGCCTGACCAATATGGTGAAACCTCGTCTCTACTAAAAATACAAAAATTAGCTGGGCATGGTGGTGGGGGCCTATAGTCCCAGCTACTCAGGAGATGAGACAGGAGAATTGCTTGAACCAGGAGGTAGAGGTCGCAGTGAGCCGAGATCACACCACTACACTTCAGCCTAGGCGATAGAGTGAGACGACTCCTCAAAAAATAAAAAAATAAATTACTTGAGGCTCAGTGTGGTGGCTCATGTCTATAATCCCAGCACTTTGGGAGGCTGAGGCAGGAGGATTGCTTGAGCCCAGGAGTTCGAGACCAGCCTGGATGACATAGTGAGACCATCTCTACAAAAAATACAAAAATTAGCCAGGCATGGTGGCACACTCCTGTGGTCCCAGCTACTTGGGAGGCTGAGGCAGGAGAATCACTTGAGCCTGGGAGGTGGAGGTTGCGGTGAGCCAAGATCACGCCACTGCACTCCAGCCTGGCTTGGGTGACAGAGTGACACCCTGCCTAAAAAAAAAAAAAAAAATTGGCCTCTATCAGTTCTTGCCGGAGCCTTTGACTTAGCCTTCCTAGAGACGATGTCTCTGTCTCACCTGCCTGCAGGTTTTCAGCAGCTCCCGTGGTAGTTCAGTGACAAGTTACAGCAGCCAGTGTGACTGGGGCCAGCGGGTTCTGGAGGGCTGTCCTGCCTTCAGGTAGCAGCAGTTCTGGGGTGATGGAGAGAGCCCATCAGCCCTCGCCATGCTGGTGGGGGGCCTGGGGCACAGTCCTGGGACCTCACAGGACTGGAGGGGCTGGTGAGTCGGTTACGTGGTGCTCTCGCTGTACAGAGTTAACGTGGAGCCACGTGCAGGTGCCAGGTGTTCTGGAGATTGACAAAAGGCTGATGCATTGAGACGGGAATTTTTCAAGGAGAAGAGGAAGTTTTAAAAAAAATTTTTAAGTTAAGAAAAAAAAAGAAAGAGGTGTCCGTTTTGGCCGGCCTCACGGTTCCTGGTGTCTTCTCAGGGTCTGCCCAGGGAGCCCCGTCACAGTACCCCGGCTACCAGCAAGGCCAAGGCCAGCAGTACGGAAGCTACCGAGCACCGCAGACAGCGCCGTCTGCCCAGCAGCAGCGGCCCTACGGCTATGAACAGGCAAGCTTTCTGGATGTTTCCAGATGTGCCCATCCGCCGCGCCTGTCGAGACATAATGAAGATTTCTCTTATGGCCATGAGGAATAATGAGCTGGAACTAACTGGCTTCCAGGGTTCCTTCCAGAACGTTAAGTCTCTGAGCCTGTAAGGTTTTGCAGAATTGCCTCTGTGTATACGCTCACCTCAGTCATCCAGCTGGCTTTTCATACCCTAAGCTCACCGTTAGATCTGCACGCCTGGTTCTCACATTCATTCACTCTGCCAGTGTTTGTCACGTACTGGGTACGCGTCCGGTCTCTGCTGAGTGCTTGGTGTGTGGCCGCGACACGAACCCTGCACTTTTAGAGCTTATGTCTCGCTACAGAGACATAAGGTGGTCCCACAGGGCCAGACTGTGCTGAGGACAGAGCGGGGGGCCCCAAATGGAGCCCGCCTTCCAGATGGGGGCGCAGGCGACCGCATTTGGCCCGTGTGGGCAATTCCAGGACGAAGACACAGCGGGGAGTGGCTGGCAGCCCCAGGCTCAGCCTAGGGAGGGGGAAGCCCTTTCTGCCCAGGAACAGTGAGCAGGGCTTTGAAGGAGCTGAGGAAAGAGCAGCTTGGAAGATGGAAGAGCGGGAGCTCTCGGGACAGTGAGGAGGCCGGTGTGGCGGGAGGTGACAGGGACAGGTGGGCGTAGGGGCCTCCATAAAGCAGACATCGCTTTCCCTCTGAGTGGGATGGGGCCCCTGGAGGAGGACAGGGTCTGTGTGGTGGGAGCACTGCAGGAGCGAGGGCCTCCTAGAGGAGAATGAGCCAGGCAAGGGAAGAGGGCGTGCCAAGGTCCTGAGGCACCAGGAGGTTTGTCCCAGTGAAGGCAGCCTGAAGGAGGCTCGGTGGCTGGAGCACAGGGCATATGAAGGAGAATGGTCTGGGACATTTTTTGGAGCCTCCTTTGAGAGAGTCCTTAGCAGGAAGTGGCTCTGTGTTGGTGACTCTGAGGTGGCTGGAGGTGTTAGGGACACTTTACACTGCCAGTGAAATTTCAAAGCACTACATCGCTCAAGTTTGTTTTTCTCAGGGAATTGGGTAGGTAAGAGGCCAAAGACTGTTTTTTAAATGCTTCTCGTCCTCCTTCTTCAAGAGGGCAAAGGGTCACCAGGTAGATGTAGAGAAGCCTAAAGACCATGTAACACAGTCTCCCTGCCAGGGCACCGTACTCGGCCATGCCTGGGAAGGGCACGCTGATGAGGCATTTACACAGATGTCAGGAGGGCTCTGGTGTGCTCTCAGGACACTGTGAGGCCACTGTAGCCGACGCAGGGGCCGCCTCTCCCCAGTGTGTGCTGGGCGCTGGTCAGCGGGGAGCAGGCCCCAGCTTGGCCCTCCAGGTTTGCACAGGAGTGTCATGCTGGAGTCTGGAAGGACAGCAGTCTGCATCCTGATGTTAAATTAGAATTATATGTGAATGATTCTGATGAGACGCCATACCTCCTTCATACAGTCCTGAAAATAACTTATTTGGATTTTGTGAAATAAGTGAATGTCCTAACTTAATTATAAGACTGAACCAGAGGACATATAACTTTATACCTACCTATGAAAAGACCGTGACCGGTCGTGGTGGCCCATGCCTGTAATCCCAGCACTTTGGGAGGCCAAGGCAGGAGGATCACTAGAGCCCAGGAGTTTGAGACCAGCCAGGGTAACATAGCAAGACCTGTCTCTACAAAAAATAAAGTAGTCAGGCATGGTGGTGCATGCCTGTAATCCCAGCTACTTGGAAGGCTGAGGCACGAGGATCCCTTGAGCCCAGGAGGTCGAGGCTGTAGTGAGTCGTGATTGCACCATTACACTCCAGCCTGGGCTACAGAGAGCGAGACTTTGTCTTAAAAAAAGGAAAAAGAAAGGCCAGGCGTGGGGGCTTACACCTGTAATTCCAGCACTTTGGGAGGCTGAGGCGGGTAGATCACCTGCAGTCAGGAGTTGGAGAGCAGCCTGGCCAACATGGTGAAACCCCATCTCTGCTAAAAATACAAAAATTAGCCGGGTGCCTGTAAGCCCAGCTATTGGGGAAGCTGAGGTGGGAGAATCGCTTGAACCGGGAAGGCAGAGGTGAGTTGAGATCACGCCACTGCACCCCAGCCTGGGCGACAGAGAGACTCCATCTCAAAAAAAAGAAAAAGACACAGAGCAATGGGGAAGATAGAGAATAGAATTTCACATCTGGGGGGAAATGTGTCCATCTAACTGCAAAATATTAAGATAGCCTTTAGTCAGCATCCAGTGTAGCTGGCCGTGGCGCTTTGGCACAGCACTGCCGGCGCTGGGCGTCTCCTAGGGGCCATTGTGCACACTGTGTTATGTTTGCAGCACCCCTGGCCTCCACCACGATGCCAGTAGCACCCCCATTGCCCAGTCTGACAATTTAAAATGACTCCAGACATTGTCAGATGCCCCAGGGGCAAAACTGTCTCCGTTTGAGAACCACTGGGCTACACTTAAACATGTGCTGAGGCGGCCAGGCGCTGTGGCTCACGCCTATAGCACTTTGGAAAGCAGAGGCGGGCGGGAGCAGATAGAGACGGAGGTTGCAGTGAGCTGAGATCGCGCCATTGTATTCCAGCATGGGCAACAAGAGCGAAACTCTGTCTCAAAAAAAAAAAAAAGGTGCTGAGGCATTGGGGCTGCCAGTGGTTTTATAGGGCTCCAGGGCTGCCATGCCTTCAGCTGAGCAGCTCTGGATTTGAGGCTTTCCGTCTTACCCAATGGTGCAGGAGCAGAAAGACATCAGAACAGACTCCCACTAACTAGAATCATCACAGGCAGCTCTGGGAATGAGAATGTGACGTGTTCGGTCAGGCTGGAACAGCTTTCCTCCCTCCCCCACTTCCTCGCTGGGGGCATTCGGGAAATCTGATCATTAACTAGCTGGGGACACATGGAGAACAGGCATGCAGATGATGATCCGTTGTCTTCCCCTGTGGCAGTCTCCCGAGTGGCTTTCACCACAGGTCCGATGCTCCGTTTTGCTGCCCAAGGAATTCTGCCTTGTGGCCTTGTGGGGCACAGGCTCTCTAGTTTCTCTTCTTCATGTTGTTTTTTGTTGTTGTTTTTGAGATGGAGTCTTGCTCTGTTGCCCAGGCTGGAGTGCAGTGGCACGATCTCGCTCACTGCAGCCTCTGCCTCTCGGGTTCTAGCAATTCTCCTGCCTCAGCATCCGGAGTAGCTGGGATTACAAGCACGTACTATCACACCTGGCTAATTTTTGTATTTTTAGTAGAGACAGGGTTTCGCCATGTTGGCCAGGGTGGTCTCGAGCTCCTGACCTCAGGTGATCCTTCCAAAGTGCTGGGACTGTAATCCTACAGGCATGAGCCACTGTGCCTGGCCTTTTTTTTTTTTTTTTTTTTTAAGACAGGGTCTCACTCTGTCGCCCAGGCTGGAGTGCATTGGCAGGAACATGGCTCACCGCAGCCTCAACCTCCGGGGCATGCGCCACAACATGTGGCTTATTCTTTTTTTTTTTTTTTTTTTTTTTGAGACAAGGTCTCACTCTGTCACCCACACTGGAATACAGTGGCATGATCTCGGTTCACTGCAACCTCCACCTCTCAGGCCCAGTGATTCTCCTGCCTCAGCCTCCCAAGTAGCTGGGATTACAGGCACGTGCCACTACCACCTGGCTAATTTTTTTTTTTGTATTTTTAGTAGAGATGGGGTTTCACCATGTTGGCCAGGCTGGTCTTGAACTCCTGACCTCAAATGATCCACCCACCTCGGCCTCCCAAAGTGCTGGGATTGCAGGCGTGAGCCACTGTGCCTGGCCGAGGCTAATTTTTTCTCTTTTTTTGTAGAGATGGGGTCTTGCTGTACTGCCCAGGCTGGTCTCAAACTCCTGGGCTCAAGCAGTCCTCCTGCCTCGGCCTCCCAAATTCAGATTTGTTTTTGAAACAGGGTCTCACCCAGACTAGAGTGCAGTGGTGCAATCACGGCTCACTGCAGCCTTGACCTCCTGGGCTCAAGCGATCCTCCCACCTCACCCTCCAAGTATCTGGGACTATTGGCACACGCCACCACACCCAGCTAATATTTGGATTTTTGTAGAGATGGAGTCTGGCCATGTTGCCCAGCCTGGGTCTTTAGATTTTTTTTTATAGATTGAAACCCATCACCCTGGTCGTCCCCGCTCCCATTTTCTTACTGTAGCAGGCTCGGGGGCAGATGGTGTTTGCATTGGCTCCCAGTGGGGCCAGCTTGGAGGAGAGCCTTCCTGCATAGCAGGCCCAGCATAAGGCTCTGATGCCAGGCCTGGCACAGGCCCGGCCGCAGCGATGCCAGTGTGTGACTGAACAAATGAACCTTTGGCCCTGTCTACGTTGTTAGCCCCAGGCTTGGCCAGTGGCTTCTGGAAAGTCGTTCGCTGCCCCGCAGAGATGTGAGCAGAGGTTGTTTGCTTGCTGTTGTCCCTCCTACCCCCTGTCCGGGCTGGGGTGGACGTCTGTCTTCCTTTCACTCATTACTATAGGGGTGTAATCTGTGTCTTGATCTCTTTTAGGGCCAGTATGGAAATTACCAGCAGTAAGGGACACACATTCTGGCTGGAGCCCTTGTGGTAGCGTGTTCATCCAGGGGCCGGATGGGCTGGCGGCAGCTCTGGTGAATTGTGACATGTTGGTTACCTGTTCGCCCAGTGCCACGTCTGCATGTGAAGCGTGCTCATTTCATGCTGGGTATGACGCCGAGCGCACACCACTGGCGTGAGACAGCGCTTGGTGGTGTGATA
Organism: Homo sapiens; assembly: GCF_000001405.40. NCBI lineage: Eukaryota > Metazoa > Chordata > Mammalia > Primates > Hominidae > Homo > Homo sapiens. The sequence continues at coordinate 62,179,410 of NC_000020.11, forward strand.
CTTTTGGTGCTGTGTATAGTATTGTATGTCGGTACACGGAGAGGTATCCTTTTTTTGTCCCCCGCCCCCTTCTCAATGTTTCTAGCTAGCTTTGGGGGTCATTTTGTCATCAGAGCATTCTGTGCCCAGGGACAGGACAGATCTCGAGGACACCACAGTCCACCTGTTCCCGTCAACAGACGTTAGGTCTCATTTTCCTCCTCATGCAGTGTTGTAGTGTGGGTTGTCAACTTTTCTTTAACTGGCTACGCCACAGCTGGACACACATGCAGCCCCTGGAGGGCAGCCTCTTCCTGTGCCTCGATGGGGTGGGTGGGAGGGCATCTTCTGTGCGTTGGGTCAGTTTCTGTTACGTAACGAAAAGGATAAACATCTCCCACGGGAGAGGCCACAGATGGCCACTTCCAGAGCTTGCCCATTGCCTGTCTCTCGCCAATTCCGTTTATCCAAAAAGGTACATGTTTTTGTATTAAAAAGTAAACAGGGATCAGTGACTGTATTCCAAATAAATATGAATCCCTAAGGGCCGTGGACAAATTGCCTAACCCAGGGCCAGCGGTATTGCTGAAGGAAAGGGGCAGCTCTCTGGGAAGTGGGCCCTCAGAGATTACTCTGGCTTTGACCCTTGTTTAGCTGATGGTCATTTCTGGGATTGGAATATTTAATAAGCCCAATTCTAAGTTGATAGGTAATTTTAAATATTCAAACCAAATCTTCCCAACAGTTGGCAAGTTGTTTATTTTATATTATTTCTTCCAGGACCTACTTGCTCAGATCTCCAAGCAAGCATTTCTTTTCTTTTAGGGATGTCTGAAAGTCACATCCAGTTACATTACTGTGTTCTTTCTAATGAAAAGTAAAGGTTTTATATAGAGAAACTTGAGTAATTTTTACATTTCTAAGACATTAAATCCCATTTAAATTCTGTGTGAACATTAAAGACAGCACACTTGCAAAAGTATGGTCAAAGGAAAAAAATCCCACATTTCAATTAACAAGTAGCATGGACATTTGATCAACCTTTAGTTGGAATAATAATATTCATATTTGCTATGAATCCTTTTAAAAAAATCTTTGGATAAATGCTGACAGATTTCCAAGAACTACCAAGAAAATACAAGAGATATCCAATGCTTGATATATGAGGCCTAGTAATAACGATATTTCTCTTTAATTGATGTTTTGTTTTAAAAGTTAAAAGTAATTCTTGGCGTGGTGGTTCACGCCTGTAATCCCAGCACTTTGGGAGGCCGAAGCGGGCGGATCACCTGAGGTCGGGAGTTCGAGACCAGCCTGACCAACATGGAGAAACCCCGTCCCTACTAAAAATACAAAATTAGCCAGGTATGGTGGTGCATACCTGTAATCCCAGCTACTCGGGAACCTGAGGCAGGAGAATGGCTTGAACCCAGGAGACAGAGGTTGTGGTGGGGCAAGATCGCACCATTGCACCCGAGCCTAGGCAACAAGAGTGAAATTCCGTCTCAAAAAAATAAATAAATAAATAAATAAATAAGTTAAAATTAATTCTTTATCCAGAGTCGGGTGCTTTAGAATTTATAAGTCACTTATGTGTTTTGCTTGAATTAATTCTGACAGCCCCTATGAGGAAATCTGGAGGCAGGTAACAGTTCCCATTTTAGAGATGAAGAACTGAGGCACAGATTAAAGGACTTGCCTGTGTTGAATACCAGTCCTGTTCTAGGACATTCTCCCCTCTCCTAGGAGACGGATGTCACGCACAAATGGGGAGAGAAGTGTTTATTTTGTAGGCACTAAGGGTTTCTAAAACCCTTAACACTGGTAAGGGCTCAAAAATAAACGTATGTGTTCATATTCGATCACCGAAATGAGAGTTCTTAATTGCTAATTGACAAACGCGTTAGCAATTTCAGTTAGGGAGTCATCTCCCTTGATTGTGTTCTTTTCCTGTCAATTTTCATAGACCTAATTTGCAAACTCAATCGGGGACTAAAATTTCCCACTGAAAATGTTAAACATTTTAGATAACTGTGAAGATAGTTTATTTTTATTCCTTGCCAATCTGGGAATATGCCTTTTTTGTGTGTTTGTGTGTTTTTTTAAGTGCTGTATTAATAATACTTTCTGAAAGAAAAGGACACTTACCCCAAAACTTCAATCTGAAATGTCTTACATTAAGAATATCTTGAATGTTGTGTATATATTTTAAAAAGCACTTTGCAAAATAGTTTGTACATTTATTTCCTAATTTATACATGATTTTTGGTGTTAATATATTTAATGATTAATAACAGAATGTTTATTTAATGTGCTGTCCATTTTTATGTAATATTATGGGGAAAGTGATGCCAGCAGTTCCTTTTCATTATTCTATCTTCTGTCATATGAATGTTGAGCAAAGCTTAGGCCAACATGAATTGTTTGTGAAGTGTGGTTGATGGTGCTTTGTTTTTTTCTGACTACTTCTATGGAAGGCCAGTGAAGAAGCAAAGGAAGACATGAAAATTGACGCTCATTCTTCTTCCTATTGTTCCCTGACATCCAGCAAATTGTGAATTTGAAAAATGATGGCCAGTTTTCAGAAGTGCTGACAAATTCATATTGGTATGCAAAAGCTCATCACCCATTAAGGTTTGTTGTTGAATCAACAGTACTCAGCATATTAAAACAGTACATCAGAACTCATGCCAACAGTCTTTATGATGGGATTAAGGTGGACAAGATCTCCTAAGATCTGTGAATGGGATTAAGGTGGACAAGATCTCCTAAGATCTGAAAAGAAACCTTAATACGCTCATATGGTTGGAGTGTTAAGTGAACCTCTGATTTTGTCAGGGTTTTTCTACGTGTAGGCGTGAATAGGGGGCACCCCTTCAAAACTGTACAAAGAAGACGACTGTTTTCCATTTCCATTTAAACATTTTTAGCCACTTCATTTCTATTTATTGAACAGGTCAAATTTGTCTTGTTATTTGTGAGTACAGTACATTTAAAAAACATCCTTATCGGTTATTTTTTTTTCAGTCGGAGTTTGACGTATAAATTGTTTATGCTTTTGGTGTAATCTCTTAATAAACTGGTTCTTCAAAAATCATCCTATAAAGTGAGTTTTCATGAAGTTAACGGGATTTTGGTGTGATGTGTTTTGCAAATACTTATTACCGAGACCAGGTAGATCGTCACCTCGGCTCCCGGGCAGAGTTCGCGTGCGTCCGCACCGGATTCCCCGCGGCGGCAAGGCGAAGCCAGGGTAAGGGCGGTGGGGACGGCGCCCCGGGGCTGCCCTGCGGTCCCCACTGCCTGCTCTGCGTTGCCCCGTAGCCTCCTCGGGCAACGGCGGTGTCCTCGTCAGACCCGGGAGGTTCCGCAAACGCCGGAGGGGTCAGAGAAGCTGGGGGACCTTGGGCACCGGGTGGAACGGGCGGGGCGGCTGTCCTTGTGCTCGGGCAGCGAGGGCGCCGGCGAGAAGCGCGGCTGCAGCTGAGCGCTCCGCATCCCTCCTGCCGTTGCTCCTGCTTCCGCTACCAGGGACAAGGTCGCCTCTCGGTCCGTCGGCGTGTTTTCTGCACCTGCGCACTGGGCAAGCCTTGGGCTTCCGGAGCCAAAAGGCCCCGGAAGTGGTCGGCCGCTTGCGACGCTCCGGAAGTGACGTGCTTTCCCGAGCCGGTGAGTGCGGGAGCGGGGAGCGGGGAGCGTGGGCCTGGGGGGTGGTCGCGGCCCGGGCGCAAGGAGGGGCCTCGGCTTGGGCCGCGGGGTACCGGGGCGCTGGGAGCGGGAGAGGCCCCGGCCTAGGAGCTGAGAGGCCTGGAGGGCTGCCGGGCTGCGAACCCCGGCGGGACCGAGCGCTGCGGCCCTGGAGTAGCGAGCGCTCGGGCGGTGGGGAGCGGCGCCTTGCTCCCCGGTCCTGCCCCACTCTCTCCGCAGAACCGCGTTTTGGGGTCAGAAGTCTTGTCAGCCACCCCGGTGGTGCTCTGTCACGGGATGGGTGCCGTGTGTGAGTTCCGAGTCAAGTTGTTAGGAATTTGCCTTGATCCAGCGCTCTAAGTATTAAACATTTTAAAGTGATTATTGGCAGTATACAGTTGCACAAAACAACATAAATATATACACATTTGGATGATAAAACAACAATAAAGTTTTGTATTGTAAACGCGCCTCAGGGAGACGCATTTCCAGATAATTCACTGTCCGTGGCTGGCTTCTGCCCAGTGAGAGCGGGTTACCCGTTCTATTCCCATTTACGTTCTCGTAGCTGTGGATACCGAGGAACGGCGTTCACACAGACCTGTAGGTGGGAATTAGAGGGGTTGTTGGGCAGTGTCACTAGAGAAATACCTTTCTTTTGTAAAGGGGAGGACCCATTATAAAAGGGGGACGGGAAAGGAGAATTCAAATTGTTTTAAACGCAGGTTCGTCCTCAGGCAGTTCTGTTTTAGCAGAGAGAACGTAGCGAAACTTGGGCAGAAAATGGATTCCTTTGAAATTATCCTGGCCTTAGTCCCTTGGGAAGTCTGTGTAGGCGAACCTCAGTGAGAAGATTCCTGCCGTAAAATGCAGGTGTCAGCAGCATGCCAGGGAGGCCAGAGGATACTATGTGACTTTGGGCAAGTGACTGAACCTCTGTGAGTCTCAGCCTCCACTGCTTTAGATGGGCATAAAAAATGTAAAGTCAAGAATCAGGTTTCCGCTGGGCGCGGTGGCTCACGCCTGTAATCCCAGAACTTTGGGAGGCCAAGGCGGGCAGATCACGAGGTCAGGAGTTAAAGACCAGCCTGGCCAACATGGTGAAACCCCATCTCTACTAAAAATACAAAAAAGTAGCCGGGCGTGGTGGCAGGCGCCTGTAATCCCAGCTACTGGGGAGGCTGAGGCAGGAGAATCGCTTGAACCTGGGAGGTGGAGGTTGCAGTGAGCCGAGACCGCACCACTCTGCTCCAGCCTAGGCAACAGAGCGAGACTCTGTCTCAAAAACATACCCAAAAAAAAAAAATCAGGTTTCATGCTCACAGGAGGATTTGAGGAGGGTTTATAAAGGGACCGTTTGCAAAGGCAGAGTGCAGGTTAATGACAGTTGGTCCTTTAGCCTGGAACTGGTGGCAGTGGAGTTTCTACTCCTGGACTCCAAAGGATCAGGGAAGGCAGCAGTGATCGGGACAGGGAGAAGAGTCACTGGGGAGGGCTTCTTGGACTGGAGGTGTGAGCCTCAGTCTGAGTGGGCAGGGAGGTCCATGTCCCGGCCTCCTGCTCCTGCCTCCAGTCTCTGGTAGAGGGCCAGGTCCCAGTAGGTTTTCCTATGGGGCAAGCTCAGGCTCCTGACACACAGCACAGGGCAGGGTGGAAAGCTGGTCTGGAAAAGCAAATGGAAGATAGCTCGGCATGCAGTATTACCCCTCGCAGGGTATTATCGTTAGGAATACATTTAAAAGTGGATATATTGGTTGGGTGTGGTGGCTCGCGCCTGTAATCCCAGCACTTTGGGGGGCCGAGGCAGGTGGATTTCCTGAAGTCGGGAGTTCAAGACCAGCCTGGCCAACACGGTGAAACCCCGTCTCTATTAAAAATACAAAAATGAGCTGGGTGTGGTGGTGGGTGCATGTAATCCCAGGTACTCGGGAGGCTGAGGCGAGTGGATCACTTGAACCCATGAGGCGGAGGTTACAGTGAGCCAAGATCCCACCATTGCTCTCCAACCTGGGCTACAAGAGTGAAACTCTGCCTCAAATAAAAAAGAAAAAAAATGGCCAGGGCGTGGTGGCTGATGCTTGTAATCCCAGCAATTTGGGAGGCTGAGGTGGGCGGATCACGAGATCAGGAGTTCAAGACCAGCCTGGCCAACATGGTGAAACCCTGTCTCTACTAAAAATACAAAAATTAGCTGGGCGTGGTGGCATGCAGCTGTAATCCCAGCTACTCGGGAGGTTGAGGCAGGAGAATCCCTTGAACCCGGGAGGCAGAGGTTGCAGTGAGCTGAGATCATGCCACTGCACTCCAGCCTGGGCGACAGAGCGAGACTGTCTCCAAAAAAAATAAAAATAAAAAATAAAAAATAAAATATATACACATACATATATATACATGTATATGTATGTACACAAATTAGCTGAGCGTGGTGATGGGTGCCTGTAATCCCAGCTTCTTGGAACGCTGAAGCACAAGAATTGCTTGAACCCAGGAGGCGAAGGTTGCAGTGAGGTGAGATCATGCTATTGCACTCCAGCCTGGGAGTGAGACAGAGTGAGACTCTTGTCTCAAAAAAAAACCTTTCTGTGATGAGGGCAGTGTTCTAATATGTGCTGTCCCATATGTACCCACTCGTGACATGTGGCTGTGTGCACTTAGATGTTACCTCAGGGACTGAGTTTTTACATTTCAGTTAATTTTAGCCAAATGGCCACATTTGGCCAGTGGGGACTGTGCTGGACAGGTCAAGGACAGCCTTGTTGGAAGGAAAATAAAGACACCAAAGAGCAGCGTGAAAACAGTGGGATTTGTTCATCCGGCAGGGGAGAGAGCACAGCACTCAGCGGGCCTCCAAAGAGAAATTGAAAGGGCAAAAAGGAGGAAGCAAATTAGGCAAGACTCCGAGTTCAGGTCTCTGGTTGGCTTTGCAACCTTCTCTGCGGTTGATCTGCAGGTTCCATGTCACCTGCATCAGGAAGCCTGGTTTCCAGAATATCCGGGCTGGATGGTGTAACGTTCCAGCAGGCTGAGCCGTGGCTATGCTTGTGTTGATGAGCCCGAGTTGTTTTTCCCCAACCTGTTTTTATGCACCACCCCTGAGCCTTCCCATCTGATAGCTCTGGGTTAAGTCTCTTCACCTGTCTGCCCAGTTTCCGCAACTTTAAAATGAGGATGATGAAGGACTTACTTCACAGAGTTTTATGAGGACTGAATGAGTTAATCCCTGAAAAATACTTAGAACAGTATTTTGCAAGTAGTGAGGTAGAGGTCTTGAAGGTTTACTGTGAAATTATTTTCAGGTACTTTTTGTATTTGGCACTACCATAAATGGGGTTTTTTCTTAATTTTAATTTACAGTTGTTTGCGGCTGGTATTTAAGAATACAACTGATTTTTTTATATTAGCCTGATAACATGCCATCTTGCTCAGTTCCCTTCCCTGGGACTTTTTTTTTTGTTTTTTTTTTTTTTTTTTGAGATGGAGTCTTGCTCTGTCACCCAGGCTGGAGTGCGGTAACGTGATCTCGGCTCACGGCAGCGTCTGCCTCCCAGGTTCAAGCGATTCTCCTGCCTCAGCCTCCCGAGTAGCCGGGACTACAGGCACGTGCCACCACGCCTGGCTAATTTTTATATTTTTAGTAGAGATGGGGTTTCACCATGTTGGCCACGCTGGTCTTGAACTCCTGATCTCAAATGATCCGCCCACCTCGGCCTCCCAAAGTGCTGGGATTACAGGCATGAGCCACCGTGCCCAGCCTTCCCTGGGATTCTCTGTGGAACTCTGTCCTCTCTTCTGTAAACAGGGACAGTTTTACTTCTTCCTTTTTTCCCCCTTTATTTCAGTGTGTGAAAGGACATTGTTGCATAGCAGTGGTATGTGTGGAGGCCCTTTTTCTCCATCTTGGGAGGTAACCATTCAGTATTTCTTCATTAAATGTGATTAGCTGTCGGCCGGCCCTACGTAGTGCCCTTATCAGGGCGAAGATGTTCCCGTCTGTTCCCAGTTTGCTGAGATGTTTTGTTTTCCTCCTCATGAGTGGGTGTTGAGACGGTGGTACCACCTGTTGATATAGTGAAGTGCCTGGGCTGAGTTTTGACTGCTTGATGTGGCCTTGTGTTCTGAGATTACCCCTACTAGGTCTTGATGTGTGATCCTTTCTGAACTGCTGGATTCAATTGGGTAATATTTTGTTAAGAGTTATTTGCATCTATATTCATGAGGGGTATGGTCTATAATTTTATTTTTTCTTAGTGTCAGATTTTGGTACTAGCCTCATAGGATGAGTTGGATAGTGATCTCACTTCCTCTATTTTCTGAAAAAGCTTGTGTAAGATTGGCACTGTTTCTTCCTGGAATGTTACATGGAATTTACCAGGAAAACAAGCCGAGCTAGAGTTTTCCTTTGGGGAGTGTTCTTTTATAAGAAATTTAACTTATTGAGTAGATACAGGGCTATTCTAGATTGTTTATTCTTGTGTTTCTTTAATAAGTTGCCTTTTTCAAGAAATTTGTCCATTTCATGTAAGTTGAATTTGTTACTGAATTTGCTGGCATGAAGTCGTTCCCAGCATTCTCTTGCCCTCTGGCTGTCTGTAAGGTGTGTCCTGATAACCCGTTGAACATTCCTGACAGTGGAGGTTTGCGCTCTCTCGTTTTCCTGATCAGGCTAGAAGTGTGTTAGTTAGCTTGTCTTTTCAGTGAACCTGTTTTTTTCTGTTACATGTTATTGTTGTCTCTTTATTTCTGCTCTGTATTATTCTCCTCCTTCTACTCGACGCTTACTTTGCTCTTTCTGGTTTCTTGATTTGGAGCCTTAGGTTACTGATTTTAGATCTTTCTTCTTTACCAAGGTAGCCATTAGAGCTGTAAGTTTCCTTCTAAACACTACTCTAGCTGCATCTCTTAAATTCTGGTATTTCATGGTGGCGGGCGCCTGTAGTCCCAGCTACTCGGGAGGCTGAGGCAGGAGAATGGCGTGAACCCGGGAGGCAGAACTTTCAGTGGGCCGAGATCACACCACTGCACTCCAGCCTGGGCGACAGTGCGAGACTGTCTCAAAAAAAAAAAAAAAAAATTCTGGTATTTTGCATTTCCATTATAATTCAGTTCAAAACATTTTGTAATTTCTCTTTTGATTTCTTCTTTGGCCTATGGATTATTTAGAAGAAGCTTGTTTGATTTGCAGGTATTTGGGATTTTCCTAGATATTTTCTAGCTATTGACTTCCAATTTAATTCCGAGAATAGACCCTGTGGTTGGTATTCATATACTTCCCCCCAGCCCCACCACAGAAGCTCTGTCACACAGGCTGGAGTGCAGTGTGTGATCATGGTTCACTGCAGCCTCCAACTCCTGGGCTTAAGTGATCCTCCCACCTTAGCCTCCTAAGTAGCTGGTATTATAGGCATGCACCACCATGTCCAGCTAATCAGCTAATTTTTTTTTTTTTTTTTTTTTTTTGGTAGACACAAGGTCTCGCTATTTTGCCCAGGCTGTTCTCAAATTCCTGGCCTCAAGTTTTTCTCCTGCCTTGGCCTCTCAAACTGCTGGGATTACAGGTGTGAGCCACTGTACCGGGCCTTTCTGTATACTTCAAGTAATCTCTAGATTATTTATAGTACAATACAATGTAAATGCTATGTAAATAGCTGTTATACTTTATTTTTTAAATTAAAAAAATTGTTGTATTGTTACTGGTTTTTTTGTTTGTTTTCCAGATATTTTTGACGTGAGGTTTGTTGACCCCACAGATACGGAGGACTGACTATGATTTCTTCTCAATGTATTGAGACTTATGACACATCTTATGGTCTGTTTGATGACTTCCACCTGTACCTGAAAACAGTGTATATTGTACAGTTGTTGGATGTACTGTTATGTAAATGTCAACTAGATAAATGTTTTGATAGTATTGTTCAGATTTTATGTCTTTACTGTTTTTATTTTTCTATTTTTAGACAGGGTCTCAGGCCAGGTGTGGTGGCTCATGCTTGTAATCTCAGCACTTTGGGAGGCCAAGACAGAAGGATCGCTTGAGACCAGCCTGGGTAACTGGGAGACCCTGTCTCTGCAAAAAAAATTTAAAAATTAGGCACAGTGGCACTTACCTGTAGCCCCAGCTACTCAGGAGGCTGAGGCAGGAGGATCTCTTAAGTACAGGAAGTCAAGGCTGTAATGAGCTGTGATTATGTCACTGTGCTCCAGCTTGGGTGACAGAGTGAGACTCTGTCTCAAAAAAAAAAAAGAAAAAAAAGTGTCTCTTTCTCTCATTCTATTGCTCAGGCTGGAGTGCGGTGGCATATTCATAGCTCATAGCAGCTTTGAATTCATGGGCTCAAGTGATTCTCCCACCTCAGCCTCCAAAGTAGCTGGGACTATAGGGGTGCGCCACCATGCCCAGCTAATTCCTTTGGTAGAGACAGGAGTCTTGCTATTTTGCCGAGGCTGGTCTCGAACTCATGGCTTCAAGAGATCTTCCCGCCTTGGCCTCCTACAGTGCTGGGATTACAGCCAGGAACTGCTGTGCCCAGCTAGCTCTTTTTAATCCACTTTGTCAACCTCTGCCTTTTAATTAGAATTTGTAAACATTAACTTTTTTTTTTTTTTTTTTTGAGATGGAGTCTCGCTCTGTCTTCCAGGCTGGAGTGCAATGATGCAATCTCGGCTCACTGCAACCTCCGCCTCCCCGTTCAAGCAATTCTCCTGCCTCAGCCTCCTGAGTAGCTGGGATTACAGGCACACGCCACCATGCCCAGCTAATTTTTGTATTTTTAGTAGAGACGGGGTTTCACCACGTTGGTCAGGCTGGTCTCAAACTCCTGACCTCGTGGTCCGCCCGCTTCAGCCTCCCAAAGTGCTGGGATTACAGGCATGAGCCACCGCGCCCAGCCAACATTAACATTTAATGAAATTATTTATATGGTTAGATTTAGGTGCACTTTTATTATTTGTTTCCTATTTGTCCCCTCTGTTTTTTGTTTGTTTGTTCTTTTTCTTTGGAATTGTTGGGCTAGTTCTGAGCATTTCATTTATCTGTTGGCTTTTCGGATCTGTGTCTTTGTGTTGTGTCTTAGTCATTGCTCTGGAGGTTCCAGTCTGCACACCTGTTAGCCTTCACTGTCTGCTCAGAGTTCATACTGTGCCCCTCACAGAAACGTGGGGACCTTGCAGTCATCTGGGTCCCTCGAATCCCCTCCTGACCTTTCTGTTGCCTTTCATGTGGATTACTTCTGTGCGCGTTGGAAGCCAACTACGCAGTATTTTTTTGTCTACAGTCTTACATATTTAAGAACTCCTAAGAGGAAAACAATAGTATTTTATATTTACCAATTCTGTTGCTCTCCCTTCCCTCCTCAAGATCCAGGCTTCCCTCTGGTATCATTTTCCTTCAACCCGAGGAACTTTCTTGAGCATTCCTTATACAGCAGCTGTATTAGTGACAAACTATGTTCGTTTTCTGCCATCTAGAATCTTTATTGCACCTTCGTTTCTGAAAGATATTTTCCCTGCGTATAGAATACCTCGGTGCCTCTTTTCTGACAACACTTAAAAATATCCCTACATAATGGTTAAAAGCAGGGTGGATCCTGGCCTAGATCCTGGACCAGAAGAAGGACGCTCTTGGGAAACTGCTGAGCCCCAAGCCCCACCTGGAGCTCAGTTAGTAGCGGTGCAGCGGCGGCGGCCGCACAGGCACGGCTGCGGGGGCACTGGGGAGGAAGTCCGCAGGGATGCCTTTGCACCTTGTCCACAAATCTAAAACCATCTCAAAATCAGCTGTCCTGTAAAATATATTTACAGGAAGGGTATCAAGGGGAGGGTGTCCCATGGAGAGGTGGCCCGGCACGGGAACTCAGCCAGTCGGAGAACAGAGACCCGCTAAAGAATGGGGAGCTCTGGGAGCAGGCGGGGAGGTGGAGCTGAGGGCGGGTCACAGCAGGTAGGGGTTGAGCAGCTCCATAAATATCTTAAAGTGCATGGAGGCCCGGTTTCTTATAGGCGGAGAATGGAGTTACCAAGACCACAAGAGAAAATTAGAATGACCCCAGAGTGCTGAATTGGGAATGAGGACGTCCTGTGCACAGCTGGCCTGCTGCCTCCCACGTGTCAGGGCTGGCTCGGGAGTCAGGAGAGGCTGAGGAACCTTCCAGCCCAAGGAGCTGGACAAGGTGTGGCAGCTGCAGGCAGCCGGGATAGGGACGCAGACTTTCCTACAGGGAGAGGCACTGCTGAGACCGGGGCCCACGTGGGAGGGGCTGTCGGTCATGGCCAGTCTCAATGACACCCTGGTTCTGGAGGGGACACCATTTTCTCTAGGAAACACACATGGACTGTTCTGGGTGCAGGGAAGTCCAGTCGGCGACTGACTCTTAAGTGATTCAGGAGGAAGTTCTTTGTACTCTTCTTCCAGCTTTTCTGTAACTGTGATTGCCTCAGAATTAAAGCAGAATGGCCAAGGACCCCACAGAGATAGTGACCCCCCCAAAGGAGGTGGCACCTTTTCAGAGGAGTGAGGCTGGGGAGAGGGAGGCGTCCGAGGCACTGCGAGGGAGGAGGCAGGCGGTGTCCCCTCGTTGTGCTCCCGCTCTGGCCCCGTGTTGAGTTTTCAGCCGTCCACTGGGGCCCCTTCTGTACACATCTTTTGTAGTCAGGATGGGGAGCACCTTGTAAGGTCCCTCCTGTGCGACCTGCTGAAGACTGGGGAGCTCTGGGAGCAGGCAGGTATTTGTGCTCATGGTGAAGGGAGAGGGGCTGTCCTCTCCTGGAGGGCAGGGTCAGGACTTCCTCACTGTGCCCTTGGCACCTGCAAGGTAGCCGGCTGTCATGAGCGGCTTGTTGAATGAGTGACAGCTTAAATGAGGCTTTGAGAGTGACAGTAGCTGGCACTTAGAGTCTGCAGCTGTGCCAACCCTGTCGCTCCGGGGATATTTCCACCCACACTACACATCAGGCACCAAATGTGTGGGTTTTCCACACCAACAATTCGCCAGTCCTCTGCAGACACCAGCCAGGCATCCTGTAATTCAGTTCAGTCTGACCCTGCCGCGGTTATCAGGGACCCCAGCGTTAGGGGCTCAGTCACCCCCCACTTCAGATGCTAATTGCAAGTAGTGGGTCCCTGGGGTACCCACACTTCTGTCCATCTTGGCTACACATTGGGAGTTCCTACGACCCCTTCAGGTTTGATGATTTGCGGTAGTGGCTCACAGAACTCAGGAAGGCACTTGGTTTGCATTGCCAGTTTACTATAAAGGATGCCACAGCGGGCACAGGCAGGCAGCTGGGTGAGGAGGGGCACGGGCGAGGCCCAGAGGGTCCTAAGCATAGGAGCCTTTGTCCCCAGGGAGTTGTGTGGCTGGCCTTACAGCACGGGGATGAGTTCACCAAACTGAAAGCTTTCCAGAGCCCCTAGTTCCAGGATTTCCATGGAGGCCTCATCATGGAGACATGATCAGTTATGAACTCAGCCTCCAGCCCCTCTGCCCTTTTTGGAGGGTGGGGGTGGGGCCGAAAGGTCCAGGCTTCTCATCGTGGCTTGGTCTTTATGATGACCAGCCCCCTCCCAAGGCCATCCAGGAGCCCACCAAGAGGTGCCTCATTAGAACAGAAGACTCTCCTGTCACCTGGGAAGTCCAAGGGATTTAGGAGCTCTGTGTCAGGCACCCCTATCGCCCCTGTCACTCAGGAAATTACCAGCGTTCTGAGAGCTCTGTGTCAGGAGCCAGGAGCAGGGGCCAAGTGTGTTCTTCTCATTCTATCGGTGCCACAGCCAGGGCCGCGGTTGTGCAGCCGTGTGGATCAGCTCAGCCCGTCCTCACCCAGCCGTGTGAGGAGGCCGAGGCCACACAGGTGGATGGCCTTCCCTTAGAGTTACTTTCCAGAGCCTGGGTGCTTAGCCGCTATGCCCCATGTTTAATATTCTTGTGTTCCAATGTAACAACTTTAAAATTACACAGGATAACACTCTTGATAACATTTTAATAAATGGGTGTTTTTCTTTTCAAGAAATTTTGACTTGCACTTCAGATTTCCTTTTTAATATTTTCGTTGAGCGGAACCTTGCTATTCCATAAGAGGATGTGTCCAGTGTTGTGGAAGATTTCATGTTTTAAATCCTTTGTACAGAAATCCTGCTCCCAAGTCACAGATAGGCTGACGGGTCAGAGGGCAAGACGTGACCCAGGGCCGAGAGGGTGAGTGACCAGGAAAATCGGATTCATCAGTTCACTTGTTTGTTTCAGAAACGTGCACAAAGACCTGCTGCATGAGGCCCTCGTCTTCAGTTTCTGTTTCATGCCCAGCATTAAACCAAGTATCTCATTTTGCCAATTTGACTTCTGTAGGGGCCATGGCACCTGCAAGGTGTTTCTCAGCAAGATTGAGGACCGTGTTTCAGGGCGTGGGGCATTGGGCTTTGTCCACATGGGCTGGCCTGAAGCCCAGCCGGCTACTGCCACAGCGGGCTTCTCCCAGGCTGCTCTCGGTCGGCCGTGCGGACCTCGCCAAGCATCAGGAACTCCCGGGGAAGAAGCTGCTCTCTGAGAAAAAGCTGGTGAGACTCCTGGAGTTAGAGCAGCTTGCCTGTCTCCTCCTCAGAAGGCACAGGGTGTGGTTTCGGGTCCTCCTCTGGGTCTCATCTCTGTTGATGTTAGTTGATGATCTTAGTGATGGGGCACGTGGAGCTTCTTGAAAATGACAGGGTGAAACGCAGGCCTGCGTGCTAAATCCCACGCTCAGCAAATCCCAGCAGGCTGGGAGAGGCGCTGCGTGCTTGGAAAGCCGTGATACAGGCTGCTCATTTTCCCATGAGCCTGTGTATTTTACATGTATGTTACATATATCCTTTCATATGTGTGGCTATTTCTTAATTTAAAACAAATGCGGAGGCTGGGCACGGTGGCTCATGCCTGTTATCCCAACACTTTGGGAGGCTAAGGCAGGCGGATCACTTGAGGTCAGGAGTTCGAGACCAGCCTGGCCAACATGGTGAAACCCTGTCTCTACTAAAAAAAAAAAAAAAACCTTTTTAAATTAATAAATAAATAAAAATAAAACAAGTAGGGGGGAATATACCTTCCGTTTTATGGTTCTTTAAGCCTTATAAGTTTTTCTTGTTCTATTTACCAAAACCTCCTATTTAAAGCATGAATTGTCTCTAATAAATTCAAGAAAATGCACGTTTATGACTCCCTTCGTTTCCTGCTGAATGGAGGGGCTCCAGATAAGCATTACTGGGACAAACAGCACTTCCAGTGGAAAAGCCGCTTTGGTGGGATGTGTGCTCAAATAGCTGAAGCGTTAGCACAGGCTTGTCTCCTCCCCAGGAGAGAAAGTGAGTCGAGGTTTTGTCCTCCACGAAGTGCTCACCAGTGGGGCTTTCCTCCCTGTCTGGTGGATTTTGCTTGCGTTGGCGCATGACAGCATTACACATTGAAATTTGGAAATAACAGTTCGTGGTTTTCCCACATGGTGGTGCCAAAGAATCTTAGAATGTTTGTGTTTTAAATTTTTAAATTTTTTTTTGTGTTTAAATTTTTGTGTTTAAAAATTTTAAATGTTTTAAAATTTTCTTTTAAAAGAAAAAAAAACTGCATTTGAGGAGTATTGGATCGGAGTGCAGAGGCAGCAGCCCTGGGTGGCTGTCAGGGGCAGGGCACGTCTGTCTGTGCACGTGGGCAGAAGCCAGGTGTCCTCCCCAGCGTGTGGTGAGGTTGCAGCACCCTGGGCTGCGGGAGCTGACCCTCCTGTGGTAGGAGCTGTTGTGTGTTGAACAGTAACCTGGTTGGTTCTCTCTCTTCATCCAGATTGCACCTACCTTAGTGACCTACAGAACAGCTTTCCTAGCCGGGCACAGTGGCTCACGCCTGTAGTCCCAGCACTTTGGGAGGCCGAGGCGGGTGGATCACGAGGTCAGGAGATCGAGACCATCCTGGCCAACACGGTGAAACCCCGTCTCTACTAAAAATACAAAAAACTAGCCGGGCGCAGTGGCGGGTGCCTGTAGTCCCAGCTACTTAGGAGGCTGAGGCAGGAGAATGGCATGAACCTGGGAGGCAGAGCTTGCAGTGAGCCGAGATCCCACCGTTGCACTCCAGCCTGGGCGACAGAGCGAGACTCTGCCTCAAAAAAAACCACAAAAAACAAAACAGCTTTCCCTCCAGCGAGGGGCTCTGTTTGCCTCACCACATTTTTTAAATGAGCCCTGTTTTCATCAGGCCCCAGAAAATACTCTTTCTTCAGAGTCGAAAGCCTGGTAATTGTCCAGGAACGATTCTAACTTCCTATTTCTCTATCGCATCCTGGGAAACTAGAACTTTCTAAGAGTAAAGATCTATGATTTCAGGAATGGTTTTTTTGAATGGAAAGACACATTATATAAGGAATATTTCCTAAACAAGATGTGGGTTTTTTAGCTTAGAAATGCTGATTTTTGTTGTTGGTTTTTAAATCAGTCTCACCCAGAGTAAGAAATGCTGAATTTTTGAAGTGTAGGTCCACACAGAATACTTACATCTGCATTGTGGATTTACCTCAGTCTACAAATGCAACTGACTTGTGGAGACTGTTTTTTATCTTCGGAATTTAGAAGTGATTAGCAATATTAGTGTCATTAACCTCTAATTTTAATAGGCTGTTATAGATAGAAGATGTACATCTCAAATGGATGCATGGTGTCTTGAAAGGACCTTGGAGTGTTGAGATGACGTGGGATATTTGTGTTCTCTGTAGAAAAGGTACTTTGTGGACTATCGGAGAGTGCTTGTCTGTGGAGGAAACGGAGGCGCTGGGGCAAGCTGCTTCCACAGTGAGCCCCGCAAGGAGTTTGGAGGCCCTGATGGAGGGGACGGAGGCAACGGTGGACACGTCATTCTGAGAGGCAGGTGCCCTGGGGCAGTGCAGCGGGGTTGAGGAGGGGCCCCGAGACTGCATGTGCATTTGAACTAAAAACCTGATGTATGGGCAGGCACAGTGGCTTATGCCTGTGATCCCAGCACTTGGAGAGGCTGAGGCAGGAGGATCACTTGAGCCCATAAGTTCAAGACCAGCCTGGACAATATAGCAAGACCATGTCTTTTTTGTTTGTTTGTTTTTTTGTTTTTTTTTTTTTGCCTCAAGGTTTGTGGATCTACAAAAAATTTTTGAAAAAATTAGCCAGACATGGTAGCGTGCACCTGTGGTCCCAGCTACTCAGGAGGATTGCTGGATCCCAGAAGTTCAAGGCTGCAGTGAATCGTGATCACACCACTGCATATTCCAGCATGGGTGACAGAGCAATACCCTATCTCTAAAAAAAAAAAAAGTAAAATTTTTAAAACCCAGCTAGGCGCAGTGGCTCATGCCTGTAATCCCAGAACTTTGGGAGACCGAGGCGGGTGGATCGCTTGAGGTCCGGAGTTCGAGACCAGCCTGGCCAACGTGGTGAAATCCTGTCTCTTAAAAAATAATAATAATAACCAGATGTGGTGGCACACACTGATAGTCCCAGCTACTTGGGGCTGAAGCAGGAGGATGGCTTGAGCCCAGGAGGTCGAGGTTGCAGTGAGCTCCGATTGTGCTGCTGCACTCCAGCCTGGCCAACAGAGGAAGACCCTATCTCAAAAAAACAAAACAAAACAAACAAACAAAAAAAACCCTGATGTATGGATATCATTTTTATAAATTATATGGATATTCAGCCGGGCGTGGTGGCTCACACCTGTAATCCCAGCACTTTGGGAGACCGAGGCGGGTGGATCGCTTAAGGTCAGGAGTTCGAGACCAGCCTGGCCAACATGGTGAAACCCCGTCTCTACAAAAAATACAAAAAAAATTAGCTGGGCGTGGTGGTGGGCACTTGTAATCCCAGCTACTAGGGAGGCTGAGGCAGGAGAATTGCTTGAATCCAGGAGGCAGAGGTTGCGGTGAGCTGAGATCGTGCCATTGCACTCTAGCCTCGGCAACAAGAGTGAAACTCCGTCTCAAAAAAATAAAAACATAAAACATAAAAAAAAAATTATATGGATATTCATAGTTAAGTAGCACACCCAAAAAAGCAACTTTGAGGCCAGGCGCAGTGGCTCATGCCTATAATTCCAGCACTTTGGGAGGCCAAGGCGAGTGGATCACCTGAGGTCAGGAGTTCAAGACCAGCCTGGCCAATATGGAGAAACCCCATCTCTACTAAAAATAGAAAAATTAGCCAGGCGTGGTGGCAGATGCCTGTAATCCCAGCTATTTGGGAGGCTGAGGCACGAGAATTGCTTGAGCCCAGGACACAGATGTTGCAGTGAGCCAAGATCATGCCACTGCACTCCTGCCTGGCTGACAGAGCGAGACTCTGTCTAAAAAAAAAAAGAAAAAGCAACTTTGAACATGTTTTGTTTTGTTTGTTTAATTTCAGGAGCACAGAGAGTTTCCTGTCAGGGAAGCTGACATGTCGGTCGCGTGAAAGCACGAGGCCTGTGTGGTGGGTTCGGTGGGTGCCGCTGGCTGCTGGTTATATTCACACTCAGCATAGACGCATAGCGAGCTGGGAGTGAAGCCTTCACAACAAAAGCATAGAATACAGCTACTGTAAAAAATAAGAAATTTAAAAATTTTCAGAAATGATAGCACTTTTTGAAGGAAAATAAGGATTTCATTTTTAAAAAATCACTTTGCTGGTTTTGTAACTTCTGCTGCACCCTCACTCCATGCTTCCATACCTATTTTTAAGGTTCTTAAACTGGACCCAGACACATCAGCAATAGGCCATGGTTGTCGTAACACAAAGGGACTGAGATTCTTGTTCTTGCTTTAGTTGACCAGCAAGTCAAGTCCCTGTCGTCGGTCCTGTCGCGGTACCAGGGTTTCAGTGGAGAAGATGGAGGGAGTAAAAACTGCTTCGGGCGCAGTGGCGCCGTCCTCTACATCCGGGTGAGCCGAGACTGCCGGACCTGGCCCTGTCCCCGTTGTTCTGGATCATCCAGCTCCTGGGGGCCACCGTGTGACCCACGGGGCCCCTGTGGCTTGATGCCCACAGCTAGGAAACAGCACAATGGAAACGGAGGCTGGCAGACAGCGGGAAAGCAGCCCCACCCCTCAAAGCAAACCCAGACGGGCATTTGTACCAGGGTCTCACACCATGTGCATGTCTAGTGAAAAAGTCATGAAACGATTCTCTTTTAAAAAGAGGGAGCCCACGGCACGGACGCTTCCTCCGTCTCTGACCCCATGAGCCGACCTCTGACTGAGGGAGGCCACTGGCACCCAGCGGGCCTGCGTCTCCTTCGCGAGCTGAATTCACTCGTCTCTTAGATGTTTTTTCTGGTGCTTCAGTTCACACTAACGTTTTAGAAACACTATTTGAAAAAGCCCTTTGTGCAGTCAGAAGGGTGTGTACGCAGCCCCGTGAAAGCCCTGGAGCACTGGGACCTTTTCCTTGTGCTCCGGAGCTGTTGGCAGAGGTGAGTGGGGCGGGCAGCTGCCCGGGGCACAGTCCGCTCTTGTCTTCTTTCCTTAGCGCTTGCTTCAGGAATGGGTTAAGGCCTCCTTTCCTCACTGCTGGTAGAGCTCAGCTGATGAGTGCCTGCTGTTCCCCAGGTCCCCGTGGGCACGCTGGTGAAGGAGGGAGGCAGAGTTGTGGCCGACCTGTCTTGCGTGGGAGATGAGTACATTGCCGCGCTGGGCGGGGCAGGAGGGAAAGGCAACCGCTTCTTCCTGGCCAACAACAACCGTGCCCCTGTGACCTGTACCCCTGGACAGCCAGGACAGCAGCGAGTTCTCCACCTGGAGCTCAAGACGGTGGCCCACGCCGGAATGGTAGGTGTCCCCACTGCCAACAGCATCTGCACACACTCAGCTCTAGAAAATCCACTTTTCTCAATGGGGATTTGCCAGTGGCCTGGAAGAGAACAGCTTTGCGACTCACCTTTTTCCCATCAGTACACTGCTGACTTGGTCGTGAGCATGAGCCCTTGTGACTCCCCCAGCCCTGAAATCCTCCCTCCAATCCCAGTTAGTTACAGACTCTGCGCTAACAAAGGTGCTGCCGCGGGCCGTGCCACCGTCTTCCCTCTTTCCCCCAGGTGGGATTCCCCAACGCCGGGAAGTCCTCACTGCTCCGGGCCATTTCAAACGCCAGACCCGCCGTGGCTTCCTACCCGTTCACCACCCTGAAGCCCCACGTCGGGATCGTCCACTACGAAGGCCACCTACAAATAGCAGGTAGAACTTCCAGAATTCTCCCAAAGGTTAGATTTAAATGATGTAATTCAGAAAAGTAATGATGTAACTCTTAAATTTAGCTTTCTGTTTAAAATGTAGCATTGTTGGCCAGGCGTGGTGGCTCACACCTGTAACCCCAGCACTTTGGGAGGCCGAGGCAGGCGGATCACGAGGTCAGGAGATCGACACCATCCTGGCTAACATGGTGAAACCCCGTCTCTACTAAAAATACAAAAAAATTAGCTGGGTGTGGTGGCGGGCACCTGTAGTCCCAGCTACTTGGGAGGCTGAGGATGGAGAATGGCATGAACCCAGAAGGCAAAGCTTGCAGTGAGCCGAGATCATGCCACTGCACTCCAGCCTGGGCGACAGAGCGAAACTCCATCTCAAAAAAAAAAAAAAAAAAGTAGCATTGTTTTTCCTAATGTAAACAACTTTTTTTTTTTTTTTTTTTTGAGACGGAGTCTCACTCTGTCACCCTGGCTGGAGTGCAGTGGTGCGATCTCAGCTCACTGCAACCTCCACCTCCCATATTTAAGTGATTCTCCTGCCTCAGCCTCCCAAGTAGCTGGGATTACAGGCGTGCGCCACCACGCCCAGTTAATTTTTTTGTATTTTTAGTAGAGACGGGGTTTCACCATGTTGGCCAGGCTGGTCTCGAACTCCTGATCTCAAGTGATCTGCCCCCCGCCCCACCTTGGTCTCCCAAAGTGTTGGGATTACAGGCGTGAGCTACTGCACCTGGCCCTAATTTAAACAATTTTCATCAGCCTGTTCTCTATGAAAATCAGGTTCCCACCCCATCCCCTAGGAATCTGTCAGTTACAGTTCAGAAACCTGCATTGAAATTCCAGCCGAGGACAGTATTTCTTCCCACTCTATTTGTCCCCTCTCATCTGTGGAAGCTCAGCAGCATCACAACACGTGACTTAAAAGCTTTCCTTGTGCCGTTTGAGAGAATAAAACTTTTTCCCAGAAGACAATACACCCATTAAAAATAGTAAGCCTGCTGGTAAGGTTATTTGGATGGCACTTTATATCTGCAGAGTACTCTACATGTAAATTTCTATCAGTAATCAAATGATTAGTAGAGTACAGGCAGCCATTTTCCTCTTTTTTGAATCCTATTAGAAGCAGAAAGAGAAGGTATGAAATGTACTCTACTAGATAGATCCATCGCCACGCTGGTCTCCCAAACATCTCCAAGCATTGAATTCCTCAGGTGTCAGTTGGCCCAGTGAATCACCCAGGTGCTAAATCAAATGGCTTCAGTTCAAGGCGTTCCTTGAAAGGAAAGTGTTAGAACTCAGGAAATCCGCCTTCGCAGTGGGCTCCAGGCCTTCTCTCCCAGGCTCGAGGTGGAAGGCGCTCTTGGGTGCTGGGTGTGCCAAGTGGTCACCTCGTGTGCCCCTGTCTTCCCTGCAGTGGCCGACATCCCCGGCATCATACGAGGCGCCCACCAGAACAGGGGTCTGGGGTCCGCCTTCCTCAGGCACATCGAGCGCTGCCGCTTTCTCTTGTTCGTGGTGGATCTTTCTCAGCCTGAGCCGTGGACTCAAGTTGACGATTTAAAATATGAACTGGAGATGTATGAAAAGGGCCTGTCTGCGAGGCCCCACGCAATCGTCGCAAACAAGATTGACCTCCCTGAAGCCCAAGCCAATCTGTCCCAGCTCCGGGATCACTTGGGACAGGAGGTCATCGTGCTGTCGGCGTTGACCGGCGAGAACCTGGAGCAGCTGCTGTTGCACCTGAAGGTGCTGTATGACGCCTACGCGGAGGCCGAGCTGGGCCAGGGCCGCCAGCCGCTCAGGTGGTAGCCACGCCAGAGCGGGGTCGCCTCTGGGCCTCTGTCTGAGCAAACCTGGGTGTGAATTCGGTGGTTTTGAATGCATAAAGTGCCTTGTGGACACGGGGGAGTTGTGGTGCTTCTGGGTCTCTGGGCCCCGCCTGCTGGCCTGAGATGCCCTCATGTTGGGAAGCATTCCGTGCCCCCTACCCCGCCTGCCCTCCGTATTTCCTGCACCTGTCAGCCTGCACCGACTGATGAGCCAGTTGCTCATTTGTGCTGATTAACACCCCTAATAAGGGGTTGGGGTGCCCATAACGGGGTGGCCCTGCCGCTGACTCAGGTCTCCGCCATGCACGCGTGGACTCTCGGATGAGCTCAGCAGAACCGCACAGCCAGAGCCCCAGGTCAGAAGTGCAGACCAGGGTTCTCAGCACAGTGCCCGTCGTGCTTCCATGGCTTGCTACGGAGAGAGACCTCTGGATCCACACTGGGGCTGCGTCTGGCCCGTTGTCCAGCAGCCCTGCGGTACCGCAAGCCCAGGCACCAGTGTCTCGGGGGGCCTCACTGCTGCGCAAGGGGTGGGGCCGAGGATGCAAGTCCAGGCAGAGCGGCGCAGGCAGCTGTGAGCTTTTCTCCATCAGCCGTCTGAGAAGAGCAGTGAGGCCAGCTGCTTCCTGTCCTTCAGAACACTTCTCTGTGCTCAGTGGGAGCCAGGAAGCCTCAGGCTTCACGACTGAATGCACCCAATATCCGACCTGGCTGCGTGTTTCTGGCTGGGCTGCCGTGTGCACAGCAAGTTAACTAGAGGGGCTGTGGGCCATGGAACTGTCAGCGTTATTCTCAGAAGGCGGCCGTGGCATGGGCAGGGTATAGTGAGGAGTGGAAGGAGACGTGTGCCTGGTAATATGGGGCGGAATTTCCACTCAGCTCCATTTGCTGGGGATTTAAAGAGAACCCTTGTGCTACGCCAGGCAGTTACCGAGCCGAAGGGAGATGATGGGCCTTCGCCCCTCAGTGGGATGGCAGCTGAGGGGGCCCTGCATTTGACCGTCGAGACTGCAGCAGCGCCTTTCCTGTCTGTGGTTTAAGTCTTTGCAGTCAAGTACTGATGCATCCAAGCCAGGCCCATGCCTGGTGTCTCCCTGACTGCAGAGGAGCCCCAGGGCAAGGACAGCTCAGCTGCTGGCAGCCTGCCTGGCCCATAGACATCCCCCAAGTAGTCTCAGGCCTCTGACATGTCCCTGAGGGGCCCCTAAGAAAGAAAGTGGAGGGGACACTCCAGAGGCTGTCGTGGGAGGATCATGTGAGCCTGGGAGGTCAAGGCTGCAGTGAGCCGTGATTGCACCACTGCACTCCAGCCTGAGTGACAGAGCGAGACCCTGTCTCAAAAAACAAACAAACAAACAAACAAAAACAGAACATTCTGGGCACGGTGGCTCATGCCTGTAGTCCCAGCACTTTGGGAGGCCGAGGCTGGTGGATCACAAGGTCAGGAGATTGAGACCATCCTGGCTAACACAGTGAAACCCCGTCTCTACTAAAAATACAAAAAAATTAGCCAGGCGTGGTGGCGGTCACCTGTAGTCCCAGCTACTCGGGAGGCTGAAGCAGGAGAATGGCGTGAACCTGGGAGGCGGAGCTTGCAGTGAGCCGAGATCACACCACTGCACTCCAGCCTGAGCGACAGAGCAAGACTCCATCTCAAAAAAAAAAAAAAAGTGGAGGGGACAAAGAAGCAGAGAAGGATGATCAGAAGGGGACCCCCAGCCCTTGGAGGAGAGACGGCAGCCTCAGGTGAGATGAGCCGCAAGGGTCCGGGGCCGCGTCTCTGCACGCTGGGGTGGGGCGCGCTTTGCACAGCAGGCCGGTGCCTGGGCTTTCAGGAGCAATTCCGTTTTGATCTCACATCAAATCTGCAGCTAGAACATGACAGTCCTTTTACCCGAAGCTTTATTTTAATGTCTTATAATTTCAAAGGTCCTTCTATCCTAGAAACCAGAGATGGGTTTTGCATCTATTTGCTTTTTCTTTCAGGCCGCCACAAAGGATTTTGTGGAGTCGCCCCAGGCCTGACGGCGTTAATTATCCCTGGCTTTCATCTTGATGCTCTTGCAGGGGAGGCTCAAGATGCCTTGTGGCTCGACCCCTGCACGGAGCCCCCAGCCCAGCCTCCCCGTGGGTTGAAACCTTGATCTGGGCCTGACTGTGGCTGCTCTGGGGACATGCCCTCGTCCTTTGCTGAAGCTGAGGCTCCAGAGGGGGAGTCACTGCCACGAAGGTTGCCCAGAACTTTCCTTGCTGCAAAAAGCCCCAAGACTTCTCCCTGCCACACACACAGCTTTTGCCATCGCGTTCTAAAAGCTGACAGCTTTCTCTCCAACACTGTTCTCCCTGAGTAGGGTAAAGCTACACTTGGCTTCCCCAGTTTCCTGTTTCCTGCCTAGAAACAAATTTTTGTCAGTCTGCTTTTCAAATGGGATATATGATTCACATACCATAAAATTCACCACTTTATATAATTCAGTGGTTTTTTTGTATGTTCAGAAGGTTGTGCAACTGTCAAACTGCAAATTCCAGAACGTTTTCATCACCCCGAAAACAGACCCTGTGCCCGTTAGCGTGAACCCGCCTTCCCCCTCCCCCGGGCACCCACCCGTCTACCTTCTGTCCCCAGGGACCTGCCTTCCAGACAGATCCTGTAATTGGAGTGTACACTATGTGGCCGTCTGTGCGGGTCTTTAGTAGCCATGCCTGAGGCGGCCGACACCGCAGTCTTTAGTTACGGAAGGGACCGCGGGTGCAGGCCAACCCCCCCACAGTCAGCATGTGTGGGCTGCCTTGGACACAGGGTCTCTGTGTATCCCCAGCAGCCTCAGAACACCTGACCCAGAGACGGCGTCAGTAAGCGCTGGCAGGTGCACGGAGGATGGCGCTGGCATGAGGAGCCTTCAGGCTGCTCCTAGTTTTAAACTATTTTTACTTTTGTTTTTATTTTTTTAAGACAGAGTCTCACTCTTTCGCCCAGGCTAGAGTGCAGTGGTGCGATCTCGGCTCACTGCAACCTCTGCCTCCTGGGTTCAAGCGATTCTCCTGCCTTAGCCTCCCAAGTAGCTGGGATTACAGCCTGCACCACCACGCCTGGCTGATTTTTGTATTTTTAGTAGAGACAAGGTTTCACCATGTTGGCCAGGCTGGTCTCGAACCCCTGACCTCAGGTGATCTGCCCACTTTGGCCTCCCAAAGTGCCGGGATTACCGGCATGAGCCACTGCGCCTGGCCTGAAACTCAGTGTGTGTGTGTGTGTGTGTGTGTGTGTGTGTGTGTGTGTGTGTGTGTGTGTGTGAGAGAGAGAGAGAGAGAGAGAGAGAGAGAGAGAGAGATGGAGTCTCACTCTGTCACCCAGGCTGGAGTGCAGTGGCGCGATCTCCACTCACTGCAACCTCCGACTCCTGGGTTCAAGCAGTTCTCCTGCCGCAGCCCAGGTGGGGTGGAGTCTGGGTGCCCTGGGGCCCTGCCACCTTCCACTTGGACACGGGCGAGGAGGGGTTTGCCCTGAGCATCCCCTGTAGAAGCCCAGCTCCACAGCAGCGCTGTAGGAAAACGTAGTGTGTCCATTTGAAAATGAAGTTTTATCTATTCCTTATTAGTCTCCTGGGGCTGCTATGACAAAGTGCCACAAACCGGGTGACTTAACAGAAGTTGGCCGAGCATGGGGGCTTACACCTGTCATCTAGCGCTGTGGGAGGCCGAGGCGGCCGGATCACCTGGGGTCAGGAGTTTAGGACCAGCCTGGCCAACATGGTGAAACCCCATCTCTACTAAAAAATATGTAAAAATTAGCTAGGGGTGGTGGCCCATACCTGTAGTCCCAGCTACCCAGGAGGCTGAGGCAGGAGAATCGCTTGAACCCCTGATCACTTGAGCCAAGATTGCGCCACTGCACTCCATCCTGGGCGACACAGTGAGACTCTGTCTCAAGAAAAAAAAAAAAAAAAAACAAAAAAAACCTAAGTGGATTCTCTTGTTTGTCGGGGGTGAGGCCTCTCAAGGCCAGGGAGGTCCTTCCTGCTCCATCCTCGGCTAGCAGTGGCAAAGGCTCCCGTCCCTGCCCTGTCTTCATGTAACTTCCCCCTGTGTGTCTGTCCTCTTATCTTCTGGAAGCCAGTTGTGGGATTTGGGCCTCTCTAAACCCAGGATGGTCCCATCTTGAGATCTTTAGTTACATTTGCACAGACCCCATTTCCAATAGTGATATTCTGAGGTTCTGTGGATGTGGATTTGGGGGCACGTTGTTTGACCCCAAGCAATGTCCCTTTCCATCTTTTTTTTTGGCGGCGGTGGGGGTGGTGCAGAGTCTTGCTCTGTCATGCAGGCTGGAGTGCAGTGGCGCGATTTTGGCTCACTGCAACCTCCACCTCCCAGGTTCAAGCGATTCTCCTGCCTCAGCCTTCTGAATAGCTAGGATTACAGAAATGTACCACCATGCCCAGCTAATTTTCGTATTTTTAGTAGAGCCAGGGTTTCACCATGTTGGCCAGGCTGGTCCCGAGCTCCTGAGCTCAGGCGATTTGCCCGCCTCAGCCTCCCACAGTGCTGGGACTGCAGGTGTGAGCCTCCACTCCCAGCCTCCCTTCCCATCTTGTGGTCGTGTGTGCTTCCCGGCGCACGTGCTATACTGAGTTCAGTCTCGCGTGGGGCCTTTGCCTCCTCACCTCGCCAGCACAGCAGCTCTGCCCTCGGGTCCACCCCAGGTCCCGCCATGCCTGTCACCTCCACCCCGCTCTGGACGATGGCAGTGGCCTGCTAATGTCTCCCCTACTTGGTGCCCGGGCCCCTCAGTCTTCCCCTGTGGCTGTGCCAGGAAGCCAGGCCCCTCACTGGGAGTCCCTGGTGCCCACAGCACCAGCCCCACTGCCCCTTCCTATGTCTGAGCCATGCTGAGGCCACTCCTTGGACTGCAGGCTTTGGTGTTGCTGATCCCTGTGACCCAGTGCCCTGCCCAGACACCCCGTGAAATGCCCTCTAGTCAAAAAGCCAAAGACAGCCACACGCGCCCAGGCTCTGCACAGTTGGGCCCACCACCCTCTCGTGCACGCACTTTCCACACTTCACGTTAGCCGCCGTCGCCCCCCCGCCCTAAGCTCCTGGAGAACAGAGACCTCGTTTGTCTGTATGCAGTGCCCGGGTCGGCGCTGGCCCCGGGATGGAGGCCTGAAGGGCAGACATGCTGAGGCAACCGGAGCGTCTCATCAGTGAACACACGTGCCGGGGACCTGTCCTGGTGCCGCTAAAGAGGCTGCAGAGCCGCGGGGTGCGGCAGTGCTTGGCGGGGGCGGGGTGCAGCTCTGCGTGCATGGCGTCCACCTGGGGACCGCAGGTGTCAAGCCGGGGAGAGCCAGTGCCAGGAGGTCACACACGATGGTTCCCTCTACAGAGTGTTCCAGAAACGATGAGGAGAATGGATTGGCGGTCCTCGGGCTGAGGAGGGCGGGAGGGTGGAGGTAGCCGTGGACACAAAAGGGCCATGCCAGGGTCCTCAGACCATCACCCTGTGTGTTGGCGGTGGGGCCACGAGTCTGCACGTGCGAAAGAATCCTGTTGGCTTAGTGTTTCAGGCTGGGAAGATGACCGGCTCTGAAGGTGGAGGGTGGTGATGGGAGAGCCACTGAACCGCACACTTCAGATAGCTCAAGTGGTGAACTTTATGTTTATCACCACGATAAAAAATATGACATAGGCCGGGCGCGGTGGCTCACGCCTGTAATCCCAGCACTTTGGGAGGCCGAGGTGGGCGGATCATGAGGTCAGGAGATCGAGACCATCCTGGCTAACACAGTGAAACCCCGTCTCTACTAAAAATACAAAAAAATTAGCTGGGTGTGGTGGCAGGCACCTGTGGTCCCAGCTATGCAGGAGGCTGAGTTTGCAGTGAGCCGAGATCGTGCCACTGCACTCCAGCCTGGGCGACAGAGCAAGACTCTGGCTCAAAAAAAAAAAAAATTTATATATATATATATATATATATATATATGACATAAAACTAAACATGCCACACACACACGAGTGCAGGGGAGTGGGAACCTGCGTGCGGCGATGGCGTGTGTCCTGCGTGCGGCGATGGCGTGTGTTGTGGTCTTAGAGGGTGGCTCACCCAAGCTTCCCTGTGGGGGAAGCCGATAAAGGGCACGTGGGGTCTCTGTAGTGTTGCACCCAACAGCATGGAATCTACAACAATCTCGAAAGAGGAAAAGTCAAGGCGTCGGGAGCCCACTGCCCTCTGGCGAGCTCCTGGAGGCTCCATGGAATGTTCGGGCTGCAACCACCCCAGCCCTCCTGGGACTGTCCCCTCCTGGTGCTCTTGCTCAATCTCTGCTAGAAGAAGACAGCGTGAGGTCAGCTGAAAACAAAAGCAAACTTTTCTGCAGGCTGCACACCCGTTGGTGTTAGAATTTTGCAGGAAACATCCCTCCTGGGCTTTGCCGCTGCCGAGGATCCTGGATCTGGGGACATCTCTAGCAGCACCGCCAGGAAGAGGCCGTACAGAGGACGCACGGCAGGCCCAACCCTGCCTGCTGTTCGAATAATTCATATTCTTACTGCCAGGACTGGCTCCACCAACAGCCCTACCCCCAGGCCAGGGTCTCCACTTCTGAAAGGAGCCAGACAGTCAGAGAGGACCCTAGGCTCCTCCATGTGACATGGGGTTAGCCACACAGGCAAGACAGGGGCAGGGTCCCTGGATGTGCCCTAATGACCTGATGGCCCACAGGCTGCTGAACCCATGGGGTGCAAGACAGGCCTGCATGGGAACTACCACCCCTCCCCAGGAGTGGGTGCTGGGGACAGGGCTCGCGAGAAACAGGGCTACCTGATCGTTTCTTCTTTCTTGTAATCGTCTGGTTCCTTAGGAGAAAAAAAAATTGCTTCTTTGCAAAAAATCAATGGGTCCCAATGGATCCATGATGTTCCCCAGAGCCAGGAAATCATTCCGCTTTCTGCCATGGCCTCCAGGGGAACAGGCCTGGCCGTGGCCCGGCTGGGTGTTGAGGGTGGGGGCGGGGGTGTCTCACTCCCCCTGCCTTGTTCCCTCCTCAGTCCAGTGGGGATAACAAGACCCAGCCAATGAGCCAAGGCCATACCTTCCCCGCCTGGGCCTGGAGCAGTCTCCCTTCGCCCTGCCTGGGTACAGAGGGGCACCTTCCCTGTTCAGGATCCTCTGGGCTCACAGGGGTCCCGGATGTCACCTGGGATCCCCAGCCAAGGGTGGAGCAGAGCCTCATGGGTCTGGTGGCTAGGCTCCGCGCGCCCCCCCCCACCCCGTGTGCTGGGCAACCCACGCCCCTGGTGCCCAGCCTGCCGCCCCCTACCAGGCCCCAGGGTCCAGGCCCCAGGGTCCAGGTCCCAGGAAGCCACTCCCCCAGTCCCCCACCCAACCCCAACCCTAGCCCCTTCTCTTCCTTGCCAAAGAGCTTCGTGGCTTCTTAAAACTCAGCACCCCGTCCCACCCCCAGTGTCCCCGTCAGCGGAGGGAGGGCCTTGGAGGGAGAGAAAAGGGAGTGGGCAGGTTTGCTCAGGCAGGCACAGCCCACGCTGCTAGAGTGGAGTTTTGGATTTACAATGAAGAGTGCACTGCATGTGAGGTGCACGCTGAAACATTATTCATCCTGACACTGAAGTTCAGGGCTCTGCATCTTATCTGGTGACCCTAAGGAGCGTCCTGCTTCTTATCTGGTGACCCCAAGGAAAGGAGGTAGTGACCCAAGCAAGGGGGAGGTGGTGGCAGGGAGAGTGGCTTCAACACTGATTTTCCTTAGTGGTGCCTCCCGGGAGGGGTTGCCGGGAGACGGGGCCACCTGGGGGAGAGGACCGCCAGGGGTTTAGGGGAACGAGGTACACCCTTCCCCGAAGCCTCCCCTGCCTTCTTCCAGCCCCTGAGGGGGTGGTCTGGACGGGCTGTGGGCAGGGGCTGAAGCCTCTCCCTGCTGGGGCCACTCGAGGCAGGCCGCCTGGGCGAGGCATCTCATGGATGCCTCCTGTGGACAGAAAGGACAGCACCTTCCTCTCTCCAGAGCTTGCAGTGTTGGGAGATGCCTTTCCTGCCGCAACCGTGACAAACACACTATTATCTATCAGAAAATCTTCTAACTTCCCCACTTTTCATTAGTCAGAGCCACAGACCTCCCTTGGGCAGGAGTGACCCGTTCTTCCCTGAGGTAGAGGATGCCAGCCTGGGCAGAGTCTCACCTGGCAGGATTTTTCCCACTCCAGTTATAAAAATGCATCTTGTATGGGCTTTAGGAAAGAAGATGGACTTGGTAATTTGTTAAACATTAAGCCCCAGGTCTAGCTTCAGGCAGGGTTGGATCCAGGTGCTCAGGTACGACAGCATGGGGAATCCGCCTCCCCGCAGCTCTCAGCTTGGCTTTCTTCCTTGCTGTCTGCTCCAGGCGGACTCCCTCCACCAGGCAGCCTCGGCAAGGGCAGCCTCGAAGGCGGCCAGGACGGCCGCTCCAGCTGGAGAGGGCACCTCCTTCTCAGGTTTCCAGCCAGAGTCCCAGGACTGCCGCCCACTGGCGGGGCTGGGGATGTGATGTGTGTCACCCCAGACCCATTGTGGTGATGGCGCCGAGCCATGGCTGAGACCCACATGAACCCTGGAGCCCAGGGGTGGAGTTGGCCCTGCCGAGCCCACCAGAGTGAGGGGCAGTGGTTCCCCAGAGAAAACTGCGTCTCCTGAACAGGTGCCTGAGGTGTCCCTGAGAGCTGAGGGGTTGGGAAAATAGTCCCAAGTTAGCTGTGTGATGTCCACCAGGCCACTTAACCTCCTTCAACAAGATGGGTTTAGCTGAGGAAAGGGCTCAGAACAGTGCCGAAAACGTCGTGTTGTGGGCCAGAAGCCGTTCTTCTTGTTACTACGGCCTGAGCGTGTCACATGTGCCTGGCAGCAAGAGGATTCCTCCCAGGCGGGCGCCAGAAAGGGACCCCTGAACCTTGGCCCTGCCCCTCCCTGCTCCAGCCCTGCTGGGCTTCTA
Organism: Homo sapiens; assembly: GCF_000001405.40. Lineage (NCBI taxonomy): Eukaryota > Metazoa > Chordata > Mammalia > Primates > Hominidae > Homo > Homo sapiens. The sequence goes on from NC_000020.11 coordinate 62,210,082, forward strand.
CCCCTCCACGGACCCCTGTGTGTCCTCAAAGGGAAACTGAGACCTCTCTGGAGCTTGACCCTTGACCCTGCCTCCTGCTCCAGGATCCGCAGACCCTGGATGTTCCCCCAGCACCAGTCCCTGGATGTACCATCAGGTCCAGGGAGGGGTTTGGCCCCCAGGGGCACTGGGAGCAAGACATCCCTCCATCCTTACCAGACTTCAGTGGTGAAGGGGGCGCTGTTTGGTCCCCAGGGGCTGAGGGACCTGTCTGAGGTCACACCGCTGGGAAGTGGCCCCAGTCAGACCGACCTTCCAGTCCAGCCGACTCCAGACCCCATGCTCATTTCCAACCCATGAGAAAGGAAGGAGAGGGGGTGGGGGGAAGGCGACCCTCCAGGGACCTTAGCGACCTCTCCCAGCCTCCTCCAGCCGGCCACCTCCAGCCCTGCCTGCTGAGAGGCCCGGCGCTTAATGACGTTAGCACAGTGCTGTCCGCTGCGAGCAGGTGTGTGCACCGCCAACAATGGAGCAATTTTCGGTAATGATGGGGAGGCCTGCAGCGGCGCCAGAGCTGCTTCCTGCCCGCGGGGGCGAGGGGCCTGCTGAGCTGCAGCCAGGCAGGGAGAGTGGTGCCAACTGGATTCGGAGGGCCAGGCAGAGGCCACTCACCAACCGCTGCTCCATCCACCCCCGAGCGTGGCCGAGCCCATTCTGCAGGGGAAGAAGCCGAGGCCCAGGGAGCCCCGGCCTGGCCTCTTAGACGGGCAGGGACAGGAAGGGTCGGGGCTGGCACCCTCCCAGGAAGTCTGGATTCTAGTCCCAGCCTTAATGCAGACCTGCTGGGTGGGCTGGGGCAATCCCCGTCCGCCAGGCCTCAGTTTCCCCTCCAGACACACTTTCTGCCTGACCTGGGCAACTGGGACCTCGGGCTCCACAGCCCACCCCCTGCTCCTCTCTTTTCTTTCCCCCAGCTCCTGCCCCAGCTTGGCTGAGTGGGGTCTTGTGCCCGGCACGATGGAGGGACCCCGGTGGCACTCCATAGATGCTTCCCGTGAGGATCAGCAGAGCTGAGGTTCAGTTCTGAGGCCCACAGAGGCTTCCTGGATGTCCCACTCTGCTCTCCATCCCAGGGGGTACCCCCACCAGCAACTGCACACAGTGGTGTCCCCCAAGAGGGCACAGTCCACGGGAGTGGGGGGAGCTACTTACACCTGCCTGGTGCCCAGAACACAGTAGGCACTCAGGGACAGCATGATGGAGCCAAAAGAGCATGGGCTTCAGAGTCACACCTGGCGTCCAGTCCTGGCTGCACTCCCAACTGCCGAGGGTGGCGTGGGACAGAGGTGTCACCAGCCTCCCAAACCCTGGTTCTCATATCTGTAGAACGAAGCAGGTCCGTGCCTCCCAAGATGGCTTCAAGGGCATAGGGTTCCCCACCTGGACCTGGCACCCAGGAGAGTGCCAGTAAATGTTGGACGAAAGGCTCTTCATACCTCCAGGCCCGGCTATAAGCACTGGGTGGTCTGGGGGCCCAGAGAGACAGTGCCAGGCAGCCATGTGTCCCCCAGGTCAGGGCTCCAGAAGCCTTGCCTGGGGCCCCAGCTGTCCCTCGCTGTGGCCCTGGCTCACCAGTAACTGGGCCTTTCCTACAGGACGGAAATGGGGTTGCCTGCTGGGCACCCTGAGAGCTCAGGGGCTTCATCCCAAGCTGGGAAGGATCCTTACCCAGCATGTGCCCAGAACCTGTCCCAGGGGCACCCCAGAACCAGCACGAGGCAGGTGAGGTGGCCAGACACACAGCCAGTGGCAGCCTCTGAGGGCCTGGGCCCCTATTTCCTGAGGACCGCCCAGGGCCTGGCTGCAGCCCTGTCTCCTGCAACAGAAGGGCCGAGGGTGGCCCCGCTAGGTGGCCAGGCTACCCACATGCACCATGGTAGCCCTCTGTGTCCCCAGCATGCCCTGTTCCTCAGGGACTCAAGGCTGGCTGTTCGTTGGTCCAGCTCACAGAAGCTCAGGGACCACATGAGTGCTTGCCCTGTGCAGCCCACTCCCCACCACCATGCCTGGCACACAGTAGGTGCTCAGTAAACAGCAGTGGCCTGGGTGGGCAGACACCCAGGCGGCAGCTCCAGCCCGGGGCCCGCAGGCTCTGTCTCCCCTCCCAAATGCTCACTCACAGAGAGAGGCCCCCTTGTGTGTTTGTTTGCTGCAGAACTCGGGCCCAATAGACTCGGTGTCTTTCTTCTCTCCTCCTCCATCCCGCACAGGAGCTCCAGGGAGCAGCAGTTTCCAGAGATTGAAGGCAAAATTGCTTGAAAGCCTGTGCTTGTATCCTCCAATTTGTAGCCATTTAGCAGGGCCGGGCGGAGGGGCAGCCAGGGCTCTGCTGGGTTGTCGGCACAGAAGCATCCATCACTGCAGAGAACAGTTCTTTGTCCTTTCCCAGACAGCTCTCGGCTATGGGAACAACACCCGCTGCGGAGCCAGGCTGGGTGGTACTGGGGGCCCACAGGGGAGGCCAACGGCTGGCCTGCTGGAGGAGCCTCAGGGCCTCCCAGAGGCAGAAGGGGCGCCCCACTCTGAAAGTGACATCTGCCATCATGCTTCCAGCTCCGCTTGGGACTGTGCCCAGCCCCAGGGGCAGAGGTGCACACGGGCTGGGGCTAGAATTATGAAGAAGGCCCAGGTGTCCCCAGTCTTGCCCCTCCCTCTGTCACTAAGAGGGGCCTTGTGTGGCTTCTGCCCAGGAAGAGGAGCCTGTCTCGGAGGGGTCACTTGAGTGTCTGGGAGGCAGTCAGAAGTCCAGGAGCCGGAAGGAGAGCAGGGATGGGGGGTAAGGAGAGGGGGGATGGGTGGGGGAAGGAGAGCAGGGATGGGGGGGTAAGGAGAGGGGGGATGGGTGGGGGAAGGAGAGCGGGGATGGGGGGAGGGAGAGTGGGGATGGGGGGTAAGGAGAGCGGGGATGGGTGGGGGAAGGAGAGCGGGGATGGGTGGGGGAAGGAGAGCGGGGATGGGGGGTAAGGAGAGCGGGGATGGGTGGGGGAAGGAGAGCGGGGATGGGGGGTAAGGAGAGTGGGGATGGGTGGGGGAAGGAGAGCGGGGATGGGGGGGGTAAGGAGAGCGGGGATGGGTGGGGGAAGGAGAGCGGGGATGGGGGAGGGAGAGCGGGGATGGGGGAAGGGAGAGCAGGGATGGGGGGTAAGGAGAGCGGGGATGGGGGGTAAGGAGAGCGGGGATGGGGGAGGGAGAGCGGGGATGGGGGAAGGGAGAGCAAGGATGGGGGGGAAGGAGAGTGGGGATGGGTGGGGGAAGGAGAGTGGGGATGGGTGGGGGAAGGAGAGCGGGGATGGGTGGGGGAAGGAGAGCGGGGATGGGGGAGGGAGAGCGGGGATGGGGGAAGGGAGAGCAGGGATGGGGGGTAAGGAGAGCGGGGATGGGGGGTAAGGAGAGCGGGGATGGGGGAAGGAGAGCGGGGATGGGGGAAGGGAGAGCAGGGATGGGGGGGAAGGAGAGCGGGGATGGGTGGGGGAAGGAGAGCGGGGATGGGGGAGGGAGAGCGGGGATGGGGGAAGGGAGAGCAGGGATGGGGGGGAAGGAGAGCGGGGATGGGTGGGGGAAGGAGAGCGGGGATGGGGGAGGGAGAGCGGGGATGGGGGAAGGGAGAGCAGGGATGGGGGGGAAGGAGAGTGGGGATGGGGGTTGGAGGGGGGTGTGGAGCTTCAGATTCTGGGAGAAGTTTCCGGGGAGTTTGGAAAACAAAAGTGCAGGTCTAGCTTCTAGCTTCAGGGCGTGAAAAAGGTCTGGAGGTGAGGCATTTTGCTGTTAGCTTCCCCTCTGCAGTGCTGAGAGCCGGCATGGCTGGGAAGCGGTGCTTTGAGGGGGAGATGCAGGTCTCCCTGCCCAGGTGGACCCTCCACCCACCCCCAGCACTGGCTGTGAGAGTAGCCAGAAAATGGCGAGATTCTCTCCCTGGGTAGGAAGGAAAGATATGAGCAGAAGCGTGCCTAGCAAGGCTGCACTGTCGGAAGTAGAGTGGGCTCAGAGACGTCAGGACCCTGGAGGCTGGAGCTGGGGGACGGGACGTTGGGGGAGGTGGCACCTGGCCCACCGAGTTTGCATCTCACCTAGGTTGGGCTTGTCTGGTTTCCAAGTGGCCTCTGAGCACCTGGGTGTGGGCCAGCATCTGCCTGGGTTCGGGCTGGTGTCTGCCTCCCTCTCCTGGGGCCCCTGGAGCAGGTGCAACGGCCTTCGGGATTAAAGGCTCACGGGCCACAGCGAAGGGTGCTACCTTCCCTCCCTCCATCTTCCTCCCAGCGTCCTCATCCTGCACCCTCAGTCCCCCCTCCAGGCCTTTGTCCAGGACAGCTCCTCTCCCAAAGATGCCTTCGCTCCAGGGCTCATCCCTTCTAGCAGCCCCTCCAGCCTAGCTCCAGCCAGCTAGCCCAATCCCTCCCCTCTGGTCACTGCAGTCCCTTTGCCACCCAGACCCTGCACACGCTGGGCATGGCCATGATCCTCCCTGGGTCCCAAGTTTTGCTGGGGTGCAACCCTGCTCCTGACCAAGAAAGATGAGGCACCTGTCCTGGGGGCAGGAAGGCTGCATGTCTGTGTTCTCAGGGCCAGAGCGGGCCCCTCCTGTGCAGGGCGTGGGCTGCATCTCCTCACCCGCCAGCCAGGTCTTGAGAAGTGCAGGGGTCTGGCGGTAGGGCACATGAAACCCTTCTTGGGATTAAACCCTGGTGTGGCAGGCTGGTCTTTCATCCCCACTGCAGTCCCCCGACTTAGAAGAAAACACAGAGCCCTCATCCTCACGCCTGCTTCTCAGTGGTTTCTGGACTCCCTGGAGTCTCTCCTCAAAGCACGAAGGCTCTGAGCACCCCACAAAGTCCTCAGGAATCAGCACCAATAAAAAAATACACTTTATTGTGACCTCACGGTTTGCAGGGCAGCGCAGCGGGCACAGGCAGAGGAGCATGCAGAGCGCGTGGCACGGGTGCACAGCACATGGCGAAGCGGCCCCTGCCCGGGCACCTCCTCTGGACCGCCCCTGCACGCCTTGGGACCCTCGGGCCCAGCCGGGCCCCCTCCTCCCAACAACCCCCAGAGGTCCTGGGTGAGCAAACAGAGTGGCCGGGGCAGGCTTGGCCACCAGGGCTGGTGTGAGCCCAGAGGCGGGGTGGGCAGAAGCAGCTGGCACAGCTCAGCCGGAAGCCTTAGCGGAGGGAGGAGGGCGTGGGAGCCCACACCTGCCAATCCAGCCCTGAGCTCCTCAGCAATTTTGTCTCTCTTGATTAAACATCCCAGGAACATCAAGTTCACAGACATGTTTTCTTCTTCATCTTTCTGAAAACACCCAGAATGGAAAAGCAGAGAACAGCTTCGAGGTTCCTAGGGCCCCTTGACACTTTTGGGGGCAGAGAGAGTTGGTGGGAAGAGGGGTGAAAGGGCCAGGCCTGAGGCTTATGCAAGAGACAGAAGGCAGCAAAGGCAGTGTCCTGGGCTTGTCCGGGGAGAGGGACGGTGTGCAGGTGTGTGCAGGGGTGTGCAGGTGTGTGCACGTGCAGAGGCAAACTGCTAGGGCAGGAAGCCTGGAGCACACCCAGGTGCTTGCTTTGGGAAGAACACCAACCAGTAACTGCGAAGGGTGGGCACCAGCAGGGGGTGGGCAGCATGTCTGGGACCTCCAGACTGTCCCTCCCGGTGGAGCCAGAATGTGGGGGGCAGGGCCGGCCACCCAGCCTCCAGTCCAGCCAGTGAGGGGCCCTCTGGCCAACCCAGGAAGGCGCCTCCATGGCAGGGTGGCTGCCGTGGCATTAAGAGAGGGCCACAGACACGGCGGGGCTCACCCCTGGGGGAACGAGCCGGGTAGGGGGCAGCAGGGCCAGATGCCCAGGAGACCTGGGCTGAGAGAGGCGTGGCTGAGGGAGGCTCTGGTGGGCCACTCACTTCCAGCAGTGCTCCAGGGAGCTGTGGGGCTGGATTTTGAGCTTCTGGGGGCAGAGCAGCTTGGTGAAGGCCCGGCGGAAGCTGTGGTGGCACAGAGGGTAGAGGACAGGGTTGACAGCCGAGTTGGCCCACAGGAGCCAGAAGGAGGTTTCGTACCAGTAGTCAGGGACGCAGTGGCCATGGCAGGCGGCCCGGATGATCATCAGCAGCGTGTATGGGGCCCAGCAGAGCCCAAAGATGCTCACGATGACGGCCAGCGACTTGGCCACTTTCCTGTCCCGAGACAGCCGAAAGCGCTGGGTGAAGCTCTGGGACACCATCTTCATGCGCTTCTCCAGCGAGGCCGAGGACGCCGACGGCTTGGAGCCCCTCTTGAGTGAGCGCGGCCTCTCAGTGCCCCTCGAGGAGCTGCCGGAGCTGGAGGTGGGTGAAGCCACGGAGCCGCCCCCACCGCCACCCCCGAGGGTCGCCTCCCCGGCCTCAGCGCCTACGGCCGCCTCACCCACCCCATACCTGTGCAGCGGCATGGCCTCCCCGTGCCCCTTCTGCCAGCAGCCCCAGCAGCCAGGCGGTGGGGGTGGTGAGGGCTGGGCCTCGGGAGGGGGCTCGGGGCCGGCTGCCTCTCGAGCCCCATCCAGCCGGAGGCGGGTGCGCCTCTGGATGTTCAGGTAGATGCTGAGGTTAAAGAAGGTGACGCTGAGGAAGGGCGTAAAGAACTCCAGGGTGGAAGCCGTGATGAGGAAGTACCAGTTGTAGAAGAACTCGGCATAGCAGTGGCCCTCGGGGATGGAGCTGCCCCCGGACAGGTACTCCCAGCTCAGGATGGCTGGTCCGTACAGCAGGAAGGCCAGCACCCACACCAGCAGCATCTTCCGCACTGCCCGCCGCGTGTCACCCTGCTGGGCCCGGTATGAGACCTGCAGAAGGGCAGGCTGGTCAGGGGCGGGGCGGAAGGAATATTGGGCTGGGTGCGCCCCCGTAGCCTGTGGGCCCCTATGTGGGCCCTTCCCTCAGCAGCAATGCTCCTCCTTTCCCCTCCTGTCCTCCCTCCCTCCCTCTTTCCCCTCCCTTCCTCTAACCCTCCCCACTGGGGTCCCGGACTGGTGCCCTGCCACACTCAGTGAGAGCCTCAGAAGCTCCCTGGGACCAACCTGAACCCTCACTCTCTGCTAGGCTGCCTGTTTACCACCCCCTACCAGCTGTGAGCTCCCTGGGGGTCCTGTCCTTGGCCCCTGCACCCTTGGGACCAGACTCAGCATCAGCCCCAGACCACGTGCACACACAGCTGTTTCTGACATGATGCATCCTGATCCTGCAAAGGCCCGAGCCATCTGCAGAGGTTGGGGTGGGAGGTCCAGCCCCACTCCTGCACAGGTGCTCGCACCCCTGGGAGCTGGAGGTGCAGGGGTGAAGCCACAAGTTGGCCCACTGCTGGGAGACATCCCCCGCCCCGCCACAGAACAAAGCATCCCAGATCGACATCAGGGCCTCTTGGGAAGAAGAGGGAGAGAGGGCAGGGCCCTCCTCAGGGCAGAGAGCAACCAGCTGGTGGGGGCAGGGGGCAGGAGGGCCAAGGGATCCCACTGAGGGGTCTCAGGTAGGACAGCTCGAGGAGGAGGACCTGAGAGCCCCTGCCACCCTCCCCCACCAGCCTGATGGCGTTTACCTTGGTGACGGTGGGAGCAATGTTCACAGCTATTGCTAATGAGAGGTGGGCAGAGCACCCCCATGCCAGGCTCTCTGCTCGGCCGCTTTACCCTTCGTGGCAGCTCTCCTTGTGCCCCATGCCTGGTGGCTCCAGGAAAGGAGGGAGAGACCACAGGGGGATGGGCTCAAGAGGAACCCAAAGCCATGCTCTTTGCACCCTGTCTCTTAGCCTTTCTAGGCTAGAACCAAACAACCTGCCCTCAGTCCTGCAGAGGCCCTCATAAAGCCCTGGGGACGTGAGCTGCCAAGGAGATGAGAAGGGGAAGGTGTGACTTCAGCAGCGGCTCCCTGGGCTGCATGGCCCCGATGCGGGAGCCTGGGTGGGGCAGGGTCCCTGACTCAGGTGGCCGCTCCCACAAAGGGAAATCTGCGGAGCCAGGATCTGCCGCCTGCCTTCCCGGGGCCTGTGTGTGTGTGCACGCTGCACACACGCATGTGGGAGGGATGTCACCCAGGGCGTCTGGCCCCAGATCCTCCCTTAACTCCGGGGACTGTGGACCTGCCCCAGGGCGGGGGCTGCAGCGACAGCCCTGCCTTCAGGACCATCTGCATCCAGATTCCCCGTCTCCTGCCTGGGCCAGGTCAGTCTGGCTGCAGCCATGGCCCCGAGTGGGCAGCTGGCCGTCGAGTGGCCCATGTGTCAGCAGCAAAGCCAGTGGGACCAAGCCCACTTCTGCCCACAACTCAGAAGTGGCCGTCCCCACCCAGGTGCCTCCCATGGGCGTCCCGACTGTCCCTGCGGAGTGAACAGGAGCTCCGCAGCCCAGGACTCACCGCTCGGGTGACCGACAGGAAGCGGTCGTAGCTGATGAGCACGATGTTGAAGGCAGAGGAGGTGCACAGCAGGTAGTCCACTACCAGCCACAGCTTGCAGAGGCCCCGGCCGAAGGTCCAGCGGCCTGTCAGCACGTAGGGTACATACAGTGGGATGCAGAAGGCGCCTGTGGGGAGTAGGGCCACAGTGGGACCATGCAGCCAGGGGCCAGGGGACAGACGGACCTAAGCGCAGACACCGGCGGGACCTGGGGTCACATGGTGGCTGCTTTTCTGGAACTAGCCATCCTCATCTTACCACCCCTCCACCTGGTGTCAGCCACAAACTCTGCCCTGCCGCCAGCCTTCACCCCCACATAGCTCCCAGCACTATCTGTGTCCCCTGGGCCTGGGGGCAGGAGGGATGATCCAGGCATGGGGAACTCTGGCCACCACAAGACCCCCGAGAGCCTGGAGTCGGGATTCCCTGGACTTCTGTCCAGCCCTCCCAGCCCTCAAAGGAGGAAAGAAGACAATTTCCTTCTCCCCTCCCCCGCTGGACTCCAGCCCCTACCCTGGCGCTGGACAACCCTCGGTCTCAGCTTAGACAAGGAGAAAGCCTTTCTCCTGGCTGAAAGGGCACTTGGTTGCAGCCGCCAGCCGCCAGCCGCTACTACTACTGCCAAGCGGGCTTGGAGCGTCTGGGAGACGCACCTCACAGCCCCAACAGGTGTCTGGCGCTCCAGCCCCCTCCGCGTGCCCCGCCCCCCAGCCGGCAGCAGAGCCTGGACACGTGAGAGCACGCTCCTCCGAGCGTCTCCCCCAACCCCCACCTTCCCCACCGTCCCTTCCCCCAACACAGCTCTAAAAATCCCCCTTCCATGTCCCCTCCCCCAGACCTTCTCTAAACCGCCCCACTGCGCCCTCCGCGCGTCCTAAGTCCGCAGCAGCCTTTGTTTGGCTACAGCGCAGGAGCCAGAGCTGCACCCGCTGCCTTTGCGCCTTGCGCCTCGCCCAGTGCCCGTGTCCCTTCCCGGGGACATCTCTCCCCAGCCCCTGTCCCGAGGCCTGAGTGGCAAGGAACTTCGCCTGTGCCCCCCACCCCATGGGCTCCGGACGCCCCCTTCCCAGGCCGGGTCCCCTGGTGGGGCGTGTGCCTGCGGGAGCCACCCAGGTCCGTGTTCCAGTCCCCGCTGGCCCGGCCACGCTGGGCGCCCCTGGGTCCCCAGCGGCCAGGGGCTGGGGATTTACCGACGAGGAAGTCGGAGATGGCGAGGTTGAGCAGGAAGAAGTTGTTCTGGGTGCGGAGGCTCGAGTCGGCCACGAAGGCGAGCATGACCAGCGCGTTGCCCAGCACCGTGGCCACGATGAGCAGCGCCATGAGCGCGGCCAGCACCGCGGTCCAGGCTGCCGAGAAGCCGCGCGCCCCGCCCGCCGCCGCCGCCTCGCCCGCCAGCGCCCCCGAAGCGTTCAGCGGCCCGTCGGGCGGCGCGCGCTCCATGGCCCCGCAGGCTCACGCGGCTCCGGGACGCGGGGCAGGGCGCCGGCCGAGAGCTGGGCGGCCGGGAGGGGCCCCGGCCCGGGAGCCTCGTCTTTGCGGGCCCTTGGCCGGGTCGGGTTCCCCTGGGGGCGCCCAGCGCATGGTCCGCGGGGCCGGGGCCGGGGCCAGAGCAGGCGGTGCCGAGGGGGCCGGGGCCGGATCCGAGCCCAGTGGGGCCGGCAGCGCGGCTGCTGCAGCGGGAGAGGAGCCGGAGCCTGAGCCGCTGCCGGTGCGACCGTGCAGCCGGAGCGCAACGCGCAGCCGAGTGCGCCCCGCGCCCAGCCCACCGCCCCGCGCGCCCCGCGCAGCGCCCCCGCCATTGGCTGCCGCCCTCGCCCCGCCCCCTCCCCGCCCCCGCCCCGCCCGGCGCCGGCAGCACCACGGACAGCGCCGCGTGCCCGCCAGGCTGCCTGGAGCCCAGCCCCTGCGCTCACAGCAGCTGGCTGGGAGCCCGGCCGGGGCTTGACCGGGTCTGGGGGCTCGCCTGCGGTCAGTCAGCCCGCGCACTCGGAGCCGGGGTCTGGGTTGCTCGGCCTTTCCCGTGCCCTCGGCCCTGGTGACCCCTGCCCGGTCATCATGGAGAGCCCTGGCGCCTGTGGGGACCCGGGGTGGGGGTGGGGGAAACGCCTGCACCCGCGCTCCGGGGACTTGCCCTGCGGGGCATTTCCTCGGTGCATGTTTTGGGAATGTGGGTCTCCGGGGCAAGGAACGTCTGGAGGAGAAGGGATGGGGAGGAGGGGGTCTTGGAAAGCCGGTGCCCAGACCAGGGGTCCGCTCCACCTCCCGTTTGCACGGACCCTGGGTGCCAGCCTCCGTGTGGACAGGGCCCAGTGCAGGGTCCAGGGTGACCCGCAAGGCGCAGGCAGATGTGGAGTTACATAAGGGAAGATGAGGCGCCGGGCGGACCCAGCCGGAGGGGAGCGCGTCTAGCCTGGGCTCCGGCGGCCTCAGGCTGAGGAGGGAGCAGCAAGCCGCTCGGAGCCCAGCCACGGACCCCTGTGGACAGAGGGGCAGTCGCCACTGCAGCGGACAGACGAGGTCACTGCGCTCAGGGCGCAGGTGGTGGCTGTGTTAGCGCCTGTGGGAGGGGACGGGGGAGGAGAGGAGAGGTGGCAGGAGGGAGCGCCCCCACCACCAGACACATGCGCTCAGATACACCGGGTCAAGGACAGATTCCTCCTGAAACACTGAGGGCAGACAGACAGACATGCCCACACTCAGATACACAGACACCCACAGGCCAGGGAAGCAGCCACCAGCGCCAGGCTGAGGACCCACCAAGAGCGAGACACACATCAGACAGCAGGCAGGGAGGGAGCCGCGCCCCAGGAGAAGGAAGCAGCAACTCCGCTCACAGGAGAAGGAAGCAGCCGAAGGCATCCCTGGTGCCTCAAAGAGGCCAGAGTGCGCGTGTCTGGGGGAGGGGCTGCAGAGGGGACCCCGGGCGCTGACATGCACCGTCACTCCCCTACTTATAGCAGCTTCCCCATACTGTGGGGACCTGCCCCTTCCCCTCGCCCCCCGTGGCGCTTCAGAAACTTTGGGGAAGGAGGAGCTGGGATTCCTCTGCTGCCACCTCAGGGCTGACTGCAGAAAGGAACCCCCAGACCCGTGGCCCCAGTCAGCCCACTATTTCACGGCTTCTAGGAGTCTGCTCTTGGGGGAGGGGTTCGGCTTCCCTCTCTGACTGCTTGGTTGTACTCATCCCACTCCACCTGCAAACCCTACTCCTCATACAGGCTCCCCCACGTTCCCTGCACCCCACCCCAACTCACCCAGTGTGGAGGGACTCTGCCTGGACCAGGGAAAAGTTTTCAAGGGGAAAAGTTCCATGGAGCTGGGCAGCAAGGGGCTGTGGGGCCATCAGAGCTGCCACCCATGCCTGCTGCAGCTCTTGACTCACTGTCCCCACCCAAACCAGAACTCCTTGTTGAGAGGACTCCTCCCCAGGCCCTTCTCCTCCCCAAATACCCACTGAGGCTGCAGGAGATGGCATTGGGTGGGGGTTAAGAGGGGGCCCTGGCTCTCTCCTTCACTGGCTGGAGCCTCAGTGTCCCCATCTTGGAATGGGGAATATAAATTGGAATCCCAAGCAGAACCAAGGATGAAGGGGTCTGGAGGCCCGCCCAGCCATTCTCCCTCCCCACCCCTCCTCCCCTGTCATCCACAGCTGCCCAGGCTTCCCCGTGAACTGACCAGCCCCGGAGAGCCTGGGCAGTGCTGGCCTGAGCCAGACGACCCAGACAGAGGGAGCTTTCCTGGTGTTCTCTCTGCCCCAGAGCCTCAGGAGGGACAGCTGAGCCCACACCTGCCCCACAGCTGTTCTGAAACCCTGCGGAACCTGCACCAAGATCCAGGGGCCCATGGAATCTGGACCCACAGGCGGGGAATCCCACACAGCGTGGCATCGGCCAGGGGACCCACTTCTGCAGCCTGTCACCACAGTGGTGACACATATCCATCACACGCCTGTGGGTCACCTCAGGGCACGCTTGCGGGAAGTCAGAAGGAGGCCCCGGGGTTTGGCCCCTGGCAGTGGGGACCCAACTGTGTGACCCCGGCTGAGTTACCAAACTTCTCTAAGCTGCTGTAAATGGAGGCTACCTAGAGAGGAGAGGGCCTGGCTTGTCCCCGAGGTCTGATGATGACAGTGGCTGGCGGCCGTGAACGCCCCCTAGACTCAGCCAGACTCGGTGGGAGTGCTTGGTACCTGACCTCACCAGCCCCTGCAAGACCATAAAGTTGGGCAGGACTTGCCTCCCTGCAGTGCTGGTGAGCTCCCCCGCCCGAGGTCACGCAGGCGCACCCTCTCCATGGCCACATGTCCAGCCCAGCCTGAGGCCAGCAAGCGCACCAGCATGACCAGCAGCCATGCCAGAGGCCCCTGTCCTTGCCCAAACAGGAGGCCACTGTCCTCTGGGGTGGGGCTTGATGTGGCCACGGCAATGCAGGGTGCATGTGGCTGGTCCCTGTGTAGCCCGTCTAGCCCTGGGGGGCCCTGTCCCAGGGAGCAGCTATGTTGTGTATGTTGTGATGAGAAAAGAAAGTCGCCAGGGGAGACCATCCCTGTATTCATGGGCAGAGGCCAATGTCCCGGCAGGCTGGTCCGGGCTGGGGAGGAAAAGGACTAGAGATGGAGACAGGAGCTCTGGGCCAGAGCCATGTGGACGGCCACGTGACTGGGGGCCTAGCTTGTTGGTTTCGTATCACAAGCAAACACCCACAAGGAGCCATTCACCCTGAAGACGTGACATTAGCAAGCCTCTGTCATCGGCCACCCTCGAACTGGGATGTTTGAGGTGAATGCAGTGAGTGCAGCACGGCCCCACCGAGTGCAGTGGCCACCCTGGAGGCTACGTGTGGGCCAAAGGGCACCGACCCCCACCTCCCAAGGCCCACCTGCTGCTGCTGCCTCTGAATGTCTGACCGCCAGCAAGCGTTCAACACCCAGCCCCAAGAAGGGGACATTCTCTGAGGACAGCAAATAGCTGCTGGTGAGATGGCTCCATGGGTCCCCTTCCCCTAGCCCTCATGGACCACAGACCTGCTCCGGGTGTGCGTCGGCCTGTCTTGCCTGTTGAGCCTACGCTGCAATCCAGGGGCCTATGGACCTCAGATCCACAGGCAGAGATTCCTACACAGTGTGGCATCTGGCCAGGGGACCCTCTTCCCATGAAGGCAGAGCCGGCATGGCCCCCGGCCATGGGCCCACCAGGGTCTGGGCTGCCACACCACCCAGGAGCAGCCTCCAGAGGCACACCAGCCTGGGGCACTCACCTCCAAGGCTGACTCTGCCCTGCAGACACGGATGACAGAGCAGAGTCCTTTCCATGGCGTCACGTCTCCAACAAGAAGACCACAGGCCTTCGGACCAGGGAAGGAGCAGGAGGGGCCCCGCCTGGCACCCTCCCAAGCATCCTCAGGGGAATCTGTGCTTTCCAAACTCTGGGCTCTGCAGGGCTCAAGCTTCTCATCTCTGAGGGACACCTGCTTACTGGGGACACAGCTGTGGATGGCTCCCAGGCACTTTGAGCTCCTGAGCTCCAGCAGACAAGACGAGGAGCCGCCTTTCTGTCGGGGTAAGTGGCCCTGATCAGCAGGAGAAGGTGGGGCTGCTATTTCCAGGAGAGGAGGGGTGGGAGGGGGTGGGTGTGAGACTCAGGGCCCTCTTGGGTGCCACGGCACCCCCTGGCCTGATCGTTTCTGTGCATGGACAAGTGTGGCCACCCCAGCCTGAGAAGGTCCAGTGGCCAGGGCTCAGGGAAGGAGCGTGAGCCTCCAGGACCTGCAGTGGCCACAGCCGAGGTGGGAGAGTGCAGGAGGGAGGGGACGCGTGCCAGGCGGGGCCCCAGCTCAGCTGCCCCTGTCCCCTGACCCCTGATCCTTCACAGGCCTCACCCCAACACATCTCTCCACCTCCCACGCTGTCTCGGCGTCTGCTTCCTGGAGGACCCACAGCCCAGGTTCCAATTTTGAAAGGGTGGTCAGGGAGTCTCCACTGAGGAGACACACGAGCAAAGGGGGAAGAAAGGGAGGTGGATATTGGAGGAAGCAGAGTTCCAGGAAGGAGAACAGCAGGAGTGAAGGGCAAGGGATGGAGCACGTTCGTGTTCCAGGGACAACGAGGAGGCTCACGCGGCCGGAGCTCAGGCGGGGGCATGGGGAGTGCGTTCCAGGGGCAGGTCTTGTAGCCCCTTGAGCTGCTGCAAGGATGCTGATGTTTTCTCAGACAGATGCTCCAGGAGGGCCTGGGGGACGCTTTTACACAATCCCCTGACTGCATTGGAGAGTGGTCTCTAGGTGGATGGGGGCAGAGAGACCAGAGGGGAGGCGTTGCAAGACTCCAGGTGGGAGGCAATGGTGGCGGTGGAGGTCAGGCAGACCTGGGCAGATTCTGACATGAGCTGGCATGTGAGGTGTGAGAGGGCAGAGGAGACGAGGCGCCCAGCCCAACTCCATAATTTGGGCTCAAATGCCTCAAAGAAGGTGCTGACAATGAACCAGAGGGAGCAGGTTTGGGGGACGAAGAGGTGCCCTGTTTGAGGGCGCCAAGGCTGAATTGCCAACGGGATGTTCAAGAGATGAGACTGGTCAAATGGGCAGCCAGGGGCTGGGATGAGAGGAACTCTGGGCTGGTGGCCATGCTGGTGTCACAGCAGCGGACAGCAGGACGCTCTCCCATCACCCTGTGCCATCGGGGGAGCAGCTCTGCGGCCAGCATCTCTGGTGCCCAGAAAAGCTGATGGTGCGCCCAGGTGCTGTCCCCGCAGTGCTCTGTCTCTGCTGCATGGGGACGCAGCTGCTGGTGAGTAATATGGGGGTGAGGCGCAGGGCCGCCAGGGCCAGTGCAGGACAATTGTCCTTCTAGTTACAGCCAAGGCACCTGTGGGGGTCTGGGGCCAGCACTGTGCCGCCTCTTCCAAGGAACCCATATTTGCTTTCTCTCTTTCTGCAGGAGCTCATTTGAATATGGGAATGTAAATTTTTCTTTTTTTGTTCCATGTCTTTTTTTCCCCCGTGACATTCTGAGCCAGCTCCGGGTGCATCCTGACGAGCTCAGGGCCTGGGTGTGACAAGAATGGCGTCTGAGGCCGCCAACTTGGAATGAAAAGTTGAGTCTGGTTTACCTGCCTTTGCAGACCAGGCAGAATTGGGCCCAAGACTTGGGTGGTAGGAAGGAGAGAGGGGACAGGAGAGCCAGACATTAGTTGCTATAGTTTGGTTGAAAGTGAGAGAGCCCAAGTCCAAAGGGCCTAAGGACAAGGAGCAGGTGCTGTTTCCTACGCCCACGAAGTCCAGGGGCAGTGAGTTTCAGGCACAGCTGCATCTGGGCTCAAGTACAGTTGCTCCCTCCATTTCGTCTTATCCTGTGTGCACTTCATCCTCAGGCAGGGATTATCTCCCTGAGGTCTCTCCCTGCAGCTCCAAGTGACTCCCCTGTCCCCTCCTCCATCCCCAGGCAGGAGAGGAGGCTGCCTTTCAGCCAACAGAACCCCAGGATCAGCTGCTTTGGCCTGGCATTGGCCTGGCTTGGGCAATCGTGATGCCTGAGCTCACAACGGTGGACTCAAACCCTGGCTGAGGATGCACGAGGAGTGGAGGGGGAGTAGTGGTGGTCATCCCTGAAGCTGCTTTGAGGTCCCCGCGAGGAGCCCCTGCTTAATCCCCCAGCAATGCCTCAGGGGTCCAAGTGCCATCCTGCTGGGACAGTGGGCCTGGGCACAGAGAGCCTGGCCGTGGTTGGGGCGGCAGGGAAAGTGCGACTGCAGAGATGACCTTCTCTCGGGGCATCTGCTTCTCTTGTTCCCTGGCTGCTGTGAGAAGTGAGGCTGAGAGAGCAGGGAGAGGGGCAGTGATGGGTGATGGCAGTTTGGCAGGTCTCAAGGGGCCCGGGCAGGATGGCTGTGGAGCCACCCGTGGTCCATCCGTAGGAAGGAAGCCTGCAGCCCGCTCGGGGTCTGCTCCCTGCTCACCCAGGGCTGATACAGCCAGCTTAAGGGACAGGGTCGCAGGCTGGGCGTGGGGGCTCATGCCTGTAATCCCAACACTTCAGGAGGCCAAGGCAGGAGGATTGCTTGAGACCAGGAGCCCAAGACCAGCCTGGGCAACACAGACAGATCCTGTCTCTACAGAAAATAAATAAAGAGGCAGGGGCACACCCACACCACAGGCCAGGACAGCGGCCCCCAGAAAACCAAGCTCCAATCACACCTCAGCTCCTTCTGCTGAGACTGGGGGCCTGTTGAGCCCTGGGGCCTGGGTCCGAGGGCAGAGGCTGGGGCAGGGAGAGTGCAGAACTGAATGGAGCCTGACCCAGCGCTCTTCCCTCCTAAGGATGGCGCCCGGTGGAGACATCAAGCACGAGAGAAGGAGTGATCCCGGGAAGGCTCCCTGGAGGAGGTGGTGCCTGGAGGCGGTCTTGAGAACCCAGGTCTGATCTGAGGGTCAACAGCCCGGTGAGTGCAGAGGCTGCCGGAGAACTGGAGGAATAAAAAATCTTTGCCGGAGGAAAGGAGCTCCTGCCTCCCCGGAAAGTCCCTCCGTGTGAGCCAGACTGTTGCTGGCGTGCAGTGTGCACCTCCTAGGGCTGGCTGAGAAGTATTCGCTGAATGAATGGAACAGATTGCATCTGTGCAGCCTCCCTCCGTGGGCTAGGCATGAAGACGTGATAGAGAAAACAGAAAAGAAGACAGAAAGCAGAACGGTCTCCACTGTGCTTTTCCAGAACCCTCTGAAAGGCCGAGAGGGCTCCAGGGCAGCTGGGACCCAGCCCCAAACCCAAGTCCAGCTGTGGGGGACCCAGCCCCAGCCCAGGAGCCCTCGCCCCATCCGTAAGAGCATTTGGTGGGGCCTCCTGTGGCTATGATCCAACAGAGCAGCACTGCCTGGGGGGCCTCCGAGCCAAACCCAGGCCATGACCCCCGATCCCTGCTGGTGCCTGGGGGTGAATCAGGCCCTGGACAGTGGTAAGCATCAAGCCAGGGGGCCGCTGGGCCAGGCCAGAGGTAGGGACAGGCCCTGGGGGAGGGGGATGTCTGGACCGTCAAGCTGGTTGGCATCCAGCTCCTCCTGCTTCCCATGCCAGGGTGCCTTGAGACCCGGCTGGTGTCTGCCCTGAATACCTTGCCCACCCCCTCAGCCTAGGTCCCCCACCAAGTGGGGACCAGGCTTGGTGACCCCGGTCCATCCTGCAGGCCCCCATCCAGGGCGCAAGGCTAGGCAGGCCAGCCAGGGGCCACGTGCTCCTGGCTGCTCCACACACAGGCCGTTGGGGCCCTCCCCTCCAGCAGCTGAGGTCAGCATAGGCAGGGGCCTGGTGGATCTAGTGGAGGGCGACAGACAAGAACGTGGGACATGTGGCCAGCACACCTGTGCTCACCGCCCAGGGCTGCTGGAGGGCTAGCCCCGTCTCTGTCCACCCCCTGCCTCCCGCCTGGGTGGGGTAGTCTGTTTGGGGAGGAAGCAAGGATGGCCACGGCGGGGGCACACTGGAGGCCCGTTGTGAGTACTGTGCAGGCCGGTCTCCATCTGGCTGCCGCCTGGATCCGTTCTCAGGGTAAGGCTGAGAGGCCAGCCTTACCCTGGAACCTGAAGCCTGGTGAGGAGGTGGCCCCTCCTCCTCCCTCTGTCCCCACCTCCTGCACCTCCATGCCCCTCCCCAGACACACGCCCCTCACGCTCTGCCCCACCCGGCACCTTCCCCTATGGGTGCCTCCTCCCAGAAGCCTTCAGGGTTATTCCAGGTCTTCCCATTGCCTGTGCTGTTCCCAGAGCTGCTGGCCGTGGTCCCAGGTAGTGTATGCCCTCACCCCTAGGGCAAACGCAGCGCCCTGACCCCTCCTGGAGCCTTGGGTCCTCTTCCCCTGCAGAAGGTCGGGAAGAGGCGCCACGTGGAGGAGCTGAGCAGTGCAGGTGGGCTCAGGGAGCCTCGTCCTGGAGGGGGAGTCTGGGCCCTACGAGGACGAGGACAGAGATGGGGACAGGGACGGGGACGACCCTCTCTGTTGACTCCCTGGAGTCCCGCAGATCCAGGGCAGCTCCTGGGGACCTGGTGCCTGCTGGAAAAACTAACCCAGCTTTGATCAGTGCTGGGGCCGGGACCCAGTGAATGTGGCCGCCCCCGTGTGCTGGGGGAGGAAGGATGGGGGCTCCCAAGCAGCAGGCAAAGAATGCATGCGTGTGCGTGCGTGTGTCTATGTCTGCGTCTGTCAGTGTACACGT
Source organism: Homo sapiens (assembly GCF_000001405.40). Lineage (NCBI taxonomy): Eukaryota > Metazoa > Chordata > Mammalia > Primates > Hominidae > Homo > Homo sapiens. The sequence continues at coordinate 62,228,731 of NC_000020.11, forward strand.
CTCTGTGCATCCGGGTATGTCTGTGCGTGTCTCTCTGGGCTATGTGTGTGTGCACGTGCGTCTGTGGGTCTGCGGGTGTGTCTGAGGGTGTTTGGTGCGAGCTGTGACAGAGGTGTCGGGAGGAAACTGACACTGTCCCCTTCTGCCCTGCAAGGGACAGGTCAGGGTGGGAGAAACAGTTCCTCCCTCCACAAGGCCCTGAGCCAGGGCAGGGGGCGACAATTGCTCTAGAGGCAGACTCCCCTCCCCTGGGTCTGGGCACGAATCACTGTCACTTGCTGCCCACACGCCTTTCCATACACACACACACTCAACACTCATCCCACACACACTCGCACACGCAACACTCACACACTCAACACTCTCACACTCACCCCACACACACTCACACACTCAACACACACACTCAACACTCAGTCACACTCATCCCACACACTCACACACTCAACACTCACACACACCCACACATTCACCCACACTCACACACACTCCACACTTATCCCACACACCCACACACTCACCCCCCACACACTCAACACACACTCATCCCACACACTCACACACTCATCCCCCACACTCAACACACACACTCATCCCGCACACACTCACTCAAAGACTCATACGTTCAAACATACTTCCCCCCATTCCCCACACACTCACACTCAAATACGTACACACTTCCCCTCAATTCACACATACTCACACACACTTCCCCTCAATTCCACACAAACACACACTTCCCCATTCCACACTCACACTCACACACACTTCTCCAATTCCACACACACACACAGTCACACTCAAACACATACACACTTGTCCCCATTCCACACACACTCACTCTCACACACTTCTCAATTCCACACACACATACACACTTCCCCATTCCACACTCACACACTCACACTCAAATACACACACATTTCTCCCCATTCCACACACACAAACACATACACACTTCCCCATTCCACACTCACACACTCACAAACACGTACATTCTCCCCATTCCACACACACTCAAACACGTACACACTTCCCCCATTCCACACACACTCACTTCCCCATTCCACTCACACACTCCCCCATTCCACACACACACTCTCACACACTCCCCCATTCCACACACACACTCACTCTCACACACTTCTCCTCAATTCCACACACACAAACACATACACACTTCCCCATTCCACACTCACACACTCACACTCAAACACACACATTTCTCCCCATTCCACACACACACAAACACATACACACTTCCCTATTCCACACTCACACACTCACAAACACGTACATTCTCCCCATTCCACACACACTCACAAACACGTACACTTCCCCCATTCCACACACACACTCACTCTCACACACTTCCCCCATTCCACACACACACTCACACACACACTTCCCCAATTCCACACACACACACTCTCACACTCCCCCATTCCACACACACTCTCACACACTCCCCCATTCCACACACACTCACTCTCACACACTTCCCCCATTCCACACACACTCACTCTCACACACTTCCCCATTCCACACACACACTCACTCTCACACTTCCCCATTCCACACACACTCACTCTCACACACTTCCCCCATTCCACATACTTATGCTCACACAGTCACACATACACACAAACTCACTTCCATACTCACACCCTCAACACACCCATACACACACACTCCCAATTCCACACACTCTTCCACTCACACACTCACACTCATTCACTTCCACACACGCACACACTCCAATTCCACTCACACACATTTCCACTCACACACACTAACACTTTCACACACGCTCACTCATACACTTCCCCCAATTCCACACTCTTCCATTCACACACACATTCATTCACACTTCCACACACACTCCCACAATGCCACACACACACTACACACTCACATTCACACTCTCACACACACACTCTGCCACACACACTTCCACTCACACACACAACCAGAAAACAAGGGAACAAGCTGTCCCACCTGGGCTGTCCCTGGGGGAGCAGGGGAGAGTGCCTGGGACCGAAGGGCTTTGTAGGGCCTCACGTAGCTTTGCTTGGAACCCACCAAAGTGGCATGGGTGCGTCCTGGCTGCAGCTGGGAACCCGAGGTCCCGGGCCAGACCAAGGGCATGAGCAGGGGGCAGCGCCGGGCCTTGATGGAGGATGATGGAGGCGCAGCTCCTAGACCCAGGTCAGAGGCTGTCTTTGCAGGACATGATGGGGCCATCTGGTCTCTCCCCAAGGCCCTGAGGGAATGACGGTCCACATCCCCGGAGTGCTTGTTACCCTGGTGCATCCCCCTGACCCTCCCCTACACTGGCCAACCTCACCTGGATCTGCCTCTTCCTGGCATCCCATCATCCTCTCACTTTTTCTGGAGTTGCTTAGCTGATCCAAGCAGAGATGGGAGTGCCCAAGGGATGCACGGTGAGGTCACTGGGCGACTCCTCCATCCCCTGGGCTCTGTGTCCCACCTATGCAGCACTGGATGAGCCAGTGGTGGAAAGACCCTGGTGGAAACATCTGGGGCTCCTTGGTGTGCATCTTGAGTGCCCACCTGTGTGCTCTTCTGAAGGGTGACCCCAGCCCGGAATGCCCTGATGAGGAGAGGAGGGAGTCAGAGACCTGTTGGGACATGTGGCCGTCCTCTCCCTGTGTGGCGAGGTGGGCAGATGGCTCAGGACACTTCATTTACCAGGATGGAAACTTTGCCTGCATCTGAGAGTACACTGGTGGTGCCATCTCCTTCAGGCATGGTTGGATCCAGGAGCCCGACGGCTACCATCAAAACTGGTGTCCCCACCCTGGGCTCAGCCTGCTGTCCTCTCAGACAGCCCTTGCCCTTGGCATGGCACCTCCAGGCTGACATCCCAGCTCAGACCTGGGGTCCATGAAGGGCCCAAGTACGATCTGACTGATTATGGCTAGGCAATGAGTGATGCCCAGGTCCCAGTCACATGCCCTATTTGGGGCAAGAGATGGGCTCAGCCTAGTACCAGCCTATGGGTAGTTCCCAAAGAAGGATTCAGGGCTGCTCCTAGGAGATGTGGTGGATACTGGGCAGAGCCCCGGCAATGCCCACATGCCCTCCAAACAACTTTCCCTTGCTCTGCCTTCTCTGAGCCTCACCAAGCCCCCACGAAGTTGAGGCTCAGAGTGCCTCTGTGGCCTACTTAGGACCTCCATCAGCAGCTAGGATCTCCCTCAGCACCTAGGACCTCCATCAGCAGCTAGGACCTCCATCGGCACCTAGGACCTCCATCGGCACCTAGGACCTCCATCGGCACCTAGGACCTCCATCGGCAGCTAGGACCTCCATCGGCAGCTAGGACCTCCATCGGCAGCGAAGACCTCCATCAGCAAAGGCTGGGTCTAGACCCCCATGGGCTCCAGATTCCACCCAACTCCCAGCCATCTGCCCAGACCGACCCACACCCACCTCCTGCAGATGCCCTGGGCATTACTGAACCCCTATTTCCTGAAGCCAGCCAGCGAGTGGGAGCACCGGCCAGCATGGTCCTCCCTGGCCCCAGGGATCTCCCAGCCCTGGGACATGGGACCCCTGGGCAGACTGCCTTCCCCCAGCTTGTGCAGGCTGGCACCAGGCACAGAAGCCCAGCACAGGGCCTCTTATCAGCCCCTCCATCTCTTCCCCAGAACAGGCCCAGCCTGCTTGCCCAGCCTGTCACCATGCCTGGCAGGGATGGCATCACCCAGCCGGCTGTGTGCAACTGCTGAAACCCCGTGGGCCCTGCTTCCAGTGCCGCACCCTCCTCGCCCAGGATGGCTGCAGGATTTACCAGGTCCTCCGCACAGTGAAAATGTGAGCTCCTTGCCCCAAGATGATGAAGAATTTCAAGACGGCAATGGTAGATTGGTAAATTAACCTCAGGTGCCATGTGACAGCACAGGTTGGGTGCTGTGAGCCATGCATGAAGCTCCTGGTGGGTACAGCTCTGCCTCATGGGTCACCCCTCTCTACCGTGACCACGAGGACTGGGCTGGGTATGCAGTGCCCTGCTGTGACCCCTGACACACAGACCCCTAGCCATCCCCTCCACCCCCTCCCTGACCTCCTCTCCCAGGGATGCAACTGGGGGAGCACACCCATCCCCAGAAGAACCCCAAATCTCTGGCTGGCTGTCTCTTACCCAACCCCCATCCCCAGCTCCAGCTGAGGGGCAAGCGTGCTGCTGGGCTGCTCCTGAGGAGAAACCCATGGCGCCACCCTCAGGCCCCCGGTGGCTCCTCAACCTGGGCCCCATCTCTGCCCCCCATCTTGGCTCCTCAGGCATATTTAAACTTTGCCCCTCCCACCCCCGTGCCTGGCGGATCCCCTGGCACTGAGGCCCAGCCAGTGGCTCCAGCCAACGCACTTGGCTCCCGCAGCAAGTTAAATCTAACCCAGCCCAGCTGTCTCTCCTCCGGCTCCCACCTGCCCCTCCCGTTCCCTGCAGGGATGTGCCCACACCCTGCCAACCCTACATGGGCCCTCAGGAAGGGTGCAGAGGTCCCCCAGGGTCCCCCACTTTCCCACACTAGGAAAGCCCTTTGCCTAGCAGCCTCTGGGGTGGGTGCCCTGCTTCTGGAGGTACCCCGGCACCCAGGGTGGGGCCAGCAGAGTGCAGCAGGTTTTCAACAGGTATTTCAAGAAGGAGCAGGAACCCACTTCCCATCAGTCAGGGTGCAGCCAGGAAGAGGGAAACTCCAGGGCCAACGCTGAAGTGGCCGCTGCAGCACCACGCTGGGGCACGGAGTTGGAGTACAGCCCTTGTGCCACAGGCGTGCCAGGGAATGTGTGCCAGGCGCTCTGTCTTGCATCTGGGGCTGTCGGTTCTTCTGAGGCAGGGCACTCATGGGTCGCTTCTGGAGATGTCCACATTTCTGGGTCTGGGACTGTCTAGGCCTGGCTTTGGGGCCATCTGTAATCTGCTCCCCGTAGCCCCATGTTTTGTTTAGGCTGGAAGTGCACTCAGCTAAAATGCCGTTATCCTACCAAAAGTGGCATAGGATGGAGTTCTGGCCAGTGAGATGTGAGCAGAAGTGCTGGGTGTGTCTTCAGGGACAGATCCTCAAAGGGAGCTGACTCATCTAGGGGGCAGCACTTTTGCTCTTCCTCTTTTCCTTCCTCCTTTCTGGTCAGGTATGCTTGTGATGGCTGGAGCATCAGCAGCTGTTTTGGGCCATGAGGTGACACTGAGGCTGGAAGCCAGCACTAGGAGAGTGATACAGTAAGGTAGGAGCTGCGTCCCTGAGGATGCCACTAGGAGAGGATAGTGTAAGATAGGAGCTGTGTCCCTGAGGATGCATGGTACCCTGCCAGCTGGACAGCGCAGGCTTGTGTCACCGAGAGAAAAGTACGTTTCTACTCTGTCGAAGCCTCTGTTACTCTGAGCTTTCTCAGGAACGCAGCTCTAACCAGTTCTAAAGGGCAGGCAGCCATGTTGGCTCAAATGCTTCCCCCAGCAAGGCAGGAAGCCACTCCAGTGTCCTGCAAGAAACTTCATAGAAAAAAGGCTTCCATCCCCATATGTTGGGGGTCTGCATCAGGCCCTTCCTGGGCCCTGGAGCCTCCATGTGCACCTGAGTGGGAAGGGCTCTGGGAAGCCTAAGGCTGGGGAGGGCACCTGTTGACTTTGTTTAAATAGTGTTCTCAAGCCTACTTGACTGAGGAACCCCTTCCTCCAGAAACAAGGAATTACAGCCGGAAAGGCCTCTGGGAAGGCCACCTTCTCTGCCCTTCACTGCGGGGTGGGGCGTGTCCCTGAGCTACTGCACTCAGAGGAGCTGGGCCTGGCCCCGGGCAGGCAGCAAGCACTCCAGGAGAGGCTGTGGCTGCTGCCAGCTCTGTGAGCGGGAAACTGGGGGGCCTTTCTCCCCTCTCCCCAGCCCCTCATTCCAACTGCTCTGGAGCTGTGGCCTGAGCCCCACCCTGGCCCTCTGCTCAGAAGGGCCTGTTCCCAGGCAGGTCTCAGTGCCCAGGAGTGGAGAGGGGGGCTGTGGAGACCAGGGGGATCATCCCAGGAAGAGTGGGTTTGCAAAGCTGCAGCAGCAAGGAAGCTGTGGGGTAAAAAGTTTATAAGAGGAACACTATTTTTTCTTTTGGCAGAATTTAATGGGTGCAGATTGTTCAGGTCCCAAAGACATGGGAAAAAAAAAAAAGAGAGAGAGAAAGAAAAAGCCCTTTGCTGCTGCTATTGATAACTTGTCTCGCTTCACGTGGTGGGTTCAAAACTAAAAATACTCTCCTCCCCACAGCAGAGAAGCCAGGGCTGTCACGTCGCAGAGGAGACTGGAGAGCTGCGGCGGGGAGGGGTCAGCTGCGGCCACGTGAGGGCCAGGCCCCTCTCTGACTGCCCAGGCTGCATCCACACAGAAGATTCCATGGCTTTCCATAAAAGAGAGTGGGAGAATGTCCTCTCTAAAGGCCTGGGGAGTGCCTGGGGAGAGGAGACAGCCTCAGCTGGGGCTCACCAGCCAGCAGCTGCCAGCCAGGCCAGCAATGCCAAGGCACCCGGCGTTCCTGGAAGCCAAGCCCTGTTTGATCTAATGGGGCAGCTGTGGGTGCAGACCCAGATAAAGAGATAAACCCAGACCCAGAAACCTGGGGGAGGAGGTAAGAGTGGAGCGGGGGAAAGGGCGGTGGGTCGTAGGCGGGACTGGTGCTGCCAGGCCCTGGGCAAGCTGCTTCTGCTCTCTAAGCCTCAGTTTCCCCATCCAAAAGGTGGGAGCAACAACCTCTCTTCCGCCTCCTTCACCGTGAGAGGAAAGGAAGCGGGATGACATAGTTGTGGCTGGGACTGCTGGACCCCGCATGCCAGCCCTGGGAGGTATGTGGGTCATGAAATCCACCCACTGGTGACCTCCCCCATGGTGAGGGAGGGAGAGAGCTTCTCCCCTCCTTGGCTAAGAGGACAGAGGGAGGATCCTACAAATTCTGTCAGGAAGCAGAAATTTGGTCTGAGAGCAGTGAAGGTGGGAGCAGACACCCCCCAAATCACCTGCAGGATGAGCATTTCTCAGGCTCTAGAGAGCATGTGTGGGACACAGCCGCCAGCCCACCTGGTGCGGGGGTCCAGCAGCCACAGCCATGGGAACTCCTGGGCCTGTTGTTCGTGTGCGGATCCTGGTCCGGGAGCCTGGATGCGGCTCTGCCTTGCCGACAAGCTCCTGGGCCAGGCCTGGTCCACCAGACCTCCCTATGCTTGGAGTGCCTGCTTGTTGTGCCTGGAGCTGTGCTGGGCCCTTCCTCATTGCAGGGCTGGGGGAGTCACTTAACCTGTCTGGGGCTCAGTCTTCTCATCTGTAAAGTGGGAATGATGGCACCTGGTACCCACTTGATTGGCTGTTGCAAACATGAAACCAGATGGGCCTGTAAATCACAGGGCACTCGGCCGCCATCACCATCATCATCATCAACATCATCATCCTCATCATCATGGCCCCAGCTCATCCATCTTTGTTGCCTTCTCCACCCCCATCTTCCATCCTTGGAGAACTGTGCCTCTTGAATTGGCCTCGTGACCTAGTAAAGATCATAACAAAGACGCCTAAGTTGGTCTCAAGGCACCCTCCTTACTACCCACCAACTGAGGGAGGATTCTCGCCTAGTCCCAGCAACTGGCCCCGGGGAGGAAGTACCCTTCCCAGTCCTGGCACGTCTCCAGCAGTGCTGGCTGACGGCAGACTACCCTTGAAGCTCAGTTACTGCATTTGTGGAGAGGGGTGAAACCCCTGCTCCAGCCCAGGGGCCATCTGAGATCACACCCCCAACCCCAAGGCCAGGGTGGATCTCCCTGCTTGGCCCTGGGGTGGTCCCTGGGCAGATGAGAGGGTCCTTCTGCCTGAGCCTCTGAGGCTGCCCTCACTGCAGAGCTCGTGGTCAAGGGGTGGGTGGGCAGGTTGGATCCCCTCAAGGGCACAGGGGTTAGAGTCTTAGAGACTTAGGGTGAGGGACATGGAGAGTGATGGGTTTCTGGGACCCTGAGCTGGCCCTGGCAAGGCCCACAGGGAAAGCTGTGGAGCGCAGTCATCTCCGTGGCAACTGGCCTCATCGTCCTTGTCCTGGCTTGGGGGCCGCACGCCTTCCCTTCCCTTTCACCGGCTGGAGTCGCTTTCTTCAGAGGTAACCATGGCAACCCCTTTGTTTCTGAGGCCTGCCCGCCCTCCTCCCCGTTCTCTCTTCAGGAGAGGCTCAGCCAGCTCCTTCCTGGTCCCGGCACGTCTCTAGTGGCGCCGACTGACAGTGGCCCACCAGTGAGTGGGGCCAGCCCCTGGGGTGGGGGAGAACGGCCCTGCTGGGCCCAGAGATGTGGCCTGGGCCCCACCCCTGCCACAGAGGCCACGTTCATTGGCTCACTCATGCCCTGAAATTTATAGAGAGTACCCACGTCTGCCACGGGGCCACAGATGGGGCAAAGGCCTGTCCCTGCCTCCATGGCCCTGCTAGGGGCAGCCTGGAAGTGGGGAGACAAGGCCTGAGGAGGGGGTGCAGAGGCCCAACGGGGGCTGGCTTTGCTGCAGGACGCACTGCGGGGTCACGGGTCATCTGCCAGAGCTCTCAAGGCCACAGGAAGCCCAGGACTCTTGGCTTTACCTCAAATGGGCTGAAGCAGAAACAAGCATGTGGTTCACGTAACTGAAAAGTCAAGGAAAGGACCTGCTGAGGTGCAGCAGGGTCCACGTGACCCGGCCGTGGTTGCTCCGGCTTTCCTCTGGGCTGGCTTCATTCTCGTGCAGCCCTGTTCTCGGGTAGTGAGATGTGGAAGACTGGCCCCTTCCCTCTCTCACCTAACCCAGCTCTGGAGAGGTCTGTGGGCAGATGGGAGAGTCATTTGACTTCAGCCTCCCCTCCGGTCTGAACTCTGACCCTACAGCAAAAGTCCCAGGACTGAGCCTCTTTGGCTAGAACTGGGTCACAGGCTGACCCCTAAACCAACTGCTGTGACTATGTAGCCAGCCTGGTTTATGCCACTCCACTCACCTCAAACCAGACCCATGACTTCAATGAGATGTTGACAGGGGAACCCTGGTTTGCAGATGAAACTGAGTGATCACAGACTCAGAGAGGTTAATTAATTTGTCCAAATCCACACAGCTGGTAAAGAATGCAAGCTCCAGGTCTGATTCCAGAACTTCTGGGCTTAACCCTGGAGCCACTGTAGGTCAGTGGGAGTCCAAAGGGTTTTAAGTATGGTGGTGAAACGGTCGGGGATGCAGCTGGAGGGGTAAATTGGCGCTGGATTTTGGTTGGCGGTGAATGGCATGCAAAGGAGGTGGACGATATTCAGGATTTGGTAGGACAGTGGAAGCAGCTACGCCCCAGCTATCGCACGGTCCCCAGCATTTGTAGGAAAAAGCCCCCAGGGCTTTGGGTAGCCTCGCAGGCCCGCACTGCCGCCAGGACGCAGTGCACCTGAGGGCGGAGCACCCACGCCCCGGGCCACCTGACTCACTGTTTGTCAACTCTGCTCTCTGCAGCCACGCCCTTTCCTCCTTGCCTCCCTCCCCTTTTGGCTCAGGGGCGGCATAACCCCGCCTCTCTCCTGCTGTGACTGGCTGTCCTTGCCGTCACTCCGCTGCGTGGGCGGGGCTCTGAGGGGGCACAGGTAGAGGCCCTTCGCGAAGGGATTAGCATAGTCCCACCCCCCGGCGCGAGCCTCGGGCCGGGCGCTGATTGGGCAGGCAGCGGCCGACGCGGCGGCGCCGGGCGCAGCGAGTGGCGGGCGCGGGCTGTCAGTCGGCGAGGCGGCGGGCCGCACTTCCGCCTCGGTGTCAGTGGGTCGCGGGCCTACGGGGCGGGGGCGGGGCGGCAGTGAGCTCGGCCGGCAACCGAGGGACCCGCGTCCAGGTGAGTGGCCCCCGCCGCCGCCACGCGAAGGCCCGGGACCCCGGCGAGCTGCGGGGCCTGGGCCGCGGGCTGGGGCTGGAGCCGGGGCGGGGAGGGGAGGGCGGGCCGGGCAGGACCCGGGTCCGCAGGCCGCCTCCAGCCCCGGCCCCGGCCCCGGCCTCGACCCCCACTGGGAGGCGCGCCCGGCCTAGGCCGCAGCCTGGCGCCCCGGGGAAACTTTGGGAGGAAAGTTCCGGCCGGGCGTGGGGCCTGGGCCTGGGTCCCGCGGCCCCCGCACCCTTCCCCCTGCGGTCGCCCGGCAACTGCGATCCCGGGACCCCCGGCCCGGCCCCCCCGAGATCCCCAGCCCCCCTGCTGCCCCGCTGAGCAGGAAGTGGGGACGGGCGCACCTGCTCGCGGCCTCGCCCTCTCTCACCACCTCACCGGGAACAGGGAAGGATTTCGTGCGCATTTAGGGCGATCCTGTAGGTGAGGAGGGCGAGTTCCGCCGGGAAGAAGGGCAGGGAGACGCAGTCCCACTCCGACCCTGGCCTTCTTGTCCCGCAGGCCTGTGTGCACGTCGTCCCGGGGAGGGTGCCCGCGAGCCCTTGTCCGTTCCCCTGGGCTCTGTTTTTGTTTTTAATTTATAAATCTTAGCAGACTACACACGGTTGAGAACTTGCTACCTAAAACCTATCTTTGGTAATGTAATTTTAAGAGGTTCCTTCTTTCGCCAGTTATATTTTGGTACTCAGAAGAATACGTCTTTAGACTTTCCAAGTTTATAAGCCCAGACCAAGACTGTTAGGTCGTCACAGCACCTCAGCCTCCCCGCTTCATGGGAGGACCGGCGACGAGGCAGTGGGTGTCGGGGTGTTGCAGGCTCTCCTGGGGTGAGGGTCACCTCCCAGGGGCGTTTCTATCTGAACCGTCCTCTAGGACAGGCCCTGGCCTAGCCTGGCTCCGGCAGCTTTGGGATGACTGCCCGGAACACCTGGAGAAGGGGTCCCATTCGGTTTGGTTGGATAGACGTTTCTCGAATGCCTGCTGTGGGCCTGGCTGGGTGCTGTGCGGCCTTCCCACCAGCTGGATGTGTGGTGAGGACAGCGGAGAGTTGAGGAGCCCGGAACTGGTGCAGGGGCCACATGCTGGGAAGCCACGGCCGTCCCTGCTGCCCTTCCTAACTCGTGCCCATGGCCTCTTTTCTGGCTGTCAGCCTCAACTCCTTCATCCGGACATGTAGCACTTTGCTGATAAGAGAAGCAAACGAGATCATTTTCTTGTTTTATGTTTTGAGATGGAGTCTCGCTTTGTTGCCCAGGCTGGAGTGCAGTGGTGCGATCTTGACTCACTGCCACCTCCGTCTCCCGGCTTCAAGCCATTCTCCTGCCTTAGCCTCCCATCTAGCTGGGACCACAGGCGCCGGCCACCACGCCCGCCTAATTTTTTTATTTTTAGTAGAGATGGGGTTTTACCATGTTGGCCAGGCTGGTCTCGAACTCCTAACCTCAAGGGATCCGCCTGCCTCAGCCTCCCAAAGTGCTAGGATTCCAGGTGCGAGCCACCGCGCCCTGCCATGAAATCATTTTCTACCACAGTCTCTGACACCTAGTGCGCACCCCGGAATGCCAGTTACCTTCCCCTTGTTGAGGACAGGAACTTTGTCGGTGGCACTTCCTCCCTGCCCAGCCCAGTGCCTGCCACAGTGTCGTCTTTTAGAATGTGGCAATGAGTGAGTGAGTGACTGAGTCTCCCTCATAGAATTTACCCTGTTTTCTTCATGTGTCCATCTATTAATGACAGCTCTTACCCCAGCAGACGATAATATTTAATAATGATTGTTCCAGGACTGTTACGAGCATGTCGTATTCACTTTCTTTGTGTGATCTTCACAACAGTCCACTGGGCAGGTACTGACATTATCCTTAGTTCATTCATGAGGAAGCTAAGGAACAGAGAGGTTAAGTAACTTACCTAAACCACACAGCAGTAAATTATGAAATATGGATTTGAACCCAGGCTCCAGGGTTCACACTCTTAAACACTACCCTGTACTGCCTTTTAATATCAAGATTTTCATTTAACATTTTCGTTTAGAATATTCTAATCATGCTGCATTACTCTGTGTCAGAATTTCGGGATTTTGCTACATATAGAACTAATAGACTTTCTTTTTTGTGAGCCTGAGTGTTTACAAAGCCATTTCATTTTTTCTGAAATAAAGTAATTTACCGTTTGACCATTCAGGATTTTGCCAGAATACCTTCCCTGCCACCCAGCTCCTTTGTTACTGGCAGATTCAGTGGTGGTCTCTGTGTGAAGAGGGAGGACTGAGGGGCATGGGTGCTGACAGGCGTACAGTCCAGACTCTGAGGTCTCCGTTCTGAGTTCAGTTCCAGGGGACTTCACACACTGCCTTAGAGTACACACGTAGGACATTTTTCTTCCACGCCTCGAGTGCGTTGAGAGGGTCAGACTCTGCTGTGTTCCACATGTTAATGAGAGGTGCTGTTTGAATGTGAAAAAAATGCCACTTGACTTTCATCCCAGTGTCTCTCCTCTGTGCCGTCCAGGAGATGCCAGCAGATGGGTCTTGGAATTTTTTTTTTTTTGAGATGGAGTCTCGCTCTGTCGCCCAGGCTGGAGTGCAGTGGCGCGAACTCGGCTCACTGCAAACGCGAACTCAGCTCACTGCAAGCTCTGCCTCCCGGGTTCACACCATTCTCCTGCCTCAGCCTCCCAAGTAGCTGGGACTACAGGCGCCCGCCACCACACCTGGCTAATTTTGGGTCTTGGATTTGTCATTAAAGCTTGCTCGACTTTTAAAGTTTTAGTACATTCAGCCAATTACAAAAGTGACATTTTGTATAAGGGAATTGTTGACACATTTTAGGTTCTTATGCTGTCTTCAAGCAGGGAAGCTGCCATCTCCTCAAGGTGATTTCTTTAATGTCCCCATGCAAGCCATGTCTTGTCTGGCCGTGCAGGCACAGCTGGCGCCGTGCCTTCCTGAGTCACAGCATCTTTGCGAAGGTGGTGCGCCAGACCAGGGCTCTTGGGTCCTGGGTGGGTTCCCACTGGCTCCTGCCTTCAGTGTCTTTGCCTGTAAGACGGATTACTATGTGGAATCTGTGAAAATATAACATCAAGTGTCTGATACGTTGTGGGTGCCTGGGCCGCCCTTGGCTCCAACACCTGCTGAAGCTGGAGCCTCTCAGCAGTGCAGCAGTCACACCCTCAGGTGTCCCGGGATCTTTGGGTGTGGGCTGATTTTCTCCTAGTCATTGTCATACTTCCTGTTTGGGTGTTGACATTTCGTTTAGTGTTTAGCACAGATTGTCAGGTACGAGGTTTAATTCCAATATGTAGTACATTTTCAGGTTGATTTATAACCTTATCTACACTGAAAGGAAGTCAGTATTTGAACATGACTGATTATTAAAAAGGACCGAAGTCCTGAGTTAATATGGTGGGTTCTGGTTTGATAGTTTAAATGCACTTTCCACATATGCTAGTTGATTTGTAAATCTGCTGTCATTTTTGCTTTTTCAGAGTGTTCTTGCTAGTGAGTTTCAGGCATGGTGTCCCGGCCTCTCAGGCTGCTGGTTTGGGCTAGGGTCCCACTGTGGAAGCGTGGTGGTGTCCCGGCCCACCTCTGCAGCTCTTGATAATAAAAGCATCTGTTAAATAGCTCACAGCACTGTTTGCGTGAACTTTTTGGCACTTCTTTCCTTTTCCTTCCAGATTCAGAAAAGAACTTGGGATCATTCAGCAGAATGTCACAGCATCCACATTCTTTCCGCTGGAGCTTCTGCTGATGCAAATCCTGTGACCTCTGAGTTGAGCTGAGTGGTGGAAGTGAGCTTTTATAAGGGACTGGATCTGAGACTCGTGCCTGATGTTTGTGGCTGTTTCTCTTTGCTTGCCTTCTGTTTTCAGTGGAACACTCGCTTGATGTATTTTGAGAAACAAACTCTGGGATCAGTCCTGTTGAGCTAGTGGCTGGCTCCATAGTTTGGGGCCTGAAGAGGTTCCCGCACCCTCAGGGCTTGTGGCGGTCATCAGGCCTCTCTCCTGGGTGTAAGGTGTGTACTTCTCACCTGCGCACTGAGGGCCTGGGGGCTGTGGCCCCGACGCTGAGGCAAGTCAGGGGTGGGAAGGGTCTGAGGGGCTCTTGGCTGAGCAGACACTGAGCACATTTCTTTATCAAAGGCGCTGGGACTGCAACCTTCAGGGGTGCCCAGAGAGCGCCTGTTGTGGGCTCATACGGGGAGTTCTTGGAGGAGCACCAGGCAGGGAGGACTGTAGTGTGTAGGGAGTTGTGTGGAGTTTTGGTTCCAGAAAAGACGGAGGCAGCTGTAGAGGAAGGAGGACTATGGTGTGGAAGTGAGTGCCTGTGCTTTGTACTGAATAAACCTAAGGCTGATCCAAGGCTGATCGTGAGAAAGAGCCCCCTGTAACCTGGGACCTTGTGCCACTGTGCTCGGCCAGAGAGCAACTTCCATTATTGCCTTAAAACTAGGGGGACTGTGATTCAGTGACATTTCGGTGACTCCGATAATGACGGCAGGTGTCAGGTGCGCACAGGGCGTGGGGCTACCCTCTTACTGTGAAAGAGGACACGGGCTGCGTCTGTGGTGGCGAGCTCCTGCGAGTGCCCTGGCTCTGGCTTGGCCTCTCTTGATGATGTAGCAGAGCTGGGAGTCTCGCTGTAATCATCACCCGTCTTCCAAGTAAGTCTCACCTGTGGGAAATGCTGGAACACCTGAGCGGAAGCAGAGCCAGGGCAGTGCCTGAGCTGGGGCCAGGGGAGGGGTCCCAGTGCAGAGGTGCCCGAGGAGCCCTAGCGCCTGCCCCGCAGCCCCTGCCCCGCAGCGCCTGCCCCGCAGCGCCTGCCCGGCAGCTCCGCCTCTTCAGTGGCTCGGCTGTCAGGGTAGAAGGCTCCTGGGTTAACATCATGGAGTTTTCACCCCTGCTTCTCATCAGAAAAGCTGGGGGAACTTTTTAAAAAGTGTGGGTTCAAGGCCCAGCCCCAGCTTCACTGAGCCTGGGTTTCCCGGGAGGGGCCCAGGAAGAGATGTGTTTAACAAGCTCGGGAGGGTCTGGGGTGGGTCCTCAGCGGGGAGTCCAAGTGCTGGAGGCCCACGGTGGGGTCAGGACCCTTTTTTAGATCAAGGACCCCTTTGAGAACTTCATGAATATGAATAATGTGGGTCATTATTCTGGGGAAAAAAATGAACGAAAAATTTTTTTTCCTGTTTTTTTAAATTTTTTAATTAAAAAAAAATTTTTTTTGCAGAGGGTAGGGGGGTTAGAGATTGGTGGTTTTCCCTGACCTTGGTTTGAAGCCCTGCCTGTAGGTGCTCAGGAAGCACAGTTGGCAGCCACGTGGGCAGGTCTGATGTTAGGGTGACAGGTTTCTCAGCACAGTGGACCCCATTAGGGCTGCACAGGATGAAGATGGGCACGATGGTGAGGAGGGCCTGGAGCTGAGGCCACAGAGAAGGAGGCGGCCAGAGGGCAAGGACGCACTCCAGCAAGCCAGCCACTCCTTGGCTGGGCAGGTGCCCTGGGGAAGGCCGGGAGCCCTGCAGGACAACAGCCTCTCACCTGGGTCACTCACTTCCCTTTGCTGTCTTAATTTTCCTCCCACTCCCTCACCGCGTCCTCCGCCTGCTGTGGCCCTTGCTGGGTTGTGAGATGTGGGTACAAGGTGTCTCCTTCTCCTCTAGCTGCAGCCGCAGGCTGGGCTCCTCTCGGGGCCGTTGGTTTTGATCATCAGAGATACACAGCGGCGGCGGGTCGGGGGCTGGCTGGACTGCTGCTGCCCTTGGAGTGCTCTCCCTGCCCTCCGGCATGGCTTTCTGAGAGCAGGGCGCCCGTGAGCTGTGGGGCATGCGCCCTGTCCATTGCCTTCCCACCCAGTCTCGTGGGCCGCATTGGAACAGCTTTTTATTGTGTTGCATAAGGAGAAGGTTGATTAAAACACATGTTTTTGTACGGAAGCGCTTGCATTCATCTTGTGTGTTTGGAAATACATCGTACTGCATTACAAGGTAATGTTCCTCGAGGTGCGTGGTGTATTTTTGGCAATTAATATTCCACAGGAAGCAGTTAAGTCAGCGACAAGACTTGAGGGAGTTGACTGTGGTGAGTGGGGCGCTAGGCTCCGCTTCCGGGACGTCGGGCCACACTGGCCGCGAGGCCCAGTGGGAAGGTTTGCCACTCCCCACAGCTGCTTCTTGGGACCAAGCCGGGCTCACCTTTGCCTGCCTCTCAAGGTCACCCTCTTGGCATGGAGAATGGTAAACAGTGGGGGTGCTGCTGTCTGCACAGTGGGAGAGGTTCACCTGCCTTTCTCAGTGTAGAAACTTCCTGCGTGAATTCTGGACTGATGCAGAGTCCTCATGTGCACCTGGCAAGTTTGCCTGGCTGGCACGCGTAGCACAGGGCCTTCCCGAGTCAGGGTTGAGCCATTCGTGTGTCCACGCTGGTGTCTTAGGATAAAGGGCTGAAATCTGTTCTTTTTTTTTTTTTTTGAGACGGTGTCTTGCCTCTGTCGCCCAGGCTGAAGTGCAGTGGCGCGATCTCGGCTCACTGCAACCTCCGCCTCATGGGTTCAAGTGATTCTTGTGCCTCAGCCTTCTGAGTAGCTGGGACTACAGGCATGTGCCACCTGTAATTTTTTTGTATTTTTAGTAGAGATGGGGTTTTGCCATGTTGCCCAGCTGGTCTTGAGCTCCTGACCTCAAGTGATCTGCCTGCCGTGGCCTCCCAAAGTGCTGGGATGACAGGCGTGAGCCACCGCGCCCGGCCTGAAACCTGTTCTTCAGCTAAGGCGTGTTACATTCTGTGTGGTGTTAGGGAGCTGGTTTGTGATGAGCCACGTAGAGCCCCACGCTAAGAAGAACCATACAGGCCTGAAGAAGGCGGAGAGGTTGTTCAGGTTAAAAAGCGCAGACCTAGAGCCAGCTGGTTCTGTGCTCAGAAGGGCTGTCTCCTGGAGCTTCTGATGCAGTTGGACTTAACCTTATTTGGCTAAAGGATCAAGAACCAGTGTTCAATAAAGGTCACTCTTGATTCCATCCCATTGCCACCAAAACACAGTGCATTTAAGGGCAAAGGCCTGAGCGGCCAGTCGTACGTGCCTCACTCGTGACGGGCTGCAGATGGTGACGAGGACAGACAGCCGTGCACATACCCCTTGTTAAAAAAGGTCATTGTTGTGAATGGCATATGACTTGTTTATTTGGTTCTAAATTTATACAAAATCTGTAAAAATAACCGTTAAGCTTTTACAATGACAGGAATATTAAGGCTTGATTTTTTTCCTCGACAATTGGCAGAAGGCGTGTTTCAGTGAGCACAGACGGAGCAATCCAGGGAGGTCTGGGAAGGAGGAATGGGGCCTGGCCTGGCGGTGTCCTTGACGGCCCTCCATCGTTGTGGGGTTGGTGTTTGAGAGGTAGCTGTGGCGCGGGGCCGGCTGCCATTCCCGCGTCTCCTCGCAGAGGCCTGGACCTGCGCCTGGGGCTGGCAAAGCCCTCTGCTCTCGCTGCTGCCGCCGCCTCCATCTTCCTCCACCCTCTGGTGGGGCTGGTCACAGGCAGGGCATGGTCCCATGATGGCTCAGCCCCATGGGGCCCCGGGACGCTGTGTCCAGGATGGGCGCCACTGCCGTGGGTGGCTGTTGAAGTGAAGTCAATTCAGCTGATTAGCATCCAGCATTCAGTTCTCCCTCACGTTTCAAGTGCTTGTAGCCACCTGTGGCCCATAGGGACGACACTGGACAGATGACATTTCCAGTGCCATGGGAGAGTCTAAGCTCAGCTCTGAAGCTGTGAAATGTTGAGTCTTTGTTTTAGTTAAGTTTTGTTTTTTTGCAAAAGAAACGAGATTGTGGCCTGGTGGCCAGCTGGGTGTCAGTGGGGTGAGGGCTTCTAGGCGTCCGGGTGATGCATGGGCTGAGTTTGCAAAGTGGATGTGTCAAGGCTGAAATGCTAGCTGAGAAGCATTGCCCACGCTAGGCTTGGACACGCAGGGAGGGATGAGGTGTCAGAGAGGCCCTGACTGGTCACTCCTGCCCCAGGGCTTAGAAGGTGCTGGGTGAAGAGAGCTGCGCCCCTGTCCCTCAGCCCCTGCCCCTCCCCCTCAGTGCCACACGGAGGTGCAGGCATCTCACACCAGGTTCTCCCTGGGTCCGTTCATGTCACAGCAGGCTTTGTCTTGCTGTCCATGATTTCATGTTCCCATCCTCCAGCCTTGATCCGGGAGACCTTTCTGTTCTTTAATTTCCACAGAGAGCTAATTCTGTCCTTAAACTTTGTGACTCTGATGCTCGTAGGTGACACTTGTTTCCCTTCCTGGTGCTCTGGCAACCTCGCAGTGTCATGGTGGCATCTTTCCAAGCATTTGAGTGGCCAGGTTAGGCCCTGCCAGGTCGCCGACTGCTCTGGGGAAGGAGAAGTCCTGCAGGGATGTGACAGTGGCTTTGGTTTGCTCCTTGGCCGGCCCCAGCCTGACCTAGTTCTGCTCTGCACTGTGGTTGGGCTCACGTGTTAGCCTTGACCTTGAGCGGATGGCAGGTGCTCTTCAGTGCACGATGCTGCACCGGGAACTTCGCTTGGCCCTGGAAGCTGGTTTGATGTGCACGTCGGCTTGAGTGAGTGCAGGGATGGCTGAGCTTGCCTCTTGGCTTAGGCACTGAAGATCTTCCTGTGGGTCCTCTGGGGTCGCTTGCTCTGTGGTTGTGCTGGATGTGGCCTCTTGTGGAGCAGAACCAGGCCTGTGGAACCCATTCCCTGTGACTGCCCTGGCACCTTGGCTTATGATTGCTGCCCCCACGCCGCAGCTGCCTCCCTGCGAAGCTCAGCGGGACCGCGGGGACTGAGGGACTGTAGCTCCCCGGCCATGCCTGACCGCAGTGTGATCCCTACGGGAATGAGTTTGAAAGTCTCTGCCAGTGGCTTTGACCTGTCAGGAGGAGGAGCATTCTTTGACCTGTCAGGAGGAGGCAGGAGGAGGCAGGAGGAGGAGCATTCTTTCAAATGGAAGTAGTGTTGGATGGGGTCCTTAGGGTCCTTTCTTTCTTTCTTTTTTTTTTTTTTTGAGCTGGAGTCTCGCTCTGTCGCCCAGGCTGGAGTGCAGTGGTGCAATCTCAGCTCACTGCAATCTCCTCCTCAGGTTCAAGCTATTCTCCTGCCTCAGCCTCCCTAGTAGCTGGGACTACAGGCACCTGCCACCATGTCCGGCTAATTTTTGTATTTTTAGTAGAGATGGAGTTTCACCATATTGGCCAGGCTGGTCTCGAACTCCTGACCTTGTGATCCGCCCACCTCGGCCTCCCAAAGTGCTGGGATTACAGGTGTGAGCCACTACGCCCGGCCCCTTAGGGTCCTTTCTAAGACAGAACCCCATCGTTGTTAATAGTGGGAACGTTTTCCCTTTCAGCAAAATACCACATAAGGCTCTGTGCACAGTTGTTTATTTGTTAGTGCTGCTTGCTGATGTATTTTTAAATTATGAAATAAAACTTATATTTTCTCTCTTTTCTTTTTTTTTCTTTTTTCTTTTCTTTTCTTTTTTTTTTTTTTTTTGTGACAGGGTCTCGCTCTGTTGCCCAGGCTGGAGTGCAATGGCTAAATCTTGGCTCATTGCAACCTCTGCCTCCCAGGTTCAAGCGATTCTCCCACCTCAGCCTCCTGGGTAGCTGAGATTAAAAGTGCACGCCACCATGCCTGGCTAATTTTTGTATATTTTGGTAGAGATGGGGTTTCACCATGTTGGCCAGGCTGGTCTCGAACTCCTGACCTCAGGTGATCCGTCCACCTCGGCCTCCCAAAGTGCTGGGACTGTAGGCATGAGCCATCGTGTCTGGGCAGAACTGTATGAACTTAGAATTGATGTTTAACCTCAGAAGTGATTTTAGAATCTTTTTGTGATCAGTGCACTCTCTGTGTCCAGCATGTCCGGGGTGCCCTGCCTGTTTCTGATGGACAGAGTAACAACATGTAATTGAACTTCCAGCAGGTCGCCCGTGGTGGTCAGCACCGGATCCCCAGTCTCGTTCACCAACTTCCTGAACTGTCAGATCTGCTTTATTTATTTATTTATTTATTTATTTATTTTTTAAGAGACAGGGTCTTGTTCTGTTGCCCTCTCTGGAGTGCAGTGGAGCAATCATAGCTCACTGCAGCCTCCAACACCTGGGGTCAAGCAGTCCTTCTGCCTTAGTCTCCTAAGTAGCTGGGACTTATAGGCACGTGCCACTGTGCCCAGCTAATTTATTTTATTTTGTTTTTTTGTACAGACAGTATCTCACTGTGTTGCTCAGGCTGGTCTTAAACTCCTGGGCTCAAGCCATCTGCCACCTTGGCTTCCCAAGGTATTGGGGTTATAGATGTGAGCCACCGTGCAGGGCCCACATCTGAGAAAAACATAAAGATGGGTTTGTACGACTTGAGTCCAAGTCTTCATACCAGTGGTAGGACATTTTGAGATCCTGGTGGGACGGGGACAGCACCTTTAAGAAAGTGTGCTGGGGTCCTTTTCAAGGGACTGGTGAGTTCCCTGGGCTAGGGGAACTGAGACTCACTGGGGCCTGCAGGGATGGCGTCCTTGGGGCCAAGGAAGTGCCCCCCAACCCCCCAAAAAAAAAATCTCACTGGAGAAGGACAAAGGGCAAGAGGCCAGCAGAGATGCCCAGCACAGACTCAGGCCCCAGGGTTTTTCTCTAGAAGTAGAAAAGGGAGAAGTTGAACAGAAAGAGCCCCTTAAAACAGACAGAAAACCCCAGCAAAGTTTGTTCCTGAAATACTCTCTCTGGGGATTGTTTTCTGAGTGCAAAGTGAGATCTGCGCGTGGAAGAACATATTCAGGAAATAAACTCTGCCTTCCTAATGCTTTTTCTTAAACATTTAACTTTCTGTATATTCCTCAACTTTGATACTCAATTATGAAGCCTAACTTTTGCTTTTTAAAATTATTTTTGCTTTTTAAATTTTTATTTATTTGTTAATAAAATAAACAGCCTCTGTCGCCCAGGCTGGAGTGCAGTGGCGCGATCTCGGCTTACTGCAACCTCCGCCTCCCAGGTTCAAGCAATTCTCCTGCCTCAGCCTCCCGAGTAGCTGGGATTACAGGCATGGGCCACCACGCCTGGCTAATTTTGTATTTTTAGTAGAGAAGGGGTATTCTCCATGTTGGTCAGGCTGGTCTGAACTCCCGACCTCAGGTGATCCACCCGCCTCAGCCTCCCAAAGTGCTGGGATTACAGGCCTGAGCCACCACACCTGGCCCCACCCAGGCCTCTGAGAAGTCCAGGGGTGGGCAGATGGGAGGGAGGAAGGACTGAGGACCTGGCTGGGGCAGGCGCTCCTCGACCCCATGGGGCCATCTGTGCTTCCCAGCACACCCTGGTCCTCCTGTCTTTTCTCCCTGCCCCCAAGGCTCACTCTGAGCTCAGCTCCAGGGTTGCCCCCTTAGGAACTTGCCCAAGAAGGGCCCTCCTGGGAGCACCTTCGTGACCGGCTTCATGAGGGCGGGACCACCACAGTTCCACCTCAAGGCCTGGCACCAGGTAGGCTCTCTGTGAGTGTTTGTTGAATGAATGAGTAGGATCATAGTTGTCTTGCATAGTCATCTGTATAGTTGGGTAGTAGTATGGGCTCTGGATAAGGCCTCTTCATTTTTCTGGGCCTTGGTAAGTGTAGAAGGAGACACAGGGTGTGGTGCCTGTTATGGCAACTCCTTCAGGAGCGACCGGGAGGCTGTGTTGGAATTCACTGTCGCACATGCAGATGTGGGGGTCTGAGGGCACTGTGACCTCTGGGTGTCCCTTTGGTTGTTGACCGGAAAGCCCTCCCCAGGTGGGTCTTCAGTCTTGGTTGGACCACACGGCACAAACACACAGTAGCAGGCGACATCGGTGTCTCAGTTGTCCAGCTAAGCTTGTGTCTGGCATCTTAATCCTCATTTTAAAGATTTCCCATAAGCTGTGATTGATTTACCTTTGACATTAGACTTTTGTTATAGGCAGGGGAGCATTTTAAAAAAGGCTAGCGGGCCAGGTGCAGTGGCTCACATCTGGAGTCCCAGCACCTTGGGAGGCTGATTCGGGAGGATCACTTGAGTCCAGGAGTTCAGCACTAGTCTGGGCAAAATAGAGAGACCCTGTCCCTACAAGCAGTTTTTTAAACAATTAGCCGGGTATGATGGTGTACGCCTGTGGTCCCAGCTACTCAGGAGGCGGGGGTGGAAGGATGGCTTGGGTGCTGGAGGTCAAGGCTGCAGTGAGCGGCGATTGTGCCGCTGATGTCAGCCTAGATGACAGAGCAAGACCCTGTCTCCAAAAATAAATAAATAAATAAATAAATAAACAAGCAAAAGGGAGAATAAAATGGTTTCTAATTCTAACTTGCCTTCTATTCTGGGAGGCTTTTCACATAGTGCAGAGCAATAGATTTTTTTTTTTTTTTTTTTTTTTTGAGACGGAGTCTCACTCTGTTGCCCAGGCTGGAGTGCAGTGGTGCGATCTCGGCTCACCGCAAGCTCTGCCTCCTGGGTTCACGCCATTCTCCTGCCTCAGCCTCCTGAGTAGCTGGGACTACAGGCGCCTGCCACTGCGCCGGCCACCACGCCCGGCTAATTTTTTGTTTTTTAGTAGAGACAGGGTTTCACTGTGTTAGCCAGGATGGTCTCGATTTCCTGACCTCTTGATCCACCCGCCTTGGCCTCGCAAAGTGCTGGGATTACAGACAGGCGTGAGCCACCACGCCCGGACAATTTTTTTTTTTTAGGGTTCTCTCAAAAAGATATTCATACTATCGTGACTTTTTTTTTTTTTTTTTTAAGACAGATTTTTGCTCTTGTTGCCCAGGCTGGAGTGCAGTAGTGCAATCTCGGCTCACTGCAACCTCTGCCTCCTGGGTTCAAGTGATTCTCCTGCCTCGGCCTCCCGAGTAGCTGGTATTACAGGCATGCGCCACCATGTCTGGCTAATTTTGTATTTTTAGTAGAGATGGGGTTTTTCCATGTTGGTCAGGCTGGTCTTGAACTCCTGACCTCAGGTGATCCGCCTGCCTCGGCCTCCCAAAGTGCTGGGATTACAGGCATGAGCCACTGCGCCTGGCCTGTCGTGACATCTTAAAAATGAGCAGGAATCCTCCTACCATCAGATACTCACTGTGTTTAGATTTCCACTGTCTTATAAATGTCTCCATGAAATCCTGTCTGCCTGTGTGTAGGCCTTGTTTGCATCCTGTTTCAAGCGTCATTTTAATTGGTATGCCTTTTTTTTTTTTTTTTTTTTTTTTTTTTTTTCTGGAGACAGGGTCTTGCTCTGTCACTCAGGCTAGAGTGCAGTGATGCAACCATGGCTCACTGCAACCTTGATGTCCCAGGCTCGAGTGATCCTTCCACTTCAGCCTCCTGTGTAGCTGGGACCATAGGTGGGCGCACCACCACACCCGACTAATTTTTGTGTATTTTGTAGAGATGAGGTTTTGCAATGTTGCCCAGGCTGATATCCAACCCCTGGGCTCAAGCGATCCACCTGCCTCAGCCTCCCAAAGTGCTGAGTTTACAAGCGGGAACCACTGCACCTGGCCAGTATGTCTTTTTTTTAAAGACAGCTTTTTTGAGGTATAATTGGCATATAATCAATTGCACACATGTAACATGTACGATAGGTTTTGACACGCATGTGCACCCGTGAAAACATCACCATAATCAAGATGGTGAGAAGCCTTCCCTCTCCTTCTCTCTTTCTGTCTTTGTAATTGATTTGTTGGAGAGACTGGGTTGGTCGTGCATGGGTTTTGCTAACTGCACCCCCACGTTCGCAGGTAGTCGAACATGGTGTGCCCACGCCTAAGAAGTGGCTGCTCAGTCAAAGTCACGAGGTTTCCTTTCTCCTCCCGGGCGCCTCCTTTTTCAATGTGGTTGATTTTCTGCAGAGGCCAGCTCTGCTG
Organism: Homo sapiens; assembly: GCF_000001405.40. Lineage (NCBI taxonomy): Eukaryota > Metazoa > Chordata > Mammalia > Primates > Hominidae > Homo > Homo sapiens. Next base: position 62,252,547 of record NC_000020.11, read on the forward strand.
GGCGAGGTGCCAGGGGTCCGGGTGCTGCTGCTGAGTCGCCGTGGTGTGGCCTCTGGTCTCTGTACTTCCCTAGGTTGGGAAGTGTGTTAGGCTGTTCCTGGGTTGCTATAAAGAAATACCTGAGACTGGGTAATTGATAAGGAAAGGTCGTTTAATTAGGTCGCGGTTCTGCTCTACGGGAAACATGGCGCTGGCATCTGCTCAGCCTCTGAGGAGGCCTCAGGGAGCTTTTACTCGTGGTGGAAGGCGAAGCGGGTGCAGGCGCCTCACATGGCGCGAGGAGGAGTGAGAGAGACGCCTTTAAAGAAGCAGATCTCATGGGCACTCATCCTTGCCCAGGACCAGGAGGACAGCACCAAGCCGTGAGGGATCCACTCCCATGGCTCAAACACCTCCCATCAGGCCTGCATCCAACACCGGGGATCACATCTCAACAGGAGGTTTGGTGGTGGGGACACATCCAGACCATGTCAGTAGATAAAGCTAGAAACTGGACAAACCTGGGCTCAGTGTTCCGGGCAAAACTGCTTCAGCAGTGGCAGTGTCATCTCTCCCCGGGAGGCACCCAAGGCCGTCTCTCGGGGTTCAGTGCCTGGATGTGTGAATTCTCCAGTGTCGTCTAATGGTGATGGTCACGCACCTGTGTGCCTTGTTCATCCATTTGCTGGGATGCTTCCATAAAGCGCAATTTCCTCACCTGTTACCTGGCGACAGTGGCACAGCAGTGTGTGTAGGGAAGGCAGGATGCTATCTCCTTGATTGCCAGTTTCAAAATAACTTGTGGGCTTACTGGCATCATCCACCATGACCAGTTAATCTCCTTTTTAGGATCTTAGGAACTCTGGACTTGAATGTATTCACCGTGTTTCAGCCTTTTCCCATGTACTGGTGCTCAGATTGTCTCCTCTTTCTTGTGGGAGCTTCTGTAGGTTCATCCTGAGTCATTCGGTGAGAGCCCCTGGCGTAGCCTGTGTTGTGCTGCTACAGCAGTGCCACAGGCTGGGCAGTTTAGAATGAGCAGCAATGTGCAGGCTCCTCGTTCTGGAGTCTGGAAGTCCAGTCCAAGGTGCTGGTGTCTGCTGAGGGCTTTCTTGCTGTCATCTCATGGCAGAAGGTGGAAGGGCAAGAGAGGAGGGAAGAGAGCGGGAGAGAGAGAGGAGAGAGGGAAAGGGAGGGAGAAGGAGGGGGAGGCAAAGGGAGGGGGAGAGAGCACACTAAAGGGGGCCAAACTCGCCCTTTTATTTATTTATTTATTTATTTTTGAGATGGGGTTTCACTCTTGTTGCCCAGGCTGGAGTGCAGGGGCGTGATCTTGGCTCACTGCAACCTCTGCCTCCCGGGTTCAAGCGATTCACCTGTCTCAGCCTCCCAAGTAGCTGGGATTATAGGCACTTGTCACCATGCCTGGGCTAATTTTTTTTGAATTTTTTTAGTAAAGATGGGGTTTCATCATGTTGGCCAGGCTGGTCTGGAACTCTTGACCTCAGGTGATCCGCCCACCTCAGCCTCCTAAACTGTTGGGATTACAGGCGTGAGCCAACACGCCCGGCCGACTCACCCTTTTATAACAGACCCTTTTATAAAACAGCATTAAGCCATTCCTGAGGGCAGAGCCCTCACAGTCCCACCACCTCTCAAAGGCCCCACATCCTAACATTGTCACATGGCAGTCAGATCTCAGCATGTGTTTGGAGGGACGCACATTCCAACTCTACACCCCAGTCTTTCTGGGCAGGCAGCTTCCTTGCTACCATGGCAAGAGGAGCCCAGTCCTGGATTCAGCCGCGTCTCCTCAGGAAGCCCTGGCTCCTCAGTGCTCTGAAGGGGGAAGCACATCGCTGCAGTTGTGAAGGGGACCTGAGTGAGTGACAGCAACTTCTCCCGTCTGCAAGGGCAAGCACACCCTGGCCGTGAGCAGGGCTGTCTGCGCCGGCCTTCAGGGGCTGCCGCAGTCTGGCTGGGAAGGAGGGAGGAACCGGGAGACACTGGAGAGTCTCTCAGGGGACGTGGTGGCTGTCCTGTTGTCTGGAGGGAAGCAGCTGCTGCTGCCCCGTGCGGCTGTGGCAGGGCTGCGGGATGAGCCGCTTGAGGGGTCACCCAGCACTGGGGGCCGTTCTCGCCCCGGCGCCCTCACCCTCAGAACTGTGCAGAGAGCTCTGGGCTGGTTTTTGTATTTTTGACACAAGTAAGGATGCTGATTTTGGCTTCCTTCTCTTGTCGTTCATCAAACGCTGCTTTTCCTGATGGGAGACACTAATGTGCATGAGTTCTAGAATATTGAGCTAAGGTCGTTGTGAGAAAATGTAAGTTTACTTCAGTTTATCCTGGGAGTAGCTAACTTACATAGCAGCCTCAATTCTCTAGAATTGATGTTGGTTTCAGGTAGTTGTGAAATTTTAGACATAATTTTCCATTTACTTATACAGCCACTTGTTCCAGCCTCTGGTGAATGTTTGCAATGATTTTCAGCAAAACTTCCAGAGCCGTGTTTGAACCTCGGATGCTGAACACCTCATTGAAGCTCACCTGCTCTCTCTGACTGCCCCCATGACTTTTTTTTTTTTTTTTTGAGATGGAGTCTCGCTCTGTCGCCCAGGCTGGAGTGCAGTGGCGTGATCTCGGCTCACTGCAACCTCTGCCTTCCGGATTCAAGCGATTCTTCTGCCTCAGCCTACTGAGTAGCTGGGATTACAGGTGCCTGCCACCACGCCTGGCTGATTTTTGTATTTATAGTAGAGACAGGGTTTCACCATGTTGTCCAGGCTGGTCTCTGAACCCCTGACCTCAAGGGATCCACCTCAAGGGATCCACCGGCTTCGGTCTCCCAAAATGCTGGGATTACAGGGGTGAGCCACCACACCCTGCGCCCATGACTTTTCCCAAATTAATGTTTTATTGTTTTCTTACATAACTGTAGATAATGCTTTTAATTTTATTTTAATTTTATTTTAATTATTTATTTGTTTATTTATTTCGAGACAGAGTCTCATTTTGTCACCCAGGCTGAAGTGCCGTGGCACGATCTCAGCTCACTGCGATCTCTGCCTCCCGAGTTCAAGAGATTCTCCTGCCTCACCCTCCCAAGTAGCTGGGACTATAGGCGTGCGCCACCACGCCTGTATAATTTTTGTATTTTTAGTTAGAGACAGGGTTTCACCGTGTTGGCCAGGCTGGTCCCAAGCTCCTGGCTTCAAGTGATCCGCCCACCTCAGCCTCCCAAAGTGCTGGGATTACAGGCGTGAGCCACCATGCCCAGCCAATAATGCTTTTTAGAAACAACTCTTGTTATAGGGCTGAATTATTGGTCTGTTATTCATTGATTGATCTTCCGTTATAAATGCTCCCTCTCGTTTACTTTTTGAAATTATGTTTGTGATGTGATAATTTATTTTACTAATTTGCTTACATGGAATTTAGATTGATTTTAGGATGGTGAATGGGTATTTTTAAAATGTTTTTAAACCGTGAAACTTCTGGAAGCTAAGTATGCCAAAATTTTTTTCCCTTTAGATCTTCAGTGTCTATTGGATTTTTCCAAGAGAAAGTTTGTAAAATTCCTTACACTGTAGATGTGGATCAGATACGATGATTCAGTAGAAGAGCACATGTCAGGGGCAGTGGAGGCTGGCTGCTGAAGGATGAACGGAGAGGAAGAATTCTTTGATGCCGTCACAGGTGAGTCAAAAGAGAACCAACTGGGGACGTACTGGAAGGGTGAACGTCCCTGGATTCAGATGTTGGACCTGGCGTTTGGGGTGTAAAGATGCTCAGTAAAGCAGTGTGTGGGTGAGCGTTCACGATCCCAAACACGGACTGTTCAGCAAAACCTGACATCCATCTCAGAGGTGGGAAAAGCCTTGACTTTGGCTGACAGGGTTTAAGTCTCCCGAAGAGTTTCCTGGGGTGCGGATATTTTCATTTGTCTCCTGAGATAGCCATCTTCTTCCCCTATTTCTGCTTCATGATGAGAACGTTCTAGATATGATGACCCTGTCTTGCTTGGCACTGCTTGATGCATCCCATCAGACAGCAAACCCCTGGGTCTGCAGCTGCGCTCACAGCCGCAGAGTGCAGTTATTTTTTTCTTTCGCACGATGGTTTAAAGTGGCGGCATGCAGCCTGTGGTCTGAATGAAATCCTGTGGCCTAATTGAAAAGAATGTGTTTTGGCATCCAGTCACTCAAAAAAAGAAGAAAATGAAGACCGTGTTGCAGGGCTCATGGGCATGTGACGGGGCGGCTAGAGGAAAGGGCAGGCGGGGCTGGCAGCTTGGCCTTCCAGAGCCGCCCCTTCTCCTGGCACAGGGAAGAGCCTGAAACCCTTTGAGCTCGTGTCTTGTCAGGTCCTCATGTTCATTCTCCACTCTTCTGTGCCTCGGAGTCAGCATCTGGAATTCCGCTTGTTTTTTCTGGAAAGGACCATTGCTGGTGGGAAGGGGCATCAGGAGATTCTCCTTGATGTTCCCTTGTCCTTAGGCGTCGGGATCAGAAAGGAGTGGCTTTGGAAATGTGGCCGCAGGCCAGGAATTAGTGATGATCTTTAGAAGCACTTCTGCGGTTACTGCCGCTCAAGGATCTGTCAGGGTCTCTATGGCCATGCCCCAAGGACACGGCGATGGCTCCGTTGGCACCTCCAGTCTGTGGCCCTGCCAGGGTGGGTGTGTCAGGAGGGTCTCTGTGGCCACACCCCGAGGATGTTGATGGCTCTGGTGGCGCCTCCGGTCCGTGGCCCTGCTGGAGCGGGCTGATTGTCCCGAGGCTGTGCTGCTCCTGTACCTGCGCTGGCAGCTCAAGATGGTTGACTTACTCTTATCCAAAACCCCAGGAGAAGGGGATGATGCGCTCCTTACCGGCTTCAAAGGCTCAATTTCGAAGTCATTTTCCATGATTTCGTAGCTGAATTATCTGCAGCGTGTTTGCCTCGGATGCACTCTCAGAGGAGGGTCCATGGAGCTTGCAACTCATCCATGGTGGTTCTGTGTTCTCTGCTGAATCCCACACAGCGGAGGGATTGTCAGGCTCTCACACCCTTGGGCTGACCTCTAGTGGGATGCCACGTCTGTCACAGAGAGCGCAGCCTTGAGGTCCCTCCTCTCCTGGGAGTCTCATAGGATGTCCTTTTTGTCTGGGGTCTTGGTGTGACTGATACTTTCCCGAATACCTCTGGCCATTTTTTTTTTTTTTTTTGAGCCAGAGTCTTGCTTTGTCGCCCAGGCTGGAGTGCAGTGGCGTGATCTCAGCTCACTGCAACCTCCTCCTCACGGGTTCAAGCAGTTCTCCTGCCTCAGCCTCCCAAGTAGCTGGGATTACAGACGCCCACCACCACGCCTGGCTAATTTTTGTACTTTTAGTAGAGACGGGGTTTCACCGTGTTGGCCAGGCTGGTCTCGAACTCCTGACCTCAGGTGATCCACCTGCCTTGGCCTCCCAAAGTGCTGGGATTACAGGTGTCAGCCACTGCGCCTGGCCAACTCTGAGCTTTTTGAGTCAGTTTGCTGTGACTTCCCAGGGTTCCCAGCTGTGTGTGATGTGGTACTCAGATGGACTCCACTGTTCTAGGAGCCACAGGGTGTGCGGGGCTGTGGGGCGTTGCTCCTGCATGGCAAGGCCTCTCCATGTGTCCCCAAGGATGAGGTGGAAGGGACAGACATCTAGGTGACAAGAATTTTCCCCCTCAGTTCTTGGGCTTCAAAACAAATAATGGAAGGAAAAAACCACTTCATCTCTTTATGCGATGAAATACCCGTGCTAGAGGTAGACTCTCGACTCCTTCACCGCCTATAATACTCATCTGACTTTGTAACTCTAATTTCAAAAGTATGTAAACTAAGCAGTTATTAAATGAATGACTTCATTAGGCATTTAATTTGTCTTAAGAATCAGTGCCATTCAAAGGAAAGGTTTGGAGGACATGAACAGTGTGTATGGGATTAAGGGCTATGAACGCAGAGGGGCTAATAAAAACAAGGGTTTCCGAGGGAGCCGACGATAGGAGATCTCAGCTTCCTCCTTTGCTCATCTGTATTTTCTGTTTTTCTACAATAAATGCATGTGGTGTCTTAGAATGTTATTAGGCCATCCGAGTAGCGTTGGCTGAGTCGGAGGCTGTGGTGGCTGCCAGGTCTTAGAATGTTATTAGGCCATCCATGTAGTGTTGGCTGAGTCAGAGGCTGCAGTGGCTGCCCGGGATGTGCTGCTTTATTCTTCGGGGTGGGGGCAGGTCCTGCCCCACGGAATTCCCTTAAGTAGGGAATGTTTTTAAGATAACTTCAGAGTGAGAAGTTAGAGATGTTGATTTTGGGACAGAGAGCAAAACATGAGAGATGGCAGGGTATTTCAGAAACTGTGGGCCATTTCAGGATTCCTTTTTAACCCATCCTCTCAAAATCACGATGTCATCCACCCCAGCACTGCCTTTATGGATGGACTCTGCTGTGTGGAGGGGCAGGACACAGCAGCTTTGCTTTGTTCTTCTGGAGCCTGTGGCAGACTCATCTGCGTGTGGGGTCCGACCACAGTTGTCTACCTGACCCTCCCGGGCTTGTGCCCCTCACGTGGAGCCCTCAGACCCTGGAAGCACTGGGTGGTTGCCGGCTGCTGCAGGCCCAGAGCCCCCATGGAATAAACTCATCGCGGGGACCCAGCCCCCACTCCACCCGGCTCTGGAGCAGAACTTGGCCCTTCCAGCAACTCAGACTGACAGGAGTTGAAGGGAGACGTATGTTCCTGTTCCCTAGTTGCCCGTTCTGTCCTGGGGAAGGGCCCACCCCACCAGGGCAGCGGCCGGCCGTTCTTCTCCAGGACTTTTGCTCCAGGAGTGCATGCATGGCTGGATCTCACTCACATTCTAAAGAGCTCCTTCTCCAGAGTCCCCCTTCATCCGGAGTCCACTCTGAGTCCAGTCACATGTGTGGCATTTCCATGATTGTTCCCTATCTGGGTACAGTTTAGTGGTGCCTTTGCGTGCCACGATGGTCTCCCTTGAAACACTGTCAGCAGGCGTGTTTCAGACCAAGACGCAGACCTTGGTCACAAGCCCTGAGCCACAACGGGCGCATCGCAGCCTTGGGATGGGTTTGAATCCGATAGAAGTGGCCCACCCAGAGCATGTAGGTCACAGATTAAAATGATGAAAGGGTTCCTTCTGGAAGATGAAGCTCATGGCCTGGGACTGGACCTCAAATCACAAGCGTGGGAGGAGCCTGGGCACTGGAGCTCGCTGGGAGCGCGTTCTTAGGAGGGAAGCTCCGTGGCACCCTCCTGTTCTCTCTGTACCGTGTCTGCTTCTGGAGAACCAGAGTTAATTCTTCCAAATGTGTCCGTTCACACAACTGAGCTCTGTAGTCACCTGCTTGCATAGTCAGAATTCTTGGAGGTAGGCTTTTAAAAAATCTTTCAGGTCCAGCGAAAATGACCATTTTCTTGTCTCGCACAGGCTTTGATTCTGATAACTCTTCTGGGGAATTTTCAGAGGCAAATCAGAAAGTCACGGGAATGATTGACTTAGACACCAGCAAAAATAATAGGATTGGGAAAACTGGGGAGAGGCCCTCTCAAGAGAACGGAATTCAGAAACACAGGTATGTTCTCTCACGTCTGCTGTTTCTAAAATGTGTCTGTAATCACCCCAAAAATACTCTGCAGGGTACCCCTCAGCCCTCACGAGCATTGAGCTGGAGTGGCACCCCCACAGCTGTCTGGCCTCCCCATCCGGACAGCCTCCTCTGTCTGGCCAGCAAGGGTTCAGAGAGACTCCATGCCTCTCTTGGCTCCTGGAATCCACAGATGGCAATTTTTTGAGCAGTGCCTTTCCCCATCTAAGAAATGCCTCTGTTCCCCTCCCTGCCCTCAGGAGTTGCTGTGAGAGGATTTGGGGTGACACAGGCTTTGTCAGGGCCTGGCAAACAGTACATGGCGTCTTGATCATCAGACCCCTTGCTGATTTCCTACAGATCTGCCTGCTTTTCCATGGGCGGCCAAGTTCATCCTCTGTCTCAGCGGAGTTCTATTGCAGTGTGTTCAGCTCTGACCCCTACAGGACAAGAAGCGTTTAATTTCCTTGTTGTAGCAAGACCTCATTCCCTTTCCTCCTCCTCCACGTTCGTTTTCATGTAGGTAGAGTCCAGTGACAGTGGCCATCACAAGAAGTCTTCAGTCCTTGGCTGGTCGCGGTGGCTCATGCCTGTAATCCCAGCACTTTGGGAGGCTGAGACAGGTGGATCACTTGAGCCCAGGAGTTGGAGACCAGCCTGGGCAACATGGCAAGACCCCACTGCTAGAAAAAAATTAAAATAATTAGCTGGGCATGGTGGTGCACGCCTCTGGTCCCAGCTACTTGGGAGGCTGAGTCAGGAGGATCCCTTGAGCCCAGAAGTTCGAGGCTATGGTGAGCTACGATGGCGCCGCTGCACTCTAGTATGGGCAACAGAGCAACACCCTGGCTCAAAAAATAAAGGGAAGAAGTCTTCAGTCTTTGTTGATAGAAGCACGAGCCAGGCGCAGTGGCTCATGCCTATAATCCCAGTCCTTTGGAAGGCCGAGGTGGGCGGATCATGAGGTCAGGAGATTGAGACCATCCTGGCCAACATGGAGAAACCCCATCTCTACTAAAATACAAAAAATTAGCTGGGCGTGGCTGTGCGCATCTGTAGTCCCGGCTACTCTGGAGGCTGAGGCAGGGGAATCACTTGAACCCGGGAGGCAGAGGTTACAGTGAGCCGAGGTCACGCCGCTGCACTCCAGCCTGGGTGACAGAGTGAGACTCCATCTCCAAAAAAAAAAAAAAAAAAAAGGCACAAAGGCAGGACAAGTGTCAGGTGGGACAGGCAGTGGCCCTGGAGCTGGTGGCATTGCGTTGCAGGCTCCAGGCACAGCCGCTAATGTGTGTCTCAGCTCCAGGGAGCTGCTCCAGCCTGGCCTCAGGCTCTCCTTCGAGCTGTAGGCCCACACGCCTGCTTGGTGGGTCCACTCTGGCACCCACATGTGCATCTCACCTGTTGTTTGTTCGTTCTCTCACCCTACAGATATGGGAGCCCCCACCCCCGCTCCTGCATTCCCCGTTTTCTAGCCCTGACTCTGTGGTCGCTTTAAATGCTGTTAGGTCCTTCAGTTCTTCCATTTGCTCTGCAACATGCCCGTCTACCCAACCACCCTTGTTTCCAGAGTGGCCTCTGCATCCCTGCCTTTTATTCCTGTTGTTGTGCAGAGGCATTTGTGTATATGTGTATTTATTGTGTTTGAGACGGAGTCTCACTCTGTCGCCCAGGCTGGAGTTCAGTGGCGTGACCTCGGAAACCTCTGCCTCCCAGGTTCAGATGATTCTCTTGCCTCAGCCTCCCGAGTTGCTGGGATTACAGGCATGTGCCACCATGCCTGGCTAATTTTTGTATTTTTAGTAGCGACAGGGTTCCGCCGTGTTGGCCAGGCTAGTCTTGACCTCCTCAAGTGATCCACCTGCCTCGGCCTCCCAAAGTATTGTGATTAAAGGTAGGAGCCACCATGCCCAGCCCAGAGGCACTTTTCAAAAGACAGATCTGGACCCCCCCCCCACCCCGTCACCCTCTGCCTAAAACTCAGGCAGGATGACCACATGGCCGGCCTCACACTCCTGCTCCTACAGAACTGTGAATGGCGCCCTGTTATACTAGAAGAAATGACCCAGCTCGGACAGTGCACCATGTGGTCACTCACCTCTTAGGAAGAAAGCCAGCACCCTCACCTGTGCCCTCAGGCCTGGCCCCGAGCCCTGTTGCCTCCCGTCCCAGCTGCAGGGGCCTCTTTCAGGTCCTCGGGTGTGTCAGCTCCCTCTGCTCCCTTGGCCTGGGGCCTCTTTTCTCTTCTTTCATGTCTGTTGTTCCTACGCATCCCATCTCCATGCAGGGTCGTATCCTTGGGGGATGCGACCTGACCTTCTGCAGAGCCACTTTCCCCTCCTGGTAGCACCTCCGAATCACAAAGTATTCACTGAATGTGTGCACGGACGATGGCGGAGCAGAGCTGGGTGCTGGCTTCCGGCAGCCCGGGCCTGGTACTCAGCAGATGTTCCTTTTCTTTTCCACCCTGCCTCATAGCTGCCATGTCCTTTCCCTCCTGCCCCCTGACACCAGTAGTGTGCCCTGACCCAGCTGCCCTGACGTGGCATTCCCGGGGCATAGCTCGGGAGCAGAGCAGACAAGAGCTCGTGCTTTCATCACTCTGGAGGTCAGAGTGTTGGTGCCAAGGTTCTGCTGGGTGTGAGGCAAAACGCCCCTCAAAGCAGCTTCCATGAAATGGGAGTTCAGCAGGAGAGCCCTGGGGTGTCCCTGGAGGGCTGTGAGCAGCAGGGAGCCCCGGGCCCCTACTCTGCAGCACCTTCTTTGCACCCTGCTCTGTGGTGTCCTGTGTGGGTCTGGCACGCCTCTCCCCAAATCCAAGTTTATGTCTCCATTCAGGCGCTCCCCTCCTAGATGGAGACAGTATCTCATTCCAGCTCCACGTTCCTGGTGGGGAGACCAGGGCCCCGGGTCAGTGGTCCCGGTTGATGAGTGGTGAGCAGTGGTGGGGGTGAGGGTCTCCTGGTGCAAGCATGAGGGCATGGGCTCCGCCTTGCAGCCGACTGGAAGATTACCTGGAAAGAAATGCTCCTCAGGAAAGCAAGCACGTGTTTAAAGGGCGGAACAGCTTTTAATTCAGGTCACTCTTGCTGCCCTCTTACCTCTGCCTGTGGTCTGGCCGCTGCCCCAGGGACCCAGCAGGAGCCCCCAGAAGGCTGTGGGCTCTGCGGGCAGAGGGACTCCCTCCAGCTGCCACCCTGTCCTCCAGCTCTGAGAGGAAACAACAGCAGGGCCACTGCGGGGCCAAGACTGCAGAGTCATCTTTGTTGTCATGACCATTCCCAGGAAGCCCTGGGAACATGGGTGTGGAAGGCCTCTAGGCAGCAGTCGTGCCCTGTGTCCCTAGGCATGCCAGAATGTAGAAATGCCAATGTTTAGGAGTAAAAATTAAAGAGAAATCGTCATTGAGCACAGCCTCCTTGAGTGGTCAGAGTCCTGTGTTGAATTCACCCACACGCACCCCTTTTGTGCTTCGCAGGACATCGCTGCCGGCTCCCATGTTCAGCAGAAGCGACTTCAGCGTGTGGACCATCCTGAAGAAGTGTGTTGGCCTGGTGAGTCCGGGGGCCCGTGTTCACACATGGGGCTGCACCACTGACTCCTGGGAAGGTATTGCAGTGCTGGTGGTTTAAGAAAATGCGCTCTTGGCCGGGCGCGGTGGCTCACGCCTATAATCTCAGCACTTTGGGAGGCCGAGGTGGGCGGATCACGAGGTCAGGAGATCGAGACCATCCTGGCTAACACAGTGAAACCCCGTCTCTACTAAAAATTCCAAAAATTAGCTGGGCGTGGTGGAGGGCGCCTGTAGTCCCAGCTACTCGGGAGGCTGAGGCAGGAGAATGGCGTGAACCCAGGAGGCGGAGGTTGCAGTGAGCCGAGATCGTGCCATTGCACTCCAGGCTGGGTGACAAGAGTGAGATTCCATCTCAAAAAAAAAAAAAAAAGAAAAAAAATGCACTCTCATGTTTATAAACAGCATGAGATTAAGACAATAAAACAGGAAAAGAACAAGCAAGTCAGGGGAAGAGGTGTTCTGTAGGTGAAACGGGACATAAGAACCATCCTGCAAGCACCCATCCAGCCCTGTGGCCTGCGTGAGGTGGGTGGGGCTTCCGTGGCACCCTCCCTGGCCACATGCTGAGCTGCAGGAGGGGTGTCAGCCTTTGTCAGGTGCTCAGGGTTTGGGACAGAAAAACCAGCTGGGAATGAGCACCCAGAAGTTACAGACTTTCCCTTTCATGATCTTTCCTGACTGTGAGAACCCAAGCTGTGCCTCACAGGGGCGGGGAGTGTCCCGTGCCTCCTGTACCGTGCTGGTTCCTGGGCCAGCGCTTGATGCCTGAAAACTCACATGGCCTGGGAATACGTGTCACTCTTGCCCAGACCATGTCTTCTAGTGCTGGTGATTTTTTGCCCTTATCTGTTTTAGTCCTTTTTTTTTCCAGAGGGAACTTCACTTTTTCTTAACTTTTTATTTTGAAATAATTTTAGACTTACGGAAAATCACAAAATAGCACAGAGCATTCCTGTAGACCCACCACCCAGCTCCCCTGATGCCGGCATCTCTCGGAATAACCATAGGTCAGTGACCAAAGCAAGAAATGCATCTTAGCTCCACATGTCACTTGTATTTCCTCAGTGTCCCCGATGTCGTTTCCTGTCCCAGGACCCTCATGGCATTTGGGCTCCTCCACTTGGTGGCAGCTGCTCTGGTCTGTTACTTAGTGGACTTTTCCTTAATTTGGGTTTGTCTGATGTTTTCTTCTTAGAATGAGGTTCTGTATTTTTGGCACACACAGAAGTGAGGTACCCTTGCCAGGGCCTTGTCTGAGGGGCTCTGTGATAGCCGCATGTCTTGTTAGTGGGACTGTTAACCTGATCACTTGGTCAAGTGTCTCCACTGCAAAGTTGCTGCATTTCTCTTTGTAATCAATGTTTTAGGGAAGACACTTGGATTCTGCTTGCCAATTGTAGCATCCATTGGTGGGTTTTACTGAAATCATTCTAATGGAGATTTTCCATTCTCGTTCGTTCTTCTACCTTTATTAATTGGAATTGTTCTGTAAAGGAGAGCTGTCCCTTCTCCCCTAATTATATATTTATTCAGTTATTTATTTGTATTAGTATGAACTCATGAGCATGTATTTTATTCTGTGAGTTGAATTCCAGTATAGTCCTTATTTACGGACTATAAATAATTGCTCAAAGTGTTCTACCTTTGGTGTTGAGAGTTCTTCTAGGTTGGTTTCCCCCTTCTGCTGAACCCCCATCCTTTTCTGAACACTTATTTCAGGCACTAAAGAATGCTCTAGTTCAGCTTATATTTTCCCTGCCTTAACCCTGGAATCAGCCACTTCCCCAGGGAGCCCATTCACTGGGTAATGGTGTTTAGAAACCACAATCCAGTGCTGGGTGAGCTCATTGCTGCTGAGGTATCATTGCCTGCAGGCCCTCTCAGCAGACAGCACTGGAAAATACGAGTGTGCTAATGCTCATGCATACACATCTGTATTTCTGTATATATCTGTATGTTTCTTTTAAAATAAACCATTTGAGATTTTTTTTCTCTTTTCTGCAATGTTTTTTGTACATTTTTGACTATGTGGATAATTCAGGTCTTGACAAAAATATCTGTCTTGGTATAGATGAGGAATGTCTTTTGTGAACTTGACAAACCACCTAATTTTGACTCTCTTAAATTCTGAGACAGGCTGGGTGTGGTAGTAGCTCATGCCCTCAGGAAAGCTGAGGGAAGAGGATTGCTTGAGGCCAGGAGCTTGAGACCAGAGCCTGGGCAACATAGTGAGACCCCAACTCTACAAAAAAATTTAAAAGATTAGCCAGGCATGGTGGCACATGTCTGTCATCCAGTTACTGGGGAGGCTGAGACAGGAGGATGGCTTGAGCCCAGGAGTTTGAGGCTGCAGTGAACTGTGATTTCACCACTGTGCTCCAGCCTAGATGACAGAGGGAAACCTTGTCTCTTAAAAAAAAATAAATAAAGATTCTAGGACCAAAAGCATCTTTTCAACAACATGAAGTGATGTATATTGCATTCCCTAGGTGAGGGTTGTGGAGAGATTGAGGTGAAAGTTTCATGTGAGCACGTAGGACTGGCAAGCATAGTAGAAAGGCGCTGGGAGGGGCCTTGTGGGGCAGCTCCACCCCTTACACTTCACTTTGAAACACTCCCCTTTGGAGGCTTTGGTGGCACTCCACTCTTTTTACTACTTCTCAGCTTGTATTGAAAAAACACAAGCACACTTGGCAACGTGGACAGTCCCAACATAGACAGACTCAGACAGTGGTGAGCTCATGTCCCCATAGCTGGATCTGCAGTGATTGGCTGTGGCTCGTTCTGGATCCGCAGTGATTGGCTGTGGCTCGTTCTGGATCTGCAGTGATTGGCTGTGGCTCGTTCTGGATCCGAGGTGATTGGCTGTGGCTCGTTCTGGATCCGCAGTGATTGGCTGTGGCTCATTCTGGATCTGCAGTGACGGGCTGTGGCTCTTTCTGTTTGGTCCACACCCCCCACTTCTCTCCTCCCTCGTATTTTGAAGCAAATTCCAGACATCTTTTGTTTGTAAATATTTCTTATGTATATTTAAAGGGTAAGGATTCTTTTTTAATGTGACTGTGATATTATTATTATACTTTAGAAAATAACTTTAGAAAGTCATTTAATATCATCAGATACTCAATCTATGTTCAAATGTCCAGTGGTCTCACGTGTTGCCCTCTGGTGTTTGCAGTCCTGTGTCTGGACCTTGTTTGTGTCCCTCTGTCAGGAAGCCTTTTTGTTGCTCTTTCTCTGAATTTAAAAGCTGTGGGCAGGCCAGGCGTGCGACGGCTCACGCCTATAATCACTGTCAGAGGCTGAGGCGAGAGGATCGCTCGAGGCTACGGGTTCAGAACCAGCCCGGGCAACAAAGTGAGATCCCATCTCTACAAAAAAGAATTAGCCGGGCATGGTGGCGCATGCCTGGGCTCCCAGCTACTCGGGTGGCTGATGTAGGAGGATCACTTGAGCCTGGGAGGTTGAGGCTGCAGTGACTGGTGATCACATTACTACACTCCAGCCTGGGTGACAGAGTGAGACCCTGTCTCTAACAAACAAACAAAGCTGTGGGCGCTCAGAGTCTGGGTCCACTAACTCACTGGGAGTTGCTAGTTGGAGCTGTGCCAACATGATCACCCTTTATTGATTGCCGGGGATAGTTCTGGATGTCTTCCAGTCCACAAATTGTTCCATCTTTGGTCAGTGAGAGTCTCTTCAAGGTGGCCCGGAGTCCTTTACAAAAGGAGCTTCAGGCCTATCCTGTGCGTTTACTGTTTGGGGTCTGGCATCATCTACTTGTCCAGGGAGAGAAGGAGAATTCAGGACCACAGCCGGGCTCTCAGGAGGCCACCGGGGTAGTCTTATTTCGAGGTCTGTTCCTACAGCTAGGAACTGTGTTTTTGTTTGTTTCAGTGATGCTTCAAATTTGGGCCAACAGGCTCCACCTAACCTCTGCGGCCTCATGTCTGCGTCTCTTTTCTCCCTCACTGACAGTCCCAGTTTTCTGCAGCCCTGGCGAGGACAGATTTAGACCGGCACGCAGTTGTGACTCACTCACTTTGCCCCACATACCTGTGGGACCAGCTCTGCTGCCGACAGTGTCTTTGCTGAGACAGCACATGTCTGTGCCTCCTGCAGTTGCCACTTGTCATTGTCTTCAGGGTATATCTCAAATGTCTGCATTATTTTTTATTTATTTATTTTTTTGAGGGAGTCTCGCTCTGTCGCCCAGGCTAGAGTGCAGTGGCGCGATCTCAGCTCACTGCAACCTCTGCCTCCTGGGTTCAAGCAATTCTCCTGCCTCAGCCTCCTGAGTAGCTGGGACTACAGGCGCCTGCCACCGTGCCCGGCTAATTTTTTTTTTTTTTTTTTTTTGTATTTTTAGTAGATACGGGGTTTCACCTTATTGGCCAGGCTGGTCTCAAACTCCTGACCTTGTGATCCGCCCACCTCGGCCTCCCAAAGTGTTGGGATTACAAGCGTGAGCCACCGCGCCCGGCCAAATGACTGCATTTTAAAACCACCTGGGTGCTTCTTCGCTGGGTGATTGTGCCACCAAAGGAATGACATAGGTTCATTTGTTTCATTTTTGATATTGAGAGATGACTTTTTAAAATTTAATTTTCTTTTTAAATTATGGGTCCTGCATCAAATTTATCAAGCAAGGTATATTCCAGGAGAGTCAGCTTCCTGTCCCTGTCCCCTCCTGGTGCTCTCTGCTTTCCCCACAGGTGACCAGGAGCCAAGTTTAGGGCATGTCTTTCATGCGTCACACAGCTGATTCTACATGTATCTTCTCCCCACTTCTCCCCACTTCTTTACATAAATGAGAGGCTTTCTCCACCTTTTAAAATTCAATAGTATATCCATAGCAACATGCAGTGACTTCTTAATCTATTTATTTATTTATTATTTCTTTTTAGAGACTGAGTCTTGCTGTGTCGCCCAGTCTGGAGTGCAGTGGCAGGATCATGGCTCATTGTAACCTCAAACTCCTGGGCTTAAGTGAACCTCCCACATGAGCCTCTGGAGTAGCTGGGACTACAGGAACCCACCACCATGCCCAGCTACTTTTAAAAAATTTTTTGGCAGTGGCTCACGCCTGTAATCCCAGCACTTTAGGAGTCTGAGGCAGGCGGATCACGAAGTCAGGAGTTCGAGACCAGTCTGGTCAACATAGTGAAACCCTGTCTCTACTAAAAATACAAAAAATTAGCCGGGTGTGGCAGTGCATGCCTGTAATCCCAGCTACTTGGGAGGCTGAGGCAGGCGAATCGCTTGAACCCAGGAGGCGGAGAGGTTGCACTGAGCCGAGATCACACCATTGCACTGCTGCCTAGGCGACAGTGTGAGACTCCAACTCAAAAAAAAAAAAAATGTTTTTTTGTAGAGACGGGGTCTCACTTTGTTGCCCAGGCTGGTCTTAAACTCCTGGCCTTAAGTGATCCTCCCCGCCTTGGCCCTGCAAAGTGTTGGAATTACAGGCGTGAGCCATCTCGCCTGGCCGACTTCTGAATCTTTTAATGGCGCGGCGCTCCCTCACATGGCTGCCACCTAGCTTATTGGACTGGCGCCCTGTTGTTGGACATACGGGTCATTTCTGATCTTTCATGGATCCAGCCGTGCGGCAGCAAAGAGCCCTGCATGTGTGTTTGGCCGAGGCTCTGTGGGATAGGTTCCTAGAAGTGGGGCTGCTGGGTCAGGGGCAAATACCCGTAGAGTTTGCTAGAAGCAGCCCAGTCCCCTCGTGGGGCTGCATCACTGTGCATTTCCACAGCAGCCGGGGGGCTTTCCCTGGGTGGGAGTTGCACACAGTTGCGATACCATCTCTCCTCTCCTGAGCAAGGCAGCGTCTCCCCCATGCTCAGGGCTGCCACCGGCCGCACTTCCCGGCCTCCCTGGTCCCAATCTCTGGCCGCTGTGGACTGTGGCCTCTTCTAGTTTACCAGGCGTTTAGAGCACGGGAGGCTGTTGATCCTGGTCTGGAATGTAAATTGCAAATGCTCCCCCATCTGTCTGCTTTTCTGCTCATTCTTTCGGGGCTTCCTTCTTTCTCTGCCACGTGTTCTTGCAGTGCCGAGCTCTGATCACAAGGGTCACCTCTCTTCCTGCTTTCCTCGGCAGCCACATTCCCTTGTGCAGTCTTGGCCACACCCATGTGCCGGGGCTGCCTCAGTTGGAATCCAGTTCTAGCCCCTCCTAAGCCCACAGTCCCCGTGTGTCCAGTGCCATCTGGGGCCTGCTCGCCCCTGCAGCAGCCTGAGCCGCAGGCTCTGTGCGTCTGCCCTGTGCTCTCAGCCTCGGTCCCTGCACTCGTCCTTGACCCAGTGTCTGAGCAGAGCCCCCCTCCCAGCACGGACGCTGAGTTTTGGGAACCTCGCGGCCCAGGCAGAGCGCGTCCTTGTGGTGCTGTGCACACCCCGCCCACCCTCCGTCCACCCTGCGCATGCAGTGCCTGTGGTGTCCTGAGGCCTTGGTGGGGCCGTCCTAGTCCCTGGTGCAGACGAGGAGCCTGAGAGGCTTAGCAGCTCATGTGTGTGTCAGCTGGGAACCCACAGCAAGTGGATTCCAAAGCCTGCCATGTCCCTGTTGCCACTAGCACCTCCTCCTCCACTCCCTCCTGGCCTCTCTGGGTCCTCTCCTTGTCCCTCCTGGCCTCTCTGGGTCCTCTCCTTGTCCCTCCCTGACCTCTCTGGGTCCTCTCCTTGTCCCTCTCTGGCCTCTCTGGGTCCTCTCCTTGTCCCTCTCTGGCCTCTCTGGGTCCTCTCCTTGTCCCTCTCTGGGTCCTCTCCTTGTCCCTCTCTGGCCTCTCTGGGTCCTCTCCTTGTCCCTCTCTGGGTCCTCTCCTTGTCCCTCCTGGCCTCTCTGGGTCCTCTCCTTGTCCCTCTCTGGGTCCTCTCCTTGTCCCTCTCTGGCCTCTCTGGGTCCTCTCTGACCTCTCTGGGTCCTCTCCTTGTCCCTCTCTGGGTCCTCTCCTTGTCCCTCTCTGGGTCCTCTCCTTGTCCCTCTCTGGCCTCTCTGGGTCCTCTCCTTGTCCCTCTCTGGCCTCTCTGGGTCCTCTCCTTGTCCCTCTCTGGGTCCTCTCCTTGTCCCTCTCTGGCCTCTCTGGGTCCTCTCCTTGTCCCTCTCTGGCCTCTCTGGGTCCTCTCCTTGTCCCTCTCTGGGTCCTCTCCTTGTCCCTCTCTGGCCTCTCTGGGTCCTCTCCTTGTCCCTCTCTGGCCTCTCTGGGTCCTCTCCTTGTCCCTCTCTGGGTCCTCTCCTTGTCCCTCTCTGGCCTCTCTGGGTCCTCTCCTTGTCCCTCTCTGGCCTCTCTGGGTCCTTTCCTTGTCCCTTTCTGGTCTCTCTGGTCCTCTCCTTCTCTCCTTGTCCCTCTCCCTCTGCCTCTGCTTTGCCCACCCCAGACCCTGCTCCTTCCTGAAGAGCCTGCCCTGAGGTGACAGCTGTGTTTCCCTGGAATGCCTACTGCCCTTGGGATCCCTTTCCTGGAAGCCCGGTGGGAAGAGTGGCCCCTGTGGGCACTCGTCCCCTTGGCACCTTCCCAGCTTCCCCCACTAAGCCATGCGCCCTGCCGTCCAGGGCCTGGGAGCAGACACCTGAGACTCCTTTGCCAACTCGGAAGGCCTTAGGGGAAAGCCACATGGAGCCATGTTATGGGAGGCCTCATTTGCCAGGTTCAGGTGTGTCCGAGGCATCCTGGAGGGACGGGAAGCCAGGGACTATTTTTAACGGCGTGGGTGGCTCTGCCTGGGACCACTACTCTGTTTTTTTGTTTTTGAGACGGAGTCTGGCTCTGTCTCCCAGGCTGGAGGGCAATAGCATAATATCGGCTCACCGCAACCTTCACCTCCTGGGTTCAAGCGATTCTCCTGCCTCAGCCTCCCGAGTAGCTGGGATTACAGGTGTGCGCCACCATGCACAGCTAATTTTTGAATTTTTAGTATAGACAGGGTTTCGCTGTGTTGGCCAGACTGGTCTTGAACTCCTGACCTCAAGGGATCCACCCGCCTCGGCCTCCCAGGGTGCTTGGATTTTAGGTGTGAGCCACCGTGCCCAGCCTGGGACCACTACTCTGGAAGTGGGGTGGAGAAGATGTGGAGTAGGGGAGGGGGCGCAGGTGGGCCCAAGAGCCCTTGTGGCAGTCTCTGTGTCTGGAATGGGGCGGTGGGCTGGGGAGGCAGAGAGGATTCAGGGGTGTCATGCCAGAGACCTCTGCAGGCTCAGCACAGATTGTGTGTCAGGTCTGATGGCAGCTGAGGCTCACAGGGCAGGGCCGATGGGGCAGGGAGTGGCTCACCCATGGGGGGTTTGAAGATCCGGTTCAACCCCAGAGGCTGCGGCTCCATGAAGGGATGCTCAGAGCAGGGGCATCGGGCAGCCCAGCGGTGTCAGGAAGGCAGCAGTAACCAGCGAGTCTTCCCCATCTTTCCAGGAGCTGTCCAAGATCACGATGCCAATCGCCTTCAACGAGCCTCTGAGCTTCTTGCAGCGGATCACGGAGTACATGGAGCACGTGTACCTCATCCACAGGGCCTCCTGCCAGCCCCAGCCCCTGGAGAGGATGCAGGTGGGCCTTAGGGGTGCCAGGCAGGAGTTTGTCATGAAAGTGATGCCCCTTGCATGTCTGGCCACACAGTCTTGGGGCCCCAGGCATCTGTGAGGACTCGCACAGCTCCCCCCAGTGTTCAGTGCCATCCTGCCTGGCGGTCGTGGCATTTGTCCTGTCACCACAGGTGTGTGATGACAGAACTTGCCGGAAATGCCATTGAGCTCTCAGTGGCCCCAAGAGCTCCCTGCTGCCGCCTCCTGCCGGGAGACTCCGCCTCTTGGAGCTGAAGGTGGCGGTGGGCTCTGCCCTTGGGCTTCTCTTGGGTCCTGTTGCACCACCGCACCCCATGTGTGTGCATGTGTGTGACTGTGGGCTGGGCACGCACGGTGGCTCATGCCTGTAATCCCAACACTTCGGGAGGCTGAGGTGGATGAATTGCTCCTGGAGGTTGAGACCAGCTGAGGCAACACAGTGAGACCGCATCTCTACAAAAATTTTTTAAAACTTAGCCAGGTGCAGTGTTGCATGCCTGCAATGCCAGCTACTTGGGAGGCTGATGAGAGAGGATCGCTTGTGCCCAGGAGCTAGAGGCTACAGTGAGCCACGATTACGCCACTGCACTCCAGCCTGGGTGACAGAGTGAGACCCTGTGTCTAAAAAATAACAAAATACAAGTGTGTGACTGTGGGTGCACATAACGTGTGCACGTGTGTGCGCATGCCTCTGTGAATGAGTGCTTGGGGTGTGTGTGTTGAGTGTGTGGCCTTGTGTGTGCATATCAGACGGAGTGGCTGACATTGCTGCAGCATCTGCCAGAAGGGCCTGGCTCCGGGGGTGGAAGGCAGCACCCAGTTCCTTCTTTCTGTGCTGTCGGGGGAGTGGCGGGTGATGAAGGGCATTCCCTGGAAGTCCTATAATCTCAGACACACTGCTCGGGGAAAACTGAAAACGCACACGGAACAAATAGTGACAGAAACCAGGTGCCCACCGCCCTCCACAAGAGGCCATCTTCTCCAGCGCGTTTCCTAACTGAAGCTGTGCCTGTCCCCCCCGTGGATTATTTACAGTCTGTGGCTGCTTTTGCTGTTTCGGCTGTGGCTTCCCAGTGGGAGAGGACCGGCAAACCATTTAATCCACTCTTGGGAGAAACGTATGAATTAATCAGGTAAGGGGGGAAAGGCCCATCATAAATATCTTGTAAATGGAATTCCTTGGATGACAGATAAGTTTGATTCTTTCACTAGCATTGATTCCTCTGCTCTGAGAATAAACTGTTTGAATTAAGAGCTCACGAAAGCGTTTGGATGCTGTAGGCGAGATGTTTCACACACACGGGGTGTTGTGCTAGCGTGCCACGGCGTCTGAGTGAGTGTAAAGCGCTGGCAATGAGATATTTTAGTGTGTTCGACTCAAGCGTGGAGATAGCGCGCACTGTAGACGCTTCCGTGTGTGTGTGCGACGTCTGTGAAATGTGTAGGATTGTTGTGAGCTTCACCGAAAATGGAAATAGGTACTAATGAGCAAAACTAGGCTGTTTCACTAAAGCATTTAGTGAACGCTATTGAAAAAGCAGGTAAATCCAAACACAGGAATGATTGCAAAGAGGAGCTTCACTCCCAAGGCCACGTTTGCCACCACAGCCTCCCCAGAGTTTTAGGAAGGGTCAGACGGCTCTGGCCAAGGGAGAGTTAACCAGACCACGCCTCATCTCCAGACATCCCTGAAACTTCTTCCTATGGAACTTTCTTCTAGGCAGCGTTGCCATCCCTTCCTAGAGTCTCCCCAGCTTCCCTCCTGTCTCTGGTGGCCCTCACCTCACAGACGTGAGACTGACTCCAAGTCCTAGAACTCTGACCCCAGAGGTCCAGCCGGGCCCCAGATCCGTTGTTTGTGGCTGGGCCTCTGGAAGGACTGGTTGGGGTTCTCTTCACCCACCTGGTTGCCCTGGGGACTGCTGTGGTTATTCACAGAATCATCCTGGGATTCTGCCCAGGTGACAGTGCCCACCCACACCAACAAATGAAGTCAAAAGCAGGCCAGACCATGGCATGTATGTGGCAGTGTGGTAATTCCTCAGCCATTGAGCAGCCTGGCTGGGGCTCCGGGGAGCTGTGGATGAGAGGGATGTGGGTGGCTTCCTTCAGGGCCGTTTGGTGATGTCTAAAATGATTTTTATTCCACTGCCCGTGGACCCCGTCATTCTCTTGTAGATGCATGCAGGTGCCCATGGGCAGATGTGTAGGGAGAGTCAGCAGAGCACAGTTCAGCTGCTGTCTCTGTGACAGGGCTAAGCTGTGGTTCTGAAGGAGGGAGGGGCAGGGCACTCTCGCTGCACC
Source organism: Homo sapiens (assembly GCF_000001405.40). NCBI lineage: Eukaryota > Metazoa > Chordata > Mammalia > Primates > Hominidae > Homo > Homo sapiens. The sequence goes on from NC_000020.11 coordinate 62,274,578, forward strand.
CTTCAGTCTTCCGACTGTCGAGGTAGCCCAGCACACAGAGCTCACTCTGGGAAGAAGGAGCTTGCTGGTGGGACACCCTTCACTCTTCTGACTGTCAGTGGAGCCCAGCACACAGAGCTCGCTCCGCCTGCCTGGGGAGAAGGAGCTGGAGGGGCGTGGGTGGTTATCTAGACAAGTCTGCTGTGCAGAATGCAAGCTGTTTGCCACAGGCTGCTGGGCTGCACGCCTCCCTGCCCAGGAACAGAGTGCAGACGGGAGGGAAGGCGGGCTCCTTTATCATCTTGTTTTATTATTTTTCTGTGAAAAAGGGAGTTGAGCCAAAACAATTAGCCTCTTATTTGGATTCTGGGTTAGTTGAGATTCTGTTGGGTTATTTTATTATGAAGTCTGTTTGTTTTTTTAATTACGAGAGAGTGCTCTTTATAGAAAATGTGTAACATTGAGAAAGGTAGAAAAGATGAATCAGGCATAATCCCATACAAGACAATAGCTGGCTGGGCTCACGCCTGGAATACCTGCAACTCAGGAGGCGAGGCAGGAGCATCACTTGAGCCCAGGAGTTCAGTTACAGTGACCGTGCCACTGAACTCTAACCTGGACTACAGAGCCAGACCGTGTCTCTTTAAAAAAAATGAGAGGAACTGTCAGCATTTTGTTAGACTTTCTTTTGTGTGTGTTTCAAAATATGATAATTTAATTTGTATCCCTTTTTAACATGTCATAATTTTCCTGTGACATTAAAAACTTTTTCTAAATTAGAGTGTTTCATCGATTCTAAGACGCCTTGTTCACGTGGCAGCACTTCTACATGTCAGTTTCTTGTTCCTTTTTTTTTTTTTGAGACGAGGTCTCACTCTGTCGCCCAGGCTGAAGTTCAGTGACATGATCACGGCTCACTGTAGCCTCGACCTCCTGCCTTAACCTCCTGGATATGATCACAGCTCACTGTAGCCTCGACCTCCTGGGCTCAAGTTATCTTCCCACCTCAGCCTCCCAAGTAGCTGGAACTACAGGCGTGCGCCACCATGCCCAGCTAATTTTTGTATTTTCAGTAGAGACAGGGTTTTGCTGTGTTGCCCAGGCTGCTCTTGAACTCCTGAGCTCAAGTGATCTGCCTCCCTCAGCCTCCCAAAGTGCTAGGATTACAGGTGTGAGCCTCTGTGCCCAGTCCAAGTCATAGTTTCATTTGCAGCATTTTTTTCTTTCTTTCATAAAATAATGGTGTGCAGTGCAATGAATGGCATCTTGGGTTCCAAGAAGTGCAGTTCCTTTGAAACTTAAGGCCGCTGTTTTGGGGCCCTTTATTGTATTTTATGTGTTATTAATGATTGAGAATTTTTTTTTTTTTTTGAGACGGAATCTCCATTGGTTGCCCAGGCTGGAGGGCAGTGGCATGATCTCCACTCGCTGCAACCTCCGCCTGCTGGTTCAAGCAATTCTCCTGATTCTCCGCCTCAGCTTCCTGAGTAGTTGGGATTACAGGTGCACGCCACCAGGCCCGGCTAATTTTCGTGTTTTCAGTAGAGACAGGGTTTCACCTTGTTGGCCAGGCTGGTGTCGAACTCCCAACCTCAGGTGATCTGCCCACCTTGGCCTCCCAAAGTGCTGGGATTACAGGCGTGAGCCACCACGCCTGGCCATGATTGAGATTTTTATCAATAGTGAGCAAATGGTTGTGGGATTTGGTTTGCTTCAGATGGACTCTTTTCCAGTGTGTAAAGAGTTTAAAAGTGCGTGCCCATGTTTGTCCTAGAAGGTGTGTCAGCACTGCCTGTCAGACCATTTTGGGAGGATGCGTTGTTAGTAGTACAAGCTTTCCTGCACTTCTGTATATAAATCACTATGCAGTTTGGAGAAGCAACATAAATGTCACAGCTTCAAATTCTAATCTGTTCCTGGCTCATCCTGGCTGGGTCAGCTGCTGGTCCTTACCCACATGCTGCCCGTGCGTGAATGCCAACTTTGTGTTTTTTGTCTGATTTAGAAGTTGGCTGGCACTGGGCAGCCGAGCACCTGTTCTCAAGATGTCATTGCCTTTGAGCAAGTAGGACTAGTTTGGACAGAGTGTGGCGTGGTGACAGCAGGGTCCAGCAGGCAACTGTCGGTCTTGGCACAAGCTGCAGGGAGCAGCCCTGCTTCTGCTTCTGGGAAAGGGGAGGCTGAGGCCTGGACAAGGGAAAGACTGGCCACGAGAACCACTTGTGAGGGAGTCTTCTGTTCTGAATTCATGTAGAGTGTGCTTCCTTTTCTAGATATTTCTCTTGAGCAGTATTCCTGTTGCTGCCTGCCAGCCTTCTCGTCCTCTGGTCAGCGTGCTGTGCCACTGTCAGAGGCATTGACGGGATTGGCTCTTAAAAAATTATTAAAATGTCTTGAAAAAGATAAATCAGGCCGGGCGTGGTGGCTCACGCCTGTAATCCCAGCACTTTGAGAGGTTGAGGTAGGCAGATTGCCTGAGGTCAGGAGTTCGAGACTAGCCTGGCCGACATGGTGAAACCTCGTTTCTGCTAAAAAATACAAAAAATTAGCCGGGCGTGGTGGCGGGTGCCTGTAATCCCAGCTACTCGGGAGGCTGAGGCTGGAGAATCACTTGAACCTGGAGGCGGAGGTTGCAGTGAGCCGAGATCACGCCACTGCACTCCAGCCTGGGCGACAGAGATTTTGAGATTCCATCTCAAAAAAAGAAAAAGAAAAAGATAAATCAGAAGAGGAAAGAAGTTCTAGATGATAGAGAAGAAGCCTTGTGGGTGAAAGGAATGCAAGCCGCCTGGGCTGGGTAGAGCGGGGCGTGCCGCCAGCACCCTTCCCCAGGGGCTGCACCCGGGGCCGGAGCTCCTGCTGCACAGCCAGAAGCAAGCTATGCACCTTCGCAACGCCGAGACACGTCGTCTGTCATGAGTTCACTTCCAGATCGTCCTTGCCAGTGTCTGCCATGTGCTGTGTGTCTGTGAGACCCTGGCAGTCTGTCAGGTTAGGGGCCATGGACGTGGACCAAGTCCTTTCCTGATACCCTGGATCCCTACAGATCCCTTGTTATAGCTAAAAATACACATTCTTTTCTCAGACAAGTATTCATTTTGTAAATTACATACCTTGGTAGTCAACCTTTTAAAATCTAATTTTTCAACTTTCTTTCTTCTGTAATGATTGGAAATTCTGATTCCAGTTAAGTTGGTAATTATGTGGTTTAGCTTTTCTAATTTTTAATGACTACAACTGTAGGTGTATTCACAGTTCCGGAACAATTAAAAGCTGACATTTTGATTGAAAAAGAGAGTACACTAAAAATCCTGTTCCTGGACAGGAGTATTTTGGGGTATAAGCCATTCCATCTCGGAAATTTCAGGGGCCTTGTAGAAAGACAAGGAAGGGGCACCCCCTTCAGAAAGGGTTTAGGGTCCTGAGTTCCTGGGCAATGGGAGTCCCTCGGGGTTGAGGGTTTGGAGTCAGAGGTGTGTAAGGATTGCTTCTCCACCTGCGTCTCTGGGTACCTCTAGCCAGACACTGCTGTGGCTCAGGTGGAGAGCAAGCGGGGCATCAGGGTGGAGGCCTCTCCTGCACCATTGCGCTCTCTGGGTGGGTCAGATGTGCTCTGGAAGCCATGTGTGTGTGTGTCTGTTGCCAGCGTTAGGCCAAGTGCGATGTCATGTTTGTGTGTGTGTCTGTTGCCAACGTTAGGCCGAGTGCGATGTCATGTTTGTGTGTGTGTCTGTTGCCAGCGTTAGGCCAAGTGCGATGTCGTGTTTGTGTGTGTGTCTGTTGCCAACATTAGGCCAAGTGCGATGTCGTGTTTGTGTGTATGTCTGTTGCCAACATTAGGCCAAGTGCGATGTCATGTTTGTGTGTGTGTTGCCAACGTTAGGCCAAGTGTGATGTCATGTTTGTGTGTGTGTCTGTTGCCAACATTAGGCCAAGTGCGATGTCATGTTTATGTGTGTGTTGCCAACGTTAGGCCGAGTGCGATGTCATGTTTGTGTGTGTGTCTGTTGCCAACGTTAGGCCGAGTGCGATGTCATGTTTGTGTGTGTGTCTGTTGCCAATGTTAGGCCAAGTGCGATGTCATGTTTGTGTGTGTGTTGCCAACGTTAGGCCAAGTGCAATGTCATGTTTGTGTGTGTGTGTCTGTTGCCAACATTAGGCCAAGTGCGATGTCATGTTTGTGTGTGTGTTGCCAACGTTAGGCCGAGTGCGATGTCATGTTTGTGTGTGTGTTGCCAACGTTAGGCCGAGTGCGATATCGTGTTTGTGTGTGTGTCTGTTGCCGTTAGGCCGAGTGCGATGTCATGTTTGTGTGTGTGTTTGTTGCCAACGTTAGGCCAAGTGCAATGTCATGTTTGTGTGTGTGTGTCTGTTGCCAACGTTAGGCCAAGTGCGATGTCATGTTTGTGTGTGTGTCTGTTGCCAACGTTAGGCCAAGTGCAATGTCGGAGAGGTGGTGTTGGGTGTTTCCGCCACATGTTGTGGCATGGAGGGCCCCTGCTTCCCAGCGTCCTGTGAGGGGCTCCACATGATGTCTGAGCTGCCCTTTCTTTTATTTTGCTGCCATTAATGTGTCTCTCTTTTTTATTCTTTGACCTAGGGAAGATTTAGGATTCAGATTTATATCGGAACAGGTCAGTCACCACCCCCCCATCAGTGCGTTCCACTCGGAAGGTCTCAACCATGACTTCCTGTTCCATGGCTCCATCTACCCCAAGCTCAAGTTCTGGGGCAAAAGCGTGGAGGCGGAGCCCCGAGGCACCATCACCCTGGAGCTGCTCAAGTGAGTGTCGGTGCGTCCTGCTGAGATCCGCTTCCTGCAGAAACTGAAATGGGTGCTGGTGATGTGGAGGGAAAGCTTCCTTCAGGAGGAAACCCTGTCATTTTTCTCCTGAGGTGGGGACCTCCCCACAGCAGAAACGTCTTCAGATGAGCTTCCTGACCAGGGTCCCGTGTTGCTGGGGTGCGTCCTCACGTCTGCAGTTGGAATTCGCCCCCCTTTCGGTCACATCATTCATTGTATGACCAGGGTCCCATGTTGCTGGGGTGCATCCTCACGTCTGCAGTTGGAACTCACCCCGCTTTCCGGCATCATTCATTGTATTTCTTGTCTTTTGCTGCATAACTGTCCCAAACTTAGCAGCTTCCACACCAGGCTGGCAGGTGTCTGAGGGCCGGGGACCGTGAGGTTGCGGTGGCAATGAGGGTTGGGTTGCCCATGGCGCCTGTGTCCTGGCTCCCCTTCTGGGCTGCTTGCTGCAGGGCACTGCCTCCCACAGGGGGAGAGAGCTGAGAAGGAAGCCAGGGAAGTGGCCCTTTGCACACTCCCCCACCCTGTGCTCATGTGGCAGGGGTGACTTAGGGTTGGAATTTGAAACAGCGTGGGAGGGGACCCTCTGAGAGGCTGCTTGCCACCCCTCTTCACTCTCAGCCTAAATGCTCCCCAATCCAGTGTCAACCAAAGACACCTCAGAGCAAAACACAAGTCTCCAACAAATGCCGGCCGCTAAGACCCGACAGACACAGACCGGATGCTGGCGTCCTCCTGGGCCACCAGTTCTGAGACGTGAGTCTTGCCAAGCCACTGCCTGCAGTCTTGTTGTAGGCAGCAGGTCCTAACAAATACATACAGAAATAAGTAATAAACGACACCTTGCCTGATGAAGCATTTGATTTGGGTTTTGCTTCACATTGGCCCTGCCTGGATGGTGGCTAGAAGGTTCCACAAGGACCTGGAGAAGCCCCTGAGAGTGTGTCCTGGGGCTGGTATGGCCGAGTGCCTGTTGTGCAGTGGCCTTGCTTAATTAAGAGGCATGCAGAAATGAGAAGTTGCACACCTTGCTGATAAAGTTGCACACCTTGCTGATAACCTTGCTGATGAACCAGTTTGGGTTCCACCCCCAGGAAATTGAGAGAATTCCAGACGTGTGGCAAAATACCCTGCTCTGAGCAGATTTCTGCCTTCACTGTGGCTCCCCCACGTAGCACCTTAGAACATAGGGCTGCTGATCTGCTGCCTCACATTGGTGGGGTGTTTTCTTCTTGGGCAGGGCCATTTGGGAGGATGAGGAGTAAAGGAAACAAGTATGTGGAGTGCGGTTGAAAACCCTGCACCCCTCCACAGCCATGTGCCAGCTCCCCAGAAAGCCAGGGCCGCATGCCCAGGACCCTGCATTACTGCCGTGTGTGTTTCGTGAGGTGGCCTTTCTTTTGACGACTTCACAGGAAAGCCATTTGTCTTTGTTCAGTCTTCTTTGATTGCTTATTAACTTGTCTTGACATTTAAGTAGAAAGCTTTGTAGATGCTACAAAGGAAAGAAGAAGTACATTTCAAACGCATGCTAAATACACAGCCTCCGTCGCAGGGGCTTCAAAGCAGCGTGCTGCTCTCCCGCGGGTGCCGGTTGCTGTGACCCAGCCCCGCCTGGTCGTTGCGTCTTGGGTCACGTCGTGTCTTGGCTTTTCTGGACTCTCACTGCTTGTTTTCTGGTGTCTTCACAGACATAATGAAGCCTACACCTGGACCAACCCCACCTGCTGCGTCCACAACGTCATCATCGGGAAGCTGTGGATAGAGCAGTATGGGACAGTGGAGATTTTAAACCACAGGTGACAGCACCCCACCGTTGGGTGAGAGCGCGAGGCTCCGGGTGGGGATGGGCGAGCCGGGGAGCGTGAGCATCCGTGCTCCTGGTGGGTTTTAGCTCAGCCTCACGAGCTGCTGCCGTGTCCCCGCCAGCCCAGGCATAGCAGCTGCCTAGACTTGACTCTGACCGGTGTTGGCCATGAATGCTCCTCGTTCAAGACCTCGTTTTTCGTCACGGTTGTTACTTTAAGGCTTTGAGCTATGCTGAAGAGCTGTGTCATTGCCAGGTGCAGCGCAGTGGCCGTCCACGGCCGTTGGCCACTGTCTAGGCTTGAATGCCCTATTCCTGGAAGCTCATGACTGGTGGGCTTTGCCTTTTCACCACTTTAGTGAGGTATAATCGATGCATCATAAGACTCGCCCATTCTGAATGGACACTTAAGTGATTTTTAGTAAATTGACCGAATCATGGAGCCGTCCCCACAGCCCATTTCAAACACTTCCATCGCCCCAAAGGCCCACCACACCCATTTGCAGTCACCCCCCGCCTGCCCCAGGGGCCTCCACCGCGCTTCTCCTGTTACAGAGTTACCCTTTCCGGCTGTTTGCTGTCTTGCAGCAGAAACCTGTGTTTGTTTTTCTCACAGAACTGGACATAAGTGTGTGCTTCACTTTAAACCGTGTGGATTATTTGGAAAAGAACTTCACAAGGTGGAAGGACACATTCAAGACAAAAAGTAGGTCCTTGCCAAGTGTTCATGGGGCACCACTACAGCCTGTGTGTCCACGTTAGAAGGGCTCAGGTGCTCCTGGGCCTGCGTGTGCCTACGTGCATGAGACGCGGGTACACCAGTGCCATCTGTTCATGGTCCAGAAGTATGACTCTTTTTTGTTTTGGAAAGACATTTTGTTATTGAGCATAAAAGGAAATAAAGGGTATTTTTGAATGTAGTTTCTAGGTGGCTTGTTACTGGGGCCATCTTCTTTTGATAAAATTGTCTTGAGAAGTCAGCTATTTCCACTGGGAGATGAGAGGGGACTGTTTCGCAGCAGAGCTGAGGTGGGTGGGAAGTGTGGCCTTGCGTTTTCCTTCTACCAGCACCCCATGCACGTTGTCAGGCAAGACTCAAATGTGTTAGCTTGAGGGGCGTCAGTGTCACGTGACCAGTTCACTCCAGTCTTTAAATCAGGGACTTTCGCAAGTTTTTGTGAGCAGAGAAATGGTCAGTACTGTTCCAACAAATTTTTCAGTTTTTTTCTCCCCATTTGGGTTAATTACTTTGTAATCTGGGTCTCACATTTGTTTTTTTCGTAAGGAATTTGAGCCATAGAATGTCATGAAGTTCCTTCTAGTTCCAAAAATGTAGACATTTCCCATTAGAAACTAGTCCCCAATTTAAAACAGTCAGGGCCAGGTGCAGTGGCTCATGCCTGTAATCCCATCACTTCTGAGGTGGGCAGATCACCTGAGGTCAGGAGTTCGAGACCAGCCTGGCCAACATGGTAAAACCCCGTCTCTACTAAAAATACGAAAATTAGCCAGGTGTGATGGCGCACATCTGTAATCCCAGCTACTCAGGAGGCTGAGGCACAAGAATCTCTTGAGCCTGGGAGATGGAGGTTGCAGTGAGCCAAGATCACGCCAATGCGCTCCAGCCGGGGCAGCCAAGCAAGAGGCTGTCTCAAAAAAATAAGACAGTTGGTGTTTCTGCTCTGTCCACCCTCTATGGTAGACCAGAAATGCACCCGTTTGAACAGCCTATAAAATAAAATGGCCAGGCTTATGACTGACCATTTCTCCCATAAAACATGTGAGGATCAACATGTGGACCTAGAAGGGACAGCAGTCTTACAACAGGGTAGCAGTCATCAGTGCCTTGACACCTCTCCCCCTTGGAACTCAGCCCAGGGAGCAGCTGGCTGTCTGTTTCCAGAAATAGGCGGGGGCGCCGAGGCCAACACTCGCTGACCCTCAGTGAGTGCATGTAAAACATGTTTTTCCAGAACCGGGCAGGGACCCCGAGGCCAGACTCGCTGACCTTCAGTGAGTGCATGTAAAGTGTGTTTTGGTTGTCTGGTTTTCCATCCTAAATTTAAGGGTGCTCTGTCCTTGGAGACAGAGTTGTCCCCAGGCTGTCTACTAGGTGAGGCCTGGCCCAGTTCCCCGCGTCTGTGTGCTGGCTCTGCAGGCACTGCAGTGACACCGTCCCCTCCTGGGTCCCGAGTCTGTCAGAGTTGCACTTCCCGGGAGTCTGTGGTCACGGTTGACTCTTCCCAGCAAGAGGCGAAAGGAGAAAGAAAATGGAGTCTGGCACTATTTGGCTTCATCCCTTTTAGAATCGAGAGCTCTGGTGGCCACTCTGCAAAGGTCTCTGGGTTGTTATTGATGAAAAAAGGCAGGCGGGGAACCAAAGATCAAGCAAGCAGCATTGACTGCACTGATTGATAGAAAAGGGCTGAAGGACACACACACAACACATTGAGTGTGTTGAAAATGATCAGTGGGCGCATGCAGCTTTACATTTTAAAACGCTCACTCTTTTTTGCCCCTTCCCGTCTCCTGCAGCCCCCTGGACCAACCATCCTTTGGGTTTCCATCCCTTCCCGTCTCCTGCAGTCCCATGGGCCATCTCTCTTTTGGGTTTCTGTCCCTTCCCATCTCCTGCAGCCCGGTGGGCTGTCCATCCTTTAGGTTTCCGGCCCTTCATTTTCCTTTCCGTGGTGTGTATCGGGGCTACGAATGGTCCCAGAATGCAAATTTTCACCTTCGCATTTATGTCCAGAGATGTCCCAAGATGCATAAGAAAACATACCTGAGGGGAATTTATTCCAGGGTGCCACATGTTTAGACAAATGGTTTGTAATGACTAAGACTTGTCTTTAAAAATCCCATTTAATTACAGCAAAAAGAAGCTCTTTATGATCTATGGCAAATGGACGGAATGTTTGTGGGGCATAGATCCTGTTTCGTATGAATCCTTCAAGAAGCAGGAGAGGAGAGGTGACCACCTGAGAAAGGCCAAGCTGGTAAGGGCTGGGGCGTCCCCGGGCAGAGCTGAGCCCTGGGTGCTGAGGGCTGCCAGGCCGCTGCTGCCTTTAGCTCACCTGTTGGGGTCCCAGGGAACCTTTGGGCCCCACCAGGAGAGATGAATGTGCAGAATTTGTCTGTCCAGATGAACCATATATTGTGGGTTCCAGTATCAGTGAGGGGGTTTATCTGTATTTCTTTCCATTTTTTTTTTTTTTCCCCTCCAGGCAGGGTCTCCCTCTGTTGCCCAGGCTGGAGTACAGTGGTGCAGTCATAACTCACTGCAACCTCCAGCTACCAGGCTCAAGCAATCCTCCCTCCTTAGCCTCCCAAGTGGCTAGGACTATAGGCATGTACCACCATGCCTGACTAATTTTTATTTTTTTTAGAGATGGGGTCTTGCTATGTTGCCCAGGCTGGTCTTGAACTCCTGGGCTTAAGCAGTCCTCCCACCTCGGCCTCCCAAAGTGCTGGGATTACTAATAGGCATGAACCACAACACCCAGCCGGCATATCTGTATTTTGGTTGCACGGAGGCTGCTGCTATAAACCGTGGGCACCAGTGCCCACGAGTCATACATAATTGCTGGCCCCCATGGCTGGAAGTATCTGAGGGAACCTCAGGCAAGGCCGTTTCTTTTCTGGAAGCTCCAAGTTCTGGGTCCTTCTTAATAAATCTTCTCGCTTTCTTTGAGTTAGCCTAGACATATTGTTAAAAATCAAGTGAATTTCAATTTTTTGTTTTTAGTTGTGAGTACCAGATAATATATTCAACAGCCAGAAAGTACTGGCAAGGCTTTTCCCCTTAAAGCTTTGGAATACTCATTATCTTAAGACTAGTTGTTCTTGAACTTAAAAATAAAAGGGATAGTTCAAAAGAGGTGTCCTATTTTCTACATAATGAATTGGAATGTACCAAACCTGAAATGTTCAATATTTATTTAACGGAAACATTCAGCCTCCTCCGGATCCCAAGTGTTTTTTATGTTGTTGTATTCATTTGTGCTGTTAGACACCTTTTCTAATCACCCTCTTTTATTTAAAAAGGAAAATTCTGCTTACACACTAGACAGACCTAGAAGGGTAAATCCATTTAGCGATGTCTTTTGATGCTTTCCTGCTCCTTGAGGTGACCTAGAAACGGGAGTTTTCTGTGAATCCTTGTCCTTGAGCTGCGGCTCTCCCTCGCCCCAGCCTCGGGCCATGGTGCCTACAGCCAGTGTGAATACAGCTAGTGCAGGAAGCCCTGGGCTTTGACTCGCTTGTTTTCAGTGGTCTCCCTGAAGAGCTGCTTCTGGAATCATTCCCTTTTCTAGGACCCATTTATTTTGAGAAGCAATGTGGCAGGTTTTGTCTTTTCATCAGGGTGTAGAGAGCCTGAAACCCCCACACAGGAGCCACTTCTTGATGGGGGCAAAGCTGCGCTATCTAGAAAGCTCTCAGTCCCAGAACCTGCCTTCTGGAGAGGCGCCATGTGTGTGAATGAACCTGCTGTTTGGAAGGCACCGCTGTGTCGTCGCACTCAGACTCCATGAAGCCACCGCTGTGTCGTCGCACTCAGACTCCATGAAGTGCTGTTTCGCGTGCACCGCTTCTCCCGAAGGGAAACACGCCTGGCCACTGACTTCCTTCATCTCCACGAAGGGAAACGCCTGGCCACTGACTTCCTTCGTCTCTGCGAAGGGAAACGCCTGGCCACTGACCTCCTGTCGTCACCCGAAGGGAAACACGCCTGGCCGCTGACCTTCTGTCATCTCCGTGAAGGGAAACACGCCTGGCCACTGACCTCTGTCGTCTCTGTGAAGGGAAACACGCCTGGCCACTGACCTCTGTCGTCTCCACTCTGGGTGTCCGTTAGAACAGACAGCACAGCCCTACGAAGGGAGTGTGAGCTGCTTTAGGGACTGGGGCCCAGCTCCTCTCCGTACAGTGATGGACAGACAGTGTCATAGACTGGAGAGGAAATTCTATTTTCTCCTTAGTTTAAGAAAAAAAAGGCCGGGTGTGGTGGCTTACGCCTGTAATCTCAGCACTTTTGGAGGCCGAGGTGGGTGGATTGCCTGAGGTCAGGATTTCAAGACCAGCCTGGCTAACATAGTGAAACCCCGTCTCTACTAAAAGTACAAACAATTAGCCGGGCATGGTTTTGGGCACCTGTATTTCCAGCTACTCGGGAGGCTGAGGCAGGAGAATCTCTTGAACTCAGGAGGCAGAGGTTGCAGTGACCCGAGATCGCACCATTGCACTCCAGCCTGGGCAACAGAGCGAGACTCCGTCTGAAAAAAAAAAAAAGGAGAAGGCTGCCTGGCTCTGCTCAGGTGACTGGTCTGAAAGGCGCTCTGAGAATAGCTGTCCTCCTGGCCAAGAGCGGCCTGGCCCCGGGCAGCCACACAGCAGGGTTCTGTGTTTCAGGATGAAGACTCCGGGAAGGCTGACAGCGACGTGGCTGACGACGTGCCTGTGGCCCAGGAGACCGTGCAGGTCATTCCTGGCAGCAAGCTGCTCTGGAGGATCAACACCCGGCCCCCCAACTCTGCCCAGGTCTGTGTCCCTCCATGGCCTGACGTCTCTGCCTGCTCATGTCACACCCACCTCTGGGCCCAGCCCCACGGCTCTTCCCTGTCCTTGGGCCCTTGCCTGCCGCCTCGCCTCAGCCTGTTGTCCCAGAGCAGACAGGGGCCTCCGCCATTGTCGGAGTGGCTTCTGTTGTCCCTGGAGCTGCGTCCCGGCCCTGTGCTTGTCTGCCTTGGGGCCTGCTGTTGGGGCTGGGCACCGCTGCTCCATAGGACATGCAGGTCGAGGTGTGGACGCATGCTCAGCTGCGTGTCAGAGCTGCCCGCCGGGCACACATGCTTGTGCTTCCCCTGGGAACATCAGACAGACGTGGCCATTGCCGGCCAAGTGCGTCTTATCAAAAGAGGCTTCCAAGCCTGTTTGGGGAGATTGCTTTCTCACTTGTCAATTTAGATGCTCAAATGCCTTGTGATATTTATTTTTGAAAATTGCACTTATAATTTTTATTAAATATATGATAAACTACATGTTTTATGACAAATAAAATATGTGATATATGGTTATATGATAAATATCACACGTAATATCTTAGTATTTTTTATAAATTCTTATTTGTATATAAAATTTATGCAACTTATGCAATTTTGTACGTCCCATAAACAGAGCAGAACATGCGTAAAATACAGAAAAGGAAGCAAAACCTTCACTTTAAGCACGTTATCTCAACAGTCACTGTTATCATTTGAGTAGAGTACGAACTGGTTTAACAATGCTATTTTCTTTTTTAATAGAGGCAGAGTCTCGCTCTGTCACCCAGGCTGCAGTGCAGTGGTGTGATCTTGGCTCACTGCAGGCTCCAATTTCTGGGCTCAAGTGATCCTCCTACCTCAGCCTCCCTAGTAGCGAGGACCACAGGCGTGTGCCACCATGCCAGACTAATTTTCTATTTTTTGTAGAGAGGAGGTCTTGCTATGTTGCCCAGGCTGGTCTCGAACTCCTGGCCTCAAGCATTATCTTCCTGCCTTGGCCTCCTGAGTTGCTGGGACCACAGGCATGAGACACTGTGGCCTGCCAATGATACTATTGGTATTTTAAATTTATTATTAGGAAAATTGCGTATGTTTTTTTTCAGGGAAGTCTCTTTAAAGATAACTCATGCTTCCAGCCTTTGGCTCAGCGTATGTGTTGAGTCCTCCTGCCTGCCAGGCCCTGTGGGCCTGGGCACTAGAACCAGGCAGACGAGGTCCCAGGAGGGAGGCGGGGCAGGTGGTTGACTCACACCTGAGAGCCAGGTGGTGCCTTGGGTGCCAGGGAGGGCATCTGAGTGCTGTGGCTTCAGTCATGGGGTAGGGGTGGGGGTGTCTAGGGATTGCGTTTGGGCGGAGGGGACAGTCAGGGCAGAGACCCCTGGAGTAGACTAGTGTGTGAGGGCCCAGGGGGCCATGGGGATGAGGGTGGAGGGGGTGCAGGGGTCTCCAGACGACTTCAGTATTTGCTGTGAGTGACATGGGGCACCAGGAGTCATTTGAGCAGGGGGTGACGGGTGCTGTTGATGTTTCCTGTGGCCTTTCTGGCTGCTTGCTGAGATGCTGTGAGGGCAGCAACAGAAGAGGGAGGACACGGGTGGTGGCTGGAGGGCCTGGCTGTGGTGGGAGGACCTGAGTGGAGCCAGGGCCCTGAGGGCTGCAGAGGCCGGAGGCTGTGGGTGCAGAGGCTGGGAGGCTGTGGGTGCAGAGGCTGGGAGGCTATGGGTGCAGAGGCTGGGAGGCTGTGGGTACAGAGGCCGGAGGCTGTGGGTGCAGAGGCTGGGAGGCTGTGGGTGCAGAGGCCGGAGGCTGTGGGTGCAGAGGCTGGGAGGCTGTGGGTGCAGAGGCCGGAGGCTGTGGGTGCAGAGGCTGGGAGGCTGTGGGTGCAGAGGCCGAAGGCTGTGGGTGCAGGGTGCTGCCGCAGGCCTGCTCGGGTGTGCTGTCCACAAGACGCCGAGCAGACAGCTGCGAGCCAGAAGTCAGGCAGAGCAAGGCTCTGGGAGTCCTGGGCACGGGGGGACTGTCATACCCTAAGCATTCCAGTTGTTAATGTGACAAATTAACTTGCTCCAGGGCTGAGGCTTTGGCAGGTGAAGGGGTAAAGAGGAGGAACCTGTGGGCAGGTGTGGCTGAGGGCAGGAAAGGAGCAGGTACAAGCTGAGGGTTTAGCAGTGGGAGACAGGTGGCGTGGCTGGAGTGTTTCCAGCAAGCTGGTGACAAATCTGTTGATGAGATTGTAAAGACAGAAAAAGAAATGTGTGTGAGTTTTGCTGGTATACCTCAAAATGCAAACGTTACAGCCGCAGTGCATGATACGTGCTTAGTGAAGACGGCAGAGGCATTGAATTTGCAGGTGGAAGACGTGAGCGGAAGTAGGTTCCCATGGTGGCAGTCAGGTAGCACCTGCGGGATTTCAGGGGCCCACTGGGGGTCTTGGAGCATAGTCCATGGTTCAGAGGCCCTGCTGAGGTCGTGTCTCTGTGCCTTGCTCCACAGATGTATAATTTCACCAGTTTCACTGTGAGCCTCAACGAGCTGGAGACAGGCATGGAGAAGACCCTGCCACCCACGGACTGCCGCCTGCGCCCTGACATCCGCGGCATGGAGAATGGCAACATGGGTGCGTCCACGCAGTCAGAGGAGGAAGCTTGGGGCCAAGGACGCCCTGGCTAGGGTGGGAGAGCACAAAGCACTCGCTGGCAGAAGCCAGGCTCTCGCCTACAAGGGGAGCCCCGTCCCTCTCCCTAAACAAACAGGCAGGCTGCAGGCCTTCTAACTAGGCTTCTCAGACCGTCTGTGGTGAAGGGCTTTAAAGATCTCTCGCCTGCCTCAGACCAAACCTTTTGTAAATAAATTAAAATTACATTACTAGAAAATGAAATGAAAAAATACATACAAAGTACAAATCCTAGGCCGAGCGCGGTGGCTCACGCCTATAACCCCAGCACTTTGGGAGGCTGAGGCAGGTGGATCACCCAAGGTCAGGAGTTCGAAACCATCCTGGCCAACAAGGCAAAACTCCATCTCTACTAAAAATACAAGAGATTAGGCGGTCATGGTGGCGCCCGACTGTAATCCCAGCTTCTAGGGAGGCTGAGGCATGAGAATCGCTTGTACCCAGGAGGTGGAGGTTGCAGTGAGCCGAGATTATACCACTGCACTCCAGCCAGGGCGACAGAGTGAGACCCTGCCTCACAAACAAACAACAACAACAAAAAACACAAACAAAAAACAAAGTACAAGTTCCTAATTTGTTATTATTAAATTAAACAAAAGTTAAGATTACATTTAGAAAACTGCACGTGTTCCACTGTGAGGATCCGTGTAGCCATCAGTGCAGTCACTGGCACGTGTGTGGCGTGTCCTGCAGCCTCACACTCTCCCGGTGGGCTCTGTGCTTGCAGCGTTCATCTGTAACATGGCAGATGAACAACTTTCTCACTCACTCATCTAGATGGAATCCGCAGTGAAACTCCTGGCTGAGGAGGCAAATCCAAAGTGTCCTGGGTTTTGAGTTAGTAATGTTTTATTTATTTATGTTTAGAGTCGGGATCTCACTCTGTAGCCCAGGCTGGACTATAGTGGTGTGATCTTGGCTCACTGCAGCCTCAACCTCCCAGGTTCAAGCCATCCTCCTGCCTCAGCCTCCCGAGTAGCTGGGACTACAAGTGCATGCCACTACACCTGGCTAATTTTTTGGGTTTTTTTTTTTTTTTTTTTTTTTGAGACGGAGTCTCACGCTGTTCCCCAGGCTGGAGGGCAGTGGTGCGATCTCGGTTCACTGCAAGCTCCGCCTTCTGGGTTCAGGCCATTCTCCTGCCTCAGCCTCCCCGAGTAGCTGGGACTACAGGTGCCCCTGCCACCACGCCCGGTTAATTTTTTGTATATTTTAGTAGAGACAGGGTTTCACCATGTTAGCCAGGACGGTCTCGATCTCCTGACCTTGTGATCCGCCCGCCTCAGCCTCCCAGAGTGCTGGGATTACAGGCATGAACCACTGTGCCTGGCCAGGTTTTTTTTTTTGTTTTTTTTGTTTTTTTTTTTTGAGACAGAGTTTCACACTTGTTGCCCAGGCTGGAGTGCAGTGGCGTGATCTCGGCTCACTGCAACCTCTGCTCACAGGTTCAAGAGATTCTCCTGCCTCAGCCTCCCGAGTAGCTGGGATTACAGGTGCCCGCCACCACACCCGGCCAATTTTTGTATTTTTAGTAGAGACAGGGTTTCACCATGTTGGCCAGCCTGGTCTCAAACTGCTGACCTCAGGTGATCCACCCGCCTTGGCCTCCTAAAGTGCTGGGATGACACTGTGCCTGGCCTAATTTTTGTATTTTTTATAGAGATGGGGTTTTGCCATGTTGCCCGGGCTGGTTGCCAACTCTTGGGTTCAAGCGATCCGCCTGCTTCAGCCCTCCTAAGTGCTGGGATGCAGGCATGAGCCACCGCGCCCAGCTTGAATTAGTGATGTTTTCAGAGAGAAACCCAGCTCACGAGTGTGACCTGGGAATGGATGTAACTTCTCATGCTTTGTATTCAGAATGTGTGCCCAGTCCTTCACAGAAGCCACATGGCAGTTACCCGGGAAGGTCAAGGCTAAAGGGAGCTCGTCTTTGGGAGATGGGCTCTGAGTTGCACAGGTGGGGCTGGCTCCCCGTCCTGAGCGCCTGCTCGCACACCAGGGCATTGGGTGGTGCCTGGGCCCTGCCTGTCCTTCAGACTCCTGCACCCGCAGACTTTGAGTAGTGCTGTCGTAGAACACGCAGCACATGCAGCCCCCATGCTCTACTCAGCTCCGCTTGGGAAGGGCCCTGTTGGCGTGCCGGCCGCTGTGGCCTCGGCAACTGTGATTGTGTTTGGTCTCCCGATCACAGAACCTGTTGTCTGTGGCATTCCAGCCACAGTGAGACATGCCAACTAGAGATCTAGGTGCATAGGGGGTGGCGGGGTGCGGTTCTAAGGTCTCTGTCTGACCTAAACTGTTTGCTTGGATCCTAGATCTGGCCAGCCAGGAGAAGGAGCGGCTGGAGGAGAAGCAGAGAGAAGCACGGAGGGAGCGGGCCAAGGAGGAGGCAGAGTGGCAGACGAGGTGAGTACTGTGGTAGCCACGCAGGCTGGGGCAGCGGGGAGGCCCCACACACACCTGGGGACGGCGGGGAGGCCCCACACACACCTGGGGACGGCGGGGAGGCCCCACACACACCTGGGGACGGCGGGGAGTGCCTTCTCTCACCCCCACACCCCTGTGGCTGGGCAGTTACTGTTCCATGGCTCCATTAAGGTAGTGACACCAGTGGCTGCCCCTGACCCATGTGGTTCCCACTGCCCAGGTAAGAGCCCATCCTAGCTTAGCGCACACTTTGCCGAGACCACCCGGCTGGGGGTGGCCTGTGCAGAGTGCCTGTCACCTCAGACCCGGGTCTACTGCCGGGCCTCATGGTGTGTTGGCCCAAAGCTTTCTTTTCAACTGTGGCAAAGTTAAAGAGAAAATGTTGCCTGAATGTGACTGCTCCCTTTAGGAAAACACAGCTGGTGAGTGTATGGGTGAGGTCCCCCAGGGGCCACAGCCCGTGTGTAGGGAGGTGGCACCGTGTGGAGGCCACGCCTGTCACACCGATACCACATCTTCCTGTCAGTGCCACTCAGGCTGATCTTCACCCCATGACCCAGAAAGGTTTTGTGAAAATTAAATCCCGTGTGCTGTGCCGTGGCGTCTGTGCACATGGAGGCTGGGACGGTGGCATGGGCTGCGTGGGCCTCACAGAAGCATCAGCTGCTGGGACATGATTCCTGTTTCTGTAACTGTCCTAAGCTGGCTGTAGTTTGTTCTATAATAGTCATAAGAGAAAAGAACCATTGAATAAGGATTCAATCAATAATGTACTGTAATAAGTATAATTTAAAAATGTATTTATAAGTAAAATGTTTTAGTTTGTTAGAAAAATCTTTGGGTGTTTGTGAAGCATCTTAATTCTGTAGGCCACCTGCTTGGTAGGATTCGTTCTCAAGGCCCAACAACAATGATACCCGGTGGCTTACATGTGGCTGGCGTTTTGAAACCAATTCTCACTGTTTGGGCTTCCAATTTAATTTGATACTAGGCTTTGAATGGTTTGATATTTGGAATTTGCCCTTAATCCAGAGAAAAATCAGCTTCAAAATAGTTAACCTTTCCTCATTTTTTTTTTTTTTTGTTGTTGTTGCCCAGGCTGGAGTGCAGTGGCGTGATCTCGGCTCACTGCAAGCTCCGCCCCTCCGGGTTCACACCATTCTCCTGCCTCAGCCTCCTGAGTAGCTGGGACTACAGGTGCCTGCCACCACGCCTGGCTAATTTTTTTTTTTTGTATTTTTAGTAGAGACGGGGTTTCCCCGTGGTCTCGATCTCCTGACCTCGTGATCCGCCTGCCTCCAGCCTCCCAAAGTGCTGGAATTACGGGCGTGAGCCACCGCGCCCGGCCTGTTCATTGTTTTTTTAAAGTGTTAAAAAAAATATACTGTGAAAATAATGATCTTTTGTCCTTCGAAGAAAATGTCTTCTCCTTTGTGAGCGCTGCCCCCACCCCACCCCCAACACTAAGGACACCCCTCGGGCCCTGAGTGCCAGCCGGGGGCTGTGGACGGCGGCTGAACCAGCGCCAACACTCAGGCCCTGTGCTACCTTCTCTTTGCCTATAATGTCTTCCTTTGTCCTCAGTTAAAAAAACCAATACTTGGTTTGCTTTAAATGACAGCACATGTGAACAGTGTAACTGCTTTTGCCTTGAAAAGGGAGAGGCATTATTTAGGCTCCAGTAACTTCTCTGATAAGGGCCCAGTGTGAGGATTTTGTGTTGAGTTAAACCCTCAAGATTTTGTTGGGAAGTGAAATTGACACGGGTGGCTGGATATCTTTAGGTTCCAGCATTCACATGACCACGTGATCAATAATTCTCCGTTGAAGTTGTTACGCTGGGCTGCATTTTAAAACCCACGTTACCGTGATGGTGCTGAGTTGGGGGAACACACTCCTGCACCCAGAACAGGGCTGCGTTTTCCTTTTGGGCTGAGCATCTTCTGACCCCCCTCCCTTGTATCCGGCAGGTGGTTCTACCCAGGCAATAACCCCTACACTGGGACCCCCGACTGGTTGTATGCAGGGGATTACTTTGAGCGGAATTTCTCCGACTGCCCAGATATCTACTGAGGGCCTGGAGGGGCCTGGGGCCCGGGACCGGAGGCTGACGAGGCTGGACTTCCTCGAGTGGCCACTGTGAGCCTCGTCACAGCAGAAACCAACTTTTCTAACGACTGAGTTCGCGGAGATAGCATCATCCCTGATCAAGGATGTAATTCTAATTAACTGTTGATTGCCAAACATTTCACTCTGCTGTGCCGTCTCTTCATAAAGCTTCACTTGGGATCATCGTCTTCATTAAGGTTTCAACAGGGAAATTCTTCACGGCGCCCTTTTATGTGGCAGAAATCAGCTGGGGCTTGTTTAGCTTCCAGCACACTCTCAGTCATAGCATGTGTAGCTAAAGGAAGTAATGGGAAGGGGTTCATGTTCTCTTTATAATGCAGTGGCAAAAGGTTCTGAAAGCCTTTTAAACTCGAACCAGTGGGGGAAAGATGGATCTTGAAGCTAATCCTGCAGAGAGTTTTATAGAGGCCAGGGATTGCCTTCTAAATTATGATAAAACAGAAGTGAAGAGTTTCAGAGCATCAGATTGAGTGAAAAGTTGTCAGATTCTGTATTTTTTAACAATCTTCAATAATGTAAAGATTACTTTTAAAATATTTAAGTTAAAACTACTTGAATAGTATTTTGCTGAAGAGCAAGATATGCATTAATCACCGGTTTTATACTGTCCAAAATGAAGCATCCCCGTGACAAACCAGAGTGGGCAGAAGCATCGAGAGCGTGACAGGAAATCCCAAGACTGCTTCCGCCTCAGAGGCGTCCCGGCTGCGATTCGCTGCCCTGTTGTCAGTGAGGCCTGGCTGTCACCGCACACCGCGTCCGTGTCTCCAGGGGGTTCCTTTCTTCTCACACGTCGCGTGTACCCATAGCACTCTTGTGTTTCTGTTTTTCCCAGTATGCATGTTTAAAATAGAAGTGACAAGAATCACATCCGGTTGTGTCCTGTGGGAGGGTCAGAGGCAGAATCTACTTACAGTGGTGTAATTAAAGTTATTTAACCAAAAATAGGTATGTGTCCATCTCAGCATTCACCTTTATCAAGTGACTGATTTTTTTTTCTTTTCTTTCCTTTTTTTTTTTTTTTTGAGACGGAGTTTCACTCTTGTTGCCCAGGCTGGAGTGCAATGGCATGATCTCGGCTCACCGCAACCTCCGCCTCCCGGGTTCAAGCGATTCTCCTGCCTCAGCCTCCCAAGTAGCTGGGATTACAGGCACGCGCCACCACACCTGGCTGATTTTGTATTTTTAGTAGACACGGGTTTTCACCATGTTGGTCAGGCTGGTCTCAAACTCCCGACCTCAAGTAGTCTGCCTGCCTCAACCTCCCAAAGTGCTGGGATTACAGGCGTGAGCCACTGCGCCTGGCCGTGACTGATTTTTTTTCATGTAGAATTGTCAACACGAGAGATCACAGTGGAGCACTTTGAAAGACCGTCGGTTGTGTGCACGCACGCACACACTCATGCACACGCTGACACGCGGTTGCATGGAGTCCAGGTTACTCAGGCCGGCACTTCTGAGTGACAGGTGCCACCTGCGTGTGTCTTGGCGTCCACATCACACCTGTGACGGAAGCACTTCTGGAAGTGAACACTCGTTTTGAAAGCTTGATTTTGTAGCTTTGGAAGCTGGAAGCGATGGTGTTTGGTGCCGAGTCCTGTGTCATCCTCGGGGCCTATGAGCTCCGTACCAGCCACTCAAAAGTGTCTGAACAGAACCGCTCCGTGACTGGTAGCTGGGTCTGAGGATTCAGGATTGTGGCGTTATTCAAAGAGGAGACTTTGAAATTCCCCGATGGCTGGAATGTGGAGCCCAGGTGCCTCTGGTGGAGGGTCATCTGCTTTTCCAGACTGTGGTTGTGAACCGGCTCCTTCTCCAAGAAAGGTTGCAAGCTGAGAACATCCAGAGGTGAGACTCAGACACATTGAAAGTGACTGCATTTAGGGAGGTTTAACGAGTTCTTACTGATCATTCCACTTGTTACTGGTTAAGATAATTTGCCCACGGGTTTGTTTCCAAGTCCTCTTCTAGGACCAGGCTCCTGGTATTTCAGGGGCTGGTTGGCTGCACAGACAGCCCCTCTTCTGCTGTCCTTGAGGACAGACACCAAACCAGAGGTGGAGGAAGAACGGTAGGAAGGCTGATGGCAAAAGCGGCTGTGTGTCGAGGTTATTTTAACTTTTTACTACTTTTTGTTACTGTTTCTGCAAATGCTAACACATAAACCATGACCTAACTTTTGTCACCTTGGATATCTATTGAATGTTAAACATCTCTAATAAAGATGGCCACCACTTAATGTGTGGAAAGTGATGGCCTTCTCGTGGGCCACGCGTTTGGGTGTGAGTATGGCCTTGACCAAGGGTCTTGGTGCTTTATTCACTTTTAGAGATAGGGTCAGTTGCCCAGGCTCGAGTGCAGTGGTGCAGTCATAGCTCACTGCAGCCTCGACATCCTGGGCTCAAGCAGTCCTCCAGCCTCAGCCTCCCAAGTAGCTAGGACCATAGGCACATGCCACCAAACCCAGCTATTTTTTTAAAACAATTTTGTAGAGACAGGATCTCACTGTGTTGCCCAAGCTGGTCTTGAACTCCTGGGCTCAAGCAATCCTCCTGCCTCAGCCTCCCAAAGTGCTGGGATTACAGGTGTGAGCCACTGTGCCAGGCCCTTGGTTCTTTTAAAAAATTAATCCTGTCATGTAGGATGTCCTTACAGAATGAAAAACCTAGCAAGCTTATTCCCCAACAGAACCTAATACCTTGGTTGGATTCTATTGCTAATTGAAATGAGAATTCGGTTCTATGGTCATTGGTTCAGGGTGTATGTATTGTGAGCTGCTGGAGACAGAACGGTGAACAGGCATGCCTCCCGGAGAGCCATATGCAAAGCACGGAGAGCCACATGCAAAGCACGTGTTGGCAACATAGCACATGCTGCTGCTCACCAGGCTCACCTGGGATGACGGTGTGGATCTGAGTCGCTGGCCACGTGGCGACGTCTGCCCTGCCCTAGTGTCCAAGGACGGTGAAGGGTCGGGTGTCACCAACACCTGCAGCCTTCTCACCGGGCGAGGCTTGGGTTGTGGGAAGTGGGGGACAGCTGGCCCTGGTCCCCAGCCCTGATGGACATCCGGCATTTTGCTGGTGCAGGCTGTCCTGAAGCCAGACCCTCCCGAGACTGCTGTCTGGGAGGAGAGCGAGCCAGCGGCCCAGATGCCTTGGTCGTGGGGAGGTGCCTGTGTGTACCGTGAGTTTCCCAGCCTCCGGCGGCAAGTGGGAAAGCCGGTACAGGAAGAGTGGTGCCTGCAGGTGCTCCCGGTCACCACCACCCCTTCCAGACGCCATCCCCAGAGCTCACATCTGTGCTGGCTGGAGGGTCAGGGCTCCACTCTGCCCGACAAGCAGTCTGGTGCAGGGGACGCAAATGTCAGACCCAGCAGGGCCCGGCACTTGGAGAAGTGCCACATGCCACCCTGGTGGCCTCCGGGCACCCCACTGTCCACGTGTCTGAGCATGGAGCTGTCCATCTGGGGCATTGGCCTTGAACACCAAGGACCTGCCCCGGTTTGCCAGGCACATCTGAACACAAGGTCAGGAGGTTAGAACAGGACAAGAGAAACGCCTGGAGGCCTCCTCACAAGGCATCCTGCTCTTTGGGGAAAATTTCTCCCCAGCAGAAATGGGGATTTACAAGTTTTACAGGTCCTTGTCATTTCCGTGAAGGAAAACAAAGCAAAGACAGTTACGAGTTCTGGTGAGCTTCCCACTGAGCTGGGCGACAGAGTTCAGGTCTCCAAGTGCCGGGCCCTGCTGGGTGTGACATTTGCGTCCCCTGCACCAGACTGCTTGTCGGGCAGAGTGGAGCCCTGACCCTCCAGCCAGCACAGATGTGGACGAGGGGCGCAGCTGGACCCCAGAGGAGAGTTCGATCCATCTGCAGGAAGTCCTGATGGTCCCAGTTTTCTTTGATGGCCACATCTGGACTTGCCTGTGTGTAAAGTGGACACAAAAGACGGGGCCCCTGCCGTGGCCGAGAACGTGGCGGTGGCTCCTGCTGCTTGCCAGGCAGCACGGGAGCTGGGTCTCCCTCGGACCCCTCAAAAGATGGTTCCTCACCGTCTTCTACAGGCTGATGTAAAATTTCTGTGAGGCGAAAGCCACATTTGCCAGCTCTGGGTACGAAGTTCACTTCACAGTCGGTCCTTCGCTTGGTGAGCTTTGGGAGCCAGGCTGCCGTGGCCAGATGTTTAGGAGCACGACGGTGGCTCTGCAGAGGGCGATGGTGTGCAGCCGGGCTTTCCTGTCGCCCACACCTTGCAGGCCCTCACCCCTCCCCGTGCCTTCACCCAGCTCCTCCTCCAGTGCCATTCATCCCAGCAGGCAGCAAGGACATGGCAGCTGAGAAAAGATGCCAGCAGAACGCACTTATTTTATAATATTTAACAACTGTCAGTGCCAAACTGCATTAACACAGTCATCCTCAGATTTTTCAGAGGGCTGTGTACACATCTGTGAAAATAAATGTTAACCTCTAAGATTTGAATGAAGATTCTCTGAAGATGGGCAGCAGGTGACCTTTGTTTTACACTGAGCAATTTTTCACCATCTCAGCCGCTCTGGCCATTTTGAAAAGGGCTACAAATCTGCTAAGGATGAGTCCTCATGCCTGGTTATCAGAAGTTTGGACCGCGTGTTCCTGAGGATTGGCCAAGCAAATGGCTCATTTCCAAAAACTGCCCTGTGGAGAGGGGGCTGGGGGACACTCGTGACACCTGTCGGGCGGCACATGTGATGGGTGGAGCACCCAGGTTCTCCAAGCAGCAGGAGGCTCTGATGGACCCCCCTCCCCTGGCGGGGGGACGCTACTGCTAGAAGCAGCGAAGGGCCCGGTGCCCCAGGTTTCAGCTGCCTGCCTTCTGCCGTAAGTTGCCCCAGCACCTTCGTGCTTTTCAGGAGCGTAAGCTGAGCAGACTCAGTCGTCCCAGTGGTCAGTGTGGCTGGGGCAGAGGGACACACGGTCCACAAGACGTCCATGCTCTCGGAATGCTCCAGGGGTTTGGCTGTGGGGCTCCACCACCATTGCCTGAGCCCGGAGCCAGAGGCTCCTCCCACACTGCCTGGTCTGCCCCACAGAGCATCAGTGCCACGCCAGGTGAGGACAGCGCTCACCAGACAACCAGGCCTGCCGCCCCACTGACGCTGACTTCCGGACCTGCAGAACTGTGAGAAAGTACGTTTCGCTTCTTTGTAAACTGCCTGGTCAGTGGTGGCAGCACAGATGGACCGACGTGGACCTCGACGCGAATGGCGGGCTCTGGGCGCTGACCCGGTGGCGGCGTAGCTCACCGAACACCCAGGGGGACCAGAACTCTCTGCCTTCCACTCAGTTGTGACTTGTCTATTTTTAAAATGTTAAAAAAAAAAAAAACCCACAAGGTGCAGTGGCTCACACCTGTAATCCCAGCCTTTGGGAGGTTGAGGCGGGTGGATCGCTCAAGCTCAGGAGTTCGAGACCAACCTGGCCCACATGGTGAAACCCTGTCTCTAATAAAAATACAAAAATTAACCGGGTCTGGTGACACATGCCTGTAATCCCAGCTACTCAGGAGGCTGAGGTAGGAGAACTGCTTGAACTCAGGAGGCGGGGGCTGCAATGAGCTGAGATCAAGCCACTGCACTCCAGCCTATGGGATAGAGTGAGATTCCATCTCAAAAAAAAAAAAAAAAAAAAAAAAGTTTAAAAAACCCTACCCCTGCCAAATGCTTTTCCGAAGTAGCCGTGCCATTGGTGTTTCCAACTTTGCCTGGCACCTTCCATCGTTTGCTAAGTTCCAGCAGGTGTATTTCATTTGCATTTCCCTCATGAATAATGGTGTTGAGCAGCTTGCCATGGTGCCTTTGCTGCCTGTGACCTCTTTGGTGAAACATCCGGAGGTGTCTTCTGCCCACGTGGAGGCGCAGCCTGGGCTCTGCCGCCCACCTTTCACCCGAGGAGCCTGCAGCACGTGGAGAGCATCAGGGTGTGCTTTCTTTACAGTTTGGGGCTTTTTTGAGACAGGGTCTCGCTCTGTCACCCAGGCTGCAGTGCAGTGGTGCCATCACGGCTCACCGCCAGCCTTGACCTTCACCTCAGCCTCCCAAGTAGCTGAGACTACAGGCATGCACCGCCATGGCTGGCTCTTTTTTAATTTGTCTTTTTCTAAAGACAGGGTCTCACTGTCTTGATTAAGCTGGTCTTGGAACTCCTGGGCTTCAAGGGACCCTCTCAGCTCGGCCTCCCAAAGTGCTGGGATTGCAGGTGTGAGCCATCATGCAAGTCTGGGGTTGTTTTTTTTTTGCTAAACAGGATGAATAGAAATCTCTTTTGGGGGATCTCTTAGTCCAAATCCTTTAGCTGAATGCGCGTGTCCCGGTGAGGCTGCTCCTCTAGATGCTGCGGGCATTTTGCAGACGTCCCACCAACTGCCATCAGCGACCAATTAGAAGATAGGGACAGCTGCACATGTCACACAGCCCTTCTGACCTTGTGTGTGCTTCAAGTCCGAGATTCCTGACACAAAGCAGCGTGTGCCCCCCCACCCACTCTGTGGCCACAGCTGGAGTCCTGGGCTGCTGGGTGCTCCAGGTGCCATACCCCACACACGCATAGAGCCCGTGGGCTGGCAGCGGGCACCCACAGTGGCCTCTGCAAAGCCTGCCTGGCTGCGGCTCGTTTCCTCACTGCAGCATGCTCATAGGAATGTGGGAGTTTCGCTTGAAGTGTGGGTAAAGAGTTCTGGGGTTGTTTGAGCCATCCCAGGCCACAGGGCCTCCAGGAAGTGGAGGAAATGGTAAATCCAGGGTCCTCTTGGCCACTGCGTTGGCCTCTGCACACTTGGCCCCTGCGGACCCTGGGGCTTCTGCTTTACTGTCTGTGACATAAACAAGTGACGCTTGCCACCTTCTTGCCGGGAAAGCCAGGCTGGGTTTTCTCATTTCCACCTTTTCCCTGTTTTACACGAGGGCACGAGGATGGGGCTGCAGTATCAGTGACGCACCTGTCACCAGCGGGCCACAGAGCTTTGTGTTAGCCCCTCTCAAGCCCTTTAGCTTCTGGAACCGTTTAAATTCTTAAAAATTATACAGGACCCCAAAGAGCTTTTGTTTATGTGAGCTTTATCTATTGACATTTACCATACTAGGAATTAAGAGGACATTTAAAATTATTTAGCTACATAAAAATAACAATAACAAACTTACTACCTGTTAACACACATTTTAAAATGAAAAGTGGCTACATTTTCCAAAACAAAAAACGTGAATCTTTAGCTCAATCAATGTTTCAAATGGAAGCATTATGACAGTCAAAAGCTGGCAACTAAACATAACTGGCACAAGCTCTGCCACCGAGACAATGGAGGCCTGAGTAGTAGGCTCCCTGCAGAATGAAAGGACTGGAGCTGCCAGCATCAACACCAACGCATCTCCCAACAAGGGTGAGTGAAAACACACACCTAAAGACCTCAGAGAGCACGTAAGCACACAGCTGTGCATCCACTCTGAGGGTGAGCCACCAAGCACACGGTGACCCCGGGGAGCGCCCGAAGGGAGTGAAGTATCTGAAGGAAAGAAGGAAGTGAGCGATGGGCAAAGGAGAACCTGAGGACCCTGGCACAGTCTCAGCTGCAAACATCTAGTCTTGCTTAACTGGGGTGCAGAGGCCACTGCACCTCAGGGTTCTCACGAAGCGCCTGACCTCTCTATTTTATTACTATTATTATTATTATTTTTTTTTTTTGAGAAGGAGTCTTCCTCTGTCGCCCAGGCTGGAGTGCAGTGGTGCAATCTCGGCTCACTGCAACCTCCACCTCCCGGGTTCAGGCGATTCTCGTGCATCAGCCTCCTGAGTAGATGGAATTACAGGCATGTGCCAGCATACCTGGCTAATTTTTGCATTTTTAGTAGAGTCGGGGTTTCATTCACCATGTTGCCCAGGCTGGTCTTGAACTCCTGGCCTCAAGTAATCCGCCCGCCTCGGCCTCCCAAAGTTCTGGGTTTACAGGCGTGAGCCACCGCGCCTGAGCCCTCTAAGAGCCCCCGCCTGGCGTCGCTGTAGGCAAATCCCAAAGAACGTGTCCCTTCAGCAGCCGGCTGGGGCGCCACAAACACTATCTGTTGTCTTCGCTTTAGTTTGTGTCAAAGTGACTCAAAGTTACACAACACTGGCGGGCGACTGCCGCCTTTTTACCCTGTGGCCTTTCCCATCCAGGCGTCCAGAGGGTGAGCCCCTGCCCTCCAGGACCCCTCCCTTCCAGGACCCTACCCGTCTGGGACTCAGGCCTTCCCTGACTCCTCCCTCCCGGACTCACCCCTCCCAGATCCCTCCCCTCCGGGACCCTCTCCCCTCCCGGGCCCCCTCCCCTCCGGGAACCCCTCCCCTCCCGGACTCACCCCTCCCAGATCCCTCCCCTCCAGGAGCCCCTCCCCTCTCGGGACCCCTCTCCTCCCGGACCCACCCCTTCCTGACCCCTGCCCTCCCGGACCCCTGCGGGACTAGATGTATACAGCTGAGACCATATCACGGTTCTCACCCTCGCTCTACCCTCCCGGACCCCTGCTCTCCCGGACGCGTGGACTCCAGCTCCCGCCTGGGTCCCCAAAGCGCTGAACCCATGGTCACTTCTATGCGTAGCCCTGGTGCCCGCCGCCCACAGCCGGACCGCACTCCTCGGCCTCCGCCTAACCCCTGGCTCAGCCACACGAGTGACAGCTCTGCCCGCCCGGGCGGGCGACGCCGAGGGGTGGGCTCGGCCCCACCTGAGCAGTTCCCCAGCGCCCCTCTGAAACCCGCCTGTGGTCCCTGGCGCCGCCTCTAGGGGCCGCCGCCGCTCCCCTATGACACAGCAACAATAGGGGCCGCTCTGGTCCAAGCGCCCTGCGGCCCGCGCTTCCGCCGGAAAAGAGCCGCCGGCGCGGGGGCGGACCGGGGAGGAGCGAGTGCGATGGACGGTCGCCCTCGCCAATCGTTGGCAGGTTAGAGCCGGCTGCGCGGCTTACGGGGCTCAATCGGCGGCGAGAGCGGCAGGCGGGGCGGGCCGAACGCGGGTTTCCGGCGGGGCCCGGCAGGCGCCGAGGAGGAAGAGCGAGCCCGGACGGCGCCTCTCGAACGAGTGTGGGCGCGAGGCAGGTGCGGGAGTCGCCGGGCCTGGGGCGGCCGGGGGCGACCGGAGGCGGGGGCAGGGGCTGCTGGACCAAGGATGGGGCGGGGGCAGCCAAGACGAGAAGGTGGCCGGCGCGGCGGGTGGGGCCTGCGGGGGCCGGGCCGGGCGGGGGTTCTGGGGTCTCGGGCGCCGCCCCGGTTCCGCCTGCGGCTCTGAACGTGGGGCTCGGCGGGAGCTCGGGCGGGTCTGCCCCGCGGAGCGGGTCGCCGGGGTGGCGCGTCGAGGCTGGTGCCCCGCGGAGACGGCGTCAAGCCTAGGGCCGGCCCCACTAGGCTTGGCGGGGCTGCCCCGGCCCAGCGCCGAGTGCGGGCGGTGCGATCGTCGTGAGCGGGGCAAACGCGGAAAGGCAGCCCGGCGTGTCTGAGTCTGCCTTAGGCAGCTCTGGGCGCAGGCCCCCTGCTCGCAAACACCCCAGGGGGCGGGAGCTTGCCGGACCGCAGGCGACAGTGACCGCCGCGTCTCAGCGTCCTCTCCGCGCTTTCAGGATGACGACCTCAGGCGCGCTCTTTCCAAGCCTGGTGCCAGGCTCTCGGGGCGCCTCCAACAAGTACTTGGTGGAGTTTCGGGCGGGAAAGATGTCCCTGAAGGGGACCACCGTGACTCCGGATAAGCGGAAAGGGCTGGTGTACATTCAGCAGACGGACGACTCGCTTATTCACTTCTGCTGGAAGGACAGGACGTCCGGGAACGTGGAAGACGTGAGTGTCCCTGAGCCGCAGCAGCAGGACAGGCGACTTCTCGGGCCCTCGGAGTCCTCGCTTTGGAGTTCGCGGTGGGGGCTTGGCCGCATCTGGGGACCGCTCGTGGGGCCGTCATCGACTGCCCTGCTGATGGGTCGTCCTGGTTTCCGCGGTGACAGGGGCATCTCGGCCACTGTGTATCTTGAACTGTCCGTGTGAGGTGCCTGGGTTGGAGGTGTGGCCCTGGAGAGCCCGGAGCTCTGTGCCTGGCCTTGAACTGTCCGTGTGAGGTGCCTGGGGTTGGAGGTGTGGCCCTGGAGAGCCTGGAGCTCTGTGCCTGGCGGCTTCACTCAGTCTTCTTTGTTTTTCAAACTCTTAGTTGTTCTTTGTTACATTTGAGAGCAGTTCAGCGTTGACTTTTTAACTACTCTGGGAATGTTGTTTCCAGCACGTCTCAGAAACCCCGTTGCCATCTGAAAGGCCCCTTTCCCTGCTCTCTCCCCCGGCCTTGCCTTTCATGGGCTGTCTCTGACCCTGGCTTCTCTGCCTTGTGGAGACCCTGCCAGCGAGGGGTCTGGCGGCTTAGCTGCCCCTTGCGCACCCCACCCGGTTAGACCCAGGGCTCAGTACGCTCTCCTGAGACTGGGCACAGTGATGCCATCTGCGCCACTGACTCTCTCTTCCCCTGGCTTGCCAGGACTTGATCATCTTCCCTGACGACTGTGAGTTCAAGCGGGTGCCGCAGTGCCCCAGCGGGAGGGTCTACGTGCTGAAGTTCAAGGCAGGGTCCAAGCGGCTTTTCTTCTGGATGCAGGTATGGGGCAGGCCTTGGGGTTGTGCCTTTTTGTTGCCCTGCGATTCGGTTAGGAACTTGCTTACAGTGTGGTGCAATTGGCTTTTATAAACCAGCAGGCGCCGGCCACACCCGGCCACACGGCCTGAGATGCCACCTCAGGGCTGCGGTGCATGCTACCTGGGGCCGAGGTCCTCTCCCAGAGTACGGAGGCTCCAGGCTGGGCTGCGGGCAACCGATTGCGGTGTGAAATTTCCAGGCAGACAGACATGCTGGCCCTGGTTCTAACGATGCCCAGTGCCCTCTCTCTGCCCCTTGCCGTGGGTCACTGAGGCCCCCACAGCAGAGGCAGAGGCCCCTGTGTGGCTTCCCTGCTGGTGCTCACAGAAACGAAGCATCCTGCTCACACTTTCCACAGTCCTGCCCCTTCCCTGGCAGTGTGTCCTGGAGGCCAGGGGTGTCAGTGCCCAGGGTTTCTCTTACCCACAGCTGCAGAGCGTCTTTTGGGTCTAGAGGCCGCTGCTCATTCTGCCATCTGTCAGTGACCATTGAGCTTGTTGCCGTTTTTTGTGCTGTTACAGGCAGTGTTGCAAAGAATTTCCCGGTACACAGATCATTTTCCATAAGCCAGTATCATCTGTAGGTGAAAACTGGTGGCGGGCCTGTGGTCAGGAAGCGTGTGCATGCGTTTGCAGTGTGGAGAGAGAAGGCCATGCTCTCTGCCAGAGGTGGAGCTGCTGTCCCCACCCCACCCCCCTTGGCACTTTCAAGAGCAGGGGTGGCCCTGGCTGAGGTCTCTGTGGAGCACATGGTCTGTGTTGCTGGTCACCTGTGCAAGTAGTGTGCAGCGGCCTGAGAAAATGAACAGGCATAGCCAAACTCCAGTTAAACTTTATTTGCAAACACAGATGGCGGCCACAATTTGCCACCTGCTGGTGTAGAACGTGTTTTTCCACGGTTTTGCCAAGAAATAGTGTCCAACTGTTACCACCATCTCCCTTTTTTCCCCGATTTTCCTGTTGGTGGCTTTTAAGTCCCCCGTCCCTGCTTTGCCATGAGAGCAGGGACTCCCAGTGTCCCTGGCGCCCTGCAGCTTCCATAGCCATTCGGGGTGTGCGTGGGTGCTCTGCTCCCAGCTCTGTGAGCTCGCAGGTCGATGCTTCTGACACTGATCTGTGCACATGTGTGTGCACACGCGTGTGCTCGATTGTGAGCGCCTGCCGTGGCCCTGGGCCGCGGTGTGCTGAGCGGGCCAGTTCGCTGCCTTCCACTGGTTGAAGGAAGGAGACGGGTGTGTAAAGAACCGCACCCCAGAGGGCAGGAGGGTGAGAGGGCTTGGTCTGGCAGCAGCTAAGTGCCTTCGGAGCTCTAGGCTCCCCATTTGTGAAATGGGCGGAGGGGGACAGGGCACACCCGGGATTGCGGCGGATGGGGACAGGGCGCAGAGCATCGTGCTCAGGAGGCGCCACTGCCGTCCCCTCACCTGCTGGGCCGGGTCCTGTCTCCTCAGCATTGTGTGGCCAGGCACACGCGCCTCTGCGTCTCAGGTCCCTCACCTGGAAGCCAGGTCAGAGGATGGCTGTGGTGGCCCTGGGTGAGCTGGCGCCAGCTCCTGCCCTTACATGCCCTTCCTCTTGCAGGAACCCAAGACAGACCAGGATGAGGAGCATTGCCGGAAAGTCAACGAGTATCTGAACAACCCCCCGATGCCTGGGGCGCTGGGGGCCAGCGGAAGCAGCGGCCACGAACTCTCTGCGCTAGGCGGTAACTGTCACATGTGTCACGTGAGCTCAGGGTTTCCTGGGAGGCCAGAGTCTACTGTGGATGACTCGCCCCCTCAGCACAGGTTGTTTGGAAGTGGAAATAGAAGATTCTAAAAGTTAGAGACCCTGTGAGCTCCCTGGGTCACTCCCCACTCCCACCTTCACGGGGTAGGACGGGTCTGCATCCCACCGTCGCCTCACTTCAAGTGGTGCCCCCTGTAGGGTTCAGGGGCAGCCGAGTGCGGTGCTCAGCAGAGGCGCAGGCAGTGCGGTGGGGCCCGCGTGGATCTGGCTGGGGCAGGCCCGCCTGAGCTGCAGTGTTTTCCAGGTGAGGGTGGCCTGCAGAGCCTGCTGGGAAACATGAGCCACAGCCAGCTCATGCAGCTCATCGGACCAGCCGGCCTTGGAGGACTGGGTAACGTGCGCCACCCGGGCTCTCGGGCAGCTTCTGCTGGGAATGCTTTGAGGCCCGGTCTCTGTTTCCTTTAAACTTCTGCTGGCTCTGTCTGCGTAGTGTCGGGGAGCCTGTGTGTCCGCAAGCTGGTTCCCCTTTGGGAATGCGCTTGTTTGCCTGTGGCTAGAGCTGGGTAGGCGAGGGCTTCTGGGCCCCTGGTGAGGACCCCAGCTGGGTACTTCAGAGGAGGGTGGCTGGCCGAGCGGTGGGGCTGGAGGACTGGAGGGAGCTGGGGTTCCTGCGCCCTGGGTCCCCTGGCCCTACATGGCTGCCTGCCTGCTGCCAGCTCATGGAGTGCAGACCCGTGTGCTTGGCCCTTCAGAAATGCTTGTCCCTTTGGGTGGGATCTGGACTGAATCTTCTAATCTAAGCACATGAATTGTGTAATGGGATGGAACAGAAATGACCTTGCTTCCAGAACACAGCCGCAAGTGTCCACCCGCCCCACGCCGCTCCTCCAGGCCTGTGGGTCCCCACCGCCCCGCTTCTTCCTGGCTTTGGTGTTGGGAATTCCTGCTCCTCTGGCCTGGGGAGGGGCCAGGCTCTTTCTGGTGGGCTAGAGGGCATCCTGAGCTCGCATTTCCTTGCCCCTCGCAGGTGGGCTGGGGGCCCTGACTGGACCTGGCCTGGCCAGCTTACTGGGGAGCAGTGGGCCTCCAGGGAGCAGCTCCTCCTCCAGGTGAGCCTCATCGCTCCTGCCACGCAGGTGCCACGGTGTTAAGGGAGGGGCAGTGGGGAATCCTGGCCCAGCACCCTGGACCCTGCGAGTAGGCCCTGCCGTGTGGGGCGTGTCCGCTCCAGCGGTGCCCTCTCTCTTCGCAGCTCCCGGAGCCAGTCGGCAGCGGTCACCCCGTCATCCACCACCTCTTCCACCCGTGCCACCCCAGCCCCTTCTGCTCCAGCAGCTGCCTCAGCAACTAGCCCGAGCCCCGCGCCCAGTTCCGGGAATGGAGCCAGCACAGCAGCCAGCCCGACCCAGCCCATCCAGCTGAGCGACCTCCAGAGCATCCTGGCCACGATGAACGTACCAGCCGGGCCAGCAGGCGGCCAGCAAGGTAACGTGTGCTGTCGCCTGGAGCTGGGTGGGGGGCATGGGGCCTGCTGACCCTCGCACGCTCACCTTCCAAGGCATCTGCCTAGTGTGCGCGCCTGGGGTGCTGGGGCCATGGGCTGAGTCCCTGCTTGCATGCCTTCCATGTGGGCACTTAGGCTGTCATCGAGCTGATGGCCGTGTTCTTGTGCCCCAGTGGACCTGGCCAGTGTGCTGACGCCGGAGATAATGGCTCCCATCCTCGCCAACGCGGATGTCCAGGAGCGCCTGCTTCCCTACTTGCCATCTGGGGAGTCGCTGCCGCAGACCGCGGATGAGATCCAGAATACCCTGACCTCGCCCCAGTTCCAGCAGGTAGAGGCCGGGCCCAGGGTGTCCTCCACTGTGTGCTCAGGGAGTGGGCAGGGGGGAGGAGGAGGCCCTGCCCCACCTTCACCATGGCCAGTGCTTCATGTGCCTGACCCGCAGAGCTGGCAGCTGAGCAGTGTGGCTCTGGGGTGCAGCCCGGGTTGGAGCTCAGCCCTCGCCTGGCTCTTCTTGCAGGCCCTGGGCATGTTCAGCGCAGCCTTGGCCTCGGGGCAGCTGGGCCCCCTCATGTGCCAGTTCGGTCTGCCTGCAGAGGCTGTGGAGGCCGCCAACAAGGGCGGTAAGTGGCTGCGCCTGCACCTCCAGGCCAGAGCCAGGGGCAGGGTCCATTCCTGTCCCCCTGGATCTGCAGAAGTGGGGCTGAGGGGGTAAAGGTCACAGCCCTTCTGCCCTTGATCCCATCGCTTTGATCCCCAGTTCTGGGCAAGGGTTAGACACCACCTTGTGTCTTTAACGTGTTCTAGATGTGGAAGCGTTTGCCAAAGCCATGCAGAACAACGCCAAGCCCGAGCAGAAAGAGGGCGACACGAAGGACAAGAAGGACGAAGAGGAGGACATGAGCCTGGACTGAGCCACGCGCCGTCCTCCGAGGAACTGGGCGCTTGCAGTGCGTTGCACACCCTCACCTCCCACCCACTGATTATTAATAAAGTCTTTTCTTTTACCTGCCAATGCTTAGTTTCTTTGCCCAAAGGGAGTTTCGGCTGGACAGGTGCTAGCGTGGGGAGCTGCTGTAGGGTCCCAGAGACAGTTAGTTATTTGACCTAACAACGGAAAACGGTCACCCCAGGAAGAGTTTGGTGCCTCTGTCCAGGCCGGTTCCAGATCTGTCTTGAGACTCACTCTCTCCGTATTTAAGTCAACATTCATTCGGTTACACAGAAGTTACTTTTTAATTTTTAAGGAGGAACCAGTGATGATTGGTGACAAATCTCTCACAATTAAAAATGGGTGGAAGGGCCAAATATAAAAACATTTTGCAGTATTTTATTCTTTCGTTTAAGAAGCTATAACTTAAACCATCTTCAGAAACAAGATCTGTCACCCGTAGAGCTTAGAGTCCAAATAGACACCTATGAGGCGAGCACAAGGGGCGGTGTGAGGCAGCTGCAGGGGCCTGACCAGGGGCCGGGGTTGGCTGTGTCCTAGGCGGCTGGGCAGCCACTGGCCCCCACTGCCCCGTGGACCTCCACAGAGCGAGTCATGGCGACGGGGGACCGGTTCACCGCCAGCCTCCTCATGCAGCCGCAGTAGGCGGGGGGCCAGGGCTGCACGGCCATGGGCTCTGGGGGCACAGGGAAGATGGAAGAAGGCTGGTTGGTGGGCAGCTAGAGACCCACAGGCCCTTCCCAAACGTCAGTGCCCCACCCAGCCCCTGTCTCATTCCACATCATAGGAGGGTGGTAGGGGGGTGGGAGGAGGGTGGGAGGGGGCAGGGGGTGGAGGGGTGGGGGGAGGGTGGTAGGTTACGCAGCACCTAGTCCTGAGGGGCAGCTCCCCCACCCTTGATCAAGGCCGCACTCACCAGGCAGGCCCCCGAGGTACAGAGGGGCTGGGGCACCAGCTGCAGCCGCCAGCAAGGGGCCCACGGTGTGGTTGCTCTGCGCGTCCACCTCCAGCCGGAGCACATTCCCGCTTTTCATCACTGGGAGAAAGGGGGACTCCTGAGGCCAGGTGGTCCTCAGCCCAGCCTCTCTCCAGCCCCAAAAGAAGCCACCCCACCCAGAGTCCCGCCTGGCTCCCGCTCTGCAGAAGGGTGGGGGTGGCAGAGTGCCCTGGCCACAGGAGGGGCCTCACCCGCTAGCCGGTGCCACTGGCCATCACACAGCACTGAGGGGCGGGTCACTGACGTGGAGAACTCCCCTGCTCCGTCATCCGCCCGCAGCAGGACCTGGCGGGGTAGGAAGGGAGGGTCAGGCTATGCCCCCGAGGTCACCAGAATGGGGAGGCAAACCCTGCCCTGGCACGCCACCTCTGCCAGGCTTACTTGCTTCTCGGTCACCTGCAACTGCAAGTAGGGGGGCGTCCGGGCCTGGCCCAAGTGGAAGATCAGTCCGGTGACTGCCAGGGGCCGCACCTCCAGTTCCAGGCCCACATCAGGCAGTGTAGCTCCTGGGAGGTCTGCGGGGAGGGGTTGTGATGGAGAAGAAAGGGGGGGCCCCTCCCCAGAACCTCCTGGAGCCCCCTGCCCTGCCCTGCTGAGGCCTGGGATGCCAGCACCCACAGACCTAAAGTGATAACTCCCCCGCTGCCTGGGAAGAACAGGCCCGCCTCCAGGGGGCCCAAGATGCAGGGTGTGACCCCTGCCATCCGTGTGGGGGCCCCCAGGGGCCTCCCGTGCAGCCTCAGTCTCTTCACACAGCCGCTGAACCCGACGGTCACCTATAGGAGCAGACCGGGCAGGGATCAGGGCCCAGGGCAGCTGAAAGGGAACAGTGGGTGGGGAGTGGGGGCTGGGGCAAGATGGTTCTCACCGGAAGTTTGGAGCTGTGGCTGCTGGCCGGGAGGCCGCCCACAAAGAGGGTGTGGGGCTGGGGGTGCTCTGCCCCCTGGTGCTGCCGGTGCGGCCCCTCCTGGCTCCAGGCCCGGGCCCCGTCCGTCACCAGCAGGATCCGGTTCTTCTCCCAGCGCACGGAGACCTGGGGGCAGGAGATGGGTCAGGGTAGGGCTGCCAGGCCCTGCCCACCACCTTCCTTCTTCTCGGCCCTCACCTTGTGCCAGCGGCCAGGCCGGGAGCGCTGGCGGCTCTGGGCGCGGAGCCGAGTCCCGAGGCCTTCCATCTGTGCAACGAAGTGGCCATTGCTCAGGAAGAGCGCCAGGGAGGGGCTGCCGGGCCTCAGACGGGCAGTGAAGAGGAGGAGGCCTCGGGAGCTTCGCGGGAGGACGTGCATGGAGAGACTGGGCCTGGAAGCGGAGCTGGCGTCAGCCTGCGCGGCCCCTCTCAGCCCACCCCAGCCGGGCCTGGCCTTACCAGTTCCTATGTCGGGCCAGGATGCCCACAAACTCCAGGTGACTGGACAGGGAACCCCCAAACTGGTAGGAGTCTCGGGTGGTCCTGAGGTGTGGGGGCAGCATGCAGGCAGGATGCCGGGCGGGCTGACGGCTGCGGCGGGAGGCCTGGGGGCGTGGATGGTGAATGCAGGGGCCGCCCACACAGGGGCCACCCTTCCAGCCACCCCAGCTCTGCCTGCTCACCCCTGGGGTGCCCACCTTCCGGGCGGTGGCCTGCAGTCCTCTAGGCCCCAGGCCCGGGGTCTGGGCTTGCAGGGCGGGTGCACAGCCCGTGCTCACATTGACGCTGCCCAGGTTCTGCTGCAGATCAAATACGCGCTGTGGGCCCAGGAGCCTGTGCAGGGCGGGCAGGCGGTCAGCAGCTGCGGAAGGCCAGCTGGGACCTTGTCCCCCAGCGCCCACCAGGCTCACCGCTGCACGAAGACGTTGCTGATGCAGCCACTGAAGTTGTAAATGGTGCCAGACTCAGGCAGGCCTCCCAGGAGGAGCCTCGGGGGCCCCTCAGGCTGCGGCTGGAGCTCGGGGGGTGGTCCCCGGTGGGGCTTCATCTGCTGGAGCTGGTCATCGACATACAGCCAGACTCTGGGGGGCGGGAGGCCGGAGGCTCGGTTTTTCCCCACCCTGCCCACCCCCACCTCAGAGGAGACAGAGGTCCAGGCAAGTGCAGGCGGGCGTCCCTCCAGACCTTCACGATGAGGGCCCAGCGGCCAGGCTCACCCCGTGGCATTGCTGTAGAAGGCGACGTAATGGGGGGCACCATCGGCGAAGCCCGCTTGAGTTTTCACTTCAGTCCTCAGGAGCTGTAGGCTCACACGGCCCTGCTGCAGGGACACCTGGCATAGCCCATCCTGGGGACGGCAGCCAGGTCAGCCGGCCGGCCTGGGGACCCAGACTCATTCCAGACACCCCAGTCCCAACTGCTCCGACGGCCACCGCGGGGTGGGGAATGGGCACGGGTGTGAGGTCTCACCGGGGACGCCCGGTAGTAGAGCAGGGCACTGTCCTGGGCGCTGTGGAAGCCGAAGCCGGAGTAGACGTTGCCAGTGAGCGGTGCCACGTTCGAGAGCGCCAGGCGAAGGAAGCCGTGGCCATGGAAAGTCATGGCGCGCCCCACCTGCGGGGAGGCCATCCCTGAGTGCCCGCGGGTGCCCCTGCATGTCCACAGATGCCACCCCCAGCCCGGGGAGGGCTGCTCACCAGCAGGTCGGCGGTGCAGCCGGCGCTCACGCCTGTCGTGTTCAGCCGCTTGAGGTCCACATACTTGCCCAGGGCCTTGATGCCTTTGACGCAGCCACGGACTGAGCCTCCGGTGGGGAAGAGCCGTCGCAGGCTGTGGGGAAGCGGGGATGCGGGTCAGGGCGCCACCTCCAAGCCCAGCCTACCGCCCCAACAGCCTGGCCTCGGAGCCCCAGCTGCGCACAGTGCTTACCTCGGGGGCAGCTGGTCGGGCGGCACGCCCCCCAGGTAGTAGGCGTCGGCCAGCTCCAGATCATTGTCCTGCTCCACGCTGTACACCGTGGCCCGCTCCACACGCACCAGCACACGCTTGCGGCTGCCCCCCAGCAGGAACACCTGGATCTACAGGACCAGTGGGGGCTCCAGGGCCAGCTGTGTCCCTGCGGCCTGCCCCGCCCCCATCGTTCCATCTCCTCTCCCTGCCACCCTGGTCCCCACCCTGGCCCTACCGCCTTGCTGGCCGAGGTCAGGGGCGGTGGGGGCTGCAGTGGGACGGCCTTTTTCAGGCCAGCCCCAAAGTCATACAACAGCACGAGGCTGCCTTCTTGCACGGCCAAGCACAGGAACTGGCTCTGCAGAAACAGGGCAGGGTTAGTGTGGGGCAGGGTCAGTGCAAGTGGGGATGGCAGGACGGGTGTGCCTGGCGCACCTGCTGCTTCAGGAAGAAGAGCACCCCGCTGTAGGACACGAGCCGCAGCTCCTGCTCGAAGCGCTTGGTGGTGCTGATCTGACTGTCGAAGCTGATGCGGGCGAAGCCGGTGCCGTCCAGGTAGGAGCCGTCCGTGAGCCACGGGTCCCCGGTCGACTTGGAGCTGCAGGTCGGAGATTCTGGGGTCAGCGGAGGGTGGGGTGGGGTGGGTGGAGACGGGGAGGGCAGGCCACACGCACCGGGCACAAGGCCTGTCCACAGCCGTGTCCAGCTGGAAGGTCCTCTCGAAGTTGTAGAGGCTGACCACCTCCTCATTCAGCGTGTCCATCTCGATGCAGCCCCGGTAGCCGGGGAAGCGAAGCAGGGGAGGGGGCTGTGGGCACAGGGCTGGGTCAGGGCACCTGGCCTGAGGCGCCTCCCCTCCAGGATGGACCAAGGGGACTTCAGACTACAGCAGGACGGACTGAGGCAAGATACCAAAAGAACCCGCGGCTCTCCAGGACACAAGCGACTCGGGGCTGCGGAGCCCCTCCCAGGCTGCCCCAGGCCGGGCGGGCTCACCGTGAAGGTACTGGGGTACCCCCCGACGTAGAAGACGAAGTCGTCTGGCCGCAGGTTGAGCAGCCCCTCTGCCCCAGGGGCCACCGTGTCACCCTTGGTTTCCTGGATCATCTGTCTCTCCACTGTGACGGACATGTGGCCAAACTGGAGAGTCCTGAGGGCAGAGGCGAGGGGTGGCGAGTGGGCACGGAGAGATGAGGGGTGGCGAGTGGGCACGGAGAGATGAGGGGTGGCGAGTGGGCACGGAGAGATGAGGGGTGGCGAGTGGGCACGGAGAGACGAGGGGTGGCGAGTGGGCATGGAGAGACGGGTGGCGAGTGGGCACAGAGACGGGTGGCGAGTGGGCACAGAGACGAGGGGTGGCGAGTGGGCACGGAGAGACGAGGGATGGCGAGTGGGCACAGACGAGGGGTGGCGGGTGGGCACAGAGACGAGGGGTGGCGAGTGGGCACAGACGGGTGGCGAGTGGGCACAGAGACGAGGGGTGGCGAGTGGGCACAGAGACGAGGGGTGGCGAGTGGGCACGGAGAGGCGAGGGGTGGCGAGTGGGCATGGAGAGGTGAAGGGTGGTGGGTGCACACGGAGAGGGGAGAGATGGCGAACGGGCAAGGGCCCTGCAGTTGGAGGCATCCGGCCTCTCTCCTGGGCCTCCCACCTGTCCAGGCTGACAGCTGCGAACTGCTCCCCAATGTCCTCATCGATGCTTAGGACTGCAGGGCCCGCCTCACCCAGCTGATACACCCAGTGCACCTTCTTGTCACGCAGAGACACACCCATGTAGTCCCCAGTGGCCTGCGGCAGTGACAGACACACAGTCGGGATGGGGACCGGGGACCAGGGACCAGGCACCGCTCATTTCCAAACAGAGCCTGAGCTCGGGCCGCATCCACCCAGCCAGCCTGGTACCTGGCGGCTGCCCATGTACATCACAAAGCGATCCTCGGTACCCTGCCCAGGCTCAGGCTCTGGGCCCTGCAGGTAGAACTTGAGGGCAGTGTAGGCAGCAAGGTCGGCAAGATCCCGTGGGGTGCGCAGCTGCACCCCTGAGCGCCCGTTGAACTTCATGGGCACCTTGACCTGCGGGGCACGGTCCATCAGCGTCCACCACCACCCTCCCTGATGTCCACCTTCCCCTGGGACTCTCACCCACCTTACTGGCAGCCCCCCGGGCCTGGGCAATGAGCTCTCGCACGCGGCCAATGCTGGCGGACAGGGCCAGGCTGGCGTTGTGCACCCCACGGTTCTCCAGGATGCTCAGCTTGGCCAGCAGCTGGGGCAGCGTCTTCTCCAGGGTGGACACTGCAGAGAGGGAGACCTGAGACCTTTGCCCCCCACCGTGCCCGCCTCCATCAGGGGCACCGCGAGGGCCATGGGCGCACCTGAGTGGCCTGCGTCAAGCACTGCCTGGCCCAGGTCCTGGCCCCGCAGGCCCTCGTACTGGCCCTGCCACCGCTCCACATTCTCCTGCATGGCCTGCAGCTGGGACTGCACACGGGTGGCGGTGTCCTGGGCTTCAGCAGCCACAGCCTTGGCATGTGCGATCTTCTTGCTTGTCTCGTCTGTGGTGGGCAGAGGGCAGGCTCAGCAGGGGCCAGCGGGGACCATCCTGGCTTCATGTCCCCAAGTCTTTCTGTTGGGCCAGCAACAGGGACATCCAACCCCCTATGGATCGTGTGAGACCCTCACACCCCGCTGCTCAGTGCAATCCAAACCCATCCTAAATGCCTCCACCAGACGCCCCCTCCATGCCAGGACAGGCACCCAGCCTCTCAGGCCACAGCTGGTCCCTGGACATGTGCCCCATGTCACCTCCCACCACCTGGCCCCCACCATCTCTCCTGGGCTTGCTGGGAACAGTCCGCAGCCACAGGGGTCCCTCAGAAACTGGGTGAGGCACATCGTCCTCTGCTCCAAGCCTCTCAGGGTGGGAGCCCTGGTCCTCACCGCCCAAGGTCTTGCCAGCCCCTTGGTTCCAGCCACGCTGACCACTGTGCCCTCCTGGGTGCCCTTCCTGCAGGGTGTGCCCCAATCCCCCCCAAGGCCTACAGCCCTCCCACCTATAACTCCATTTCTACCCAAAGCACTTCCAAGCTTGCCAGGCTCCCGACGGCTGGGGCTGTCTGTGCTATCTGCAGCCCTGGCACCTCCCTGGTAGGCTTTCTGTGTCTGGCCCCAGCTGCCCACTGTGGGGGTCTCTTCCACAGCACAGTGAGTGCTCACCAACCACATGTGGCCAGCGCCACTGTCACAGAGCCTCATGGTCGGCCGGCTGCGAGAGCCGGGCCCAGGCTCCGCATACCTGTGTCCATGGCAAGCATGGCCTGCGCCGCCTGGATGTGCGCCTCCAGCTGGTCCTTCTTGGCCCGGACATCTCGGAGCTGGGTCCTGGCACCCTGGAGGGCAGCCCACACTGCGGGGGAGGCAGCTTCAGCTCCCAGGCAGCTTCACCCCCAGTATACAATTGCAGCCCACCTCCACCCTTCTGACCCCAGGAGGACCAAGGCTGACACACAGCAGACAGATGGACAGGGACACTCAGACATGGAGTCCCTTAGCCTGTGGGGAGGTGTTGAGTCTCAGCGTAGCCTCTGTTCCCTGAAGGCCTCTGGTCCCACTGCAGGCATAGCTGTCCCCATTGTACAGATGAAACAATAGAGGCTCAGAAGAGACAGCCCTCTGGTCCTAGCAGCTCACACCTTTCTCATTGCGCAGCTTGGCACGCGTGTAGCCCTCGGGTCAGCAGAGCAGAGGCCACGTATCTCTTGCCCTGTGCCCTGTGGCTCAGCTGGTGCCTCAGTGGCAGCCAGTGCCTCGCAGGAGGCTGCTCCTCCCTGGACTCCCCTGCAGGGCTCCCCGGGGCTGACACACAAGCAGCTGGGGAGCCATCTCCAAAGCTCTCCCACCCCAAACCATGCTGCGGTGACCCACAAACCCCACGTGTGCATGTGGCTGGGGGCTGAGGGTCCCTGGGAGCTCAGATGCCCAGCAGGCCTAAGGGCCCCCATCGGAGCCCAGCACTCACCAAGGCCCAGCCTCTGCTGTTCCTGGAGCATGGCCTCTTCTAGTGCAGTGCTGTTGGCCAGGAGCTGCTGGGCTCGGTCCACCAGGCCCTGCCGCACCACCGTCTGTGGATGCCAGGGCAGACCGTGGCTCAGACACGCAGGCCGGGGCTGCGGGAGGTGCAGGCAGTGGGGGCGCTCCTGCTGGGGCTGAGGGGAAGTGAGGGGCCTCACCGCCCACGTGTGGTCCGCCTGCTGCAGGGCCTGGCCAGCAGCATCCTCGGCAGCCTGCACGGCCTGCAGGATGCGGCTGTAGGCGTTGGAGGCCTCGATGGCCCTCTGGGTGAGGCGGTCCTGGTTGACGTCCAGGATGATGCTGCAGCGGAAGGGAGGGTCGAAGGAGTGGGTAAGCGCAGACGCCCTCGGCCTGGCTCTCCAGCCTCCTGCGCTCACAACCAGCCGTGCCCGTGCCTGCCCGCCAAGTCCCGCCTCCAGGTCTTTGCCCGTGCCTGTCGCCTGCTGGGTGTACTGCTCCTGTCACTCTGGGCCCCAGCTTGCCGTGGAGCTGAGGAAGGCCTGGCTTCTTTGAGGACAACGGCCTCAGCCCCTAGGAGCCTTCCCAGACCAG
The DNA here is from genome assembly GCF_000001405.40 of Homo sapiens. NCBI lineage: Eukaryota > Metazoa > Chordata > Mammalia > Primates > Hominidae > Homo > Homo sapiens. Next base: position 62,317,276 of record NC_000020.11, read on the forward strand.
CTGGCCCTCCCAAGGCCCTGTCTGCATCCCCAGGGTGGGCCCAGGGCCCCTCCTCTCCTGGCCACCCACCTGGACAGATTGAGTGCCAGCTGGCCCAGCTGCTGTGCGTGGGCCTCGGCGGCCTCCACTAGACGCAGCTTGCTGCCCGCCGGGGAGAAGGTCTGCATCCTCTGCAGCAGTGGGGTCCGAGCCCCATCCAGGCTGGCGGCGAGGCGCTCCAGCTCCTGGAATTTGAGTGGACTTAGCCCCTCATCCTGCTCACAGCCACCTGATCCACGACCCTGAGGGCGGGCTCTGCACGCAAGTGTGCACACAAAGCTGCCCACGGGCCTGGGAGGGAGTTGGCCGTGGATGGGGTGGCGACAGGGGCCAGGGGCTGCACTCACCTCCTTAGCCTGGTCCAGGCTGTGCAGCAATCTGAAGACGCTGGCCAGGGTGTCCCTAGCCGCATGCAGAGTGGCCTGCAGGGTGGCATTGTCCCGGGACAGCTCCTGCTTCCTTTGCTGAAGGCAATGCAGGGGAGTTGGGGACAATGAGGGGTAAGAAAAGAATAAAGGATGTGATGGGGTGGACAGCAGGGCAGGGAAGGGAGAAGAAAAGAGGGGGAGTATGGGGGGTGAGGAGGGGGGAGGAGGGGAGGGTTAGAACGTGTGAGTATGAGGGAAGGAGGAGGATGGAGGGGTAGAGAGAAAAGTGGGGAAGAAGAGAAAGGAAGGCGGAAGGGGGCAAAAGGGGGAGGGGACAGGGAGGGGGAGAAGAGGAGGAAAGGATGGGAGGGGGTGAGGAGAGATGGGGAAATGAGAGGAGGAGAAGGGGAAGGAGAGAATAGAGGAGGTGGGGAAAGGGATGAGGATTGGGGAGGGACAAGGAGGGGGAGGGGGATGATGGGCAGATGGGGAGTGGGGAGGGAGAGGACAGGAGAAGAGGACAGGAGAAGAGGGAGGAGAGAGGAGAAGGGGAGAGGGGGAGGAGGAAGAGGAGGAGGGGGAGGGGAGTACGAGGGGAGGGGAGGAAGAGGAGGAGGGGGGGAAGAAGAGGAGGAGGGGGGGAGGACGAGGGAGGGGAGGACGGAGGGAGGGGAGGACGAGGGGAGGGGAGGGGAGGAGCCGGAGAGGAGAGGGATTGCAGGGAGGAGGCGGGAAGAGGAGCAGGAGGAAGAACAAGTCCGGGGTCCTCACCAGGGCTTCCTCCAGGCGCTCCTGGTTGCGGCTGTTGAGCTCCTGGGCCTCCCGTGTGGCGTCCACTGCCCGGTTCAAAGCCTCTCGCAGGTCCATGAGGCCGGCCTCGTGCTGGGCCAGCCGGTCGCGGGTTTGTGTGGCCAGTGCCTGGTTCTCCTCCCAGAGGCTGCTCAGCTGCTCCTGCACCCGGGCCAGCACTAGCCGAGACCAGGGTGAGGGTGGTCACTCTGGAAGCCAGGCCCCTTCATGACCCCTGGTCTCCACTTGGTGCCCGCCAGATCCATCTGCCCCGTGATGCCCACCTGATGCCACTCCATGCTGACCTCCCCCTTGGAGCTCCCAGGTCCCTGCCTCTCCCCACCCCGCCTGCCAGGGACAACACCACTCACATCTCTGTGCTGCAGCCAACTCAGCCTCAGCTGCTGCCTGCGGGGCCCCCAGGTCCCGGGCCCGCATCTCCCAGAGCAGCCGCTCCACCTCGGCCAGTGTCCGGAGCAGCTGCTCACCTGATGGAGCCGAGGCATTGGCCAGCCCCAGGTGGCCCGTCTGGGACATGAGCTCTGTGGGGCAGGGGTTCGTCAGAGCCTGGGGCCGCCCGTACTAGTGCACCTCTGCCTGCTGGCTTCCAAGCCCAAGACCCCAGCCCTGCCATCCTTGGCAGGCCAGGGGCCCGGAACCTGAGCGCACCTGGGTGGCCCCTAGAGCACCTGGCGAAAGGCCACAGCTGCCTCACCTGCCCGGCCCTCACCTCCTGCAGTGCCTCCAACACCCTGACACCAGTCTGCTCAGCCAGCTTCTGAGCCTTCTCGTCCTGCCCCTCTCCGCCTGGCCCACCCTGCTCCCTGGCCAGCTCTCTCTGACATGGCACCCCCTGCCGACCCCCAGGCTGGGCTGGCAGGTCCTGTTAGGCAGGCTCAGGGAGCCAAATCTCTCCTGAGTCCCATGTCTCAGTGTGCACTACGGGATATCTGTGAGCGCGAACATCTAACCGGCACATTTCCTGGGGAGGCTGTCGAGGGGTCTGACGTCTCCCGGGGCCACCTGTCTGGCCACACGGCTGTGTCGCCGACCTCCTGACCCTGCCCTACTGTTCACTCCAGAGGCGTCGTCTCCCATCTAAAAGACAGATCCTGCCTGTTCTTCCAGGCCAAGCTCGGCCAGGCACCCCCACCCCTACCCCAGGCAGCCCTCCTGGCTCTGAGCCCTGAGCCTGGCTGGGCTGGCCCCTACCGCTCAGGGTGCGGTCCACAGCCCGGATGGCCGCCAACAGCGTCTTCGCATGGCCCAGTGTGGCCTCGGTGCCGGCCAGCAATTGGCTCGCCTGGTCTCGGGTCCCCACGGCCTGTGGAGGAAGAGCCCACTAGCCCACGCTGCTGGTAGGCGAGGGTCGGGGTGGCAAGGGAGGGCCTGGGGTCTGGGGGAGCGCCGAGGGTCCCAGGGAAGAGGGGCCCCTTATCTATTTAACTCTCTTATCTGATGACTTGTTATTTATCACTTGTTAGTTACCTAAAATTATTGGTTATAACTTGCCATTTGTTATTTCCTGTCAATTTAATGAAATAGTTACTCATTAAGACATTTGAGGCCGGCCACAGTGGCTCACGTCTGTAATCCCAGCACTTTGGGAGGCTGAGATGGGCAGATCACCTGAGGTCAGGAGTTCAAGACCAGCCTGACCAACATGGAGAAACCCCATCTGTACTAAAAATACAAAATTAGCTGGGCGTGGTGGCGTGTGCCTGTAATCCCAGCTACTCAGGAGGCTGAGGCAGGAGAATCGCTTGAACCCGGGAGGCAGAGGTTATGGTAAGCCGAGATCGAGCCATTGCACTCCAGCCTGGGCAACAAGAGCAAAACTGTGTCTCAAAAAAAAAAAAAAAAAAAAAAAAAGACATTTGAGTGATATTATACACTGTAAACAAATGTATTAGGTAGTTTAGATAGTAATTCAGTGACTTGGTCAACCCCTAAGACTCTCGAGCTCCTGTCCCCTGCACTGACACATGTACGAGGCATGAAGTAACATCTGCTGAATGAGGACAAGCGAACCGCGGGGAACACAGGTGAAAGCCTCCCGGGGCCCTGGGGGGTCTTGGGGCTCCTGCCTGGCCGCCTAGCCGCCGTGCGTCCTGCCCGAGGCTTGTGCTCTGCTGCTCCAGCACCTCCAGCTGCTGTGCCGTCTCATGGCGGGGGCCCAGGGGGCTCCGGAGCTGGCTCTGTGGGAGGCGAAAGGTGAAGGCCTGCACTGGCCCGGGTTGGGGAGGGAAGGCCAGGACGCTCAGTACCTGCAGGTCAGCGATGGAGGCGTTCAGCCTGTGCAGACGGGCCCAGGCCATGGAGCTGGCATTGATGCCACGCAGTTGCTCGTGAATGGCGGGGAGGAGGGCGCCGGCCCGTTCCAGGTCATCCAGGAGCAGGACCACACAGTGGTCACACACTGCAGGCGATGTGGGGTCACAGGTCAGTGTCATTGGGTCAGGCCAGGGGAGAATGATCAGCTGGGGCCCTGGGGTCATTAGGGTGGGGAGGGCTCAGCCAGAGGTCATGAGGTCAGCTTAGGGACACAGGACCTGTGGGGAGGTCCCAGAGTTCTGGCAGAGTCATAGGGTCAGGTAGGAGTCAGATGGGAGTGAAGGGCATGGGGTCACCCAGGGAGAAGGTAGGGCCAGCACAAGGGGTTGGGGCCGGAGGTGGGGCCAGTGAAGGGGCGGGGCCGGTGGAGGCAGGGTCAGTGAAGGGGTGGGGCCAGTGGAGGAAGAGGGGGCCAGTGGAGGAGGCGGGGCCTGTGGAGGGGTGGGGCCAGTGGAGGCAGGGTCAGTGAAGGGGTGGGGCCGGTGGAGGAAGAGGGGGCCAGTGAAGGTGTGGGGCCAGTGGAGGAGGTGCAGCCAGTGGAAGAGGTGGGGCCAGTGGGGGTGGGGTCAGTGGAGGGGTGGGGTCAGAGGACGGGTGGGTTCAGAGGACGGGTAGGGTCAGTGGAGGGGTAGGGCCAGCAGAGGGGTAGGGCCAGCAGAGGGGTGGGGTCAGTGGAGGGGTGGGGTCAGTGGAGGGGTGGGGTCAGTGGAGGCAGGGTCAGTGAAAGGGTGGCGCCAGTGGAGGAAGAGGGGGCCAGTGGAGGCAGGGCCTGTGGAGGGGTGGGGCCAGTGGAGGTGGGGTCAGTGAAGGGGTGGGGCCAGCGGAGGAGGTGCAGCCAGTGGAAGAGGTGGGGCCAATGGGGGTGGGGTCAGTGGAGGGGTGGGGTCAGTGGGGGAGGCAGGGCCAGCAGAGGGGTGGGGTCAGTGGAGGGGTGGGGCCAGTGGAGGGGTGGGGTCAGTGGGGGAGGAAGGGCCAGCAGATGGGGTGGGGCCAGGGCACACAGGAAGGCTAGGGACAGTAGAGGGGTGCAGCCAGCAGTGGAGCTGCAGCGCTCCTCAGCGTGGTTGGAGTTGGACAGGCATGGGTCTCTCGGGAAATGGAAGGCAGCTGGGACCACTCTGGGAGGTCGACGTTAACACTGGGGTCACCAGGCTGTGTGGGACTTGGATTCCTACTCCATCAGGTGTGGGGAAGTGGGGTGTTGAGGACACACCTTCACAGTGGATGCTGTGGCCCACAGGCCCGCCTGGAACAGGCACCTGATGCTGCTGGCTGCAGGTGTCGCAGCGCTCCCCGCTGAGCCCCGGGGGGCAGTTGCAGCGGCCCGTGTGAGGGTCACAGCGGCCCCCAGGGCACTGGCAGCCTGTGGTGGGGGGCTTGGGTGAGCATGGCTGGCCTGGGACCTTGGAGCGTACCCCACTCAGAAGTCCCCATCCGCCCTCCTGTGACCGGCCAGCACTCACGCCTGCAGCCCTGCTCAGGGAGCCCCCAGTAGCCAGGGGCACACTCGCGGCACTGGGGTCCCATGGTCCCTGGTCGGCAGTGGCACTGTCCGCTCTGGGGGTGGCACTCGGAGCCCTCGGCGGCCGGTCCACAAGCACACGGGCGGCAGCCCCCGCAGCCATCGAAACCAAAATGTCCCTCCTGTGGCACAGGCTGGTCACTGCCCTGCCCAGCCCTCAAGACTGTCCCAGACCAACCTGGAAGCCAGGGGTCCTGCCCATCTGGCCCCACCCCCTGAGGCTCTGCCCATCAAACACTGCCCCTCAGCCCCACCTATCAGATTCTCCCCAGGCCCCAACTCTAGTCCCTAGGCCCCACCCACCCAGCCCTGCTTACCCCACAGCCCTACCTGGCAGCGGTCACAGCGCCGCCCAGTCACGCCCGCCTTGCACAGGCAGTGCCCGCTGTGGGGGTCGCAGGCCTCTGTCCCACATGGGGTACAGTCGCACCCTGCAGAAGGGGTCCGTGACTGCAGCCCTGGGCCCTCTCACCCCCCCAGGGAGCCCCTAGGCACCCTCCTAAGCCCTCACTTCACTGCCTCCTGCTGTGTCTCCTCCAGGCCGCCCGGACCACCCGGCTACCCACTCGTGTCCCAGCCTGGCCCCACTCCCCAGCTGCCTCCCCTGGGCCCGAGGGACCTGCAGACTCCCTGCCATGGCCTGCCCTGCTCTGACGGCTGGTGTCCGCTGCCAGTGGTGGGGCATTGGTGGTGGTGTCTAACCATGAGGGGGGACTGATTGTGGGGGGAGAGGGGATGTGATCGTGAGGTGGGGGGGGCGCTGGTCATGGGTTGGGGGGAGGGTCTGATGGTGAAGGTGGGGGCCTGATCATGGGTAGGGGAGGGGGGATGTGATCCTGGTATGGGGAGGGTCTGATTGTAGTAGGGAGAAAGGGTGTGATGGTCCGGGGGAGGCCTGATGGTGAAGGGGCCTGATCGCTGGGGCGGGAGGGCCTGATCGCTGGGGCGGGAGGACCGGATCATAGCGGGGGAGAAAGGGTTGACCATGAACCCAGAAGGCTGGCTCCGACTTGTCCTGGCTGGGCCCCAGCATCAGGCACACAGCCTACTTACGGGGTACGCCCAGCAGGCCTCCCTCCTCCCCGCGCAACCCTCCCCAGGGTGCATCCCTCCCAGCCCGACGCCTACGGGTGCAGTTGCCGGGCAGCAGGGCGTTGCCGTAGAAGCCGGGGGCACAGATCTCGCAGCGGGGCCCAGTGGTGTGGCGCAGGCAGCCACGGCAGGCGCCCGTCAGGGGGTCGCAGTCGCTGAAGAGCAAGTTGGGGTCACCGTTGCCGCTGCAGTCGCATGGCTGGCAGGAGCTGCCCAGCACCAGTGGGTTCCCAAAGAATCCGGGCGCACACCTGGGAGCAGGGTGGGGAGGGGCCGTCAGTGGCCCGTGGCGCCCACCCTCGCATATCCTGGGGTCAGCACTCAGGCCCTGCCCCACTGCCCTAGCCCCAGCTCACCGCTCGCAGGAGGCACCTGCATAACCAGGTTTGCAGAGGCACTGGGTGCGGCCGCCTCGCAGGACACAGCCCTCGGCGAAGCTGCAAAGACCAGCAGCGTCAGTCACTAGGCCCCTGGCAGTGCCCGGGCCCGGGCGAGCACACTGTGCTCCGGCTGGAACACACGCCAGGCGTCGGGGGCCCAGACCTCACGGACACCTCCAGCTGTCCAGGCCTCTGCAGAGGGCAGTGGGAACCCACCCCGCTGCTGGGTGAAGGGAGCCTGGCACCATCAGGGCCTCGTCCCGGGAGGAGGCTGGCTTACTTGTTGGAAGGCACTGAGAGGGGGCAGGGGCAGCTGACACAGGGGGCGCTGGGGTCGTCCCTGCTGCTCACGAAGCCAGCCTGGCAGCGCTCACAGTGGGCCCCTTCGGTGTTGTGCTGGCAGTCCTGGGGCAGAGTGGACAGTCAGAGCTATGGTGGACACCCACATCCTACTGCCGAGTCTGTGCAGCTCCCACCACCCCTGCCTCAGACTCTGTGCCCAAGGCCAGATGGTCCCCCACTGGGCAACACCCTTCCCCAGACCTCAGTTGACCTGGAAGTGCAGCCCCTGGTCTTCCCTGGCACACTTGACTGTGCCTTCAGTGAATGCTGCCCCCCTGGCCCCACCAGCCCCTACTCACCACACAGACGCCAGAGCCAGGGAGGCAGCGGTCTGAGTGTCCATGGCACTGACAAGGGACACATCGGCCCAGGAAGAGACCTTTGACGTCCCGATAGAAGCCGGGGGCACATTCCTGAGGGTGTACGGGGGCAGGTGGCATCAGCGATTGAGAGGACGAGGGGCCCCACCCTGCAAGCTCACAAGTCAGACCCTCAGGGATCCTGCAGGCACGAGGCACTGGGAACCCGTGGAGCATGGTCACCGCTGGGTCAGAGGCTGGTCAGGAACTCCTGGCCTCGGCCGGCTGGAGGTGGGCCAGCACCTGGCTGCTGTTTGAGGACATAGCTCTCAAAGCCACACGGATGTCCTGTCTCGGGAATGACCAGGCCTTGGGGCTGGTGACCACCCACTCCATGTGGACCAGGGCCTACTCTTTCCACTCCTTCTAGGAGGTATTCAACCACAAACCTCCTCATACAGAAGGAGCAAAGTTACAGCAGACAGACAGATTAGCAGGGCAGATTAGCAGCTGGACAGACACACAGTGGGCGAGGGATGGGCAGAATGACAGGCAGACGCCAGGATGGTCGGTGGGGGATGTCCAGGTGACCCAGTGGTGGGGGCTGGGGTAGGTGGGAAAGGGGTATGGAGGGTGTGTGCATGGAGGGGCAGGCGGATGAGGGGCAGGCAGGCGGACGAGGGGCAGGCAGACAGGCAGCAGGGGACAGGCAGGCCCATGAGTTGGCCAGCAGCCTGTGAAAAGCAGGGGCAGGAAGAGAGGTGAGTAGGGTGACAGGAAGTGGAGGCAGCAAGGAAGGGAACACAGGGAGGATGCTGGAGGGAAGGGTGTGCACAGGTGAGCCGCCTCGCAGTCTGGTGCTGTCCTAACCTCACCTGGCATGAGTCCCCCCGGTAGCTGGCGGGGCACAGGCACAGCTCCACATTGCTGGCCAGGGCCCCCTGGCCTGCTGGGCTGGCCACCTCCAGTGCCACCCTGCGCAGGAAGACAGCCGAGGAGATCTGTGAGAAGAGGGCACGGATCTGCAGCTGCTCCAGGCTGGCCAGCACCATCATGAGCTCCTCGCGGGACACAGTGTTGCGCGTCTCCGTATGCCGGAAGTTCCCCTGTGGGTCCAGGATGGCACCTCAGTGGGGCCACACTCAATGGGACAGAACAGGGAGCCTAGAACAGACCCCCCAACCCTGTAGGGGATGGAGGGGCACAAAGACCATGGGGCAGGAGGAGGTACACACAGGTAGAAAAACCAGTCTCCCATGAGGCCAGCCAGCACCTAGATCCCTGCCTCACACCACACATCAAACCAGCTCCAGATGCCTTAAGAATTGAAATACACAAAGAGAACAGCCAAGCTTCTAGAAGAAAACATAGGCAGGTCCTTTCTGATCAAGTAGTGACAAATACTTTCTTAAACAAGATGCAAAAACGCTTGCTGCCAAGGAAAAAAGGATAAATTCAAGTACATTAACTATAAGGCCGTTCATCAGAAGACAGCTCAGGCTGGGTGTGGTGGCTCATGCCTGTAATCCCAGCACTTTGGGAGGCTGAGGTGGGAGGATCACCTGAAGTCAGGAGTTCGAGACCAGCCTGGCCAACACGGCGAAACCCCATCTCTACTGAAAATACACAATTATCAGGGTGTGGTGGCGGGTGCCTATAGTCCCAGCTACTTGGGAAGCTGAGACAGAAGAATCGCTTGATCCTGGGAGGCAGAGGCTGCAGTAAGCCGAGATTGCACCACTGCACCCCAGCCTGGGCGACAGAGCAAGACTGTCTCAAAAAACAAACAAACAAAAAAAAAAAAACAAAGAAAAACCAGATGAGCTGTGAGAGGGGAGAAGACGGTTGTTACTCTGAAGTCTGACAGAGGGTAAGCACCAAGAATAACAAAGAACTCTAAAAGGATGGAAAAAGATTTGCAAGTCAAAGAGAAATGGGCAAAAGATGCTAACAGGCAGTGCATGGAGGAAGCCAACAGCTACTGAGCAGCTGCTCACCCCTCAGGGATCAGGGACTCACAAAGCAGGTGGGAAGACAGCATGACACCCCCCAGGGTGACCAGCACAGAAGATATCTGACAATGGGTGTGGGGACCTCCCCAGCCCCCACCCCGCTTCTGCTCCTGGGCTGTTTTCCACCACGGAGAATGGGCACAGCAGCACTGGGACCCCTTCCGGCCTTCCCAGATGAGCTGAGGTCCATGAGGGACCTGGGTGCCCAAGCCAGCTCCCCTCACCTCCACCAGCTGCAGCTGCCCACGGTGAACGTGGCCAGGCGTGGGGTATGCCGGCTCCAGGAATGTGATGCTCATCTGGTTGCCCTGGGAAGGCACATGGGGAGGTGAGGGTTGGCACGGGCCTGGACCACGGTGCCACTGCGCCACGCCCACCCAACCACCCTGCCACATCATCTCAGCTCCCTCACCTGCAGCACCACATCCGGCCTGCTCTCCATGGGGACAAAGACATCTCCCCGCTGGGTCTCTGAGTGCAGTTCATAACGGAGGGTCCCACCGTAGGATGACACCTGGAGGCAGGACAGACAGAGGTGACCTGGCCAGACTCTGGCCACAGGCTCAGAGCCCGTCAGCAGTGGTCTGGGCACCCCCAGCACAGAGCCCTGTGCTGGGCCTGGATACTTGCGCTCATTCCCTACCGGGACAGGGCCTGGGCACCCTCACGGACCCCCATGGAGCTCCCCCTCCCTGGACAGACCCCGCTCCTGGCTCCCAACCCTCTCAGGCGTCCTGGCCATCCTCAAAGTGCCTCCCCCAGACCTGATGCCCTGCTTACCCGGTCCCCCAGGTAGGAGGGTGGGGCCTGCCAGTACAGCTCGGGGAAAGCCTCGGGCACAGCCTCAGGCACGTGCCGCAGGTCTGCACGGAGCATCTCCGTCCCTGGCTGCCGCTCGTGGGGCACCACCTGCCGGTCAGTGCTCAGCAGCACCCATCCCTCCATATCCACGAACTGTGGGCACACACGTGTGGCTGCACACGGGTGGATGCCCACACATCACAGGGCCCCATCTTGCATCCAGTCCCACCTAAGACCTCCCCGAGAAGGCAATGCCCTCAGTCCTGCAGGCGCACCTCCTGGCGGGTGTAGGACGAGCTCCGGCAGCGCTCCGTGGCCCCAAAGCAGAAGCAGCGGGTGCAACCTTTGGGGTTGGCAGCATCCAGTGAGAAGGTCCCAAGGCTGCACTGGTCACATTTGGGGCCCTGCACGTTCTCCTAGGGATGAGAGGACAGTGAGAGTGGTCGGCAGGTGCCAGGTGCCTGACCCCGGGTTCCTGGTACCCACCTGCCAATGGGGATGACTCTCCCAAAAGCTTCTAGGAAGCCCCAGCTGCCCCGAAAGGCCCGTAAGGACACTTTCAGCTGATGAGGCCGGAGGGAGAGGCCAGATCTGGGCCCAGCCCTCACTCACCTTACAGTAGCACTGCCCTGTGAGGGGGTCACACACGCCAGGCGCAGTGCCCGCCTCGTGACAGTCACAGGGGCGGCAGCGGGGGTAGCCATGGAAGCCCGGAGAGCAGGTATCACAGCGGCGCCCAGTCACGTTGGGTCTGCACCTGTGGCAGGGGCGGGAGCTGAGCCCCCTCCACCCCAGGTCACTCACACCAAAGTGAGACCTCGTAGGCACCCCCCACCCAGGCAGCATCCTCCCAGAAGTGGAGGAGAGGGCGCTGCTGCACCCAGGGAGCACAAATGGGAGCAGGGTGGGTGCCAGGACCCTCTGGCTAGAGGAAATGCTGTCCTTAAGGCCACCAGGGGCCGCGCTGACGCCGCTCTGGGCTCTCACTTGCACTGGCCGCTGTCTGTGTCACAGGTAGGGTCTGTGAGCTCCTGGATGCCGGGCCCTGAGCAGTTACACTCCTCACAGCCGACCAGGGGGTGGCAGCCAAAGGTCTGGGGCTGGCACAGCAGGCAGTCGGGCGGGATGGTGCGTGGCGGGCAGATGCACTGGCCCGTGAGCTCGTCACAGAGGCGGGCACCGCAGTCACAGGCTGTGGGGCGGGTACAGGGTTTACTGACCCCTCTTCCCAGTCCCGCCCCTCTCAGAGGCCCAGAATGCAGCCCTAGGGGATGTGGCAGTGTGACGGGGGCGGGGGAGACAAGAACAGGGACCCCTGCCCCGGGTGCTGAGCCTTGGACAGCTCCTGACATGGAGGCAGCTGCTCAGAATCAACATCATCGTCAGAGACTGTGGACCACCTGCTGGTCCCTGAAACCTTCTGCATGGCCCGCAAGCTGGAGTCCTGGGCCCAGGCCCGCAGATGGGGCAGCAATGCTGCCCTGCCAGGCTCTAGAACATTCTCCTGACCCTGCTTTCTGGTCGACCCGTCCACCTTGGGCTCTGGCACCAACTCCCTGCCACTGGGCGCCCAAGGACTGGGGTACTCACGCCTGCAGTTGGGGAAGCCCCAGTATCCGGTGGCACAGCGGGAGCAGTCACGGCCAATGACATGGGCATGGCAGGGACACTGGCCCCCGAAGGGCTCACACGTGGGGCCTGTAGCACCTACTTCGTGGCAGCCACATGGACGGGCTCCGTTGTTATAGAAGAGGGAGAGGGAAGCAGCAGCGTTTCGGCAGAACAGGGATGAGCTGCTGGGGCTACATGGAGGGGCACGTGGTGAGGCCAGCTCCCGGCCCAGACCCCCACCCCGGACCCCTGACCTGCCAGAGCCCTGCCCACCTGATGTGGTAGCCCTGGGCTGCGCAGTGGCTGATGAAGTCATAGGATTTATCCAGGGGCTCCTCCCGGAGGTAGCCAAAGCTGTAGACGTTCTCAGGGACCACGAGTACATAATCCTAGGGGGTGAGGCCTGGTCACTCTCCCGCGGGCCCAGAGCCTGCAGCGGGGAGGCCCCCAGAGGCTGGCTGGGACCAGGGTCCTGCAGGCAGCTCAGAGTCCTGGCAGCAGCAGCCCAGCCCAGCCCAGCCCAGCCCTGGGCCCTGGCTGCTCAGGGGAGGCCACTCCAAGCCAAACAGCAGCTTTCGGGGGCATGAGGAGGCAGCAGCATTCATGAGACCTCCTGGTGTCTCCCACATCTCTGTCTGCTGGCCACGCCTTCCTCTTCCCTCTCCTTCCTGGAGGCCCCACCTCCTCCAGGAAGGCCACCCTGACCAGCAGGGTGCAGGGTGCAGGGTCCAGGGCCCCTCTGGAGCCTCACAAGGTGGATCGGGAGGTCCCCAAAGGCAGGAGCTGCTTTGCTGGGCACAAGGCCAGGCCTCAGCAGGCCCAGAAGAGACAGACCCAGCCCAAGTGTACCACAGTGGTAATGACAAGTATAAGGACAGCTGGTCCCTGAGCAGGACATCAGCTGGGACTCACCAGCCAGAGCCACCGGCCCTTGGGCACACGCACGGTCACAGTGAGCTCGCTGTGGGTCACGTCCAGCAGGGCCTGGCCCTCACACACCACCAGGGTGCGGCAGCCGTAGCCATGTGGACAGAAGCTGGCGTTGGCGTGGCCTGGGCGGGGGAGAAAGGCAGGGTCAGGCCCCCATCTCTAGCGCCCCCAAGACACCCAGAGGGTTGAAGATGGCAGCGTTGGGGCAGCCAAGGAGTGCCCGCTGGCCAACGGCCACAGGCACGGGACGTGCCCAAGAGGTCTGCAAGGCCGGCCCCTCATGTCACGGGGGTTGGCCGCATCATGACCTACAGATGTCATGCGGGACACCTCTAGGTACCGGTCAACTCCATGTGCGGGACCCCAGGCTTGGCCGAGCCAGGAACCAGACAAACACACAGGGCCACATGTGCTGCCAGCGGCATCCTGGGGCAAGCCCTCAATTCGCCACGTGCCATGGAGCACAACGGGGCTTCCCAACGCACGAGACAGAGGCGAGACCCAGGCTTTTCTGGGAACGGGAGCGGGCGGGTAGGGGCTGCGGGCTGCAAGGGCAGCTAGTTTGAGAACTGATGGCAGGACAGAGTCATGTTGCCTGTCGCTCATAGCAGGTAGCACAGGCCACGCTGTGGCGCCGGCATTCCAGCCTCATCGTGTGTGGTAGCCTCTCCACCCCCCACACCAGACACTCACCCTGCCACACGCGGCCGGCGTTGATGAGGACTTCCACGGGGAAGGTGGGGTGGGCTGGCTGGTAGCCGTGCAGCAGGAAGGCATAGCGGCCCAGCGTGGGCACATGGGTGGTGAAGACCACGGTGGCCTGCAGGGATAGGCCCTAGTGAGCAGGCTGAGCTATGAGCCCCTGCTGCCCCCTGGACAACCTGCCCTGGGTTGGGACCCGGAGTCCTGCCCTGACACCCCCGTCCCTCTAGAGACTATGGCCCTCACCTGGGGCTCACGCAGCAGGGTGGGCTCTGCATCAGGGTCCACAGCGGTGGGGGGCCGAGGTCGGGGTCCAGCTGGGGACATGGCTGGAGTGAGATCCTGCGCGTGGGTCAGCGGGAGGCCGGGCGGCAGCGGGATCACCTGGCAGTCCCTGAGGATGATGGGCTGGGGCGGCTTTGGGAAGCGCGAGGGCAGACAGGCGGCACTGGTGAGAGCACAGTGGGTGAGTCAGAGCCGGCCCTGCCGCCGGGCCCTCGGCCGCGCCCCTCCCAGCCCCATTACCTGCCATTACCTGTTGGGGCCAAAGGCGCCGTGGCTGCTGATGCAGCTGACCCGGGGCTCCACGAACTCCGGGCTGAACTCCTCAATGGGCACCAGAGTGACCCCGTGCTGCAGGCAGAGGGACGAGATGCTGCAACGCCCGTGGTGCGGGGAGGATAGGGGGTGCAGGCGGTACGATGGGGGGGTGCAGGCGGTACGATGGGGGGGTGCAGGCGGTACGATGGGGAGTGCAGGCGGTACGATGGGGGGGGTGCAGGCGGTACGATGGGGGGGTGTAGGCGGTACGATGGGGGGTGCAGGCGGTACGATGGGGGGGCCGGTCACACAGCTCAGACCCAGGAAACTGCAAACCCAGGCGTCCGACCGAGCCCTGCTCTTTCCAAGATGCCCTTGCTCCTCCTCCAGCTGCACAAACCCCAACCGCAGACCAGCGTGTTGGCCAGTTCCTGGGCCCACAGGCCTATGCGGCTCCTCCCATAGCCCTCTTCCTCCCCCTCGCCCTCCCATCCGTCACTGTTCCCCCACTCTTATCTCGAGTGCTGCTTGGTGCCACCAGGCCGGGCCAGGCCCAGCTCTCCCAGGACCTGACCCAGGCAGGCACTCAGCAGGCACAAGCCGCAAATGGGTGCTCCCTTTCCGTGCGGCCATGTGAGGTTGGTGTCTCGGAACACGGCAACTTATCCGCTGACACAACGGTGGGAGACGCGGCTGCACAGAACATGTTGTGTGGCATTTATAGAAAGTGCCAGGCCAGGTATGGTGGCTCCTGTCTGTAATCCCAGCATTTTGGGAGGCCCAAGAGGGCGGATCACCTGAGGTCAGGAGTTTGAGAATAGCCTGGCCAATATGGTGAAACCCTGTCTCTCCTAAAAATACGAAAATTAGCCAGGCGTGGTGGTGAGTGCCTATAGTCTCAGGTACTTGGGAGACTGAGGCACGAGAATCGCTTGAACCCAGGAGGTGGAGGTTGCAGTGAGCCAAGATCTTGCCATTGCGCTCCAGCCTGGGCGACAGAGTGAGACTCCATTTCAAAAAAAAAAAAAAAGAAAAGAAAGTTCCAGAACAGGCAACCAACGCTGTCTGTGCCAGGAGGTGGCTGCCCTGGGGCCAGGGAGCTGTGACTGCAGGTGCTTTCCTGAGCACATGGAACAGCTCGGGGGTACGTCAAAAGGGACTGAATCCACAAAACGCTTGCAGGAGGGGTTCCAGAAGAAACATGCTGGGCTGGGCATGAGCGAGTGTGGCCGCCTTGGGGACCTGGGACCCCAACTGTCCTCTCCCCTCTCATGCATGTTTCAAATCTTCTGAAAGAAGCTGACCCCTTGGGGTGGGGACCTGAGGGGTCCTTACCAGGAAGAAGCGTGCCTGTTCGGCTGTGAGCCTCACGCTGGCCTCCGAGTCCAGGTGGAAGACAGCCAGGTGGTCCTGGGTATCCCGGGCAGTGCCCCGGCACAGGGTGCTGTGGGGGGAGGGTGGTCAGCAGGTGGGGCAGCCCCGGGCGTGCCCTTACTCCAGCCCCACCGGCTCCCACTCACCTGTACAGGCAGGGGTGCAGGGAGAGCAGCCCCTGCTGGGGGGCCCGCTGTGGGGTGTGCACGGCCACGCCCACCTCCTGGCGGGCATCCTCATTGGCGTACTCCACCACTAGGGCATAGCGGCCTGGCTGTGGCACTGCCACTTGAAGCTGGACGTCCACCTGCAGGGAAGGCAGGGTGACGGGAGGCCCGCCACCCCTCGCCCTTCCCACCTCCCTCCCCTCCCACTCCAGCGCCTCCCTGACCCCAGGGCCTGCCCTTCAGCCGAGTCCCACCCTGGCCCGGACATCTCCAGGCAAGTGGTGGGGGCTGAGCTGTATGTGGAGGCCACAGCCAATCCTACATACAGACAGGCACTGAGGTCACACATGCAGGAGGCAGGAGGCAGGAGGCAGGGGCGCCCTGCCTGGGTGCTGGGCTCCATTGCCTGAGGCAGCGCCCTGCTCCTATAACCTGCCACCGCCACAGGACCCCCAGCCCCCAGGCCAAGGTCCTGCAACACCCATTGCTCCGTGGGGTCCCAGGACACGCACATCACTGCCCGTGCAGGTGATCAGTGGCGGGTGCGACGGGCTGAGCTGCTCCGTGGGGCAGGGCCGGGGCAGGCTGTTGTCCTGGCGACACAGGGCCTCCAGCCCGGCGGCCGAGGGGAAGCCATCCAGGGGGAGGTGTGTGTAGAGGAGGCAGCTGGGGGGACACAGGCCGTGGTCAGCCCCAGGTCCACCCAGGTCCCCAGAGACAGCCTGAGTGGGGGAAGCCAGGCACAGTGGGGGTCCAGGAAGCCCCCACCCCGGTCCCACCGCACGCATGGCCCTCACTTGTCGCCAGACTGCTGGGCAGAGGGACGGTATGTGCAGGCCTCAGTCACCCGCAGCTGCAGGAGCGCCGCCTCGTAGTATGCGCTAGGCAGCAGAACCACGTAGTCCTGCAGGGTGGAGGTGGTGCTGAGAGTGGTGGGCCCCACCCCCTGACCCGGCCCCCAGCCCTCACTCTGGCCCCTGCCTCACCAGGAGCACCCCTTCGGCCTCCACACGCAGGGCCCAGGTGCCAGGGTTCAGCACAAAGGGCTCTCCGAAGCCCCTCTGGGGCACGGTGATGAAGGCAGGCTCCGTGCTGGGTGGGAAGGCCACGGGCTGACTCTGTGCTGTGCCTGGGCGGGGGCAGGGGTGAGACTCCTGAGCCCAGCCCTTGGGGCCACCCCAGGCTGCACCCCCTACAGGGTTGGGGATAGGCTGGTCCTACCACCCACATGAGCCAGAGGAAGGTGGCGGGGCTTGGGAGTGGGGTGGGGTGGGGTGGGCTGGGCTGGTGGGGCAGGGGCTGTGGCCCAGGGACCCCACTCACAGTTGGCGCAGGTGGCCGACCTGCCCTCCTCTCGCACAGAGACCCGCCCGCTCACACTCATGGCCCCCCGGTTGACGTATCGGAAGACGAGCCAGAAAAGGTCAGGGGAGGTCAGGTTCAGCCTGGCCACGATCCTGGGCTGGGTGGGCATGGAGCGTCGGGTCACTCTCCCTGACCACTGCCAGCCTGAGGCCTGGGCCTTCAAGGGGCCTGCCCACCCCTCCCTGCCAGCCACGCCTGGCTCCACTTCTAGGCTGAGCCTGGGAGGGGGAGCACAGCGCCCACCTGGACAGGTGCCATCTGCGCGTAGCCCCTCCAGCTGAAGTTCTCGAACTCGAGGGGGTTGAAGCCAAAGCGCACGGCGTGACCCTCAGGTGTGGCAGCCTCCTCCAGCTCCAGGCGCAGGTGGTGCAGGTCCGGGAGGTAGTGGTCCCTCGCAGGCCTGGCCACAGCAGGGGCTGGTCAGGTGCAGCTTGGCCATCCTACCTAGCCCTGCACAGCGGCCCCGGGTCTCCAGGGAGGGTGAGGCCTCACGTGGGCCCATGGTGAGGGACACGGAGAGGCCCGGAGGACAAGCTGCCTGCCCCGCTCCCCACCACCCAGTGGGGAAGGGGTACCCACTCGCTGCAGGTGGGGCCCTGGGTGTTGGGGCGGCACCGGCAGACGCCCGTCCTCGGTTCACAGCTCTGGCCCAGTGCACCGCCAATGTCACACCGGCAGCCTGCAGGGAGAAGGTGGGAGGTCAGAGGCTGCCTGGCCCCCACCCAGCCTCAGGGGCCCCTCACAGCCAGACTGAGAAGCCTGCCTGGGGCTCTCTGGATGATGGAGAGTCAGGGCTCAGGGCTCAGGGCTCAGGGCGAGGGCGAGGGCGAGGGTGAGGGCGCTGGGATCTGTTAGTGCCGTCTGCCCAGGTGTAGGACAGGGGAGAGGAAGCCACGCATCTGGGTGGGAGCTGCACCCCCTCTCCCACACCCTGGCACAGGCTGGCACCAAGGGGCAGCCATCCATCACCCGGGCTTCATGCTGCCCAGGCTGCACTTGTCCCTCCGGGCCTTGGGTTCCCCAGCATAAACCGAGGGGAGGCAGGGCTGTGGTCTGGGACGAGCGAGTGGGCACTCACTGCGGCAGCCAAAATAGTCAGCCTGATCCAGTCCAAAGAAGCCATCCTTGCAGGACGCGCAGGCCTGGCCGCACACGTGGGGCTTGCAGAAGCACTGGCCGGTGCCCTGGGGGCCAAGGGAGGAGGTGAAGTGGGGCAGGGGAGGGTCCTGACCAGTGTGCCCCCAAATCCCCCACACCTTGGTCCTCAGACTCACCGGCTGGCACTCAGCAACTCCACCCAGTGTGCCCCTGAGGTCGCAGCTGCAGCCTGGGGAGAGCAGGGCAGGACTCAGATGCTTGGTGGGGCAGGAGAGCCTGGCTCCAGCCCCCCGAGGAACCCCCACACCCTAACACCCCCTCCAGGGCACACTCACAGGCTCCAGCACCCCCAGGAGCCCCTGCACCCTGACACTCCCTCTAGGATACACTTGCAGGTACAGTTCCCCAAGGAACCCCTATACCCCAACACTCCCTCCAGAGCACACTATAGGCTCCAGCCCCCCAAGGAAATCCCATACCCCAATACTCCCTCTAGAGCACACTCAGACTCCAGCCCCCCCCCAGGAACCCCTGTACCCCAACACTCCCTCCAGGACACCCTCATGGGTACAATCCCCTGAGGAACTCCACACCCCAACATTCCCTCCAGGGCACACTCACGGGTGCAGCCCCTCCGAGGAACCCCCACACACTAACACCCCCTCCAGAGCACACTCACAGGCTCCAGCACCCCGAGGAAACCCCGTACCCCAACACTCTCTCCAGGGCACACTCATGGACTCCAGTCCCACGCAGGAACCCCCTGCACCCCAACATTCCCTCCAGGACACCCTCATGGACTCCAGTACCCCCCCAGGAACCCCTGCACCCCAACATTCCCTCCAGGACACACTCATGGGTGCAATCCCGAGGAACCCCACACCCCAACACTCCCTCCAGGACACACTCATGGGTGCCATCCCCTGAGGAACCCCACACCCCAACACTCCCTCCAGGGCACACTCACAGGTGCAGCCCCTCCGAGGAACCCCTATACCCCAATACTCCCTTTAGGGCACACTCACAGGCTCTAGCCCCCCAAGGAACCCTCATACCCCCAATACTCCCTCAGGGCACACTCGCAGCCCCCCTGAGGAACCCCGCACCCCAACATTCCCTTCAGGGCACACTCATGGGTACAATCCCCGAGGAACCCCATATCCCACCACTCCCTCCAGGGCACACTCACTGGCTCCAGCCCCTCCAGGAACCCTGCACCCCAACACTCCCTCCAGGATATACTTGTGGGCACAGTTCCCCAAGGAACCCCTGTACCCCAATACTCCAGGGCACACTCACGGGTACAGCCCTCGGGGTTGCTGGGGCTCAGTCCCCAGAACCCAGGTTTGCAGCGGTCACAGCTCGGCCCCTCCACGTGAGCCCGGCACATACAGGGAACCTGTGCCTGGGAGAGGACAAGACTGCAGGTCAGAGCGGGCGCCCTGCTCTCCCACCCACAAACCATAGAGCCATAGAGCCCTGACAAGGGGTGGTGAGGGCTGAGGGCCCTCACCTGTGACTCACAGGAGTCACCTGCAGTGGGGGCAGAGGACCAGCCTAAGGAGCAGACAGGCCCTGGGGTTGCCATGGCAACTGAGCAGCAGGCAGGAAGCCCTGGTCTCACCGGACTCGGGACTTTTAGCTTGGCCTGGGTCCTCACCCATCTCCCACACACGAGCAGACTTGGGCTCACCTCAGGAAGGGCAGGATCCACTGGGGCCAGACCGGCAGGGTGGCAAGAGCCAGCTGTGAAGAGAGGACCATGCCTCGGTCATTTCCCAGTGACCAACCCGGAAGGCCAAGGGTGTCCCAGGCCCAGCCAGAACCCACGGTCCCACAGGAGCTGAGGACCAGCACAGGTGCCTCTCATCCACATGGACGGCCTGAAAACACGCACCTCCCTGCTCCCTCCGCAGCAACGGACGTGCCATCCCACCACACAGCACCTGCTCATGGACATGCACGCAAACGTGCACCGCGTGGGGTACCCGTGTACATTCCACACGCAGTGTGTGACACACGTCTGAACAAGCACACAAACGCACGTGAAGATGCACCCACTACACGTGCACTAACACACCCACACGCCCGTGAAAGGACATGAACACGCACACCCACACTTGAGACACGCGATACGCGCACCCACTTATGCGATACGCGCACCCACTTATGCGACACGCGCCCACATGCGACACGCAACACATGCACCCACGTGACACACAAACCCACTTACGTGACACAGGCACCCACACTTAGGTGACACACACACCCACACAAGCAACACATGACACCCGTACACACACAGAACGCAACACATGCACCCATACGAGACACGACAGGCGCGGATGCACAGCACGCAGACACGGGCAGTACGCGGACACCCCTGCACGGCATGTGAACAAGGTGCGAACACAGAGCGTGGGGACGCAGTCGCAGTACACACAGCAAGATGCACGTGAACAGCCTCACAGGAAGGCAGGCAGCGTGTGAACAGCACAGACCCACACACAGGCCCGGCACCTGGTGCACACAGCCACCTGCCTGCTCACCTTCGCAGTAGGGGAAGTTGTAGGCACCGGGCACACATGTGTCACACCGCAGCCCCGTCACACGGGGCCGGCAGCTGCACTGCCCACTCCGGGGGTCACAGGCTGCGTGCAGGGAGCCTTCAGCAGAGCAGTGGCAGGCTGCAGACAAGGATAGCTGTGGGCACGCAGTGGAGACTGCACCTGCCTCCCCACCACTTCCTCCCTAGGCACTCACGGACACAGCTGGGGAAGCCGTGAAAGCCGGGGCTGCATTCCTGGCAGGCAGTGCCTGTGTAGCCGGGGCGGCAGCGGCACAAACCTCCCGCCCCACAGAGCTGGTCCAGGGCTCCCCGAGGGTCGCAGGTGCATGCTGCAGAGGGACAATGGGGTCAGGCCCTGGCGCCATGTGGGTGGCAGAACCCCTTCCTGCCCTGACCCTCTGCTCACCTTGGCAGTTGGGGAAACCATGGTAGCCAGGGCGGCACCGGTCACAATGAGGTCCAGCAAACTCAGGCTGGCATAGGCAGCGGCCGGCCTCATCGCAGCCCTCGGGCAAGGTTCCTGCAGGGCTGCAGCCACACACTGCAGAGCGGAGCGGGTGTCACGGTAGGCCAGGCCCACGGGCCTCCCCTACCCACGCCCACGTGGAGAGGCACCACTCACACTGGCAGAGAGGGAAGTGAAAGTAGCCGGGGGCACAGCGATCACATGTGGCCCCCTCGAAGCCCACTCGGCACCTGCACTGGCCTGTGTCAGGGTCACAGCGGTCATCGGCCACTCCAGGGCTGGAACACTGGCAGGCTGCAGGAAAGGGTGGCCCACATGCTTGGTCAGAGGCACCAGGCCTCAGGTGTCCACCTCGAGCGCAGGTAGAGGTTGAGCGGGGAGAGGGGACTCACGCTGGCAGCCGGGGCCGTAGAACCCTGGCGCGCAGAGCTCACAATGGGTGCCTTGGAAGTTGGGTTTGCACAGACAGCGTCCCACCCTTGGGTCCTTCCGGCAGGCGTTGCCCTGGGTCCCTGCCGCGCTGCAGTCACAATCTGGAGGGTGGGGACAGGCAGGGGAGTCTCAGATGCCCTGCAGACCCCAGTACGCCCCTCCTGGCAAACCTTCCCTCTCCACAAACTCATTTTCTTACACTTTTACACAACACTAACTAGAAAATAAAATAATAAAAATCCCAGCAAGGGCTGGGTGCAGTGGCTCACGCCTGTAATCCCAGCACTTTGGGAGGCCGAGGCGGGCAGATCATGAGGTCAAGAGTTCGAGACCAGCCTGACCAACATAGTGAAGCCCTGTCTGTACTAAAAATACAAAAATTAGCTGGGCGTAGTGGTGCACCCCTGTAATCCCAGCTACTTGGGAGGCTGGGGCAGGAGAATCGCTTGATCCTGGGAGGCGGAGGTTGCAATGAGCCGAGATCGCACCACTGCACTCCAGCCTGGGCGACAGGGTGAGACTCCGTCTCAAAAAAAAAAAAAAATTCCAACAAGGGAGAGGCGTGTTTGGGAAAACAGTGATGTGCAACAAAGTCAGGCCAACTATCAAAACGCTTCATTAGTTATTTCTTACGTAGATTCCTAGTTAGCTGCAAGCATTAACACAAAGAGAAAATACAAACAAATCAAAACTCAAAACAAGCTGCAAAACAAATTATAGTTTCTTTTTTTTTTTTTTTTTTTTTTTTGAGACGGAGTCTTGATCTGTCGCCCAGGCTAGAGTGCAGTGGCACGATCTGGGCTCACTGCAAGCTCTGCCTCCCGGGTTCACACCATTCTCCTGCCTCAGCCTCCCCAGCAGCTGGGACTACAGGTGCACGCTGCCACGCCCGGCTAATTTTTGTATTTTTAGTAGAGACGGGGTTTCACTATGTTAGCCAGGACGGTCTCCATCTCCTGACCACGTGATCCGCCTGCCTCGGCCTCCCAAAGTGCTGGGATTAAAATTATAGTTTCTTTAGAAACAATGTCAGGTGTTGGGAAGAAGGTAGAAAGAATGTATCAAATGTCTTAACTTACGCATGAAAGGAGGGTTGTGAGCACGCTTCAGTTTTGTTACTGATAGAAAAATAAAGGTTCAATACTTGTCAAAAATGTAAGAGTAACCACTGGTCAGACCAGAACACAGAAAGAGAGCTTGCAAACCCTCCCCAGAGAGGAAACAGTAGCAAAAACCAAAATCAAAGCACGTTTTCTTGCTCTAACTTGTGAAAGTCAGGAAAGGAAATGTTTCAGCAGAAAAGGAGAAATGATACAAGGGCAGGAGCCAGCCAGAACTGACAGAGGCAAGGACGATCGTGGGGCTGCGCTGTCTCCTTCATGAGATAAAAACCGAAGACGTCAGCGTGACCAAGAGGAAACTCCAGCCATAGCCTCTTGAAAGAGCGTACCTTAAACCAACGCCTCAGACAGGTGGTAAACCGAGAGCTGTGTGCAGGGAGCTGGGGTGGACGCAAACACAGAGGAGTGAGGACGGAAGGCACAGCGGTAACGAGACAGAGGGAAGCTCAGGCATGTCACCCAACGGGCAGCAGAAACGAATCTCTAGGAGCAGGTAACGTGTCCTGGAGGTGAGGGAAGCTAAAACTATTAAAATGGCAAGGAGAATTTGGCAAACCAGAGTCAGAGAGAGACAAAGACTGGATGGAGATACATAGGTAGACTGTGACAGCTCAGAGGGACAGAAATTGAGCAAGGGTACTGTGGGTTTGAAGAGCATAATGAACAAGCCTCCTTTGTTTTTTTTTTTTTTTTTTTTTTTGAAATGGAGTTTCGTTCTTGTTGCCCAGGCTGGAGTGCAGTGGCGCCATCTCAGCTCACTGCAAACCCTACCTCCCGGGTTCGAGCCATTCTCCCGCCTCAGCCTCCCGAGTAGCTGGGATTACAGGCATGCGCCACCATGCACAGCTTATTTTGTATTTTTAGTAGAGACGGGGTTTCTCCATGTTGGTCAGGCTCGTCTCGAACTCCCGACCTCAGGTGACCTGCCCACCTCAGCCTCCCAAAGTGCTGGGATTACAGGCGTGAGCCATCGCACCTGGCCACAAGTCTGCTTTAACATGCCAAATCGGTACTCCATAGAGAACACACATTCCTGTCCAATGTTCCTGGAACAATCTAAAAGTGGTCACATTCTGGATTAGAAACAAAGAAAATCTCAAATTCCAAAAACAAAAGGCAGAAACTGCCAGGCGCAGTGGCTCATGCCTGTAATCCTAGCACTTTAGGAGGCTGAGGTGGGTGGATCAACTGAGGTCAGGAGTTCGAGATCAGCCTGGCCAACATGGTAAAACCCCATCTCTACTAAAAATACAAAAATTACCCAAGTATGGTGGTGGGCGCCTATAATCAGTCCCAGCTACTCGGGAGGCTGAGGCAGGAGAATCGCTTGAACCTAGGAGGTGGTGGTTGCAGTGAGCCGAGATCGTGCAACTGGACGCCAGCCTGGGTGACAGAGTGAGACTCTGTGTCAAAATAAATAAATAAATAAATAAATAAATAAATAAATAAATAAAATTAAAAAATAAAAGTCGTCACATTCTAGGTTAGAAACAAAGAAAATCTCAAATTCCAAAGACAAAAGGCAGAAACTATCAGTGTGCCAAGTCTAACCACGATGCAGCAAAACCAGAACTGCACACCACGAAAAGGACAGGAGGGAAACCTCAGCACCTTGAACAGTGACGGGTTGAAAGAAAATAAAACCCCAAATGATAGACTATTTAAAAAAAACACAGCAATGAGGACACCCCACATCTCAAACTACAAGATACCTAGCCAAAGGTATACTCTGAGGAAAATTTATAGCTTTAAACTAGAGTTTCCCAGCCTCAGGACTACTGACAGTCCAGGCTGGATAACTCTTTGTTATGTGTGCAGGAGCAGTCCTGTGTTGTAGGAGGTTCCCAGCATCCCTAGCCTCTACCCACTGGATCAGTTACATCCATCAATCGTCACAACCAAAAATGTCTCCAGACATCATCGAATGCTTCCTGTGCATCAAAGTCACCACTGGCTGAGAACCACTGCTTTAAGCCTTTTTGTTGGGAATGAAGACAGACTAAAAATAATAACTCAAGAAGCTATTTTAAAAAAGTGATAAATCAAAGAAAGTGGATTAAAGAAATTGAATATTAGAAAGGAAAATCTCTCCTCCCAACTAAAGAAAGAAAAACCTCAGCAGGTCTTATCAAGAGAACTGCACCTGTACTTCGAACAGACCAATAAACTCAACGAACCTCTGTTAGGTCTGATCAACCAAAAAAAAAAAAAAAAAAAAAGAAGAAGAAAGAAAATAAAAATAAAAATAGACGAGAATAGAAATGAACAGAAATTTTAACTTTATAACAGGCCACTGTGCATAACTTTATGTCAATACATTAAAAAATCCAAACAAAATACACAATTTGCTAATACAAATAATCAAACCTGACTTAAGATGAGGAAGAAAACTGGCCAGGCGTGGTGGCTCATGCCTGTAATACCAGCACTTTGGGAGGCCGAGGCAGGTGGATCACTTGTGGTCAGAGTTCAAGACCAGCCTGGCCAACATGGTGAAACCCCGTCTCTACTAAAAATACAAAAAATTGGCCAGGCGTGGTGGCAGGTGCCTGTAATCCCAGCTACTCGGGAGACTGAGGCAGGAGAATCGCTTGAACCCAGGAGGCAGAGGTTGAAGTGAGCCGAGATCGTGCAACTGCACTCCAGCCTGGACGACAGAGTGAAACTCCATCTCAAAAAAAAAAGATGAGGTAGAAAATTGAATACAATAGCCACAGAATACATTAAAACCTTAATTTAAGATCTCTGTTGAAAAACAGGTATCAGAGACCAGGCTCAGTGGCTCACACCTGTAATCCCAGCACTTTGGGAGGCCAAGACGGGTGGATCATGAGGTCAGGAGATCGAGACCATCCTGCTTTAACACGGTGAAACCCCATCTCTACTAAAAGTACAAAAAAATTAGCCGGGCGTGGTGGCGGGCACCTGTAGTCCCAGCTACTCAGGAGGCTGAGGCAGGAGAATGGCGTGAACCTGGAAGGCAGAGCTTGCAGTGAGCCGAGATCGTGCCACTGCACTCCAGTCTGGGCGACAGAGCGAGACTCCGTCTCAAACAAAAACAAAAAAACAAAAAAAAAAGAAAAGAAAAACAGGTATCAGGACTAAAGGGTTTTGTAAGTTTGACCAGACTTTTAACAAGTAAATAATTTCTGTGATTTTTAAACTGATTGGGAGCATAAAAAAGTGTGGATGATTTCCCAAGTATTTTACAAAACCAAAACAATCTCACTTGTGAATTTAGACAAAATAAAATATTGATGTTCAACACTGTGTCCCCATTAGGAAAGACAATACAATTCATTGTAATGAACACATTGAAAGTGAATACTGTACAGCCACAGGTAATTACTGAGTGCTTACTATGGCCCAGTAGCGAAAAGATAAATTGTCAGTTTACACCAGGGATTAGCAAACTAGTCTATGGACTCCTCGCTTGCTTTTGTAAATAAAGTTTTATTGGAACGCCGCCAACCCCACTCATGAATACGCGTTCTATGGCTGCTTGCAAGCTACAGCTGGTAACGGTAGAGCTGAGGAGTTTCCCCACAGGGACCACACGGCCCTCAGTCTATGACATTTACCGTCTGGGCCTTTTCCGACAGTTTGTTGACCCCTGGTTTACACTATTGATGAAAAACTAAACATTTCCACATAAAAAAACCATCACAGAACCAGCAGACAAGAGAATTCCTGGGTAAGGGAGGAGCATCTACATCCGACTCAGCCAGAGATTCGGTAGAACAACGTGGGCAGATTCACCTCAAAATTTACAAAATCAGGACACGGAAAAAAGCTCCCCCCCAAAATAAGGGGCAAATGACCCATCAGGAGAAAAACACACAACTTATAAGAAATAGGTGATACAGGCTGGGCGCAGAGGCTTACGCCTGTAATCCCGGAACTTTGGGAGGCTGAGGCGGGCAGATCCCTTGAGGTCAGGAGTTCGAGACCAGCCTGACCAACATGGAGAAACCCCGTCTCCACTAAAAATACAAAAATTAGCCAGGCATGGTGGCGCATGCCTGTAATCCCAGCTACATGGTAAGCTGAGGCAGGAGAATCACTTGAACTCGGGGGGCAGAGGTTGCAGTGAGCTGAGATTGCAGCATTGCACTCCAGCCTGGGCAACTAGAGTGAAACTCCATCAAAAAAAAAAAAAAGAAAGCACTCGAAAAGTCAAGAAGATTCAAGCTTACAGAGTAGTCAAAGTGCAGCTAAAAATGACACAATATCGTGCCAGGCATGGTGGTTCATGCCTGTAATCCCAGCACTTTAGGATGCCAAGGCAGGCGGATTACCTGAGGTTGGGAGTTCGAGACCAGCCTGACCAACATGGAGAAACTCTGTCTCTACTAAAAATACAAAATTAGCTGGGCTTAGTGGCGGATGCCTGTAACCCCAGCTACTCGGTAGACTGAAGCAGAAGAATCGTTTGAACCTGGGAGGCACAAGTGGTAGCGAGCCAAGATCACACCATCACATTCCAGCCTGGGTAAAAAGAGCGAAACTCCATCTCAAAAAAAAAAAAAAAAAAAGACGTCATATCAAATACAATCTAAGTCTAAGACCCCACTCACTGGGAAAGATGCCATGCTTGTATGTCCCGTCATGAAAGGGAAAAACCCTACCAACTAGACTGTGATATGCCATCAAGCAAAAGACGCATCCCAATTCCAGAAACACTAAAAAGCAAGGGAACATGGCTCTGACTTGAGAATATTTTTTGTCTATCAAGCCAAGAGTGATAGACTGCTATGTGGTAATGGCAATGATTTGGTCAGCAGGTGCCATGCTGCTCTGTGGCTGTGACTGTATGCTGGGAGACTCTTTTTTTTTAAATTTATTTTTTGAGATGGAGTCTCGCTCTGTCACCTAGGCTGGAGTGTGATGGTGGTTCTCAGCTCACTGCAACCAGGTTCAAATGATTCTCCTGCCTCAGCCCCCCAAGTAGCTGGGATTACAGGCACGCACCACCACGCCTGGCTAATTTTTGTATTTTTAGTAGAAATGGGGTTTCACCATGTTGGCCAGGCTGGTGTCTAACTCCTGACCTCAGGTAATCCACCTGCCTCAGCCTCCCAAAGTGCTGGGATTACAGGTGTGAGCCACTGTGCCCGGCCAGTTTTCTACCTCATCTTAATAATGCTTTATCACAGCATAATTAAAAAAAAAAAGAACCTAGATTTCCAACCACTGGGGGTTGTTTAAATAAATACTTCATTAGTCCCTATGAAATGGACCACAAGACAATGTGTTTACAGGATTGTGGTTGGGATGTAATCACAGGACAGGGTGCAGAGCGCATGACGAAGCTTGTGAAAGAGAAGTGCTTGTGTACAGAGAGCATTCAAGCGCTGTGCAGAGCTGGGGGAATTGTGGATAACTTTTTGTTTTTGTTTTTCTTTTTGAGATGGAGTTTCGCTCTGTTGCCCAGGCGGGGGTGCAGTGGTGCAATCTCGGCTCACAGCAAGCTCCGCCTCCCGGGTTCAAGCGATTTTCCTGCCTCAGCCTCCTGAGTAGCTGGGATTACAGGTGCCCGCCACCATGCCCAGCTAGTAGAGACGGGGTTTCACCATGTTAGCCAGGCTGGCCTTGAACTCCTGACCTCAGGTGATCCACCTGCCTTGGCCTCCTGAAGTGCTGGGATTACAGGCGTGAGCCACTGTGCCCAACCAATTTTCTTTTTTTTTTTTTTTTCTATTTTTTTTTTATTATACTTTAAGTTTTAGGGTACATGTGCACATTGTGCAGGTTAGTTACATATGTATACATGTGCCATGCCCAGTTTTCTTTTTTGAAACAAGGTCTCACTCTGTTGCCCAGGCTGGAGTGCTGTGGTGTGATCATGGCTCACTGCAGCTTCGGCCTTCCAGGCTCAAGCAATCCTTCCACCTCAGCCTCCGGAGTAGCTCGAACTACAGGCACACATCACTACACCCAGCTAATTTTTGTATTTGCTGTAGAGACAGGGTTTTACCATGTTGCCTGGGCTAACTTTTTTCTTTGGCTTTATGCTGACCTATATTTCCGAAGGTTTTCCAGTGTGAATAGGCATAATTTGCATAAAAAGAAATAAGCCAAAAATAAAGTGACCAAATGAAAATCCTCCCTTTCTCCAGGAACTTTCTGTGAAGCCGCCCCCATGGCTCCAGGGCAGGCCGGGGACCTGGGGGCCTCAAGGACACTTACTCACAATCTGGCCGGCTGGCAGCACCTGCTCCCTGGTGTCATTGGAGGACGAGGGCGTCGCTGAGGGGAAGAGACACGCATGTTGGCCAGGTCTGCTCAGAACCCTAGCACCCTACACCCCCTGCCACCCTTGGTCTCTCAGCACAATCGGAGATGCAGGCAGGATAACATGGTCCATCCCGGGGAACCCCTCCACCCCCTGCAGGGCTCCCGGAGTCCAGCAGGCAGTGGTGTCTGTTTGGATGCCCCTGGCAGGTGCTCACGGTAGCAGCTTGGGAAGCCCGTGAAGCCCTCGGCACACACGTCACACCGCTCCCCAGAGAAGTTGGGCCGGCAGTAGCATCGACCCGTCAGGTCCTCGCAGGTGCCATCCGTGAAGTCGGACTCGCAGTTGCAGCCTGGGCAGGGGCAGGAGCCGGGTAAGCCTGGAGCTACCAGGACTCAAGGGGTGGGCTCCAAGATGTGGCAGTCTCTACCTCCCCAGCCAGGGCCATGGGGATGAGGGCTACAGCCAGGCCCCCTGGGGGGACATGAGGGCTGGGGACCCGCCCCGTGGCCTGGGAGGCTCCTTCCTGGGCTGGCCTGGAAGCTCAGGACATCCCCTCCAAAGCAGCCCCAAAGGCCCAAGAACACCTCTTTCCAGGCAGACCCTGAGACCCAGGACACCCGCCCAGCTGAGCCCACTCACGGCGGCAGACGTGGGGCGAGTCGAGAGGGTGGTTGGGAGAGCGGTAGAAGCCGGGCAGGCAGCGCTCACAGTTGACGCCGGTGGTGTGGTGCTGGGAGTGCAATGGCCGTTGAGTCTGGGGAGGTCCCTGCCCCACCTCAGGGCCAGCCCATTCCCAGCCCTCTAGCCCAGCCCACCTGGCAGTCGATACAGACACCCCCACCCTGATAGGTGCCATCCAGGCTCTGGCTGGCGCGGCGCCGGTCCACCTCAGGGTCGTAGTAACAGTCGGTGGCATGGCCGTAGCAGTTACAGGCTAGAGAGAGGGGAGCGCAGCTGTTGGCACGCCCTCCACAGGCCCGGGCACCGGGGCCCTCTCATGGGCCAGGGTGTGGGCAGGACACACGTGTGTGGGAGGAGGCACTCACACTGGCACTCGTTGGCACTGTTGGCAGTCGCAGGCTTCCACGGCTGCTGATTGAAGCCGGGGCAGCAGCGGTCGCAGGTGCCCCCGCAGGTGTTGTGCTGGCAGGTGCACTGCAGCCTGTGGGGTACACAGGAGGGGGGATCAGGCCCATCCTGGAGGCAGGTGGCAGGTGCTCAGTCCCTTCCCTGAAGGGGCCTGTGATCCCCTCGATGGCTTGGCTTGCCACATGGACACGGCCCCCCGCTGCTGTTTCTCCAGCTGTCCGGCAGCAAGCGCTCGCCCAGACTCAGCGTCCCCGAGCCTGTGGCTCTGACGCAACTTCCCCAGGCTCAGGGAATGGACACAAGGAAAGAGGCGGTGGAGGACAGGGTCTCACAGGGCCTTTGTGGAGGCGGGACTGGGGAGCAGGTGTGCACTGACCGGGTGGGGCCTAGGACAGGGCACCTCAGGGGTCAGTAGAGTCCCCCTTGCCTGCAGGTCAGGATGGAGACCTGCGTTCTCCAAAACTGAGTTATGCCCTTTCCACTTCGGCCAGGACTCGAGCGTAAGCCCAAAACCTCCCTGAGCCAGAAGGGAAAGGGGTCCATTTGCACCCCCCAAGGCTCAGATTTCGCTTAGCAGGCAGGACTCCTAGGCATCCTGGTCACCTCCCTAGGGCCAAGTGGCCAAGAACTGCTTCCTTCTTCCAGCTGGGGTGGACACTAAGTCACAGGGCTGGAATCTTGCCTTACGTCCCGTGGGCAGGGTGACAGCTGGAGAGAGACAAGGCCTGAGGTTGGAAGCACCTACTGCTCAGTATTAGCCAGACCACAGCGGGAGTCCCTGCCCCAGATCAGGCTCTGCCGGAGGCTGCAGGGCCGTGCGTTCCCTGAGCAGGACCCCAGAAGTCAGTCCAGTCCATGAGGATTAGACCCAGAGCCTCAAATGGTCCAGCTCTAGTCCTGTCCTCCACGGGGCCCACCTCACAGGGCCTCGGGAATCAATACTGCTTTCCCTCAGAATCCAGAAACATCTGGGAGGGCCATACCCTCAATGAGAGGAATTGGGAAATAAACTGCCCGTCAGCACAGGTGATCAACAAAGAAGCTGCTCTGTCGTCACACCAGCCCCAAGTACCTATAAGCAAGGGCCTGAACTGGTGTTCCATTTTTCAAAAATCCACATAGTCAAGAAATTGATAGGAAAAGTGGTGCCGGGCTGGCGATACCCTGGGGTGTATAGCAAAAGCTCTCCCAAAACCATCCCAATCCCAGGGCACGCCAGAAGCACAAAGATAAACCCTGCTAAAGACCTTGCAGAGAAACAATGTGGCAGGTCAGCAGAAAGAGCCCCAAGAACCTCACAAAATGGAGTAATCTAGTAGAAGCCAGGGAAGAATGTTAAAAATGGTCATAAAGAAATCTAAAACATAGGCCGGGCGCAGTGGCTCACGCCTGTAATCCCAGCACTTTGGGAAGCCAAGGCGGGTGGATCACGAGGTCAGGAGATCGAGACCATCTGGCTAACAAGGTGAAACCCCATCTCTACTAAAGAAAAATACAAAAAATTAGCCGGGTGTGGTGGCAGGTGCCTGTAGTCCCAGCTACTCAGGAGGATGAGGCAGGAGAATGGCACGAACCTGGGAGGTGGAGCTTGCAGTGAGCCGAGATTGCACCACTGCACTCCAGCCTGGGCAAGAGTGTGATACTCTGTCTCAAAAAAGAATAAAATAAAATAAAAAAGAAATCTAAAACATAATAATAAAAAAAATAACACTATGGAAAACAGGCAGATGTGAAAAAGAACCAATCAGAACTTCTAGAAATGAAAAATGAAACTATAAAATTAAAGACTCAATGGATGGGCTAAACAGCAGACAGACACAGTGGAAGAGAGATTTAGTGAAGTGGAAGAGGAGCAAAGGAAGCTATCCAGAAGACACCTCAGAAGATAAAGAGAGAGGAAATAGAAATTATGAGAAGGAAACCAGAAGGTGCTCCTGTATCTAATGGGGACTCCAGGGGAAAAGAGGTAGGAAAGGGAGCCAACAGTCAGAAAGAATGGCCAAGGATGGTCTTGAATTAATAATGAACACATGGCCAGGCGCAGTGGCTCACACCTGTAATCCCAGCACTTTGGGAGGCCGAGGCAGGTGGATCACGAGGTCAGGAGATCGAGACCATCTTGGCTAACATGGTGAAACCCCGTTTCTACTAAAAATACAAAAAAAAATAGCCAGGCGTGGTGGTGGGTGCCTGTAGTCCCAGCTACTCAGGAGGCTGAGGTGGGAGAATGGCATGAACCCGGGAGGCGGAGCTTGCAGTGAGCCGAGATCGTGCCACTGCACGCCAGTCTGGGCAACAGAGTGAGACTCCATCTCAAAAAAAAAAAAAAAAAAAAAAAGCGTGAGTCCTGAGCAAGAAAAAAATCCCAATCCTCAACACATCACAATAAATCTGCAGAACACCAATGGCAAAAAGACCATAAAAAGTCCTGGAGAAGAAGATGACCCACAGAGGATCAGCAACTGCAAGGACAATGGACTCTCCCAAGCACCTGGAGAGGTGAAGAGACAGTCAAATCATTTCTCCAAAGTGCTGAGAGATGCAGCTATCAACCACGAATCCTACAGTCAGCTCAACTATCATTCAAGAGGGAGGACAAAACAGCCGTTTTCAGACAATTCCGGATAGACTGTCATGGAATAGAAAAACTACAGGGTGCATTTCAGGAAGGAGGAAGCAGCAACCCAGGGGATGGGGATGGGGATGGGGATGGTGGGGGTGATGGGGGTGATGATGGTGATGGTGATGGTGATGGTGATGGTGATGGTGATGGTGGGGGTGGTGATGGGTGGGGGTGATGACGGTGGGAGTGGGGGTGATGACGGTGATGGTGGGGGTGATGACGGTGATGGTGGGGGTGATGACGGTGATGGTGGGGGTGATGATGGTGGGAGTGGGCTGGTAGTGGGGGTGATGGTTTGGGTGGGAGTAAGGTGATGGTGGAGGTAAAGAGGCAGAAAATTGCTGGCTGATGACATGGAGCCCCCTTCCCTGGAGGAGAGGTGGGGTGGCGGGTAAAGGGTGCAGGGAGAACATGGGCAGGCTAATGTTTTGGGACACTGGTGGGTGACCAGGTCCTGGTAACAGAGGCTGTGGTTCCATGAAAGATTCCCAGTCACCCCTGCTTGCACCTGCAGGGAGAGCTGAGCTCAGTCCACACCCAGGTGCGGTGAGTCAGGGGATGGCAATGTCTTCCCTGCAGGCCAAGGCAAGCCCCGGCTCCCGCGCCCTTCCTCTCCTTGGAGGCCCATTTGGCTGCCTGGTGGGTTCCACTCCCTGCTGTCACGAGCTGCGTCCCCACTTGGCACTTAATTTCCCAGGACAAGTTAGCTCTGCTGGAGCTCAGCACCTGAAGCTGTGCTGGCAGCAACAAGTGCCTGGGTGGGTCCCCAGGGCCCACAGCTCCTGGCAAACAGCCCAAGTCCTCCGGCTCAGGTGACTGTGCCACTCCTCCCCTCAGACCCACCAGCCACATCCGAAGGGGCCCAGGGCTCCCGCCTCTGCTCGGCACTGGCCGTGAGAATGGGAGTGAACCTTTGTCCTGTCTGAGCTCCACCCGCCTCCCCACCTCCCCTGTAAACTGGAGCGTGGACAGAGCAGTAAGGCCCCACAGAAGGCAAGGGCGGGTCCCAAATCCAAGCGCATGAAAGTTGGGCTGCTCGGTTGCAGGCACTAGATGAGCCCTGCCAGCTCCCTGCTGGGGGTCCAGGAGCCTCGTCACACACTCAGCCTCAGCTGCACCACTCTGAGTGGCTTCTGTCCAGCCCCATGCCTGCACTGCCACCCTAGGGTGTTACACCCTCCGGGCACCACGCTGAGTACTGGTTTGCGTGTTTCCCAGCTGCCTCCCCCGGAACAGGTGCTCCTGAGGCCGGGCTGGGGTCCCACCCTGTGTTCCCATTCCCAGGAAAACGGCCCAGCGTGTGTTAGGCGCTCAACATACAGCTGCTGGCTGAAAGAACCAACGAAGGGAGGGAGGAAAGGACGGACGTGCCCTGGGGTTGCTTCTCCGCAGAATGAGCCCGGCCCTACCTTACTGAGGACTCTGGGTGAGGCCCAGGAATGTGCCGGTGCCAGCACCAGGGCTGCTGCCCATCCTGTGAGGGGCTCCCGGGAGGTGGATGCTCTGCAGTGCCCTCGGCTGCCCCCGAAAGCAGGCACACAGGGCACAGCAGATGTGGGGTGTTGGCTGCCCCCACCCTGCCATCCCCGTCCTGGGCCTTGGTCCCTGCTTGACTGGAGTGAAGGTCAGGGCTGGGGCAGCAGGGAAGTTGTCTGTTGTGTCCTGAAAGGTTGGGGGAGCTGGGCGGGCACCCCCAAAGTGAATTAGGGCTGCCTCGGCAGGTAGTGGGCACCTGTCCATTCCGGGGGATGCAGTCTTGGAGTCGGGGATCAATCATCCCCATTGCTGACTCCCCTCCACAGGGCCCCAGGTGTCCACTATGGTGGGAAGGCCAGCTGGCCTGGGGGTCCGGAGAGCCCCACCTCTGCTGGCAGTAGGGCAAGGCCCCCCAAACCAAGATAGGGCACCCTGGGGAGGCTGCACATGCCCTGGCCTCCACATCACTGCACAGATGAGGAAACTGAGGCACACACGGCGGTGGTCAGTGCAGGTCACACAGACAGCAGGGTTGTGGTGGGCCATGGAACCAGGTCACCCACCCTCAGGTTAGGCAGGGGTGACAAGGA
Organism: Homo sapiens; assembly: GCF_000001405.40. Lineage (NCBI taxonomy): Eukaryota > Metazoa > Chordata > Mammalia > Primates > Hominidae > Homo > Homo sapiens. The sequence goes on from NC_000020.11 coordinate 62,351,645, forward strand.
CAGGCAGGGAGCTGGGGGGGGCCTCACCTGAACGGGGCCTCACCTGAATGGGGCCTCACCTGAACGGGTCCGTGGGGTCTTTGGCATCGCAGGCATCCGCGTGGCCGTGGCAGACACAGCGGCCTCCGATGCTGATATCCTTGATGCTGTAATAATACTGCACCCGCAGGCCCCGTGAGCACCAGGCGGCCAGGCCTCACTCACCCTGAGTCCCGGGTCCACCCGGCCAGTCCCCCTCCCCCGCCTGCGCCATGGGCAGCTCACCCGGCGGGTGACCGTGGGGTCCCGCAGCGCCTTCCCCATGAGATGGCCCAGCAGCGTGTTGGTACGCAGGAAGCGCAGGCGGACGTTGGTGGCCTTGGTGAACTCACGTAGCAGCGGCGAGTAGGAGAAATTCATGGCGCCCGGACGTCCGTTCACCAGGGACACCACGATCTGTGGGCAGTATGCGGTGACGCCAGTGTGGCCCTAGCCCCTGCTCAGCACTGCCCCTCCCGGGCCCACCTTTCCCTTCTCCAGCCCCGCTCGGCACTGCCCCTCCCCTACCCACCTCTCCGTTCTCCAGCCCCCGTACCGCCCTGCCCCTCCCCGGCCCACCTCTCCGTTCTCCAGGGGCACGATGCGTGAGTACTCGGTGGTGCAGATGGCCGCGTCGTCCCGTGTGATGCGCTCCAGCGTCTGTGGCCCGAACCGCTCCAGACAGTCCCTCTTGGAGGCTGCGGGGAATGGCGGGAGGGGAGGGCGCTGGATCACCAGAAAAGCCTGGGTCCCCGCGGTGCCCGGGCCCCTTGACGTCTCCGGGCCTTGCCACTGAGGCTCCCACAGGCCAAGAGGCCGCGTGACAGAGACCACAGCTCACTGGCTGAAGGGGCCTGGCCCGTTGGACTGCACTGCCCCCCACCGCTCTCCCTTGCACGCTTTGAGTGCGAGTGACCCCCCTCGACGACCATCCTCACCCCCTTCCTTGGGGACAGACGCCTACTGCCCATCACTGACCCGCCCCTCCCCCATTCTCAGGCCAGGGAATTTTGGGGGACACGTGACCAGGCCTGCCCTATTGGGGAGGAGCACCCACTCCCACCAGCATGACTGGTCAGGGTGGCACGGGGCCAGGGACGGCCAGCATCCGGGCTAGGACTCCAGTACTCTTGACGCAGGTGGCTAGGCTGGCAGGAGGTGAGGTGGGAGCTGCCAGGCCCCTTTTGTCACCACGGGAGCTGCCGGTGCATGAAGCCATCCAGAGGCAGCCAAGAGATGGCACCAGAGATTCCTGGCGCCACAGCCCCTGGACTTGGCTGTGCCCGACGCCAGGGACAGGAGCCAATAAATCCCCATGAGCCTTCGGGTCCTCGTCTGACAGTCATGACCGCAGCAGCCGGGTGTGAGGGCAGGGCTGGGTATTCGGAGACCTTCAGAAGCCTGGTCACGGAGGGCCTGCCCAGGGACCCCCCTGCCTCTCCCCCCAGGCCCCACGGCGGCAGAGACTCACAGGCAAAGAACTGCCAGGGCTGGTAGGTGCGGCCGAAGTCCATGGACCGCTCCAGCACCCAGAGGTCCGGCCGGGGTGAGTTGGCAAACTTGATGAGGACGTAGGCCACGTGGAAGACCTGTGGGCCGAGAGGGCGTCAGGGGAGCCAGGGGCGCCTGGATTCCCATGCTCCCAGGGGCCTGGCTCATTTTCTGCCCCTCAGGTGAGGCCACAGCAGGGGATGTGGCACCCTCGCCGCACAGGGGGCACCTCTGGGTTTGCCTGTGTGGGGCAGACGAACCCAGGGGAGAGGGCTCCCCAGGGATGGAGATGAGCCCCCGGGAACCAGCCCTCCTGGAAGGGCTCCCCGCCTGGGCTCGGGACCAACGCGCTGCCTCCTCCCCTTCCCTGCCGCAGGAGTTTGGGGTTCCCCCATGGTCCTGCAAGCTCTGTGGCTGCAGATGGAGCAAGCTAGGGAGAGGCCTACCTGCGGCCCAGGCAGGGACTGGCCAGGGTGGAGGCAGGAACACACCCCAGTGTCCCCACAGCCCTCACGTCCAGCCAGGCCTGGTGGCCAGACAGTGGTCCCTGCCACCAGGCAGGTCCAAAGGTCCAACCCCCTAGTCCCTCTGACAGGTCAGCAGCTCCTAAGATGGGGCCCCTGCCCCCACCTCACACCGGGCACCCCTCCCCAGGCTCTGCTCAGTCCCATGCTGACCAGCCCACAGCCAGGGGCCCACTGAGCCCCCAGGGACTGGGCTGCAGGGAGCAAGCGGGGCTCAGCCTTGCAGGCTGGGGGCCCTCTTGAAGCTGAGTCTGCCTCGGAGACTCCACCAGCCCAGGCACTGGGGCAGTAGCACTGCTGTGGCCCGGTGCACGTCAGGGCAGCCCTGCCCAGGGCAGAGGAAAGCTGCTCCTTCCCAGGCCTCCGAAACCCCAAGCCCCTGCCCCAGCCCCACCTTGGCTCTGCCTACTTTCTCCCCGTGTGTCAGCCTGACCTCCACCCAGGGACAGCCCATGTGTCTGTGCCTCGGGGCTGGGGGACAGCCTGGCTCAGTCTTCACAGGACGCTTTGTACACCTCCTCAGAGAAGCCTTCCCTGACTGCAGCCCCTCCCCCTAACCCTCAGCTGCGGACATCTCCCCAGGCCCAGGCCCTTCTCTCCGCACAGGCCAGGCCTGCTGACTCCCCTCAGGCCTCTGATCAGCCTGGGCTTCCCTCCCTCCCTCCCTCCCTCCCTCCCTACCCATCCCCTGACACCCTGCCCTCAGGACTCCAGGCCTGAGCCTCTCCTGCCCCCAGCAGTCAGTGCTACCCAGCCTCATATCTGCACCCACCCGACATGACCGTGGGCCTCCATGCCTGCACCTGGGGGTGCACACACACCCGCCCAACAGTGAAACACCGTGGGGGTGGCTCCTCCATGGACCCAGGCCACAGGCCCCCTCTGAAAAGGTCTCTGGTCCCTAAAAACAGCCCATGGCCTCAATGGCAAGAGGCTGCACCCAGGAGCAGGGGGGGTCCCGAGGCACACAGGAGGGGGCGGTGCCCAAGCAGCACCCCGCCTTCACACTCATGCAAGCCAGGGCTCAGCCCCTGCTGCAGCCAAGTGCTCCCACCCGCCATAGCCTCTGAGGGGAGCCCTAGGCTCCCCCTACCTGGGGGCAAAGGAGGGAAGTTGTCTCCAGGCCCTGTCACAAGCCTGGAGGCTCCAAGGGAGGGTGAGCCCCTCCCCAGCCCCTCTCAAACAAAGGGGAAAGGGCTCTCCCAGGCAGAGGCTCCACAGGGACCTGGCAGGGAGGCGGAGGAAACACGAACCTCTCCCCCGCCTGTGCGAGGAGGCCCGGGTGCCGGGGGAGAGAGGCAACTCATGGACCCACAGCACAGGTGTGGCCTGCCTGTCCCGGCCCACACCTCCCCTGACGGGCCCACAGGGTCCACGATGGAGACCTTGGGAGACCTCAGTACTCAGCCCAACTCTTTGTGGGCGGCAGTGGGGACCAGCCCCTCCTCTGCTCACAGGTGGGCACCCAGGTGGGCCCTAAAAAGGCCAGCAGGCCTCCGAGGGTCATGCCACACCCCAGGGCCACCCACCACACCTCCTCGGGACCCTGACCCGCCAGTGCCCACTCCTCCGGAGAGTTTCTCCCCACAGCAGGTACGCCCGGGAACAGCTGGGTGCTGTTGGCCAGGTAGGCCTGGAAGCCTAGGGCCCCAAGGGGGAGAGTGGGGTCCCCCAGAGCTGCACAAGACCTACAGTCACCCCACTGGACTGAGCCGGACTGAGACTGCTGTGGGGTCCCCCATGAAAAGACCACAGACCCCTCATAGCTTCAGCCCTTGGGGGCACCAGCTGCCCAGACTCCAGGTAGGGGGCAAGGTTCCAGGACTCCAGACATCCCAGGTCCAAATCCCACCCTTCTCGGAGGGCTTGGCGTTGCGGGGACTGTGGGAGCCAAGCGCAGCCTTCCGGGGTTGGGGCGGGGCACAGGCCTATTCACCGGCTGCCAGGCTCTGAGGTCATCGTCTACCTCCCTGTGGGTGGGGGGCAGGGAGACATGCCCTGCCCAGCAGGGAGGGGTATGAGCCTCTTCAGGGACAGACCCTATACCCAGCCCCACACCCGGGCCTCAGCAGCCCCCTGTGGGCCTGACCACAAGCATTCCAGAGAGCCCCAGGTGGGGGCCAGTGGCCCCTGTGCCTGGACAGGGAAGGACCCGCTAGAGGTGGACAGGGGCAGGGACACAGGCTGTTCTCGGGGAGCTGGCAACACAGCCCCTCCCACCAAAGGCTCCGAAGGAGACTAAAGGTCCCGACTGAGCCCCCTGGGAGCCGCCCCCGCTGTTCCCTGAGTGCCTGGATGGAGGCTGCGCTCTCCTCGGCCCGATCTGTCCTCCTCCCTCCCCTTCAGCAGGCCAGTCACATTTTTCCCAGCTGAGAGCACTTGCACAAATATTGACTTGAAGACACTGATCAGCAGGATGAGGGGGACACAGACACTTCGCCCTCCCCACCCCTGGGATGCACAGGAAGATCCTGGCCTCCTGTCTGTCCCCCATCCCAACCATCTGTCTGTCAGACAGGGGCCCTGGACAGCTGTCCTCGAGGGCCTGGTGGCTGCACAGATGGTCACAGGAAGGGAAGCCCGCGCTGGAGGACTCCCATCTGTCTCTGACCTGGTCGCGGCTCCCAGGGCCACACCGGCCGCCCTCGCCATGACCCGGAGCGAGCGCAGACCCCTGGCTTCGGGACCGCCCTTCCCCCTCCACGCCCCGCTCAGCTCAGCTGCCAGTGCTGACCTTTCCGCTGCTACATGGTTCTGTGCAGAAAGAAAAAAAAAAGTCTTTTAAAGCAAAAGCCAAACAAAAGCTGCCTGAGTTATTTTTAAAAATCGGCTATTTTGGGGCAGGCACGTCTCCAGGACGGCAGCCGGACCCGCCTCTCAGCCACTGCACCCTCCAGTCCCCACTACCCAGCTTGCCCTGGGAGGGCCACGGTTCCCAGAGGAGGCCTCTGCCCGGTGACCACTGCCTCACAGGGGGTGGGCAAGAGCCCCAGGAGTACGGGGCCCAGGACCCAGGGCCCAGGCCGGCTCCAGGCTTCAGGGGTTGTGCGGCCCTGGAGCGGACACTTCCCCTTCCTGGGCACAGGGCAGTGGGAAGAGCTGCAGAGAGGGGCATCAGGATAAAATGCCTTTCATGAGGGCATGAAGGTTTGAGCGCCCTGGGAGGGAGGACGCCAGCTGCTCCTGGAGGGCAGCAGCCACCCCGCAGAGACGCTGAGAGGCCCCCACTGGAGCTGCCCCACTCACTGGCGCTCCGAAGGCAAAGCTGCGGAGGGGACTGAGTAGGTGCTAGGGTCTGGGCAGCACGGTGAGGACTACAGAGAAACTCTGGTGGGGCTTTCGGGGACCCTGGGGATGGCGTGGGGTTGTTGGCTAGCAGCCTCCTGGGCTGAGGCACCCACCTCACCATGGGGTGGGCTGTGGCTGGAACCTCCAGAGGAGGGGAGGCGGTGCTGTCCTGTGCCCAAACCCAGCTCTGCCCTGACCCATCTTGGGTTGGGGAGACCAGGGCCAGGTCCAGGTGCCCGCTGTGCTGGGTGAGGGCCAGTCAGCCTTCCCCGGCAGCCTGGATCACAGCGGTCTGTGACTCAGCCCCCGCCCTGCAGGAAGAAGGGCGTTGTGCCAATTCCCGGGGCAGGAAAAGCCCCTCCTAGCCCCAGGCGTCCGGGCCAGCACCCTGATCGCACTGCTCGGACAGGGCACCGGGGCACCCAGCCCCCTCGATGCCCAGAGTCCTGGGCCAGCCCAGCCCTTGCCCGCTCCTGCTGTGTGCCTCCCCTCGAAGAGACCCCATCTGGAAACGTAGATAAGCCCCACAGCAGGGGCGGGGCGGCAGCCGGGAGCATCTCCACTGGCCCCCAGCTGGGTGAATAAGCACGGCGGCCACACAACCTATCAGGGGTCCGGAAACGTGCCCCACACAGACACCTCTCCCAGAGGGACGTGGAGTGGAAAAGCCGGGGGTTTCCACAGCAAGCCCACCGCTGGGAAGAAAAATAACAACTCTGAGGCCAGAACCCCCAACTCTGGGGTTGGACGCCGCCATGCCCAACTACAGATGTCCTAAGCAGGACAGGAAAACTTCCAGGAGTGGGCGGGGGGACAGGAGCTCCCCAGCTGGAGGGAGAGGATGGGTTCCCAGCCAGGGGGCTGCCCGCACCTCAACAGAGCTGGGCCTGGGGTGGATTCAGGGACCCCAACCACTGCAGCCCAAGCTCCAGGCTCCCTCCCTGCAGCCCAGCCCAGGTCAGGCCAGATGGTCAGCCGGGGACACAGGAAGTGGAGATTATCCCAAGGGGACCCCTCGGCCTGAAACCCAAACAGTTTCGTCTTCACTGAGCTGTGTTGTCAGAGGCCAATGTGGTGGCTCTTGTTTAGAAACAGACAGAAAACAGGAAGCCTTTGGGGACCACCAGGGCCTGGGGGGTCTAGGTGGGTGCTGGGGCATCTCTGTGCCCTGAGTGCCAGGTCTGGCCGTGCAGCCACCAAGGGCAAGCATGGCGCGGGGGTGCGGGGAGAGGAGCGGCCCCATCCCCACCTTGGCATGGCAGCCCCTTGGGCCGTGTCCTCCTTCCAGGACACGTAGAGGGAGGGTTTTGCCGTCTATCCTGTGCCAGGGGAGGGGAGTGGTGCCTCCCAGGACCCCCGCCGTACCCCCCAGGGAGCCCTGCTCAAGTGGCTGCGTCTGGTTCAGCCCGTGCACCTGTCCCGGCCGCCGAGCTCTGTAACTAGAGCCTGGCCGCAGCTGCACTTCCTGTCCTTCCCTGGACAACCCACTGACCGTCCTGGGGCACTGGCCACATGGCTGAGTGCCCAACCAGGCCCAGGGAGCCAAGCCAGTGGCACCCTGGACCAGTAGGCCTGCCCAGGGCCCAAGCCGGCCAGCCAGAGAGCAGGCAGTCCTGAAGGGTGAGGCAGCCTGGGCGCGCTGGGCCTCCGGCAGGTCCTCCTCCTGCGGTGCTCCTCCCATTTACAGAGGAGGAACCAGCCCGGGAACCCAGACTGCAGACAGCATGGCCAACCCCACAGTCCTCCAGACCCCAGCACTGGGACCTTGGGCACTCCACACTGGCCCTGACCCTCTCATAACCCCACCTCAGTTTCCCCAAGTGCCTAGGGAAACTCACACTCCAGTGGCCAATGACTTCAGCAGAGCTTTGCCTCCTTGTACCCCCACTTGGAGGGGACAGCTGACTGCCTCCCCTCTCCGGCCCTACCTGTCCACTCTGCCCTCCCATGGGTCTCCACCATCCCCAGGGGCACAGGCCCTCACCTGGCACTGCTCGCCCCCAACCAATACTTCTAGCCTCATGCCTAACTGCCCCCTTATACCCTGCCAGCCCCAGTTCCCCCACACCTTGACCCCCACCTGGGCCTCCCCATTTGCCCTGCAGCTCTGGGCCTCGGGGACTGGGACAAAGCCGCTACCCCACCTGTAGCACCTGCAGCGTGGCCTGCTCTACAGAGAACAAAGCAGGGGCCTCCCTACCGGAAGGGGGCCCGTGCGTCCTCACTCCTCATCTGAGGGAGGCGGGAGGCAATGCCCTCCTCTGCTGGGGAGAGCCCCGCCCCCACGGTCAGGCCACCCAGGGGCCGACTGGAGAGGGAGGGGACACAGGCCAGAGCCAGCCCCACTCACCCTGCCCAGCTCCTTACAACCTGGGCCCGCTGGGCTAGCGTGCTGGTGTAGTGGGGCAAGGGCCTGGACCCTGCGGCAGAGCCAGGGGGTGGGGGAGCTCAAGCCAGGACCCGCTGGCCATGTGCCTGGGCAGTCATGAACGCGCTCACCCTTCCCTGGGCCTGGGGCCTGGGGCCTGGGGCCTGGGTGTGGTTCTCGGAAGAAGGAGCCTGAGGCCAGTGATGTGGCCGCTCAGTTCCAGAAGCTTCCGGAGGATGCAAGGAGATACGCAAGAACCCCCTAGAAGGACCCCCTGGGGAAGGTCACGTCTGGAACTCGGAAACTGCCCCCTGAGTCACCAGTGACCAGCGCTGGAGCCTCTTCCTGAGGCCCCACCCTTGGAGAGAGAACCCCTCCACGGCTGGGCGCAGCGGGACCCAGGCCAGGAGCCCAGCTGGCACTCCCGGGGGCCCAGGCTCAGCTGCTTCTGGGTGGACACCACAGGGACTAGTCTCCCCTCCCCTGCGCCAGCCCCTGCCCCACCGCACACCAGGGGTATGAGATCCGAACCGTGATGCAGCCCACCCCGCCCTCCTCAGCCTTCCAGGAGCAGGAAGCCTTCCCGATGCCCAGTGCCAGCCGCCCCCACCCCCGTCCCAGGGCATCCGCTCCAGATCCCAGAACAAAGGCTGCTGGCAGCCCGCTGCAGGGGGAGTGCCCGGACCCACCCGCCGCTCAGCCTGGCTTCCTGATGGAGGCCCCAGCCCCGCCCCAGGATCAGCCCTGAAGCCCAGGAAGGACATTTCCCCACCCCACTCCAGGGAGTCCCTGCCCCCACCCTGACCAAGGCTGGCAGCCCCCTGGCCTAGGCCGAGACAGGGGCCTTGGTAGATACATCCACGTGGTCAGGAAAGTGGGTGAGAAGGAAGGAAGACGGTGCAGGTGTGGAGGGAGGAATGAGCAGACAGGTGGACAGATGGATGGAAACAAGGAATAAAGGGTGGGTGCTGCATAGGTAGGGGGGTGGGTGGGTGGATGGATGGGTAGGGGTGGGTGGGTGGATACGTTGGGGGTGGGTGGGTGGGTGGGTCAGCAGGCAGAGGGATGGGATAGGATAGGTGGGTGGGTGGAGGGATGGGTGAGTGGGTGGGTGGAGGGATAGATGGGTGGTGGGTGGGTGGAGGGATAGATGGGTGGTGGGTGGGTGGAGGGATAGATGGGTGGGTGGGTGGGTGGAGGGATAGATGGGTGGTGGGTGGGTGGAGGGATAGATGGGTGGATGGGTGGGTAGAAGGATAGGTAGGTGGGTGGGTGGGTGGATGGGTGGGTGGAGGGATAGATGGGTGGGTGGGTGGGTGGAGGGATAGATGGGTGGGTGGGTGGAGGGACCACTTCCCAGGTGGAGTGGAAAGGGTTCCTCTTCCCTCCGTATCATTTTACAGTTGGTGAAACTGAGGCTGTGAGAGGCAAGACGCTCACATGGCGGAACCTGATTTCTGGCCCAGAACAATCTAAAAGCAAACTGGCTTCAGGCCTGAAGTTTCCAGCCCAGTTCATACATGTGCACCGAGGCCGAGAGAGCCCCAGAGCCAAGGGGTGGTGGAGCCCAGGCTCGTGGGTCCGAGTGTCAGTCCCGGCTTCCCTGCCCCACCCAGGCACATCGGGCACTGCGCCCACTGGCTCTGCAGCCACCCTGGGGTTGCCGTGGAGACTGGGCCATCTCCCCTCCCCCAGCCCAGCCCCCTAGTTTCTCAAAGGAGGAGAGGCGGGAAGAACTCGCCAGTGCCCAGCTTCCCGCCCCGAGCAGCTGAGAATTCACACGTACGCTACAGCCAAGGTGGGGGCCTCTGCTGCTGTGCCAGAGAGATGAGGGACCCCCAGGCTCCAGGGGACAGGGGAGTCAGATGCGGGGAAACCCAGTGAGATGAAGGTAAACAGGCAAAGCCACACCCAGACCCAGGCCAGGGCAGGGCTAGGGGCCTGGCAGGCAGGCAGGGAGCCCAGGACAGGCAACCCCTCCCCAGCTCCCCGCCCTTCTCCACAGGGCTCTGCAAGTTCAGGAACCCCTGGAAATTCCAGGCCACTTTTGGAGCTTGAGCCCTCCCCTCACTGCCTGCCCAGCCCGGGCCAGGCCTGCAGACCACCAAGGCTGCCAAAGGTGCCTGCCCCTTGGGGCCGGCCCTCCAGCCAGGCTCCAGGGAGACCTCCTCTATCTCTAACACCCTCGGGACAATGGCAGGGACAGAGGCTCAGACAGGGGTGAAGACCGATGTGTCACACACTGGGACTGGGGCAGCGGCGGAGCCGGCTGGGATGCAGGCCTCTGGGTCAGCCCTGGGGCCCCCACTCCAGGCACTGGCTGCTCTCAGGCCCAGCCTCCTCCACCTGCCCCACCACTGTCCCTGACCTAAGAAGCACCAGGATTACTGGCCCATTTTACAGGCCAGGACCTCAAGGCTGGGTACCCGGGCCAAGTCGCCCCCAATCTGGGGGTGCTCAGGGCTGGCAGCCAGGCAGGCCCACCTTGGGGGTTTCACTCTTCGCTTGGAGGCACCCAGCTGCAGCCTCCTGCTTGTGCAGGGGCCTCCAAGGCCAAGGAGAGCCCAGAGCTGGGGACTGGAGAGCAGGCACCCGACCCCACCTAACCCTCAGTGGCCGCCACCTCGGCACAGGTATCCCAGGAATGTCCACTTGCGCCAGCCTCCTCTGCATTCCTGCAGCCCCTCCCGCACCTGCCAGGAATTCCTTAAACAGCAGGGCGCCTGACGCAGGGGGCACCACCGCACTGCTCACAGCACCTCCGCCCTCCCAGCCCCAAGCTGTCTACTCAGCACCCGCAACCAAACTCTGTGGCCTTTGGAAACACCCCCATGAGCACCCGCTTTCCCTGTGTCATGGGGACGCTGAAAGCACAAACAAAAGGTGACCACTGCCGTGCCTTTGTCCCTGTGGGGACTCCCCCCACCAAGTCCTTCGTGTCCAGCCTCCCAGGCCCCAGGTCTCGCTCACGGTGGAGACCTCGCCTTCTGGTCCTGTGGCCCAAGGTAGGCCCGACGGGCACAGACACAGAGATGGGGGCTGCAGCACGCAAAGAAGGGTCCCTACCTGGCCCAGGTCCAGGGTGACGTTGACCTCGTTGTACTCCAGGCCGCGGGACAGCGGTGGACTCTGCCACCAGCGCTCCGTGCCATCGATGGCATTGCTCGCGGGGTGTGCCTTGTTGCTGTTGGCAGCCGTGCAGATGTCACAGTACTGGCCCTGCAGAGGGAACGGGAGGGTCAGATAGCCGAGAAGGGCCGGGGCCCCCTTCCTCCTCCACAGTCACCCTGCTGCCCCGAGACAAGTCCTGGTCCCACTGAGCTGGTTCCACGCCCAGCCTCTGCGCCCCTCATCCACTTGCTCAGCAAACATGCGCCAAGCACCTGCTGCTCCTCCGACTCAGGGGATGTGGCTCATGTGAGCTGCTCACGGCGCTAAGGACAAGAGGAAGACCAGGGTGGAGAGGGGCATCTGCCTTGGGTGGGAAAATCTCGGTGGGCCTCTCTAGCGGGGTGGCGTCTGAGCACTACGTGGTAAGGGGGGGGGTGTGCTCTAGGCAGAGGGGGTGCCAGTGCAACGAGCCCTGGGGGCAGGAAGAGTCTCACAGTAAACCACAAGGTGGATCAATGTGTCTAGAGCCAAAGGGAGCAAGAAGGGGCAGGAGTAAGGCAAAGCATGGCTACCCCTCCCTGCTGGCCCTGCCAGGGGCTCCAGAGAGGCTTGGACAAAATGCAGCAAGCCAGGGGGCGGAAGGGGGAGCTGCAGACAGAAGGACCGTCAGGGCCGGGATCCAGGCGGCCAGACCCCCCCCCACCTCCAGATCTTGCCCACAGCCTTCTGGATTAGGGTCTCCAGAGAGACAGAATTAAGCTGTTCCGGAGGCCTGTGGGGACCGGCCCCAGAGTGGACGTGTGGACAGCGGCAGGTGGGCCTGGGCCTCCTGGCTGCTGCTTCCGAGTCCTGGGAAGAGGCCAAGTCACAGTAACTGCTGAGCCTCAATGTCCCCATCCAAAGAGTGGGGATAAGGCTGCACCTGCCTGGGGCCACCGTGAGGAGTAATGGCTCACACACACAGCCTGGCAGCCGCTTCTGTCCCGGGCCTGCCATCTGCTGGGGGCCTGTCCTGCATGGGTGAGTGGGGAAGAGAGGAGGCTCCCAGCAGAATCCTGGCCTGCATCCTGGCAGGGGAGGGGTAGTGCTGGGAGCCGGGGCAGGGATGAGGAGAGGGGGCAGAGCTGGGTCCTGGCTGCTCCCCCGCCCCCCCAGGAAACCAGATCTGCTGTTTGTCCACACAAAGGCGCCCTCCCAGGCTTGGGGTTGATTGAGGCCCCAGAGGCCTCAATCTGAGTTTGAGAAAGTCAGCGGCCCTACCCCGCCCAGCCTCCCTTGGGGGGCCAGACCTCATCCTAGGAGGAGGAGGCAGGAGCTGGGGAGATGCCTTCTCCCCACCCCCAGGCCCAGCACCTACAGAGGGCCCAACCCCCTCGCCCAGAGTGTGCCCTCTGCCTCCACTGAGCACCAGGGCAACACCCGGTACCCCTCCCACAGGCTCCCAAGACCCCGCCCTGGTGTTTGGATTGCCCCATCTCAGACCTTGCCCCAGACCACCCAAGATGCAGCTCTGCAGCCCCCAGTGTGGCCACTGCTGTATTTCCTTTACTGCATGTATGAGACCTGGAATTATCTGGGGGCCTCCCCGGGGTCCCCCAGAGCTCTGCAGTGGCAGGGTCCACACCCTCCTTATTCCCGCTGTGTCCCCAGCTCACCACCTAAGCATTCTCGTGGATGGGGCTAGAGCAACTGAAGACACCCAGTTAAGCGCCACGACCCCTACCCGCAGGCCGCACTGCAAGCTTTGATGGTGGCCCCCAAACTCAAGAGCTCAATGACAGCACGGCGCACACAGGTCCTGCTCAGGGTGGGGCCAGGGGCTCCTGGAGAAGGTAGGTGTGGGCGGCGCCCTCTGGCTGGGACAGCCGGACCTCCCAGGGAAGGCTGCTTGCTGGTCAAGACCCTCCCAGACACACGAGCAGCAGAGGGAAGCTGGGTGGAAGGTTGCGGGTCAAGGGTCAGCCTCTACTCTTCCAGGAGGTCAGGGAAGCACCTGCTCAGTCCCTGCCTGGGCCAGCGTTGGTCCAGTTATTGGGAGGCAGTTCCAGTCCCCATTCGGCCACTCACTGAGCCACAGAGGACAGGGTTGGGAAAACCAGGCTCCCCCACCTCCGCTGCGGAGGGTCCCGTGAGAACAGAGCTAGGAAACAGCAGAAGGGCCGATAAGGACTTCCCCTTCCAATGAGTCACCATGCTGGCCTGGCTGCCCAGTCCCCACCTTCCCAGGCTGGGCCGGCCAGGGATCCCCTGATGCCCACCTGGGGCTGTGAGGGCCACAACCTCCCCCTGCCCTCTGCCTGCTCCAGCTGCCCAGCAGGGTTCACCCCGACCCCCATCTGGGATGCCCAGCTAATGTGCATCTCCTACAGAGGGTCCCTGAGAGCCCCTGGCCTGCAGCCTTGAGAACACACTGCCCAGCCCCAGGCCCCATAGCCTTAGTGAGCCCCCTCAGATGGAGCTGCGGCTTCATCGCCTGGGCACCTCCTGTGCCTGCCTGCCTTGCCCCAACCGCAGCTCCACTCCAGACCGGCCGGCAAGGACTTCTCACACGCCCAATCCGCGGCCAGGGCGGTCAGCAGACCCGCGGCTCTCAGATGAAGGAGGCATCCAAGGTCATACCCGTCCAGCTCACGTCTACCAGCTGATCTTTCTACATATCTGGCAGCCTCAGCGGGCACTCACTGCTCAGAGCTCGAGACTTTGGAAGCGAAGGGTTCACCTCTATTGCTAGACATGAGCTGGGCGAGGCCGGCTGGTTTCTCATCCAAGCTGGCTCTGAGGCATGGAGCACCACAGCCCACAGCTGCCACTGAAACTGTGGCCACTTCCCAGGCTCCTCGGGCCAAGCTCACAGTCTCAGGTGAGGGGGGCCAGCACGCTGTGCCCATTTTAAAGACAGCTTGAGGCTGACAGAGGGAAGCCACACAGCTGAGGCAGAGGAGAGGGGCGTTGACTACAGGCTGGCCCTTTACTCACGAGACGGGGGTAATAAGCCCCCACAGAGGAGACAGATCTGAGAGGGGGCCTGTGGCCCCCAGCCACGCAGCATGGGCAGGCTGTGGGGGGGTGGTCTGAGGTTCACAGGGCACCTGGAGCCTCCCCTGCCAGAACGGCAAAATCTCAGCTGGGGACACTCAGCCAGGCCCTCTGTGGTGAGGTGTGGCAGCAGGTAAGGAGACAGTCACAGGCCCTCCGTCCTGAGACCCGGCCCCTCTGAGTTGACCAGATAAGGGGGCAGCCAGGAGGCACCCAGGTTCCCACAGCTAACCCCCGCTGGACCCTGTTCTGGCTGGGGGGCTCCAAGCAGGTGTCAGCAGCTTTCCAGGGCTCAGATCCCCCATCTGAAGTGTGGGCTTGAGACCTCCTATCTCAGAGGACTGTGCTGGGCTTAAGGAGAGAACGGTGAGCCCAGAAGCCTGGGGAGGCTCCTTCCCCCTCCACCAGGGCCAAGGGGGTGGGGCAGGCAGAGGGGGCGGGCCCAGCCCAGGCTCCTCCATTCATCCCCATAACGTCTTGCTCCAGGGCCCTCTGCCCCCACCCAGCAAATCTCCAGCTACTCGCCCCTGCCCCAGCCTCTCCTTCCGGGAAGGCAGAGGTACCAGGGAGGAGACAGCTCAGGTTACACAGGCCCTCAGGGCCCCTAGACTCTCCCTAAGGTGGGGCTGAGGTGGGGAATGGGCCTAGAGCGGCCGGTTGGGAGCCGTTGGAGCTGACTTTGCTGCTCCTCACCCAAGGCTGACCCCAGGCCCAACCTAAGTCTACAGGGCCCCAAGAGCCTTGGTTTTCAGGTGAGGTGTCCATGCATGGAGTCCACCAACAGAACCCGCCTACAGGTTTAAGGCTTGTTGGGGAGGGGACATGCACCCCAGGGGGTCTTCAGGGCCTGAACCCACATCTCCCAGGGAGACTGAAGCCCCCGGACCCTACCACCTGCTGGGCAGAGATGCTGCCCCTCCTGGGAGCCACGTGTTCCCAGCCCCAGTCAAAACTTCGCAGCTGGCCCTCCCCTACTTTGGAGGTCTCCTCGAGTCCCTAGACTCCTCCGAGAGGGGCTAGTGGGAGCCTCAGGTGGCTGGCCCCTCCCACCCCATCCAGAGGCCAACAGGTTCCAGCCTGTCCCGGGTAGGGCGGAGCTGCGCCCCCTCCCCACCGGCAGCAGGCGGCGGAGGCCAAGTCCCGCCCTCCCCGGGATCCCGGACTTGGGGCCGCCAGGGACTGGGCCCGGCCCCCCTCCCGCCCCGGTCACCGCAGTCGAACTGGACCGGCGCCCAGCCGCCCCCGGGTCCATGCCGGGGACTTTAATTCCGCCTTCCCGGAGGGACGCGAAGTTTCCCGGCCGAGACGGAGCGGCCGGGTCGGGGTGCCTTCTTGGGCCCCCAAAATGCGGAACCAGAGAGTCCGCACCTGGACTCGCCCCGGGCCACGGCGCTCCCCCTGGGGTCGGGCCGGTGTTCCGGGTCCGAGTGCCCCGGGAGGAAGCCCCACGGCCCGCCCCTGCGCTCACCCGGATGGTCTGGTTGGGGTCGCCGCCGGCCACGGGGCCCCCTACCAGCTTGCAGTAAAGGTCCTCGGTGGGGCGCGGGGAGCCGCGCGCCGGGGCCTCCTCTCCGCAGGTCGCGGAGGCGGCGATGCGGGCGCCCTCGGCCAGGTTGAAGTAGGGCGGGTGCAGGCTGAAGCCGCCGCCCGCCTCCTCCCGCGCCCGCGCCGCGCCCAGCAGCGCCAGCCCGACCAGCAGCAGCGGCGCGGGGCCCCGGGGGCCGCGAACACACAGTGCGCTCCCCGCGCAGAGCCGCTTCGCCATCTTCCCGGCTCCGGGCCGCGTCCCCGAGCTCCAGGGACAGCGCGCGCGGCGGGAGCCCGGCGGGTCTGAAGCCAGGCGGCCGGCAGGGCTCGCTCCGCCCGCGGACGTCAGGCCCCGCCCCGGCCCGCCCGAGCGCCCGAGCCCCGAGCCCCGGGGAGAGGTCCGGGGAGGCGGGGTGGGGGGGGGAAGGAGAGAGGAGGGGGAGGGGCGGCCGGGCGGCCTTAACCCTTCGGACCCCGGCCCGGCCGCCTCCCGGAAGGGGCACCTGCTGGCCTCGGGCCAGGCCGTGGGACGACGGCGCCGCCGGGCCCCCAGCCCAGGTCGTAGCTCCGGGTCCCGGGTGGGACCCTAGCGCTCCCCACGACGCCCTGGCCCCCAGAGCGCCCACCAGCTCCTCCCAGCCCAGGGGCCCACTCTTTGTTCCCCTAACTTGGGTGCACCACTCGGCTGCCCCCGCTCCTCCCCCAACAGCGTCCGTCCTGCTGGCTGCGGGAAGGTGCCCTCTGCACCCGCGAATGACCATCTGCAGAGGAACGGGGCAGCCTAGGTGGGAACCCCCTGCTTCCTGGGGCAGCCAGGTCAGGTTCAACTCGGCCTGGCTCCCGCCTGCCCCAGCAGGGCTTAAAAATACTCTCAGATAGGGAAATAGGGGCAGGAGGGACTGGCCTGCAGCTGCAGCCCCCTTTAGAGGACGGGGGCGGTGCTCATGGCCCCACAGCCGCCAAATTGGCTCTTAAGGAGGTCGGGGGCTCTGGTCACAGCTGCTGAGCACCTGCTGGGTGCCTGGAAGCACCTGTGCTCCGGGGCCCGGTGGACTCCACCAGCTCTCTCGGCCTGGCCTCCAACCCGCTGCACAGCCGCGCACGCGTTCCTGCCACGATCGGCGGCTCGAGGACGCCTGGCAAACAGCACAGGACCTAGAGGCCGAGATCAGGTCTTCGTCTGCCTTTGGGTGGCTGCGGCCCTGGGTCTCCTACTTCCCTTGGGCTCCGGGGCCAAATCTGCCTCCAGGGAAGCCCCGAGGGGGTGGCGGCGGGGTGGGGCTGCAGCTGCCGAGCTGGCAGCAAACCCCCATCCCTGAGCCAGGCCAGCTGGGCGGGCCATGGTCCCAGATGGGCTGTGGGGCTCATCTCTCGCTGGGTTCCCTGGACAGTCCCGGGGGGCTGGGTGGGTTTGTGGGGCACTGGCCAGCCGGTTCTGGTGGGGGTTCTGAGCTAGCAGCTGTCCCTGGAGGGTGCACCTCCTTGCACACCTTCCTGGCGCCCTGGCCTCCTGCAAATCTCAAATCCCAAGAGGGTGTATGGCCCTTTCTCTACGGAGTCGGGAGGGCGATGGGACCCTCTCTCCCTCCTCCTACTTTCCGGCCCGGCAATTCTTCCATAACTTCACTATTAGTTCTCCCACCTGGGGGAGGGGGGAGAGGAGGCGGCTCCCCTTGGCAGGAGAAGCTCCAAGTGGGGGAGGGGCTGGCTGGAGAGGGGGCGGAGACATCAAGGAATCTGCAGTCCAGGCGCAGAGTCCGGCTCTGAGCTGCTTTAGATCCCGTGTGAGGCAGAGAGTGGCCTCTGGGCAGTAGCGGGTCCCCAGGTGGGGGCTTGGCCCCAGGCAGTGTGCTCTGGCTCTGGGCTCCCCCTTGACAGCTTGGGGCTCTGACAGCCTGGGGGACTGGAGGTGGAGACTCCTGAGACCCTGAGGGCTTCTTGGGATCCCTGGAGGGTCGGGTGGTTGGAGGGGTGGGATTGCGAGTGGCGGGGCAGGGGGAGAGGTGGGGGTGGGGAGAGCACTTTAAGCCTCCTAGCGGCCAGATCAGGCCAAGCTGCCAGGCCTCCGCTGTCCCCCGGCACTGGCCAGGAGGGGAGCGGGGGCCGGCCCTGAGAATGCGCTGTGTCAGCCGGAGCTGCCAGCACCAGCAGGGTTAATCACCGGGCTCACTGCTTCCCGGCAGACAGCTGCCCCGGGAGCAACTGGCAGGCAGGCGGGCAGCGCAGTGGACAAGAGAATGTGGCCCAGGGGCTGGGTAAAGAGCCCACACTCTGCCCCCACCCTGTGTCTGCTGGTGCACGGACTGGGAAGGAGGCAGCTGGGGCAGGAGCTGAGCGTATGGAGGGCGGGGGGGCTGTCCCAGCCGGGCTACACACAGGGGGTTGGGGAGGTGAGCAGGGAGAGGGGCAGCTCATCTCTGCACACCCCCACCCCTGCTGTCTTTGTCATGGTTCCAGTGAGTCATCACCAAATGGACCAGCGAGCCTGTCTCCTTGTCTTTCTGAGTCCTGCGCAGCCCAGCCACCTCTTCTATTTACAAATGGGGAAACTGAGGCCAAAAAGGCCAGGGTCAATCAAGAGCACACAAGTTAGTAAAGCAAGAGGAAGTTTGTCCATCATTCATTTCTTACTCCTATTTACTGGGCATCTTTCGGGCACCCGCCCGTGACGTAGTCCTCCTCCCTGCAACAGGTCAGACGGCACCCCACCCCCAAACACGTCCTGTCCTGAATCCACAGGAGGGAGCTGCCCAGTCTGGGAGTGGAGGGGAGGGTAAAAGGAGGTGGCTCGCCAGGGGAGGGCCGTGGAGGAGCCTCTGTCCCACCAGGCTCTGGCTGCCCTCCAGGGACAATCCAAGATCCAGAGCCCCTGCCCACCCAGCTCCAGGGTGATGGAGCCCCAGAGGAGGTGGGTCGGGGGCAGGGGTCAGTGGCAGCCCGAGAGAAGTAGGGGCACTCCTGGCCCTGGGGAAGGGGTCTCAGATCCTCCCCCAGCCCTGGGACAAGGTCTGCTGCGGAGCCCTGGGGGCAGCCACCTCACCTGAGCCCCCAGTGCTACTCCAGTGGCATTCCTGAGAATGCCCCCACCCTACTCGGCCACACCTGCAGGCAGCTGTGGGGGACCCTGAGGGTAGGCCACAGGCACATCTGACTCAGCCGTGAGTCGTGAACTCCTGACCTTGGGAGCCTCCTGGGGACACCGCTGTGCTGAGGACATGGGGCACCCCCACGCCCACACTCAGCTGCATCACAGGCAGCCACAATCAGTAACAGATGACTCTGCAGACCCTCCTGTCCCAGAGCCCAGGGTCCAAGTGGGTGCTGTACCCTCGGGAGAAGCCCCCAAGAGGAAGCGGGGGCTGAGCAAGAAGGAGGGCTGGAGGCTGGGCTCCTGCTAGGGCCGGGCCTGCGGGTGAGGCCTTGTGGCTCCCACTCCAGAACTGGGAATGTTGTCTCAGCGGGATGAGGTCTGGAGGAACGCCAGCGCTGTGGTTTGGGATATCGGAGGCCACAGTCCCTTTCTCAGGGCTGCTGGGATGCCCTTCCGTGGAGCCGGCTGGTAAGAACCTCCATCCCTGTCCATGAAATAGAGAAGCTGGGAGCGGGCAGCAAGGCTGGTTCTGAACTGTTCGCGTGGGCCAGCTCAGTCCTCTGGGAGGAGGACACAGAACAGCAGGTGCCGGGAAGACAAGGTCTCATCAGGATTGCATAAACCCAGCGGACTGGGAGAGCTTCTGGGCCTCTTGGCCTAGGAGGCCCCCACTGCCCTCAGCCTGGACAGACTGCTGTAAGAGCCAGCCCGGAGTTGCAGACCCTGGGGGGCTGGCCTCAAAGGAATGGAGGCAGAGCCCAGGAAGACCCTGAGCCATAGCCAGACCCCTCCCCCAGGCCTGGAGCCCGCCTTCCCCCAGGGCTGCCACCTGCCTCCAGCCTCCGAGGGTCTGCAGGTTCCTGCTGCCAGAAGGATGGGGCCAAGGGATAGTCCGGCCTTCCTGGCCTAGGCAGGGTCTGGAAACAGCCCGTTTGGAAGGAGTGGTGCTTTTTCCTCCCTGGCTGTGACCCCAGCTGGGCCACTGCTGGGCTCCTGACGGCCTCTGGGACATGTGGTTGTTGGAAAGCACAGAGACCAGGCTCCGGGTTGACACTAACCAGGAATGAAGGACTCTGACCCACCGCTGCCTGGCCCCTGGCCCCTCTGCCACTTGCTGTGTGTGCCCAGCTCACAGGCCACGCAGCCCCAGGCACCACTCACGGGGCAGGCCCTCCACAGACTTGGGGCTCTTCAAAGCCTTCCAGGCCAGGCACCATGCCAGGAGCATGGCCACCGCCTTAGGGCTCCAGGAGACAAGTCACCCGTGCAGGTGACATGCCTCACGCCTGCCCACTCCCCGAGGCCCGACCCAAAGGCTGCCACTGGGTTCACACCTGGGGGGTTTCAGGTGGGCCCCCATGCCAGAGGGGGTGCAGACAGGCTTAGGTGGTGCCCAGTGTCGGAGATCTGGAGAGGGTCAGCATCCGGGCTCCTTGGGCTCTCCACAGATGCTCCCCGAGGCTCCTCTTGCCCACCCAGCTCCTTTTCTTCCCAAGTGGCAAGGAGAAGCGCTTGGGCTGGTGCCCTGTGCAGGCGGGCCCAGCCCCATGACAAGCAGGCAAACCTGGGGTGCTCAGAAATGGGGGGGCCTCATGGAGCTCTGTGGGGTGGTCTGCGTGGCGACCGAAAGTCCAGAGTCCAGGATCCCACCTGGATGCCCCTGCCCCGGCCTGGGCCTGTGTAGCTGGGTGTAGGGGAGCCTCCACCCTGCCAGCCTTTAGGAGGGAAGGAGTAGGGGGCCCTGGGAACTCCCAGGGAGGGGGCCCGGGACCTCCCTGGGATCTAACCACCTACAACTTGGCAGGGAAGGGGCCGGTCCAGTAACAAGGTTGCTCCCAGGACCCCAACCCATCCCCTCCCTCAAGTGGGGGCCCCTGTCAGGGCACCTCCCAGCACCTTGCTGGGGTGTGAGGCAGAGTCCAGGACTCCTGCCCCCAGATCTCTGGGGAGCCCCAGAAAAGGCATCGCCCGGGGTAAACATGCAGTGGCACACGGCTGCAGCGTCCACCCCGAGGCCGGGCACCTACGCTTCCACGTGTCACCTTAATCTTATTTAATTGCGGTCCCCCTACCCCGTACCCCCATTCTTACCACTTGCTTGCCTCAGGCCTAGACTGGGGAGCCCTAGTGAGCTCCAGGGGCCAGGAACCCCAGGGGAAACAGGCGGAATGGGGGCGCCCCAGCATGCTGGGCAGGGTGACTCGGGACCCTGAGCCTCTACCCCTGGGGCCTGGCCTGCCTGTGCCCTCCTCCCCCACAGGACCACGGCTCCAGCAGGCCCTCCCCTGCCTCTGTCCTTGCCTGGCTGAGCTCTGGTTCTCATAGAGGGTGGGGCGGGTGGGGGGTGAGGGTTCTGAGCTTCTCCAGGAGGTGCCCACAGACGGCCTTATATGGCCAGAAGGCCTCGAAGCCCAGGAGGAATCTGACTTCCCAGGAGGGCCCAGTGGGCAGAGCCAGAGCCTGGGCAGGAACCTGGGACTGCGCCCTGGGCGAGGCCAGGGCCCCCACGAGCCCACCCTCAAATGTCTCCCATGAACCCAGCCTCCTGGGCTGAGAACCCCTCAGAGGGAGGCAGCTTGGCCCGGCCCCTCACCGACCTTGGGACATCTGGCTGGGGGTCCCACATGGATGGGAACACCTGCAGCTCTGCAAAGGCCCCTCCTCAGGACAAAGGCCTCCCCTCATCCGGGTTGGCTTTCCCGCACTGCAAGGGCAACTCCCCAGGCCCCACAGTCAGCCGCTTCCAGCCTCATGGACGCCCACGGGGCTTCATCCCCTCTGCCTGCGCCCTGGTGTGTGCCTTGGCTAGCCAGGGTCCCTGGGGCAGAGGGAAGCGTCCCCCTCCCACCCCTCCCTCTCCTGACTCTCTCCCTCTGACTCTCTGCCTCTCTGTCTCCATCTGTCTGTCTCTGTTTCTGTCTCTATCTCTGTATCTCTTTCTCTGTCTGTTTCTGTCTTCAACTCTCTGTCTCTATTTCTCTGTCTCTATCTCTTTGTCTATCTCTCTGTTTCTCCGTTTCTGCTTGTCTCCATCTCTCTCTCTATTTCTGTCTCTGTCTCTATCTCTTTGTCTATCTCTGTTTCTCCGTTTCTGCTTGTCTCCATCTCTATTTCTGTCTCTGTCTCTATCTCTTTGTCTATCTCTGTTTCTCCGTTTCTGCTTGTCTCCATCTGTCTCGATCTCTGTCTCTTTGTCTCTGTTTCTCTCTGTCTCTGTATCTCTCTGTCTTTGTGTCTCTCTATCTCTCTTTGTCTCTCTTGCTCTCTTTGTGTTCCCCCCGCTGCTGCCCTAGCCCTGCCAAGCTCAGCCAAGGGTCTTAGGGATCACAGGTGTGAGCCTCGGTCACGTTCACTAGGGATCGCGGGTGTGGGCCTCGGTCACGTTCACTAGGGATCGCGGGTGTGCGCCTCGGTCACGTTCACTAGGGATCGCGGGTGTGCGCCTCGGTCACGTTCACTAGGGATCGCGGGTGTGGGCCTCGGTCACGTTCACTAGGGATCGCGGGTGTGCGCCTCGGTCACGTTCACTAGGGATCGCGGGTGTGGGCCTCGGTCACGTTCACTAGGGATCGCGGGTGTGCGCCTCGGTCACGTTCACTAGGGATCGCGGGTGTGGGCCTCGGTCACGTTCACTAGGGATCGCGGGTGTGCGCCTCGGTCACGTTCACTAGGGATCGCGGGTGTGCGCCTCGGTCACGTTCACTAGGGATCGCGGGTGTGCGCCTCGGTCACTTTATTTGACTGGATCGAACGTGGGGCTTGGCTTAGTCTGGGGGCTGGTGCCATCACTGGGACACAACGGGCCACGGTTCCTGCCCAGGAGCTGGTCCAGATTCTGCAGTGAACCAGGATCCCAGGAGTGACGGCTCCCAGGCCGCGCACTTCCACACTGAAAGTGCCATCCACAACAGGGATGGGCCCTCTGTCCTTGCGCCCTCTGCCCGGGAGGCATGTTGCTGCCCCCGGCTCACAGAGGACAGTGCAGCGTGTCCTTGGGCGTCCAGGATGAGATCTCCTGACCCACATCAGCCCCCCAGACAAAGCACATAAGGCAGAGGCAGCTCCGTGTGCTCACTGCTGCGTCCGAGCCCAGCGCTGGGCTGCTGGACGATGGTGGCTGAATGACCGATCGCCCCTCTCCCGTCACCTTCCCACTGCCCCGGGACCCACATCCTCCCACACCAGGCGTGGCAGGCAAGGGCCCAGTGCCCAGACTCCAGCCTCTTTTTATGCCCGCCTGAGGCCCACACCGTGATCCTCACTCTATAGCCACCAACAGAATCAGGAAATAAGACAATAACAACTACAGGCAGGATCCTGCGGGGACCAGTGTGGTGTCCAGTGTGGGAGCTGCTAGGACACCAGCTGGTGGTTCCTCAAAGGACTGAACACAGTTGCACACGGCCCAGCAGCTCCACACCTGGTAGCTGCAGAGAGAAGCGTAAACACGTCTCTGCACAGACACTCGTGGGTAAACACGCACGGCAGCGCCAGGCACCAGAGCCATCAGGCAGAAACAGCCCGAACGGCCATCCAGGGTCGACTGGGGAGAGAAACGTGGTCCATCCACACAGTAGACATCAGTGGACAGGAGCGGCACTCTGTACAGGCAGGCTCTTGGAGGGGCTGCCCAGGGACCAGGGACCGGAGGCCTGGGATGTGCCATGGCCACTGGCCCCTCGCCAGTGTGGAGGGGGAGAGGGAGGAGCACGTGGATGCTGAGTGAGCCTGCAGAGCCAGTTCAGGCGGGCAGGTGCCTGGGAGTCTTCAGGTGGAGGTCAGTAGAAGCAGGGTACTTCTTGGTGCTTATGGGCCACCCACACAGCCTGCCAACACCAGCTGGACCTGTGCTCATGCACAGAGAGGTGGGGGCCTGTGTTTAGGGCCATCACATACCCAGGACACCCAGCCCTACACACTGACTCAGCCTGGGGCGGGAGAGACAGCCCCGCAGCTGCCTCTGTCTTCAGCCCGGTCTGCCAGGAGCCTGAGTTACTAGGCAGGTCCAGGGCCTGACCCCCGTCCCCTAGGGTCTTCATTGATTCAAACCGCCAAGCAACACCTCAGCCACCTCCACCTATTGCCAGCCCAGTTTCACGAAAGGAAGGCTGAAAGGTGGGAGGATGGCAGTGCCACTGAATCCCCTGGGCTGGCTGCCCCAGCTCCGGCAGGAAGATGCCCCAGCTGGGCCCCCATGTGCCTGTCCCCTGCCAGGAGGGGGAGGGGGAGGGGGTGGGCCAGGTGAGGAGGTAACCCCAGGATCCCACTGGGCCCCCGATGTGTGGAGGGGCAAAGTGTGGGTGGGCCCACTCCAGGCCTCTGTTTGCCACAAGTTCCAACATTAAGAAAATATTTGCAGCTCTTCTGGGGAGCTATTTCCTGGGGGAATGTAAACACACGGAGACTTGGAAGGCTCCCGCTGACCACAGATGGTGCTGGGGTCCACTGGGGGCCCACGTTTCCTCTCGCAAGGGATCTGGACCACCCCCGGCAGCCAGGTCAGGGGTCTGTGCGTGGCCTCCCATGGGGCTCTCTCTCAGAACCCGGGAGTGGCAGTGGGGATGGCGTGCAAGAGAGCAGCTGCCACGGAGCCTCCTGGCGGCCAGGGTAGGGCCTGTCGGCCCAGTTGCCCACTGCCTGCTCCTGGCTCCACAAAGGGCTTGCTGGGCAGCTTCAGGTCAGAGGCGCAGCCCCCACCTCCAGCCCCCTGAACATGTGGGGGTTGTGTTTTCTTGACCTGGGCCCCCCCGTGCCTCCCTCCCACCTCTGTGCAGGAGAGCCAGGCAGCCCGTGCAGCCGACATCAGGCCGGGCGCGGAGCTGGCTCCCATCTCCTGCGAGGGACCTGCTCTTGTTTTTTTTTGTTTTTTGAGATGGAGTTTTGCTCGTCGCCCAGGCTGGAGTGCAGTGGCGCGATCTCGGCTCACTGTAACCTCTGCATCTCGGGTTCAAGCGATTCTCCTGCCTCAGCTTCCTGAGTAGCTGGGATTACAGGTGCTCGCCACCACGCCCAGCTAATTTTTGTATTTTTAGTAGAGACAAGGTTTCACTATGTTGGCCAGGCTGGTCTCGAATTCCTGACCTCAAGTGATCCACAGGCCTCATCCTCTCAAAGTGCTGGGATTACAGGTGTGAGCCACCGCCTGGCCCCCTTGTTATCTGTATTTTACAGATGGGGAGGCTTGGTTGCAGGTGAAGTGTGGCCATGTCCTGCCAGCCCCCCGGAGCTGGTGAATCCCTGCCTTATCTGCAAGTGGCTTCTCCCCACACAGAAAGGCGAAAGGCGACCTCCGCCTGAGTGTTCCAGCAAAGGCCGACTGGCTCAGCTCCAATATGCTGAGCTCGGCAGAGCCTGGACAGGGCTCCCCAGGCCCCGCAGGAGGCTGGCGCAGGCCGCAGGCTGGCCTCCCTATCTCCACCAGGAATGCACTGAGCCCCTGCACCCCTGCCCACCCAGGTGGAGGAATGTGGCAGGGGCTGCTGGGAACTCGGAGCCTGGAGGAGGGCTTTTGAGGCCTCTGCCTCCTGGAATTCCCCAGGCCTGGCACCAGGCGGCTGCTCCCTCAGGATCCGCCTGCCTCGGCCTGCCCCCAGGCGGCCGTGCTCTCAGATTCTCCTCTTCCCAGGCTGTGGGGACCTGCAGAGGAACCGGGCCATCTCAATTCCGCTCACTCTGTGAAAGTCCCCTGCTCAGAGAGGCCTTCCCTGGCCACCCTGCCCCTGGAGCCCCTTCATCCGGGCCATGGCCCTTCAGAGCCCCTCAACAGGCGCTGGTCAGACAGTCTGGCTGGACACTGACCTGAGGTGGGGCCGCTTGGCCCCCACTCCCAAGAGGCCAGAAGCACTTGCCCTCCAGTCGTGACAACCAAAAATATCTTCTGAGTAGCCCCATGTCCCGGGGCTGAATCTCCCCGGTGAGACTCACAGCCCTACACCCTCCTGGGATGCCAGTTGTCCCGTCCTAGGCTGCGAGCTCCCTGGGCACAGGGCTGTCTGTTCCACGCACCAAGGAGCGCCTGTACCCAGCACGGGGCTTGGAAATGGCGGGTGGACATGACGGGTGTTCTGTGCTCTACGGTTCCCGGCTTCTGATTTGCAATTGTTCGGTAGAAACCGTACTTCCAGTGCCCACACAACCAATCTGTTTTTCTCCTTCTTATAGCATTGGACAAATTACGTGAGGCATTTGATGCATTATTATAAAGGAGGCTTCGTGGGGGATGACTTCGCCCAGCTGTAGGCTAATGGAAGTGTGCTGAGTGTGTATAAGGCAAGAAGGCTCAGCTGTGATGTTCCGTGGGTTAAGTGTATTAGAGCATTTCAGCTGTCGGTATTTCTAACCTACCACGGGTTTATCAGGACGTGGCCTCACGGAGGGTCGAGGAGCACCTGTGTTTGTGGAGTGAATGAATGAAATGAATCAATACTGGTTCTCATGTAGCCTTGTCATGCAGGCCTGGAGCTCAGATGGTTCCTGGCTCCTGGTGCAGGCTCCTGGGGACAGCAGTCAGGCAGGGGCTGCCCTGTGTCCTGGCCGGATGGTTGGGGAGCTGGTGGGCCTGGCCCATTCCTTGCCCAGTCTTGGCTCAGTGCCTCCCTGGCTGGGAGCCTGGGAGAGTCTTAGGGCTTCAAGTGCTGAGCAGGGACAATGGTGCCTCCCTGCTGGGTGGCCGTGAGGCCCCCTGAGGGGAGTGGGCAAAAGCACCCCGAGGCAGGGGCCCCAGGAAGCGCTGAGAGGTGGTGGCGCTGTGGGAGGGAGGTGGGGGCCGCGGCTCTGCCTGACTCCCAGGCCGGGTGCCAGGTTCTTGGCAGGAACCCTCCTGGGCCCTGCCAGTTGCTGGGCGCCTCCCACCAGCATGGCCGGTTGAGAGGTCTGCATGGCACGCAGTGGCCGGCCCGGGGGTGCAACCCCATCCCCTCTCTGGGGTCCCTTTGCAGGGCAGCCTTAGGATCCATTCACTGTGGCCCCAGGGCCCAGGGCGACCTGTGACCCTGCGGAGCCACCTGCAGGAGTCCCAGCAGATGAGGGCCTCTGGCTGCCCCTCAGGGGCTTGTTGGGTCCCACAAGAACTTCCAGGGCCTCGGAGCTCCAGCCGGGCCACAGAGCTGGGAACCTTGAGTGGCTGGGAACCCTGAGGAGCTGGGAGAGCCAGGCTGAGCAAGACAAGCCTGGGCGACTCACCTGGGGCAGGAATGTGGATTCCATCACTCCGCAGAGGCTTTCAAGCAAAACACAGCCTCGTCTCTGGGCCTGTTTCTGCCGTGCGGGCACGTCCAGCCCGACGCTCTCAGAAGCAGCTGGGATGGGCTCGGGGAGGTGGGGGTGGAGCAGGAGTCCCAGCCGCCTTCCTCTGGGGCCCATCCCAGGCTCCCGGCTGGGCGCCAGCAGGGCTCCAGAAATGAGGGGGCCTCACACCGTTGCCTCTGGACGTGCCGTGCCCGAAATCCCGCCATTCCCACTGGGCATGCCGGGCCCTCGAATCCTCCATGACTCCAGGGAAGCGACTCCGTCCCGCTTGGCCTCAGTCACTGCTCTGTCAATGGGATGATAACTGCCCTTCCCGCAGGCTGCCATGGGGTCTCTGCGTGGCCCCAGCAGGTGCCAGGCTGCTGGTCAGGACCCCTCGTGGGCCTCCCAGGAGGTGGCTCCTCTCAGGTCACAGTTCACAGGTGGAAGGATGGAGCCTGCTGATGATGGCTCTCCAGGCCCTGCTGTCCTGCCCTGGCACTGGGGAACTTGTTCCATGGAGCCCTGCATCCGGCCGGCCACTCCCTTCCCATGCCTGCTTGCTGGCTTAGACATTCTGCACATTTCCCAGAGGGCAGGAGGAGCTAGGCCCCGAGAGCCAGTCCCAGGCCCCTTCCTGGACACATAGGCAGACAGAGGTGGCTAATTTTCTTTTTCTTTTCTTTTCTTTTTTTTTTTTTGAGACGAGTCTCACTCTGTCGCCCAGGCTGGAGTGCAGTGGTGCGATCTCCACTCACTGCAAGCTCCGCCTCCTGGGTTCCCACCATTCTCCTGCCTCAGCCTCCCGAGTAGCTGGGACTACAGGCGCTCACCACCACGCCCGGCTAATTTTTTGTATTTTTAGTAGAGACGGGGTTTCACAATGTTAGCCAGGATGCTCTTGATCTCCTGACCTCGTGATCCGCCCCCGTCAGCCTCCCAAAGTGCTGGGACTACAGGCGTGAGCCACCGCGCCCGGCTAATTTTTTGTATTTTTAGTAGAGACGGGGTTTCACCGTGTTAGCCAGGATGGTCTCGATCTCCTGACCTCATGATCTGCCCCCGTTGGCCTCCCAAAGTGCTGGGATGACAGGCGTGAGCTACCGCGCCCAGCCAGAGGTGGCCCATTTTCAGTAGGAAAACAGCAGCAAAAGTAAAAGTTAGTTTTTCTCTGTGTCTGCAGGTGCACCCCGTGTGGACGCGACACTGCCTTTGCATAGTGCACCCCTCACGGTGTCCCTGGCAGTCCCTTTCCCTGTGGATCCTCCCCTCCACCCACGGTGAAGGAGGAACGGTCCTGCCTCCAAATGGGAAAACTGAGGCTCAGGGAGGAGAAGGGCCGGGTGTGTGTGGAGGTGGCACCAGAAACAGGCCTGATTCCCAGGTCTCTGCCTTAATTACGGTGCTGCCCTGGCTCCGGAATGCTGGGGCCTGGGGTCAGAAGTTGGCCTGGAGGCCGGGTGCGGTGGCTCACGCCTGTAATCCCAGCACTTTGGGAGGCCGAGGTGGGCGGACCACCTGAGGTCGGGAGTTCGAGACCAGCCTGACCAACATGGAGAAACCCCATCTCTACTAAAAAAAAAAAAAATACAAAATTAGCCAGGCGTGGTGGCACATGCCTGTAATCCCAGCTACTAGGGAGGCTGAGGCAGAAGAATCGCTTGAACCCGGGAGGCGGAGGTTGCGGTGAGCCAAGATCGCGCCATTGCTCTCCAGCCTGGGCAACAAGAGCAAAACTCCAGCTAAAAAAAAAAAAAAAAAAAAATTGGCTAGGCATGGTGGCGGGTGCCTGTAGTCCCAGCTACTCGAGAGGCTGAGACAGGAGAATGATGTGAACCAGGGAGGTGGAGCTTGCAGTGAGCCGAGATCACGCCACTGCACTCCAGCCTGGGGGACAGAGCGAGACTTCGTCTTAAAAAAAAAAAAGCCGGGTGTGGTGGCTTATGCGTGGTGGCTCATGCCTGTGATCCTGGCACTTTGGGAGGCCGAGGCGGGCGGATCACGAGGTCAGGAGATCGAGACCATCCTGGCTAACATGGTGAAACTCTGTCACTACTAAAAATACAAAAAATTAGCTGGGCGTGGTGGCGGGCACCTGTAGTCCCAGGTACTTGGGAGGCTGAGGCAGGAGAATGACGTGAACCAGGGAGGCGGAGCTTGCAGTGAGCTGAGATCGTGCCACTGCACTCCAGCCTGGGGGACAGAGCGAGACTCTGTCTCAAAAAAAAAAGAAGTTGGCCTGGAGCCGAGACTGGGGATCCGTCTATGCTGGGGTCAGAGGTCAGCTTGGGCCCAGGTCAGGATACAGGCCCACAGGTCCCGGGTGGGGACAGACCCCAGTCTCTGCCCCAGGTGGGCCTGGTCCTGGAGGCAGAGTGGGCCTTGCTTCTGGTCTCCCCTTCAGCTTCCTTTCTTTGAACCAGTTTGGCTGAGCTGGCCTGGCGCCTGGCCAGCGTGGGAGCCCTTGGTGTGTCCACTGGGATGGAAGTGCCTCTTTTCCTGTCATTTGGCTCAGATTTCAGCCAGCCCCCAGGAGGTGTGGGGAGAGGACTTCTCCGGGTCTCCCTGCTGGGTCAGCCTGTACTCCAGGGAGACTCACGGTGGGACCCAGTACCCAGTGCCCAGGCCCGGCCAGCCCAGCCCCTCTGCCTGTCTTCACCATGTCCTGGAAAGGGGCATGAGGAGCCTCTGGGGAGGGGGGTGGGGAAGGTACCCTGGACCCCCAGGCTCTGACCCAGTGCCTGCCGTGACCACAGGGGTGGGACCTTCAGGATCTGGGCACTTTCTCATAGGTAGGTTCTCCCTCAATGTAAAAATTCTAAAGTCTCATCAAGTAAAATAAATTCAAAAAACAAAATAGTAAAGTGAGTTAAAGTAAAACTGAATGGCACGAAATGGAAAGATGCGCTGGCCCAACACTCCCAGGGTCCCTGTGACAAATGCCGTGACAGTCTCCAGGGCTCCCGGGCAGCTGGGCCTCCCCCTCACGTTGGTGACCTCACTTAAGCCTCTGCAAACCTGGGGCGGGGCTGTTACTGCCTCTGTCTCTCCAAGACGAGAGGATGTCGAGTCATGGCTTAGGAGGCAGTGCCCCAGGAATCCCCTGACAGCTCATGGCCAGGTCCGTGTTCTCCCCACACCCCATAAGTCCCACTCTGAGGCTGGCTATCGTAGCCTTCACCCAAGAGCGGGTTCTATCTGGGGCAGGAGTGGGGGCTGGTGGCTGTAGCTCAGTGTCGGGCTCGCTGCAGGAGAAGGCCCATCCCACGGCCCTGACCTGCCACTCACCCGGACACCCACCTCCCTGGCCTGGAAGGAGGATTTCCTTGTTCTGGGCTTGTTCCCTTCTACACACAATGCATTTGGGGCTGGCCTGGGCCCTGCTTGGCCCAGAAACAGCTGCTCTGGGAAGGAGGAGGGAGGCTCTTCTCCCAGCCCGCACCACAGCATGTCTGAGAACATGTTTACCTGCCTGTGAGGTGAGCCTGAAGGAGGGGCTGGAGAGCAGAGCCAGGGCTGTTGTGCACAGATACCTGCCCAGGCATCCTGAATAGGGGCCCGTGTGAGATTGGGGTGGCTATAGTGTGGCCTCCTGAGTCAACAGCCCCAAATCCAGACCTAGTCTTGTGATCTTGGGCATAATAACGATGACAATGATGGTGGTGACGATGGTGGTTATGATGATGATGGTGACAATGACAATGTTGATAATGGTGATGATGGTGATGATGGTGACAGTGTGTTGGTGGTGATGGTGGTTGTGATGGTGACGATGATGGTGGATATGACGGTGATAGTGAAGATGATGGTGAAGATGATGATGATGGTGATGACAATGGTGGTGACGATGATACTGACAGTGATGATGGTGATAGACAATCATGACAATAATGATAGTGATGATGATGGTGGTGATGATAGTGGTGATGGTGATGATGGTGGTGGTGATGATAGTGATAGTGATGGCGATGGTGGTGATGGTGACAATGATGGTAGTAGCAATGATGATGGTGATGATGGTGAGTGTTAGTATGCTGGGTGCCACACCTTTTTCTGAGCACTGGACAGGCATTGGTTTGTTGAAAGCAGCCAACTGCAGCACGGCTGGGTGGCTCCATGACAGTCGCTTTACTTTACAGCTAGAGGGAGAAGCAGCTAAGGAATTTGTGCCAGGTCACACTGCTAAAGAGGCACAAACCTGGGGTGACACTGGCAGTCAAAGTTATATATAGCAATTGCGGGGCAGAAGCAGGTGTGAGTGTGCTCTCAGGTGGATGCAGGGGCACTCAGAGACCCTGACTGGGATCACCCTGCAAAGGCAGCAACTGCTCTGAGCCGCTGGGGGCTGCTCTAGGATTCTGCAAAAAAGGCTCAGGCCGACGGTGTCTTCGAGTGCTAGGTCCTCCTGCCTCCTCAATCCCTCCTTCACACCTGCCCTCTGGCCCTTTCCCACGAGACCCACTGGAGGCCCAGTAAACAACTTACTGTACAGACAGCGGGTGGAGGGATGGAGGGGAGGGGCTCAGCTCCCTTCAGCCAGCCCCGTCCCTGCTCCAGCACTGCTCTCAGACACCACCTAGTGGCTTCTGGGGACAGTGCTGGTGGCCCCAAGCCTCCTGACAGGTAAGCAGTGCCACCTCCTCTGCAGGCCCCTGGAGGCTCTCCTGATGGAGCGACCCAGACGGCTTCCCTCGGGAGGACACTCCCCTCTCTGTTTTGGGGGTCTGCGATTTTGTACAGAAGGTTTTCTTAAAGAAGTGCTCATCCAGATTTCGTGGGCTCAGGAGATTTAGGTTGCAGAGGTTTCCCTTGAAGAACTCAGCCTTGGAGACCCGGCGCCCAGAGAGCGGACTTCAAGCTTTGTGTGAGTGAGTGCGTCCTAGAGTCTTGCCAAATAGCACCTATAGTCTCTGTAAAATTTTTGAGCTATAATTGATGCAAAATAAAATCCACTTTTTAAAGGATACAATTTGACGTTTTGACTTTTTTTTTTAAGACAGAGTCTTGCTCTGTCGCCCAGGCTGGAGTGCAGTGGCGTGATCTGAGCTCACTGCAAACCTCCGCCTCCCAGGTTCACGCCATTCTCCTGCCTCAGCCTCCTGAGTAGCTGGGACTACAGGAGCCCGCCACCATGCCCGGCTAATTTTTTGTATTTTTAGTAGAGACGGGGTTTCACCATGTTAGCCAGGATGATCTCGATCTCCTGACCTTGTGATCCACCTGCCTTGGCCTCCCAAAGTGCTGGGATTACAGGCATGAGCCACCGCACCTGGCCAATGTTTTGACTTTTATATGCAACTGTGAAACCATTGCCATCATCAAGACAGCATATACCTCCCATCACTCCCCGCGTTTCCTGTGTGTGTCTGTAATCCCATCATCAAGACAGCATATACCTCCCATCACTCCCTGCGTTTCCTGTGTGCGTCTGTAATCCCACTTGCTCACCACCCCACCCCAGGCAACCACCAACATGATTCCTGTCAGTTTTGATTGGTTTGCATTTTCTAGAGTTTATACAAATAAAATCACACAGTATGCTGTCTTTCGAGGGGGACGTACCATTATTTATCCATCTGCCTGTTGGTGTATGTGTGGATTGTTTCCATTTTTGGCTATGACACATAAAGCCTCGATGAACATTTCAGTACCAGTCTCCGAATGGACATATGTTTTCTTTCCTTTTTTTTTTTTTTTTTGAGACGGAGTCTCGCTCTGTCGCCCGGGCTAGAGTGCAGTGGCGAGATCTCGGCTCACTGCAACCTCTGCCCAACGGGTTCAAGTGATTCTCCTGCCTCAGCCTCTCCAGTAGCTGGGATTACAGGCGTGCACCATCAGGCCCAGCTAATTTTTGTATTTTTAGTACAGACAGGGTTTTGCCATGTTGGCCAGGTTGGTCTCCAACTCCTGACCTCAGGTGACCCACCCGCCTTGGCTTCCCAAAGTGCTGGGATTACAGGAGTGAGCCACTGCACCCAGCCTGGATACAGGTCTTTTATCAGATACAGGTTTTGAAAATATTTTCTGCCAGTCTGTGGCTTTCTTTCTTTCCTTCCTTTCTCTCTCTTTTTTTTTCTGGGTCTCCTGTCACCCAGGCTGGAGTTCTGTGGCATGATCATGGCTCATTGTAGCCTCCACCTCCTGGCTCAACTGATCCTCCCACCTCGGCCTCCTGAGCATCTGAGACTACAGACACACACCACTACATCCGGCCAATTTTTAAATTTTTTTGTAGAGGGGTTTCACCATGTTGCCCAGGCTGGCTGGCCTCAGACTCCTGAGGTCAAGCAATTGCCTGCCTCAGCCTCCCACAGTGCTAGGGTTACAGGCATGAGCCATCACTCCTGGCCTCTAATCTGCTTTTTTTGATGTGTCTTTGTCTGATTTGGGTATCAGGATAATACCGGCCTCATAAAATGATTGGAAGCATTCCCTCCTCCTCTATTTTTTGGAATAGTTTCAGTAGGATTGGTATTAGTTCTTTAAAAAATGTTTGGTAGGCCAGGTGTAGTGGCTCACGCCTGTAATCCCAGCACTTTGGGAGGCCAAGGCGGGCAGATCACGAGGTCAGGAGTTAAAGACCAGCCTGGCCAACATGGTGAAACCCCATCTCTACTAAAAATACAAAAATTAGCCAGGCGTGGTAGCAGACCCCTGTAATCCCAGCTACTCTGGAGGCTGAGGCAGGAGAATCGCTTGAACCTGGGAGGTGGAGGTTGCAGTGAGCCAAGACCGCACCACTGCACTCCAGCCTGGGAGACAGAGCAAGACTCCGTCTCAAACAAACAAACAAACAAACAAACAAACAAACAAAAACTAAGAATAGAGCTGCCATAAATAAAGCAATCCCACTGCTGGGCATATACCCAAAAGAAAGGAAATCAGTATATGAAAGAGATACCTGGCCGGGTGTGGTGGCTCATGCCTGTAGTCCCAGCTACTGAGGAGGCTGAGGCAGGAGAATCACTTGAACTCTGGGGGCAGAAGTTGCAGTGAGCCGAGATCGCACCACTGCACTCCAGCCTGGGTGACAGAGCGAGACTTTGTCTCAAAAAAAAAAGAAAGAAAGGAAGAGATACATGTGCTACGATGTTTATCACAGCACTATTATTTGTGGGAGCTAAAAATTAAAACAATTGAATTTGTGGAGACAGACAGTAGAAAGATGGTTACCAGAGGCTGGGAAGGGTAGAACAGTGGGAGGAGGGGGGCAAATGGGGATGGTTAATGGGTATAAAAAGACAGAAAGAATAAGACCTAGTGTTTGATAGCACAACAGGGTGTCTACAGTCAATAATGATTTAATTGCACATTTTAAAATGACTAAAAGAGTATAGTATTGGATTATTTGTAACGCAAAGGATAAATGCTTGAGGTGATGGATGCTCCATATACCCCATGTGATTACTACGCACTGCATGCCGGTATGAAAATATCTCATGTGCCCCATAAATGTACACACCCACTATGTACCCAAAAAATTAAACATAAAAAAACTTTTTTTTTTTGAGACGCAGTCTTGCTCTGTCGCCCAGGCTGGAGTGCAGTGGCGGGATCTCAGCTCACTACAAGCTCCGCCTCCCGGGTTCACGCCATTCTCCTGCCTCAGCCTTCCGAGTAGCTGGGACTACAGGCGCCTGCCACCACGCCCAGCTAATTTTTTGTATTTTTAGTAGAGATGGGGTTTCACCATGTTGGCCAGACGGGTCTCGAACTCCTGACCTCAGGTGATCCACCCACCTCCGCCCAAAGCGCTGGGATTACAGGCCTGAGCCACCGCACCTGGCCACTGAGTCTTAAGTTTTCTGAGGCTAGTTCTACATCCTAGGATCATGTCCCCCGCCCAGAGAAGACCCCAACATAGGCCGCGCTGCTCCCTCCGTCTACCGGTTTGGAGCTTCTCCTGGCAACAGGGTTCAGGCTACTAACAAGGCCTTCCTCAAGACCCCACCCATAACCAACGACCATACTTCGTGGGTCCATCTTTGTAACATCTTTACTTCCTTGGAGCAAATTCCCAGGAATGGGTTTTCGGGGTCCAAGGGTATGCACCTCTAGCACTACGACAAACGCGGCCAACACGCTTCAGGGAAACGGTGCCCCAGTTTGCATTCTGCTTCCCCTGCCCTGCCCTGGGGGTCTGACTGGTGAAACATGGGATGGCAGAGTGGTCGGGTGTTTCAGATTCCACGGTGGGCCGGGGTCTTTTCCTACCCTCGGGAGCCGTCTGAATTTCTCCTCTGCCGAGTTCCTGCGGGTGTCCTTCGCCCACCGGCCCGGGGGAGTGAGTAGCAGGCACCAGGTGAGCAGGCCTCCGCTCGCAGCGGCTACGTGCACGGGCAGGAGCACCGCCCCACGCCCCAGGTGGCCGCAGGGTGAGGGGACCGGAGGGCGGGAGGCGCACAATGGGGGGCACGCCCGTATCTCTAGCCCGGCCGGCAGCGGGCAGCGAGGCTCAGTCCTCGCCCCTTCTCCCAGCTGCTATTCGGGGCTCCCGAGGCGCTCAGAGGGGTCGACTGCGTCCGTGGGGCACAACCCAGGGGCCAGGCTAAGACGCCACACACGGCAACGACCCTCAACGACAACGACCCCCACGACGCCCCGCGCCCCAGGGCCAGCAGGCTGGGGTCCGAGAACCTCCTTGCCGGAAGCGGAAGTGCGTCACGGCGACGGCCGGCAAGCACGCACCGCGCAGACTCGCTGTGGTGGCGTGACCCGGAAGCGCTCGCCGAGGCCCCTCCTTGCCCGCCGATATCTCTGCCGGGTGACTAGCTGCTTCCTTTCTCTCTCGCGCGCGGTGTGGTGGCAGCAGGTGTGGCGCGCGGCGCGGGCTTCGGGCTCAGGGCTGGGGCTGGGGCGGGAGTGGGGGCTTGGACGCGGGGGACGGGGTGCGGGGTGCTGGGTGCGGCTGGGGCCGTGACCCTAGGGGCCGGTTTGCGCCGGGAGCCGGGGCACGGTTCCGGCCGTACTCACGGCGCCGCGCGGTGACTCCCCAGGCGCAGCCCAGCCTCGAAATGCAGAACGACGCCGGCGAGTTCGTGGACCTGTACGTGCCGCGGAAATGGTAAGCGCCCCCCACATGCCTCTCTTCCGTCCTTACCTAACCACCACGTCCCCTCGCCTGCCCTTGTTCCCCCACACCCCTCCCGTCCTTACCTCGTCACGTCCCTAACTTGTCCTGCCCCCGACGTTACTCTTTTCCATTCATATACCCCCAACCTCCCTCGTCCCCTCTTTCATTCTTACCGCCCAAGTCCCCTCTGCTCACTGCGCCCTTTCTCCACAGCTCCGCTAGCAATCGCATCATCGGTGCCAAGGACCACGCATCCATCCAGATGAACGTGGCCGAGGTGAGCTGGGAGCCCGGGAGGCGGGAAGGTTGTGATATATGTGCGGGAAAGGCAGGCTGTCCCATTGTGGAGGAGCCCCTGGGGTGAAGGTACAGGCAGAGGCTGGCTTTGAGGATTGGTGTTTCCCAAACCTGGGGGAGTGGTTTGTGACCCTTCTTCTCTTTCTAGGTTGACAAGGTCACAGGCAGGTTTAATGGCCAGTTTAAAACTTATGCTATCTGCGGGGCCATTCGTAGGATGGTGAGTGTTTCCCTGGGCTTTGCTCATCACTTCGGGACATCGTGGACTTTACCGTGCGCATTGGAGTGTGTGATGGTGCCTGAGTAGATCTGCTGGCAGAGTAGTTTGAGCCAGCTGGACTGGGCTGGCCGCCTGCCGCTTCTTGAGGGTGGAAGAGGGGTGCTCTGAGAAGACACTCAGGCAGCAGACTCTGCCTCTCACTAGGAGGTGCCCCCCCGACCCCGCTCCACCATAGTCAGGCTGCAGGCTGCCCCGGGAGAGGTGGCTCCCCTTCTGCGCCTGTCTCCATTCGCTCAGCGGGGGAGAGACGTGGGCTGGTGGCACAGCTGACCTTCTGCCATCTCAGGCAGCCGGAGTGGAAATATTCTTAGTGTGCTTTTTTTTTTTTCTTAAGGGTGAGTCAGATGATTCCATTCTCCGATTGGCCAAGGCCGATGGCATCGTCTCAAAGTAAGGTTGGGGGCTCACATTTGGGCAGAGTGAGTGGACTAGGACTGCTCCAGAGGCGTGGTCTTAACGTTGTCCTTTTCCCCTGGTTCTAGGAACTTTTGACTGGAGAGAATCACAGATGTGGAATATTTGTCATAAATAAATAATGAAAACCTACCTGTGCAGGTTCATTCTGTGTCTGTAGGCCCAGGGTTGAGGTTTTGCTGTCAGTGGGTGACGGGTGGGGTAGGGTACCCAGTTAGTTGAAAGGAGACAAGCTGTGAAACATATTGCAAAACTGAGGTTTAAAGGACAAATACATTATCCATTTAAAAACAGATATCTAAGACAAAATAACTCAAACATTCTGAGGTCTGATACTTGCTTATGCACACTGACATCCACAACTGCTACCGGTGCGGAAGCAACGCCAGGCCTGGTTCTGTATAGTCACAGCCGAGCTGAACACCTTAGCTCCGACACCTGGATGTGTTCTAGAGAATGACAGGCTGAGACTGTAGTTTGGTTTAACTACTGGCTTTGTTGCAATAATCCTCGAATACCACACAGTGGCAGCTTTTGGCATCATAAAAATGGGACATAACTGAAGGGAAGGCTTCACACATCACAAAGACCGGGTTGGTTAATGACTAAATCTCACTACATGAATACGCAATCTTAAATTACTGTGCTTATCAGCCATTTCTCGCATTCATGTGTAGGAAAAACCATGGAGACGTGTCCCTGGAGGGCAGGTTGTAAACTGCAACAGTTACTAGGAAGTCAGTCCTTTACATGCTCGTAACATGGGCGAGCTCTTGAGATGGGATCTGGGTGGCAGGAGAGGTTGCTTTTCAGAGGAAAGCTGCCTGGGACCCAGCATGGTGGAGCAGCTTTGAAGCTGAGTCCCCTCTGGGTGCATACTGGGTTCCAGGGGATGATCCTTGGCTTGAGGGCAGGCTGCTTGATGGAAGGGGACGCTCCACAATAAGAAAGAACAAAGGCTTTGGTTTGTCCTCATCCTCCAGTCTGTCCCACACACCTGCCATCTCTGGGTTTTGGTGGCCCCAGTGAGTGGCTGTGGAAAAGGAGGAGGGCCAGGTGGGTGCTGGCAGCTGTCCTGCACCACTGCTGGGGTCGGGTGGAGTTGCTGGTGGAGTTCTGTGATAGCAGAATTGGCATCTCCTTTCTGCGGAAGCACCAGTCTGCACAGAAAGCATAGGATGTATTGTATTAATGGGCTAGAGACAAAGTCGTCCCAGAGCCCCTCCAGGGCCAGGCAGGTTTATAAGGTAGTGGTAGGAAAAAGCTTGGTGGCTGAGGCAGTGGCCAGTTTTGAGACCAGCTGACCCCCCATGAAGAAAAACTCAGCAGTCCTTGGTTATTCAGTGTTTTTGATGAGGCAGCTAGCTGGAGCGCTGGACCATGCAGAATTTGTTGCAAGAACTTCAGACAGACGTGGAAAAACTAGAGATGGGGCCCTGCTGGCCTGCACAGAAGGGACAACGACCACCATTTGGGGTCCTTTTAGCATGGTGGGCTGCCCTGGCCGAGGTGGCCAAGATGGCACCTGTTTCCTGCCTCAGAAGAAAAGGCACTGACGCACTGACCCTTTGAGGTTGTGTGGGGTGTGGTCAGTGCCCTCCTGCCTGAGGGTCAAGTGTGTTTTCAAGTCAACTTCAGCAGACCTCATTTAACCATTTTTTGTTCCCTTAAAAAAAAAAGACCCAAAAAACCAAATCCCAATAAATATGTTATTTTTCTCCATCACAATATTGCTTAGAAAAATAAGAGCCGGCAAGCAGCAATTGTCCTGGAGGCCCAGAGTGTCTCCTGGTGAGAGGCAGAGGGTAGAGCATGGCATGGGATGGGCAGCTGTCTGTTGTGCCGTCGGTCTGTAGGACACAGGGGCGTTAGGATTTCACAGTGACACGATGCTTGAAGAACAGAGAGGTCCAAGAGTCCAAGAATGAGATCAAAATAAATCAGGAGACTGCTCCCGCTGGCCTAACTGGACACCAAAAGCTCCACTTGGGATGCAGTGAGGTGGGCGGAGAAAGCTCTGGAGGAGCTCGGCTTCAGGTGGCAGGGAGCCAGCGGCACAGTTGGTGTCGGGAGATGCTGCTGGGGAACCCGAAAAACCACATCTCCAAGATGAATGCCTAAATAAGTTAAACTCAGCCATTCCAGTGTGTTCAGTGAGGTCTAGAAACCCAGATCTCCACCCTGACGCTGTGGTGGCTGCGGTGGTTTGCAGAAGGCGAGGCCAGGGGAGACACACTGCAGCCGGCTCGCTGCTGCACGCTGTGAACAAAAGGTCCTGGTACCAGGCTGGTCTCAGGCACGTGAAAAAAATACCAGTAACAAACCTCACATTTAGTTTATGTAAAAATGCAGGAGAATTCTCAGAAATCCCCTCGGAGGGACGGTGCACTTGGGGATGAAAGCGACGTCTCTTTCCAAGGAAATGGCAAAGAGGCAAAAAGGAAAGCTGCACCAGCGGAGGCCAGGTGCCTCCTGCTAGCAGGTGCTGGGGGTGCTGGCAGGAGGAGGCGCGGGGCTTCAGTGGGACACCTCCCAGGCCGGCAAGTGCACCTCGGTGCCCTGAGCCTTCTGTGGGGCCTCTGCTAGAACTGCTGGGTGAGGCGCCTGTAATGAGGTAACACTTGGTTCTCGGGAAGATACAGGGCCAGCTCCAAGGCCACGAGCACTGTGAACTCAAACCCTATCAGGTCGCGCCTGTTGAATCGAAACCTTTCTTCTAACTTCTGCAGGGGAGAAGAGAGAAGGGTTACACGGGAGCCTTCCCTCTTCCACATTTCCCACCCGGCCAGCCCCATCCCAGCAGTGGCCCTGGCTCGATGTCATGACCCTGCCTGCAGTGCCTGCCGAGCCGGGCACTCACATCGATGAGCTGCGTCACGCCGCTCTTGCGCAGGTCACTGCTGATCTTGGCAGCCAGCAGCACGCAGGCGCCAGCGCACAGCTTGCGGTTCTGTTTGCTGAGCTTGCCCTGCAGGACCAGCTTCTCAAAGTACACGTAGGCCATGGCCACCGTCACGGGCTCCAGGCTGCACTCCTCCGACAGGCTCCGCATCTCCCGCTTTAAGCTGTGGGTTAAGACAGAAGCCATGTCCCTGGGGGCTCTGGCTGGGGCTGAGGAGGCAGCCCCCTGCCACCACCAACCGAGGCTGGAGCGATGTAGCTTTGGGCCGCAAGAAAC
This sequence comes from Homo sapiens, assembly GCF_000001405.40. Classification (NCBI taxonomy): domain Eukaryota; kingdom Metazoa; phylum Chordata; class Mammalia; order Primates; family Hominidae; genus Homo; species Homo sapiens. The sequence continues at coordinate 62,391,567 of NC_000020.11, forward strand.
ACCACCGCATCCTTCAGGGGATGGTACCCTCCGCCGTACCATGTATAACGCCCAGGGCAGGGCGCATGGGCAGGGACCGGCAGGCTGGGTTTTGGCTTCCCCCGTCCCGTGGGTGGGCACCCATGGCAGCTCCCACCTGTGCCTGGTGGGTGGAGCCACAGAGGACAGGCTCTGCTCTCGGTGGGGGGCAGTGGTCTCTGATGAGGGGTGGTTTTAGGAAGAGCCTTGAAGGGAGGTGCCAGGGTATTGAGTGAGCTGCCCTCTGGAACACTGGGGCAGAGGCCGGCAGGGCAGGCCCCCAGTACAGGGCCGTGGCCAGGAGCCCGACGTGAGCCCAGCAGTTCCGCCGCCTTCTGCTCGCTTTCCTCCGGTCATGGGTCATCAGCGTGGCACAATGTGAGAGCAGAGGCACACCTGGACGGCCTTGGCGAGCACCCAGCATGCCTGGATGGGGGCGCTTTGTGGGCCAGGGGAAGGGCCACGGAATCTACTCACAAAATAGCACACACTGGGAGGGGCCGGGCACAACAGAGGCCTTGTCCCACTCAAGTTTTAAAAAGATCCTGGGCTGCTGCGAGGGTCTGGCTGTGAGAGACCCAGTGGTGTGTGGGGGGATGCAGTGTGATGGGGCCACGGGGGGCCTGGCTTGGCGGGCGGTGGAGGTGGGGGAGCTGCTGCTGGGGGCCTGGTCGGATGGCGAGAGGGGGTTGGGGATGGGCAGCGGCTAGACTTGTCAAGCTGGAGAGAATCTACCAGAAACTGGAGAGGAGAGGCTGGCAGGGCCTCCCAGGACGATGAGATGGTCTGAGAGGGTGTCCTCACCTCCTGATTTTGCTCAGCGTCAGTTTGACATGGGGGAACTTCTCCCTGAAGGTCTCGTTCATGTCCTTTTTGAGGTCTGAGGGCTTCACGTATTCTATCACTGTGGTCTGCAACAGAGAGTGGGCAGGGTTGGGCCGGCCCCTCGCACAGTCCATGGGTCCTGCCTGCTGGGTACGATGGATTTCTCACTGTCCTGGGTTTGCAAACATGCATACGGTGTGGCTTGAGAGGCCCCGAATCTCTGAGAACAAAATGGCTCAAGAGAGAGAACTCCAGAGCCCATGCCTGCTTGGTGTGGGGAGAGCCAGGTTGCCAGGTGCCGAGGGCGGAAGGGCAAGGGTGGACCCCAGCTGGAGTGGCCAGCACTGCTCCCTGGCCTGCCCTGCACACCGCCACTGTCTGTGCTGCTGCGATCCGGGATGGGGGCACGTCACGCCCCTGGGGCAGCTTTGCCCACAGCCTGCCCCACACGCCCCGAGCCAGGACAGGTGTGCAGCTGCCTGCACCCAGGCCCTGGGAGAGGGCACTCACCATGTACGACGCAAAGATGAGGACACGTTTGTGCTTGCCGCAGGGCCACTGCGGGTCATCCAGGAGGTTGGGGTTGTACTCCAGGGTGTCCCCCACGTCACTCCCTGTAAGAGAGGCAACCCCTGACCCACCAGGAGTCTTGAGCAGTACCCATCTAGCCCCAAGGCCTGGCAGGCCAGCGCCATGGCGGGGCAAGGCCGAGCAGGGGAGGGGCTCTAGGCCATGGTTCTCTCCTGAAGGGCCCAGGGCTTAGGGCAAGAAAAGGATGTCCTGAGAGGAGGGGCCCTCCCTGGAGTCATCTGTGGGTGGATGCAGCTCCTCCCCACTGCCTGGCTCAGGCCAAGCCCAGGGATAGCGATTCAGTGTGGAGCTGTTCCTCTCCTGACCCTGTTCCCCAGGCTCCATCTGCACGGAGGGCTACAGATTGAAAGGGGCTTGCTGATGCTGCTGCAGTCCCTGGGCCGTGGTTAAGGCACGCGGGTCACCCTGTTCCAGGCCGTGGTTAAGGCACGTGGGCTACCTAGTTCTGTGCTGGCTGGTGCCGACTTGGTGGGGGCAGGTTTATGTCTTGACCCTGGCAGAGTCCGGGGGACACTGGGCCGAGGTGTGGGCAGCAGGCCATGGCTGTCACTCTTGTGTGTGACCAGGGCGTTGGTGGGATACAGGAACTTCGCATAAGACACGACCTGGAAAAGCAAATGCATCTGGCCTCAGCTCTGCCTCCCGGGACCAGAGGGCAAAGTGAGCTCCCGCTGCAGGAAGCCCAGACGCACATGCCAGGAGCCCTGCATGGAAAATGAAGGGAACAACTCAGATCAAGCCGTTGAGGCTGCGTCTGAGCTAGACGCTGCTCCTCACATAGCTAGAACATTCCGGAACACTACTGTGCTTTATCTGGGTTCTGTAGCCTGTAACGTTCTCCCTGCCTCTGAAGACTGCTGACCACCAGCACAGAGGCCAGAGGGTTGGCGAGCCCCACCCTGCAGCAGGGGGGTGTCCAGGAGCACCTGGCTGTGGGGCAGTGGCGCAGACCTCAGGCACGGCCAGGCGGGGGAGTCCGACGGGCTCCAGGGCCACGTTCTCAGGGCTGCACGGGCCCGCATCCACTCCACCCTTGCGTTTTACGTGGAGTGAAGCACAGCTTCACGTGTGCCTCGTGGGCACTGACGTGGGACTGCTCCCACCCGCCTGCCTGGCCCTGACGGCGCTGGGTGTCCACCAGCGAAGAGGCTCTTACCTTCCCGTCTGCTCCTAGCTCCACACCTTCTAGCTCAAAGACCATCTCGGAAGACACAGAGACGCCGCCGGACGGGTGCCTCTGCTTCTGGCTGTCCACCCTCAGGTCACTGCAAACATGGGAGAGGCAAGGGGCTGTGGTCTGCGCTGAACTCAGGCTCTGGCAGCCCAGCCCACCTGTCCGCTGGCCCGAGGTGCTCTCGGGAACAATGTCAGCACAGCCCCTCGGGAAAGAAAGGCGGCACTGGTGTGACCAGGAAGGCGCACGTCAGGAGTGCTTTCATGGAAGGAGGGGTTTTTGAGCCCCGCTTCCCCAGTACAGACACTGGCTGGTAGAGCCCCCGGGGTGGCGCCCACCTTCACTAGCCCACTAGGTACATGTGCCCACGCCTGGTCAGGTTTCTCCACCACTGTTTTTAAGCCAGGGCCACACATAATCCCCACCCCATAGCTGTTTCCTCCTTCCCTGAATTACGCACGGATACGACTGCCTGGATGGTCACAGCACCAAGTGGCTCTGTCCACAGGAGGTGGGACAGCCCAGCCACCTGTACATCGACAGCGTGAACAGAAACCGGCTCCTCTGGAGAGTGAGGACCCGAAACGGCCCCGGGTTCCTGAGGAGCTTTGCTGGAGGTTGACATGCTGAGCCTCGCATGAGCCCGGGGGCAGCCGCACCTGGGGGCGCAGTGCCCGCTGATGCCTCCTGGGCCTGGCCGAGACCAGGCCTTGCCTTCTGCCTAGATGGACACCGCATGCGAGGCAAGCGCTGAGTACTCACCTGATCCGCAGGCCTTCCCCATAGGGCAGGACCGAGAAGGCCGCGCACAGGGACCGCTTGGCACAGATGAGCACGATCCTGCAGGGGGACGGAGTCAGGGGAGACGGGGCCGGGGAGCGGGGCTCAAGGTACTGCTGCTTCCAGAGCTACAGACATTTCCATGGAAAATTCCTTCTGCCTAAATTCAGGTGCTGGGAAACTGCCCATGCTGTCCAAGGGGACTTGAGCCCAGGAGGCCGGGTGGCCACCGTCACTAAGCCTGGCCCCCGCAAGCTCTCAGAGTGGATTCCCTACAGGAGCTACCGGGGTTCCCCTCCCTGGGACGCCGCTGCACGTGGGCAGGCACAGCAGTGACATCCCGAAGGCTCCTTCCTGACCCAGTGCGGGTAGGGCTGGCGGCCTCACCTCAGGATCTTGGCTCATTCAGAGATGAGAGGCAGCCAGAGGGGACAGGATGGCGAGGCCAAGGGCTGCCTCGAGCCAGACCTCAGAGGTCCTGGGTGGAGCGGGGCTCAACACCACCAGAAAGGGCCTGATCCAGGTCCACAGAGAGGCTGGCCTGGAGGCTCCCTTCCAAGGCGCTCGAGCAGCCGGGCCCCGGGCCCAGAGAGCACAGGCAGAAGCCACTGTTTCTCCTCCCTTGGACGCTGGCTCTGCCCTGCCTGGGCCCAGGGTCTCACCAGGGGGACAACAGTGGGAGAACTTCTCCCCCTCTCTGGCTTGGATGACGGGAGCCAGGGCTGGCACTCACGTCTGCTGGGAGCTGTACAGGACTGATGGGGAGCAAGGGTCCATCCAGACCCACAGTCACCACAAGGAGGGTGCCCGGCAGGGGGAGCTCCAGAAGGAAGGGAGCACTCTGGACCTCAGGACACCTCAGGACATGCAGTGATGGGAATACGGGGCCACAGGAACAGCCCCTGCGGCCTCCCCGACACAGCCTCTCAGGGTGCAGCCGGTGCCAGCTGCGGCCCTCCGCCAGCTTTGGGCAGCCAGGTGTTTGGTTTATTCAGCCTCTCCTCCGTGCTCCCAACAAAGCCCAGCCCTCCTCCCCACACATCTCACAGCCACACCCGTTTCTGTGTCTCCAGTTTTCCTTCACGTCAGCACTGTTGCTGGAGGCTAGTGTCCACGTGTGACCCTTCACCTGGGAGCCCAGAGAGGGTGATCTCGCTGTGGTGACACCAGGGACCTGCGGGTGCTCGGCTGATGTGGAGCAAGCAGTGTGGTGGGGAGGAGGGCCCACCTCTAGAGGTGTGGAGTGTGGGGTGGGCGGGAGCTTTGGGAGTGGAGGGAAGATTGCTTGGCTGACAGGGGCAGGACCCCGTGGGCTTATGGAGACCACAGCCCTGGCCCGGTTCCCGGCTCCGCTTCATACCTGCTGTTCCTGGTGTCGTACTGCCTCATGTTCTTGATGAAGTGGGTCTTCTTCAGGCCTTTATGTCTCGGTGATCCAGATGTGTGTTTGGTTCTGCAAGGCAAAGGACACAGGTCACTCTTTTCCTCCCAGGACCCTCTGGCCCCGCAGGGGTCAGTGGCAGCCCGAGCGGAGTCGTAGAGCTCGGGGCGGACGGGGGCGTGTACCTCTGTGCTGGAGCGCATCCCACGGCATCTTCCAGAAACTCCAGGGAGCAGCGCTGGGACGTGACTCGCTTCCTGCAAGATGACAATGGAGCCTCAAAACAGGCCACCAGCCCGGGTGCCGCCTTTGTGGCCAGAAACCGAGTGCCGCCCGCTGTGCAGGGAAGGGCCACTCTCCAGCCCAGCGGCGCACCCATGGGCCGAGGGGCTTCCAGAGCCCATGCAGACTGAGGCGGGGAGGAGGGGCACCTCCTGCCTTGAGAGGTTCCTGTTTTGGAGGCACTGAGCTCTTCTCTGGGGACCAGCAGCCCTGGGGGACAGGCTCCTCAGGCATAGGATAGCACAGCACAGCACAGCACGCCAACCTGCCCTGCCCACCGAGGGTCGCTCGGCCCCAAGCAACACCCTGCTGGGGGCACCACCAACTCTGACAGGCCCATCCCACCCAGCGCTGCCTGAGACTGGTGCTGCCTGCCCCTCCCTGAAGCACAGCTGGGCATTGGGGCACCATGGCATGGGCAGGCGGGGTGGGCACCGGGCACCCCTTGCTCTCAGGCCACCTTCCCCTGGCTTGCAGCTCCCTGCACCAGCCACAACCTCCCACCTCAGTGCCGTCACGGGGGCTGCTCCTCCGTCTGGAACATTCTGTTCCTGCTCTTCCAGTGGCCACCTCTTTCTGAACTTTTTGGCTCATAGGTGGCCCGCTGAGGGAGGCTGCCCGGATCCTGCTATTCTGTGACTTGCTCAAGGCACTGGTCACTACAGGAAGGAGGCATCCCTGCCTCACCACCCACCTGCCGTCTGCCTCCCCTTCCAGAGTGCCGGCCCCATGGATGGGGCAGGGTCTGTCCCCACTCACTGCTGTCCTTAGTGCCTGCCCTCCTGCCTGGACTTCAGGAGTCTCCCAGGTGTTTCCCATAAGCGAAACGTGCAGGCAAATATTTGTTGGCTGAATGACTGTACAACGCACTTCCTTGAAGACCCCTCAGGGCACAATGCCCACTGCTCCTCAGACCCTCAACACTCGGGACCAAGCGAGGCCATCCTGATGCGGAGACATGACGTGGTTCAGTAACTCTCAGGGTCACGCAACTCCAAGTGCAGAGCTGGGTCTTGAACCCAGGTCTGTCGGGGACTCCAAAGCTTTGTTCTCTCCCTTATACCGGGAGCCATGAATGTGTGCCTGAGCACCAAGGCATTCCAAAAGCACAGCTTAGGAGATAAGGTCCCATGCCAGTTGATACAACGTTGCAGTATTGGAAAACCACTCCAATTGCGATGACAATGATGGGCGATGTGGCGTGGCACGTCTGAGGATCCTGCCTGCCCTGCAGGGCTGTTGGCCCCCAGAAGGGAGCAGTTGGTGGTGGTGATGGCGGTGGTGGTGATGGTGATGGCAGTGGTGATGGTGGTGGTGGTGATGGTGGTGACGGTAGTGGTGGTGATGGTGGTGACAGTGGTGATGGCGGTGGTGGTGATGATGGTGATGGTTATGGCGGTGGTGGTGGTGGTGACAGTGATGGTGATGGTGGTGATGGCGATGGTGGTGGTGACGGTGGTGGTGGTGGTGACGGTGGTGGTGGTGGTGATGGTGGTGGTGGTGGTGGTTATGACGGTGGTGATGGTGGTGGTGGTGGTGACGGTGATGGTGGTAATGGTGGTGGTGGTGATGGTGATGATGGTGGTGATGGTGATGTGATGGTGGTGGTGGTGACGGTGGTGATGATGGTGATGGTGGTGGTGATGGTGATGGCGGTGGTGGTGGTGGTGATGGTGGCGATGGTGATGACGGTGGTGATGGCAGTGGTGGTGACGATGGTGGTGATGGTGATGACGGTGGTGATGGCGGTGGTGGTAATGGTGATGGGGCCCTCTGCAGGGTGCTGTGTGGTTTATTAAATGGAGCAACTTGGCCCCCAGGCTTGGCATGGGGCATTCTCAGCGTGTCAACAGTAGCCTTTTTATTAAGTGTCACCCAATCTGGACTCCGGGCCAAGGGCAGGTGTACTGCTGGGGGTCACTTCTGGGAACTCTCCAGGCTCCAGGCCAGCGCCGTCCTCAGGGTCCCATGGGCCTTCCCCCAGCAGGACCCCGGCTTACACACAAGACCTGGTGCACTCAGGCCCCCTCTCTGGTGGAGCCGGCCTGGAGTCCAGGTCCCCACACCATGCCCTTGCCAGGAGCCTCCCACTGAAAGCCAGTGTTTGTCCCAAGGCGCTGGGTTGGGCACAGCCACAGTCCCATGGTGGGTGCCACCTGTGCCAGCGAGAGTGCCACAGCCACCACCTCACCAACACTCGACGGCTCACAGTGACAACCACACCCATTTATCAAGTGGTACGGAGAGGCCTGGCCCTTGCCCAGGTCACACAGCCAGTGTAGTCCTGGTTGGTACCAAGGCTGTCACCTTGACGCCAACATTGATGCTGTCATTTTTTTCTTTTTTTGAGATGGAGTCTCTCTCTGTCACCCAGGCTGAAGTGCAATGGCGCCATCTTGGCTCACTGCAACCTCCGCCTGCTGGATTCAAGCAATCCTCTCTCCTCAGCCTCCTAAGTAGCTGGAATTGCAGGTGCCTGCCTCCATGCCCGACAATTTTTTTTGTATTTTTTAGTAGAGATGGGGTTTCACCATATTGGCCAGTCTGGTCTCAAACTCCTGACCTTAAATGATCCGCTGGCCTCGGCCTCCCAAAGGGCTGGGATTACAGGCGTGAGCCACCATATTTTATTTTATTTATTTTTTTGAGATGGAGTCTCACTCTGTTGCCCAGGCTGGAGTGGAGGGGGCGCCATCTTGGCTCATTGCAAGCTCCACCTCCCAGCTTCAAGTGATTTTCCTGCCTCAGCCTCCTGAGTAGCTGGGACTACAGGCGCCCGCCACCACGCTCAGCTAATTTTTTTGTATTTTTAGTAGAGACGGGGTTTCACCCTGTTAGCCAGGATGGTCTTGATCTCCTGACCTCGTGATCCACCTGCCTCGGCCTCCCAAAGTGCTGGGATTACAGGCGTGAGCCACCACGCCCGGCCTGTTTTTTTTTTTGAACAGATGCTCGACTGATGATGGGGTCAGGTCCTTTTTTTTTTTTTTTTTTGAGACAGAGTCTCACTCTGTGGCCCAGTCTAGAGTGCAGTGGCACAATCTTGGCTCAGTGCAACCTCCACCTCCCAGGTTCAAGCAATTCTCCTACCTCAGCCTCCCGAGTAGCTGAGAGTACAGGCGCCTGTCACCATGCCTGGCTAGTTTTTGTATTTTTGGTAGAGATGGGGTTTCACCATGTTGGCCAGGCTGGTCTCGAACTCCTGATCTCAAATGATCCGCTGGCCTCGGCCTCCCAAAGTGTCAGGATTACAGGCGTGAGCCACCATATTGTATAACGAAGTGTGAAATAGCTCCTGTAATTTGTTGGATACTGTACTGAAAGTGAAAAAGAACATGGTTGTAGGGGTACCAAGTACAGTTTGAAGTCAGGAACTTAAGATGTGATTAAAATCTTTTAAAAGGCAAAGTCAACAAGAGCTTGTTGAAAACAAGCTAGGATTGAAAGCAGAAAATCCACTAAAACGCCTGGTGCCTCACATTGGCGCCATCACCAGACACAGCTGTGCACCTGCCCAGTCCCAGCTGGAGGTGGGGGCAGGGGACCAGCCGGATGGCTGCAGAAGGTGGGTGAGCAGCTGGCCAGAGGAGAGCACTTGGATGATGGGACCAGGAAGGGCTGGGGATGCGGTGGGCTGGCCTGCACAGTGGGGTGGGTGGGGAAGGAGGAGCTAAGGGGCTGGGGTAGGCAGCAGGCTCTGAGGGCAGTGGGAGGGGCAGAGCACCCAGCTGCATGCTGAGGGGGTGTGTGGCAGACGCCGGCTGTCCCGAGAGGCCCAGGTGAGTGCTGGCCTGTGATGGGTGACGGCGGACAGACTGCCCCAAGAGGAGCCCAGCGGAGGCTGGATGGGCAGGGCCCACACTGGGGAAAGAAGCCAGTGAAGGAGGAGATTTGGGGACTGTCCCCAGAGAGGTGTTTGTGTGTCCTGACCTACAAGGCTGGGCCTGGAGGCCCTGAGGACCAGCCTGTGTGTCTTTCTGGAAGCTCCTTCCCACGGGTAATTACCAGGGGATGCCTGGGTATTTGCATGCCTGGGACTTCATTTGGAGGCCCGTGGGGGTCCCAGCAGAAGCCTGAGGCCCCGCGGCAGCCTGCCTGGTGGTACCGTTGGATCCTCTGGCCCAGGACGCAGAGGAGCTGCAGCAGGGAGGCTGACGCTGCTGCCGGCTGGCCTGGCTCCTCCGTGATTTTCTGGTCGCTGCAGGAATGATGGGTTTCTCTCCACTATGCTTTAAAATCTGTTCCCAGCAGGTTCTTCTACAGATCTTTCTCTGTAATTTCCTTCTCTTTTCTTTTTTTGTAAGCATCTTATTAGTAAACTAGATCTGCACAGTTCTAGGAAGGAGGCAGCATTCTGACGCTCAGTTCATGGGTGGGTAAATTGAGGCAAGGAGCTGTTTAGCAACTTGCCCAAGATGACATGGCTGGTAAGAGACAGAGTGGGGACCTGAGCCCACGTGGACGGCCGGGCTCTGGCACCCAGTGGCGCCGCTCCCACTGTGTCAGTTGGAATGGTGGCCGCTCTCCACTGTCTCTCAGGGGCTCATTTTGTGAACCTGGCCCCGTTGCAGGTCACGTTTTTTGGTTTGAGTCCACAAGACTCTGACAATGCTGAAGGAGGTGCCTGCACATGGGTGCAGGGCAGGGCGGCCAAGTGGGGAGGACGCCGCTTTGGCCTTCCCTTCCCCTCTGCCTCCACGGGAGCTGGTGTCAAGGGAGAACGAGGGAGGTGCTTCCCTTCCAGAACCAGGGCTGTTGCAACTCCACGCATCACCGCAGCAGGGCGCTGCTGCTGACGGGACGGGCACTGGCAAGTGCAGATGGGACCCAGGCCAGCGTCCATTGCTTGGTGCCTCTGGAGGATGGGCTGGGAACCCATGAGATGGACCCCTGCTCGCCCCGGGCCCCACAGAGAGGTGTCGGTGTGTCCGGCAGACATGGAGAGGATCACGCATGTGCAGATGTACCACCTTACGCCTAGCTGGAAGCAGCACACACGCCGGTCAGCAGGAGGCGGGACATGCGCAATCAGGGGACGGCATGCACAGCATGCTGCAGGTGCACACAGACGCCACACGGGTTGAGAGGCTCGTCATGTGGTGACACAGGTCCCCTCAGTGTGGGGGAGGGGCTGAGGAGGGGCACCAGGGAGCTGGGGGATTGGCCTGTGTCTCCGCAGGGGAGTGGCTCCGTGGGGTGTGCCCAGGCAAATGCACTGAGCTGCACGCACCTTCCATGTGCTTCACTCATCCTGCGTGCACCAGACCCCTCCGTCCAAAACATGCAAGGAACAAGCGAGCAAAGCAGAAAGAACGAGGCCCTCGGCAAGGCCCACGCCCCACACCCCACATGCTGGGGCAAATGCAAGTTCTGCTGAGTCCCAGGAGGCCCCGCTCCTGCTCAGCCACCGTAGAGTTACACTGGCGGTGCCTACTCGTGGTTCCCCCCACGTGGCAGTGACCAGCTCAAAGCTGCCTGCATCTGACTTGGGAAGAAGGGGTTGGGGGTTGGGGCAGTGGGGAGTCTGCCCCCCCAGTCTGCTGACACACCTCACTCACTCTCAGCACTAAATGGCGGGCCACCAAGCCTCCATCCAAAGTCATGCTCACAGACAGGAAGAGAAATCTGCTATTTATTAAACACTGTTTCTAGTGTTCGGTACATTTCCTTTCCTTTGTAACGGAAGAAATGCCCAGAAGGGGCTGAGGCCTGAAGACCCCATCCCCATTAGAAACCCAAAGCTGTGTGTACGAGCTGCTCTGAGGCTCAGAGGGAACTCAGGAGGCCCGGCCGGGCAAAGGGGCCGTTGAAATGACCTTGACGGTGGGTCTGACAATGTGAGAACAGCCGGGAGCCTCTGCCGAATGACTGCGCTTCTGTCCCACGGCGTGCCCACGCCAGCACCGGGGAGACTGGAACCGTCTCTCGCCAGGAAGGCGTGGGCAGTGGTGTTGTTCGGCTGCCCCCAGCTCCAAGTGTGGGCAGTGGTTTTGTCCGACCACCCCCAGCCCCATCCCCTGGACCCTGGGGCACAGCTGTGGAATGCGTGGCTGGTCTCGGGTGCCCCATCTCATCAAGTCCCAGGTAAAGCAAAAGCGCCCAAGTCCAGCACTCCCTGCGGGGGCTGCAGCCTCACCCAGCGAAAGCATCCATATGGGGTCACAGGGCTGGGCGGAGTGGGGGGTGTCCATTGCCCTCTGGGCTGCCATGGGAGATGTGCCCCCAGGCTCTGGCCTCAGCTGACCACTGCCAGCTGCTTGCCAGCTGGAGAGCAAGAAACCCCCAAATCACGCTTGTAAACAAGGTGCCAGATGCTGAATTGGTTTAACTTGGACAGCAGCTTGGCGACGCTGAGTGGCTCCTGGCCCAGACAGCAGCTTGTCCCACAGCTGCAGCCCAGCCCCAGGCCCAGGCCTTTCCCCAGAAGCATCTCGGCACACACCCTCCAGAACTGGGGGGCTCTGCTTGCTGATGGCTGCACCCTGGCTCTTTGCTGGGCCACATCTGGCTGCAATTTGGGGAAAGTTGTTCGCTTGAGGGGATGCCACTCTCACCTCATTAGCGTTGTGGACACTCACCAAGGGCTGTTGTAGGTTGAAGGGTATCGCCCCCAGAAGACAGGGTGAAGTCCTAACCCCAGTACCTGTGAATGGGACCTCGGATGGAAAGAGGGTCTTAGTTGAACTGTGTCGCCCCCTGAGGGTCTTAGCAGATGTCATCAAGTTAAGATGTCACAGGTTAAGTCCTAATCCAATGACTGGTGTCCCTGTGAGGAAATCACCACATGGAGACACAGACACGCAGGAACAGTGCGGCACGGAGGCGGAGGCAGAAACTGGAGCCACAAGCCCGGGAGTGCGTGGAGCCACCAGAAGTGGGAAAAGGCAGGAAGGATCCTCCCTGGAGCCTGCAGAGGGAGCGTGGGTCTGTCCACACCTTGAGGTTGGGCTTCTGGCCTCCAGAGCTGGGAGAGGCCACGCTGGTGCCGTAAGCCACCGGGTTTGGGAGGAGGGGGCGGCGGGGAGGAGGCTGCAGGCGGAACACCCCAGCACCTGCTCAAACCCAGCTGGGGAGGCCCAGAGTTCCCACTTGCTTTTGGGCATTAGGCAATGGCAAAGTTAAAAGTGAAAATAAACCTGGTTGGAAGTTCTATGAGGAAAACAAGGATTCTAATGATTCACTCACTGGTTCAACACAAAGTGCCACACCAGGCTGAGCCTCCCTGGGAAAGAATAAGTATTAGGACCGAGAAGTTACTGTTCCCTGAGCAGCCTTGTTGTAACAGGAGGCTCCATTTGACTGGGTGTGGCGGCTGCCACCTGAAATCCCAGCACTTGGGAGGCCAAGACGGATCACGTGAGCCAGAGTTTAAGACCAGCCTAGACAATATAGTGAGACCCCATGTCTGCTAAAATAAAAACTTAGCAGGGTGTGGTGTGTGCCTATAGTTCCAGCTACTGGGAGGCTGAGACAGGATAACTCGAGCCCAGGAGGTAGAGGCTGCAGTGAGCTGTGATTGCGCCACTGCACTCCTGCCTGGGAGACAGAGAGAGACCCTGTCTCAAAAAAAAAGAGGCTCTGCTCATCTCACACTGACTCCTGCCACATACCTCACCAAGCCCTGGGCACGCATCTGACCTCTGACCTCAGGGAGGCCATGCTTAGTGCTTAGTGTGAACCCGCTTCTCAGAGGAGATTGAGGCTCAGAGAGGCCATGTCACCTGCTCAAGGTCACAGAGGTACTGAACAGTGCAGCTGGGATTCCAAGCCAAGTCTGTTCCCAGAGCCCAGGTCAAACCACCACACTCACAAGACCAACATCAGGGCTGCCTTCAGGACTTTCAGAATTCTCTCCATTTCCTGAAACCAACTCATCCTAGAACTCTCAAGCCAGGAGCTAGCAGCCCCTTTTGCCGGGGCAGCCACCCTTCCCTCGATCAGCAGCCAGGCCCAGGGAACGCAGGGTGAAATGGACGTCCTCACGCTGGGGTCTACCTATCAGGGAGGGGCCATGGCCCTCAGAAACAAGGTCAGCACCACGAACTTGGCAGCAGAGCCCCAGGAGGGACGCCTCCCCCTCCAGGAACAGAGTGGGGTTCAGGAAAGACCTGAACAGGGACATGGGGGCCAAGGAGGAGGGAAGGGAGGAGACAGCCCTGGGCAAGGCAAGGGGTGGTGGCGCTTGGGCCCATGGTGGGTACGGCAGGAGGACTGCAGGCACCCAGCCCATGCCACGTCCCATCCTGTCCCAGGGATGCCGGCCACAGCGCACCTTCTAACAATCCCACAGGGCAGGGATGTGCTGCACGTGGGCAGCATGCTGCGCTCAGAACTGTCACCATGGAGGCTCTGGGCCTGCAGGGGGTGCCTTCTCAGTCACAGGCACTTCCCTGCGCGTCGCCACGCTCTGCCTCCCTCCACTCAAGTGGGCTCCACTCCACGCCAGGCCTGGTGCACACAGGGGTGCATGAACTCTGTGGAAGGAGGGCCTATGACAGCACCCAGTCTGCCTGGTGTCACCATCCGGTTCTGGACACTCAACATGCAGGACTGAGGGAGAAAGCTGTTTCCATGTCAAACAACAGGGCCCGGGGTTAGGGAAAAGCCCACCACACCTGCGGAGCTCGGCCCGTTGGGGTGAGCCCGCTTCCCCTGGAGTCCACACCTTAGGGCCTTGCCGCTCTGCCCTGGAGAGTCACCACCTTGTTCCATCTCTCCCGCCTTCCTGAAGGAGCTGGCCATGCCAAATGCATGGGGCCTGGCTGCCACATTTGGGCAAATCCATCCCTCTGCCCCAATCATCCCTCTGACCCTCCCTGGAGCAGCGGCCAGGCATGTCCGTGGGGGGACATCTTGTGGACAGGCCTGGGTCTGCAGGCACCCTCAGCCTGGCTACGGCCAGGAACACTTCCAAGGATGGAGTGCACCGCGACCTGCGTGTGACGCAACCTGCATGTGACGTCATAGTCTTTGAGGACAGAGTGCTGTGTTCTGGGCCCAAACTTCCCCAACCAAAGACCTTAGAGGAACCCAATGCCTCCACCTGCCCGAAGGCCAGGGGCGTGGGGCAACTCTGATGACCTCCAGGTAAGCAAGGAGCACGTGCCAGCCTTGACCCAAGAGCTCTGTGTCGGCCCCTTTGCTGCACACCTGCAGGGGCTGCCTCTGGGAACAGCCGCCCAGCAGGCACTTGGACCTGTGGACAGTGGCTCCCTTTGAGAAGGAACCGCAACAAGCAGCCAGTCCTGGGCCCAGAGCCCACAGTCACTCCTGGAGGTGAGGGCTGTGGGAGGCAGGGTCACCCAGGTCCTGTGGTCTCTGGGAGAAGGACACAGGGTGTCGGGCAGCCAGGGGCCATCTGGGCAGGGGGCACACGCTGGACAGGCAGGGCTCATGGTTGGGGTTGCCCTGGGATGGGCTGAGGTGGTTCCCAGAAATGGAATCAAGGCAGGGGGAGCAGTGGAGACCCAGGGTGTGACAGACCCAAAGATACCGAGCTGAGAGTGATGTGGGGAAGGGCGGGGCTCAGCAGGGAAGTGACAGGGAGAGGAGGGGTGCCAGAGACCAGTGGCTGTGGGATGGGAGATGTGGCTGTGCAGGGGCCTCTGGGAACAGGTGTCAGTGACAGTGCCAGGAGGACCCCGGCCCACATGCTGGGTCTGAGGAGGTGGGCATGGACGGTGTGGCCCGGTTCAAAGAATGCGAAGAGATGCACAGGGCTGTCCATGTGTCCCTGTGTCCCGGGCACTGGTACCAGTGGATGGGGGTGGGGGCATGTCCAGAACCCACAGGGCTGGGGGTCTCAGGGGTAATAAGGGCTGAACCCTAAAACCCATTTCAGAGCACTGACAACGTGGAGATCCAGACCCCGTATTCAGGGGCTGGGAGAATTCAGGGGACAATGAACCCTATGTGTGGGGGGTGACAGGGCCTGAGGAAACCCTCAGCCAGCCCAGGAACCCCCAGTTCTGTATCCAGGACTGACAAGGTCCCAGGTGAACCCAACCCCTGTGTCCTGGGCTGATGAGGGCCCAGACTGACCCTGACCCCTGTGTCCTGGGTTGACAGGGGCTCAGGTCACCTGAACCTCTGTCCAGGGCTGACAAGGCCCCAGGTGAACCCAACCCCTTTGTCCTGGCCTCTGTCCAGGGCTGACAAGGCCCCAGGTCACCTGACCCCCTTGTCCTGGGCTGATGAGGCCCCAAGTAATCCTGACCCCTAGTCCTGGGCTGATCCGGCCCCCGTCCCCGTCCCTGTACCCCGCGTCCTGGGCTGACCTGGCCGGGCCCCCACTCACCTCTGGCGCTGCCCATCCAGGCCGAGGCCGGTGGGCACCTGCGTGGGGCTGAGCAGGCCCTGGGGCGCGGGGGTCCTGGCGGGCAGCCCGGTGGGGGGCTCCGGCGGCGGCGGCGCTGGCGGTTCGCGGGCCTCGGCGGGCGGCGGCGGGGGCTTCTCTCCGCCCGGGCCCAGGCTCGGGGGCCGCCCGTCCAGGGAGATGTTGTTGAGGAAGAAAAGCGCGGCCTGGCGGCGCCGCGAGTCCCCGCGCCTCCGCAGCGCCTGCGGCGGGGCCCGAGCGGCCGAGGTCGGCGCGGCGGGTGGCGGGGGCCCGGCGGGGCCGGGGGCCGGGCCCGGGGCTCCACCGGCCGCGGCCGCGGCCATCCTCAGACTGCGCCCGCCGCCGCGAAGCGCCCCACCCCCTGCCCGCGCGCCCGCGCGCCCGCCGCCCATTGGCCGCGGCGCGCCCACATGCAAATGTATCGCCGTCGCGCTCTCCCATTGGCCAGCGAGGTGCCGCGCTCAGGGCGCTCCCCTGGGTCCTAGAGGCGGTCGGACGCAGCAGCAGGGAGTCGGGAGCTGCGCGCCTCCCCGCCGGTTCGAGTCCCCGTCTTGGGACCTGCGGCCGCGGGGCTCTCGCTTTCTGTTCCCTTTGCTGTATGGCGGCCTTCGCGGATGGCCTCCATCGAGCGCACATTTTAAGGCTCCGGACCCAGGGCGGCGTGGGTGAGGCCCCAGCACACTTCCCTGTCCGGAGGTGTGTCTGGGCGGCGCTTCAGCGGGCGCAGGGCGGCCCCTGGAGGAGCCCCACCGCTTCCCGGAAGGGCCCGCGTGCCATCTGGCCTCCTTCATTGACAGAAGGGAACGAGGGTCTGAGTGGAGAAGGCACCTGCTTGGGATCAAAGCCCCAGGCAGAGTCCTGCACTTCCTGCAGTAGCAAAGTGACCTTGAGCCTGCCTTGTGCCCAGGCCTGTTTCCTCTCTGTGCCTGGGTGCCCCTGACTTCAGAACCTGTGAGCCCGTGGCACCGGGATGGTCAGGGCCTGCCTCTGGAGCCCGGGAGCCTGTCTGCAGTCTGGAGGGGAACCCGCTGTATCTTTGTGGAGGGACTCAGGACCTTGCACCCACCTCTGTGTCACCTGCCTGCTCTGTCCAGCTTTCTTTCATGGGTTTACGTATCTTTAAAGAGGGGACAATGATTTCAGCCTCAGGGTACTGTCAGGATGAAACTGGCTCAGTGAGGGGGTCGGGCTGTGGCCGGAGGCCAGGCACATGCAGTGGTCAGTCCGCGAATGCGCTGCAGTACCTCGCACCTGCCCGCATGCGCCCAGCCTCTCCTGTGCTGGGTGCTGGGGACCCGGTGGGACCGACAGGCACAGCGCTGGCCCTAGGAGCACCTGGTGTGTGGGGAGGCAGCATGATGGCCAACAAGGCAGTGGGCGAGTGGGCAAGACAGGGTCTTCATCACCACCCCTAGCATGGGCCCCTGCCCTTCAGGCCCCTACCCACCTCCCGCCTGCCTGCTCCCTCCTGTGGGCCTTCACGGGCCACCATTGGGGCTCACGCAGCATGCAGCACCTCCATTTCCTTTCCCTCCGCCCTTCCAAGTTGGCCTCCAAGGCCTCTGCCAGGCCTAGGGGAAGGTGGGCAGCTGTCCTGTCTAGGAGAACGCGGGGCTGGGTGGCATAGCAGAGGGGTGGCTGCGGATTCTGGATCCACAGAATGGGGTGCTGACTTGTGTGCCTGGGGGCTCCCGTGAGCGGGGAGTGAGTGTGTCCAGCGCTGTAGGGTGCTGAGGCTGGGGCAGGCACACAGTGGGCCCTCCATCCCTGCTGGCTATCACCAGGAGGAGGGGCCTGACAGGGGAGGGTGGGCCATACACCAGCAGCTTGCAGAGAATCTGGTGTCAGATGAGAACAGAAAGGGGCGAGTGAGGGTGGAGGGCAGGACGCAGGAGGCAGGAGGCAGCTGTCCGTGCTGGCTGCAGCGCCGGGTCCTGGGGATCGGCTGTGCAGTAGGGGGGCCCCTAGCCAGTTCTTCTTTGCTGGCGCTAAGCTAGACTTTGAGGGACAAGGAGGAATGCTGAGGAAGGAACGGGGTCTCTTCCTGGGTCTGGTGAACCCCCTTGCTAGGCTCCCGCTGCCAGTCTTCTCCCCTCCCCAGGGTGTCGATGGGTGGCCAAAAGCCAACCTGGCCTGCGGGCAGTGTGTAGGGAACACACGGCTTTTGTTTCGTGTGATTCTGGAGAAATTAAAGCAACCTTTAACACACCTGGACTTCCCTCTTGGGAGTTCAGTCCCTCTGGCCTCTCAGGACAACAGGCAGACATGTCACAGGCTGCAGGTGGGAGGCAGTGCCCCCTGAGTCAGGCCCGCACCCCAGTCTGGCCCAGGCCTCACCCAGCCCAGTCGTTGGCCCGTGTCCTGCCATCCCTGTGATGCGTGGTTTTAAATGCCCAGCTCACCTTGGTGCTTTGGCTGCAGAGGGCCCTGCTCATGAGTTTCGCTCCTTATTTTCTTTGGCTCTCACCCTGAACTCTGAGCAGGTGTCAAGCGCAGGGCTCTGTCTGGATGCTCCTGACTGCAGGCCTGGCCCTTGGGCTGACTTCTTAGTTTCCCCCTTGCCCTGGCACCCCTCCGTGGCCCCCACCTTTCCTTTCTGCCTGATCCTTGTCCATTTTTCTAGAGTTGGGGTCTCAGCAAACTTCCCAGAACATCCTAGCTCCTTGCCTACTTGGCACACTCCTGTTCATCCCTCAGAACCCAAATTTGGGTTGCAGGTGCCACCTGCCTTGACCTCCCAGGGACACCTGCTCTCCTCCCCGTCCCCCAACACTGGCCATGACTTGGTGCCATTGCTCCTTTGCCCACCGCTCCCTGATGCCCAGCAGAGGTGTCAGTGCCCAGTGTCTCTGCCCTGTAAGGGGCAGTTCTCAGACTTCACATTTAGGAGAATTACCTCTGGGAGCTTCTTAAAACACAGACTCCAGGCTCACCTCTAAAGTCCTGGTTCAGTGGATCCGGGGTTGGGCCCAAGAATCTATTTCTTAAGCTCCTCCCACGAAGCTGGGAGGGACTGATACTCATCCTCCCCCGAGGAGCAGACAGCCTTGAGTGCTCCCGGTGGAGTCCTGGCGAGCTGCCCTGTGGCTGCCAGGCCAGGGACTAGTGAGGAGGGGCAGGTGCACACGGCCGCCGCTGTGGCCAGGCACTTCCCCGAGGGTGCCCTGGTCCCTTCCCGCTGCAGACTCTGCAGAGGAGCTGGTTTTATTCTGCCCTCCCGCAAGGGGGTGACCTCCAGTCCCTGGCACAGTCAGTGGTGTCCTGGGGCCCTGCCAGACACATGCACGGTTCTTCAAGTGTTTATTCTCCGTCACTCAGGGGACCCGGTCTTCGAGGGTGCTGCCGCCCACTGTCTCCCTCCACCCTCACTGCCAGACATCTGTTTGCTGTCAGCCCACGAGGGGGCGTCCAAGATTGTGCTTGGAGCTTGGCGGGCAGGGGTGGGGGTCCGAGTGGTCCGTTGCCTCCCAGAGCGTGGGCACTGCCTGGGAACGGCTGCAGTGCACAGCAGGGGTAGGGCTGGGCTGGAGCCTGAGTGATCCCGCCTCCAGTCCCCACACCCCTCAGGGAGCAGGTGCTGGGCTGTGGGAGGGGCCGCAGAGCATTTCCCAGGTGGGTGGAGACGGGGTGAATCGCCAGCCTGAGACCCCTCTCGGTCCTCCAGCCCCTCTTGAAGTGGGCCAGGATGTGCCCGTCACCGGCTCTTCGGGGTTGCCTGCTGGTTGGGTGGTGTGCCCTCTCCAGGCTGTGGTGAGCAGGCAGAGAGCTGCCCTGGGCTCACTGTGGGTTCAGCTGAGGCTGGCTAGGTCTTCTCCCAGGGTTCTGTGCAGGGCTGCCTGCTGGTTGGATGGTGTGCCCTCTCCAGGCCCTGGTGGGCAGGTGGAGGGCTGCCCCGGGCTCGCTGTGGACCCTGGTGCAGGCTGGCTAGGTCTCCTCCCAGGGGCTGCTGTTGGGGGAGGGACTGTGGTCCTCGGCGTCCCTTGGGCTCCCGGGCCCCTCAGTGGCTGTCAGTTTCCTTCTCCCTCTGGATGGCTTTTTGGAGGCTATGGGAAGTGGCCGGAGGTCAGGCCGGAGCTGTGTGCCTTCCTTTGAGGCAACACTGGCTCTCACCTAGGGCCTCCTGGGTCTCCTCTGGGCACGGGGAGCTGGGTGCTTGGGGAAGTTTGCTGGCCACCCTTGTTCCTACAGAAACCGGTGCCCAGAGCAGGGGTAGCCCGATCTGAGGGTGAACCCTGAGAATTGGGTGGAGGGTGGACACTCTCCCCATTGTGTGACCCCGAACACGGCACTGACCCCAGTGGCCCCCTTCCTGCCTTGGAGGGAGCCAGGCCATACTGGCTGGCCTGACACTGGCTGCGGGCCTCAGCAGGCCTGCCCCCGGGCTAGGGCCACATGGGAGGGGCGCCTGGTTCCTGCGATGGTCCGGGGACGGGGATCCTGCCGAGATGCTGGGCTTAGGCCATCTCTGAGGCACAGCAAGCTCAGGCTCTGAGTTGAATGGGTCAGGTTTGAATCCTGACACAAGTCCCAGACCTGTGACCTTGGGCAAGTGACCTCTCCCCTCTCAGCCTCAATTTCTGCACCAGCCAAACAGTGATGATCCTACCTGCTGGGCAGGGTCATAAGGCTCACAGGCAGCCACAGCTGCACCCACTCTTCTGGGGCACTAGGCACGAGGATGCTGGCTCTGGCGCTGAGCTGTGCTCATGCTGGGCAGGGACCTGCTCTCACTGATCGCCACAGCAGTTTCTCAGGAGCCCCTGCCAGCGTCCCTGGTCCCGGCTCAGGTAGGAGCACAAGGGTGTGCTGGCTCACAGACTGCACCCCCCGGGGCCATTTCCACCCACTCAGCAGGAAGTGCCTCAAATAAGGGCCGTGCTGGTCTCTACTGCCGCTCCGGGCAGACGCAGGCCATGGCCACCTGCCGGCAACAATGGCACACAGTGGCGGCACCACCCCGCCTGCTGCCTGCGGGCCTTGCCCGGAGAAAAACCAGGGCCATACAATTAGGTGTTCAAAGTCTCTCATGGGCTCCTGGACCCCAGCTGGAGCTGCCATTGAGCCCAGAGCAGGAAGTGAAAAGTTGTCCCGATACCCTCGGACCAGGGCCGAGGCTCCTGCCGGCATTACTGGGAGGAGCTGGGTCCAAGGACACTGCCCTTGGCAAACACTGGAGCCGTCCGCAATTCCCCAGGGGAGCAAACGTGCCCCCATGCCCCTCGGGGCTGTGCCTTCTGCGCTGACCCTGTCTGCAGGTGGACAAGGGGCCCTGGGGATCTGCTCCTTGTGGCAGCGGCTTATCCTGTGCACCAGGACACCCTTCCTTCCAGGATGATGGTGGGGACAATGACCATCCCCTGGCTCCTTCTCTCACCGAAATCTCCTACGATCCCTAATGTCAGCCCCCTTACAGGCGAGGAGACTGAGGCTCAGATTTGGAAGGACCTGACACCAACCTACACAGTCAGAGGCTGCACAGGAAGGACTCACTCCGGCCACCCTCGCCCTCCTCTGTGGGGTTCATTTGGGGAGGGTTGAGGTTCATTTTTGGCTCCATCATTCTGAGGCTGCCATTCTCCAGGCAGCCAGGAGGAGAGGTGGCACTGGGGAGAGGTGGGTGCTGTGGCTCCCCTCGCCCCCTTCCCTGCACCTGCCCCATGCCAGCTGTACCTTTGTCCCCAGGCTCCGAGGCCCGCTTCCTCTTCCGTGGTGGACCCTGCCCGTGCTCCTGGGTGCAGATGCACTCAGGCCCCTCCCCGGTCGTGCTCGTAGTGGCCTCCGCCTGGGAGCTCAGGCCCACCTGGGGAGAAGGGGGTGTGGTCACGAGGAGGACTGCCTCCTGGCCCTGCCCTGCTGAGTGTGTGGCCTGGACCCACCTCGCTGCCTGGGGTGTCTGTCTCATCCAGTTCGTCGGACTCTGGTCTCAGCACTTCAGCCTTGCTGGGCTCTGAAGGATGCAGAGTGTGGGGTCAGGCCAGGCTGGTGGCACCGGGAGTCTCCCGAGCCTGCCAGACTAGGATGGGTGGAGCCAACTCTGCAGATGGGGAAACTGAGGCACGGAGGGCCAAGTGACCTGCCCCAGGGCACTGGCTGACAGGAGGCCGACTGGGGTTTGGGCCCAGGCCTAGTGTCCCCATCAGTTGGGGTTCCCGCCCCTGGCTTGGATGCTGCATGATGGGGCACTCACAGCCTGCTTGCCAGCCCTAATTGCTAAGGTGCTTTTCCCCCTCACTGAGTGTTGTTAGAGAGGCTCCTGCCAGGCCCTCGGCTTCCTCCGGTGTCTGCAGGTGGAAGAGCCAAGCCCTGGAGCCTGGGGTTGCCCCGTCAGATCGGCAGGGCAGAGCTGGGCCTGGAGACACCCACTCCTGGTGGGCACTGACCACCACCCTCTCTCTCCGTGGGGAAAACACCTCCCAGCTGGACTCTGACCCCAGGTGCTGACTGTACCTGGGTGGCCGTCCAGGTCAGGCGGCTGTGGGTGGGGAGGCGGCTGTGGGTGGGGAGGTGGCAGAGGCCTCCCTGTGTCTTCATCTTCTGTACTGCCTGGAGAGGACAGGCTGAGCTGGGACCCTGGAAGTGGGCGTGAGGGGTCCTGGGGGGAGGCAAGTAGGTGGCTTGAGTTTATTTGGGAGACTTCCTTGCCGCCAACTCAGCCCTGGACAGCCGGTGGGACCCCTCTTGAGGCTGCAGCTGGTGGAGGGGCCTGCCTTTCCCTTTATAGTGTGGATGAGGCAGCCTCGCTTTCTCCCTGGGAAACAACTTGGTGGGCAGAGGGAAAAGAGCAGCCCGAGGTCTGGGGGGAGGCCGGCCCGGGGTGGGGGACGTGGAGGCTGAGGACCGGGTCTGAGCCAGGACCGGGCTCCTTACCATGGGAGTGGAAGCCTCCTCCTGCTCTGGCACTCTGGTCCCCTTGGTGCCATTGCTGAGTGCCTGGGGACTGCGAGTCAGGGGTCCGGACTGGGTGGGTGGCTCGGGGCTGGCAGTGTGGGCAGCGGCAGGGCTGAGTGACCCATGCTGGCCGGCCGGCTTGGGAGTGTCCTGGCCCCGGGCCCGGCCCCACTCCGAGAGGTCCAGGGGCTTGTCTAGGGCACAGTCCTGCGTGGCTGCAGCCTCTGTCCTCTGGGCGCGGCCCGGGCCTGCAGGCTGTGTGTGCCGCCCTCCAGACAGGCCTGCTGCGGCCAGAGCTGCCCTGGTCCCCTCATTCTCAGGGCCCTCAGAGTCTGAGCCGACTGGTAGGGAGGGCAGCATCTCCCCGGGTGTGGGCTGGCCCCTTGGCCTGACACTGCCTGCCCTGGCCCTAGCCCGCAGCTGCTGCTGGGCCAGGAGCAGGTGCAGTGCCCCCTCCAGGCGAAGGTCCTGCATGCCCGCCAGGGCACTGGGCAGCCCCAGCAGTTCTGTGGGCTCCTCCCAGGCCTCTGCTTCTCTGGCCTTCAGGTCCTGGAGCCGGGGGTCGCTGGGGGCTGCAGCAGGGGCCAGGGGGCTGCTGTGGGGGCTCTGAAGGTGCAGGGACAGGGGGCGGTTTAGGAGGCAGAGCCGGTCCACCTTCGGGGAGAGCTTCGGGGCCTCATGGGTCATGGCGGAGGGCCGGGAGGCCCGCAGGAAGCTGTGAGGGAGGAGAAGCCGAATGACCATGGCTGTGTGGAGCCGTGACCGTCCCAGCGAGCCCTGAGAGGGAGAGACGACAGGCACCCACTCCACAGGCGAGGAAACTGAGGTCCAGAGAGGTGCAGCAAGCTGCATGGGTCCCATGGCAGGTAGTGGAGGGAGGGGAGGCTCAGCCCCCAGCTCTGGAGGCCATGCTGTGTGGACCTGGCCAGAGGTGGCCTGTGGTCTGGGCTCCAAGGTGGGGCCAGATGCCGAGGCCTCCGTGTCTTCTTGGCAGGGACATCGGCCCCCTGCTCCTCACCTGGAGGGTCCTAGCCACCTGTCCACCCTCCACACCCTACTTGTTCTCAGACAATGTCCACATCCCCTGCCCCCACGCCCCAGGCCTGGCCACTCTGGAGGTGTCCACGTGGGAACTTTGCTCCAGGCTGGGTGCCCAGAAAAAGCCAAGCCAGAGAAGTTCAGGGCTGTGAGGGATAATCAGAGGGACTGCCCTGGGACCAGGGGCTGAGAGAAGAGCTCATCTGAGGCTACTCTGGGTGAGGGTGGGGCAGGCGGGCACCTGTCCAGGGAGAGGCCACGCTCATACGCTGGGCTGGGTGGGCTGCTCCTGGCGGGCAGTGGTGGGGGCGTCCCATTGGCGGGGCCTCGGTCGGCAGGGCAAGCCTGGGACCCAGGCCGCACCACGGCAATGGTCCCGTGCAGCTGGTTGGAGATGCGCTGGGGGCTCTGTGAGGATGGGTGGGTCAGCCTGGGCGGGGGCATGCGTGGCCTCTGCTGTGGCCTCTGCCATAGCCTCTGCTGCCTGCCCTGGGCTGCTCCCACTCTGCCCCTGCTCACTGCTGAGCTGCACCCCCACCCACGCCAAATGGAGCGCAGTGGCTCCTGCCCGGGACAAAGGAGGGGCACATTCAGGGTTAGGCGCATGAGAGGCTGGCATACTGAAAGTGCAGCTGCCTCCAGCCTCCTGCCTGCGCCGGCCCAGCTGCACATGGTGGGCTCCCGGTCCCTGCCCTTACCATGTCTGGGGCTCGCGACTCAGGCAGGGTGGCCCCTGGGGAGATTTTGGCCACTGGAGATGTCCTGTGCCCTGCTGGCTTTTCTGTGGGAGGAGAAGCCAGGGGCAAGAGCTTGGGAGGTGCTCAGAGGGGCAGCGGCCCAGCCCCAGGGGGAGGATCCCTGGTCCTGCGGGGGCCCAGCCTCCCAGCCTCACCCGGTCCCCACAGCACCTTCTCCCCGTAGGCCCACGCCCTGGTGGTCTTCCTCAGCCTCCTCGTGGCCTCCCGGTGGCTTCTCTGTGATGGCCTTCCAGCCACCAGGGGAGGGGAGCAGCAGGGGTGAGGGGGGGTCCGAGGTGCCCTCCTTGGCCCGGGGCTTGGGCCTGTCTCTAGAGGGGAGGCAGAGACAGGGAGGGTGAGGGAGAGCAGCATCTCGGGAGATGATCAGAAAAGCCGGGCCCACTCCTGGGTGACCCCAGGTGACGCAGCTGTCCCGACACTGCCTGAGAGTCCTCCATGGGCGGTTCCCCCAGGGACGTGTGCTGGGTGCTGCTCGGGGGGTGCTGGGGAGTTGGGTGTCTGAGCCCTGGGACCCTTTCCCACTCACCCCAGGCCCCGAAGCCGCTTCACCTCCTCCTTCAAGGTCTCGTTCTCTTCCTTCAGCCCGTTCATCTCGTTGGCTGCAAAAGGCACTGATGAGCAAAGCAGCCAGGGGTTGGGGGGGACAGGGGCAGGGGTGGGGTCGTCACAGCACCAGGGAAGCCCCTCAGCAGTGCCCCCAGCACGTAGCCCAGGGCCTGGCAGGCAGCAGGGGCGCCGTGGATGCTGGCTGCGTGCATGGCTGATTGGATGCTGTTGAATGAGCAGTGCCGGCCTCGAGGGAAGGGGGCTTGCCCTTGGTCATCAGGAGGGCCACTGGGGCCTCAGCACTGCAGGACCTTCCGCATCTCAGGAAGGAGGCCGCGCCCAGTGGGGGCCGGGATGCCCCCAGCCCAGGGGAGGGAGGCTGTGTTGAGGGAGGGCCACACCAGCGCCGGCTGGGGGCTTTGTGTGTTTGTCTGTAGATTGGGTTGTGAGGTTCCCCCAGTGGTGTGGGGCCGATCGTCCTGCCTCCTTTCCCCATGCCCCTACATGGGCTGAACAGGCCTGGGGTCGCCTGGCCCCGTGGGAGAGGACCCCGGTTGTCTGGTGGGTGGGGCTCACTGAGGATGAAGATGCGCTGCAGGTTCTGCAGGTGGGAGCTCTCGAACTCCTGCTGCCGCTTCCTGGCCAGCTCCTGGGTGACCATGCAGCGGTCGCACAGGCCGGCCCGCAGCCTGCAGGGATGGGGACGCAGGGGGTGTGAGGGATGGCACGGAAGCCACAGAGGGCCTGGGACACTCACTGCCCCACTGCTGGGAAGTGCCCCTGCCCTTTGCAAACTATTCCGTAGAGCCCCAGGCCTCTTCCCACCCCGTGGGCTAGGTGTCCCATGTTCCACTGAGTTTGGGGAGAAATCTTGAAAATGCAATTTCCTTAAGGCTCTGAGATGTCCTGCAGTGGGGAAACCTTCCTGGTTCAGTTTATCCTGGAGTTTCCCAAACTCATTCTCCGAGGAGCCCTGTCACCTCCTCCTCTCCTGAGCCCACCGGTCCTGGCCATGCTGCGAGGTGTCCTCCCAGGCCCACCTGTTCTCCAGCACCCGCAGGTTCTCCTTCAGTGTCTTCTGCTGTTCCCGGAGCTGGTGGTTCTTGGAGAAGAGCTCCTCGATCCTCTGGGCGTCCCTGTGGTGGGAAACAGCTAAAGTGGGGTCCTGTTCCATCCAGGAAGCCACACGCTGTCCCCACCATCCAGCCTGGGGGGGCAGCGCGATTCGGCACCTGCAGCCTTGGTCTGGGGGCAACGCCTAACCCGGTGCCCCCCTCCCAGTCATCTGCACGCTCCTCTGTGACGTCTGTCCCGTCCACGCAGCCCCCCCAGTCATCTGCACGCTCCTCTGTGACGTCTGTCCCGTCCACGCAACGCCCCCCCAGTCATCTGCACGCTCCTCTGTGACGTCTGTTCCGTCCACGCACCACCCCCCCCAGTCATCTGCACGCTCCTCTGTGACGTCTGTCCCGTCCACGCACCCCCCCCAGTCATCTGCACGCTCCTCTGTGATGTCTGTCCTGTCCACGCAACGCCCCCCCAGTCATCTGCACGCTCCTCTGTGACGTCTGTCCTGTCCACACACCACCCCCCCGGTCATCTGCACGCTCCTCTGTGACGTCTGTCCTGTCCACGCAACGCCCCCCCAGTCATCTGCACGCTCCTCTGTCACGTCTGTCCTGTCCACGCAACGCCCCCCCAGTCATCTGCACGCTCCTCTGTGACGTCTGTCCTGTCCACGCAACGCCCCCCCAGTCATCTGCACGCTCCTCTGTGACGTCTGTCCTGTCCACACACCGCCCCCCCTGTCATCTGCACGCTCCTCTGTGACGTCTGTCCTGTCCACGCACCACTTTAGTGCCACAGCACAGGCAGGACCATAGCCGGGTCTATAAGCCAGAACGCAGGGAGCCTGCCCGCCCGCCAGTGTCTGACCAGACATGACCCCAGCTCACCGTGAACGTATTGTTGATATTCTGATCATGATCCTGGGGTGGGAGAAGCCCCGAGTAGGGGGCTTGCCCCGCCCCTGGGAGGCCGACGCAACTGGGTTCAAGTGCTGGCTTCGCTGCCTGCTCACCGTGTGACCTTGGACAAGTGACTCCCCCCGCCCCCACACTGAGCCTCAGTTTCCCTTCTGCACCATAGGACGGTGGTAGTGCTGGCACACTGGGGCTTCAGGGGGATGAAGTGGCCAGTGTGGTCCCTGTGAGGAGGGGCCCTGCTTGGCCTGACTCACCGGCACCTCTCTGAGTTCAGTTCCAGAAGCTTGTTCTGCAGGCCTGGGGGAGCAAGCAGAGGGGCGGGGGGTCAGGCCCAGCTGCTGCTTCACCTTCAGTGTCCCCACCACGGGGTCTGGGCAGAGCTGCAATGTGGCACTCCTGTCCCCTGCACCCCCTGGGGGAGCCCTGCCAGGTGAGCCCCTGTCTGTGCCCAGGCACGGGGCTGCCTGAGGCTCGGTGGTCTCGGCCTAGCATCTGTTGCTTCCCCTGGGGTCTCTGCCTCCGGCATCTGTCTGGGGGTGTCTGGGGGTGAGCAGGGACCCTGGTGCCACAAGTGACCAGCCACCTGTGAAAGGTAGAGGGACCGAGGGGCCATTTTGTGTGTGTGTGTGTGTCATAGCTAGTGTTGAAATAAGATAAGCTTCTGGGGCGGACCCCACCAGACCCTCTCCTTGCCGTATCTTGGGGATCCAACCTGGGCCTGGCTAGCCCCAGCAGCCCCACCTCTCTGGGTTGCCTAGGAGGCAGCCGGGTCCTTGGACCTCCAGGTGGGTGTGGGTGCTCAGTGGAAAGACCACGGGGAGGTGCTGGCCCTGGGACTGGACTGGGGGTGGTGTGGGGGCTGCGGCCCTGTCCCTCGTGGGGGAAGTGGACAGGGGTGGGGCCTGGGGCGTGTCCTAGAAGGAAGAGAAGAGTTGCAGCTCAGTGCCTTGACATGTTCTGGATGGGTCCAGAGAGCCATAAGCTCCTGTTTCTGGAAGTGGCTGTCTCTGCCCTGGTGAGCTCAGCAGGCCGGCCAGGGTGGGTACTTCTTTCTGCCACGCTGGAGGCCGGCCCACGGGAGAACAAAGCATGGGCAGCATGGGGCCTGCGGGTGGCAGGTGGCCATGAGGTGTTGGTGGCAACCCTTGAAAGTGCCCCTCCCCCTCGGGGTCACACTCTGGGAGTGGCTCGAGGACATCCCCGCTTGAGGTCAGCACTCGGGCCCAGGCAGGGTGTCTGCCACGTTGTAGCTCTGGGCCTTGGGTCAGGACTCCCCTGCCTGGGCCAAAAAGACGGGGTCCATTCCCTGACTTGGTGGGAATTGGAGGTGATCATGGGTGCACAGTGGCCTGCTCCGACCCTTAGGTGAGGGCTGTGGAGACCCCTCCCTAGCCTGGCATCTGTCCCTGGCCCCTCACCCAGGACTTCCTTCTCGTGGATCTCCTTCAGCCTGTTCAGCGACTCCATGAAGCTCTCCATGGCTCCCTGTGGCCCTGGCCCGGGCCCCTCTGCGCTGGGGTTGTGGAGACGCCTGCAGCCTCTACTGCCCCTCTGTGTCCATCCTGAAGAGGAGGAAGAGGGGACAGGGATCCGCTCAGGAAGGGCTTGTGGGCTGTGGAGTCCAGGAGAGGATTGGGGCTCCTTGTGTCTGTATGGAGCAGACCCCATGCCATGCTGTAGGGGCTACTCATGGGAGGTGGCCTGGAGGCTCCCGAACCCCACGGGCAGGCACAGAGATAGTACATTGTGTGGCTTCCTCCCACACGTATGTGGCCGGGGGCCAGAGGGCAGGGTGCTGGCTGCCGTGCGGGAGGGGCTGGAGGGGCCAGGGAGCATCTGGGGTGAGTGCCGGCACCTCTGAGCCACCCCGTTCTCCCCAGGTATCCAGCCCATCAGTGCCTGGCCTGTCCCCACATAAGCCCTTCCCCTGGCACCTCAATGGAGGGACAGGGAAGCCTGGCAAGAGCTGGATGGTGCTGGTGGCACCTGCCCAGCTGTGAAGCTGGGAGTCAGACCTCACCAGTAAGAGCCCCACAGACCCTACCATGCCACTGTCCACACCCCGGCCCCAACACCACTGTCACAGCACCTCCTTCCCTCTCACCAGAGCCCTGTACTCAGTTCCCTCCTGGGATCTCTGTCCCCCTCCAATGCCGTGGCAGCTTCAATCCTGTCCCACAGGCACACACACACACACACACACACACACACACACACACACACACAGATAGCATGTGCACACAACACACATGCACATATATGCAAAAGACACACACAGAGCATGTACACACATAACACACATGCACAAAGACAGACACACCACACAGCATGTATACACACAACACACAGGCACACACCCAGAGTTACACACATACAACACATATGTACACAGACAGGGATGCCCACACACAACACACAGAGACACATAGACATGGGTATACGCAGACACATGCTGACAACAAAGCTGTGCAGACATAGAGACACAGCTACACATGCAGTTGCAGGTACACGGAAACACACACAGCCACAGCAGCCCCCTCTGCCCGGAAGCGGCTCCCACACGCAGATGCTGGAAGGTTCCAGGAAGAGGTAGGAGCCACTCTGAAGAGGTCACAGGCCCCCTCCCTCCCTGCCTGCCTCCCCTACCCACAGGTCTCAGGAGGTCCTTGGTAGGCAGTGGGTATCTTGTGGTCTCACGGACTAAGGCCAGAATTAAGGGGCCGTGGGGCCTTTGCAGGCTGGGCCTGGGGACCTGGGCTGGAGCACTCATCGTCAAACCCTCCCAGACCTTTCCAAATTCCCAGTGGCCTGGAGAGCTCCCAGGCAGGGCTGGGCGGAGTGAGCCTGGGGGCGCTGTGACTGTCTGTCTGTCCTCCCCTGACCCTTCCCCCTCCTCCCACAGATTGGCCTCCAGGCCTGGGAGGTTGGGATACCGGTCAAGTGGCTGGGCCTCTGCAAGCCAGTGTTTGTGGCACACAAACCGCTGCAGTTCAGACTTCTTCACCGGGTGGCTTGTGCTTCACGCGGTCGGGTGGGGGAGTGTGTGTGTTTGCCGTGTGTGTGCACGCCCGAGCCAGTGTGCATGTGTGTGCCGTGTGTGTGCATGATAGCCAGTGTGCGTGTGTGTGTGCCATGTGTGTGCACGCCCGAGCCAGTGTGTGTCCCATGTGTGTGCACACCTGAGCCAGTGTGCATGTGTGTGTGCCATGTGTGTGCACACCCAAGTCAGTGTGCGTGAGTGTGCGTGTGTGTGCCGTGTATGCGTGATTGCCAGTGTGCATGTGTGTGTGCCGTGTGTGTGCATGCCCAAGTCAGTGTGCATGTGTGTGCTGTGTGTGTGTGATAGCCAGTGTGCATGTGTGTGCACACCCAAGTCAGTGTGCATGTGTGTATGCCATGTGTGTGCACGCCTGAGCCAGTGTGCATGTGTGTGGCATGTGTGCATGATAGGCAGTGTGCATGTGTGTGTGCCAGAGCCAGTGTGCATGTGTATGTGCTGTGTGTGCATGCTCAAGCCAGTGTGCATGTGTGTGGCATGTGTGCATGATAGGCAGTGTGCATGTGTGTGTGCCATGTGTGTGCATACCCGAGCTAGTGTGCGGGTGTGTGCCATGTGTGTGCATGCCTGAGCCAGTGTGCATGTGTGTTTGCTGTGTGTGCACACCCGAGCCAGTGTGCATGTGTGTGTGCCATGTGTGTGCATCTGTTTTTGCTCTGTGTGTGCGTGCCCAAGCCAGTGTGCATGTGTGTGTGCTGTGTGTGTGCATACCCAACCTACTGTGGAACCACTGGTGCGTCACCTGAACAACTGTGTCGGCCTCCTCCCTGCCTGGCCTCCTGCTCAACCTTCCCTGAACCCCCTGCCTCCCCCCATCTCTTCCAGGACCACTCTCCATGGTGGCCATCCCTGGGAAGCTCTGGTCTCTGCTCAGATGTGCACCGCTCTGCTCAAAATCCAACTTCGGGCTCGCAGCTGGAGGCCATGCCCAAGGCCTCGCCACGGCCAGCCCAGCCCAAGTGGATCACAGAGCGGAACAGCCATGGCTGCATCTGGGTTCTCAAAGGTCAGCCTGGAGACGCCCACGTGAGGGTCCTGTGTGCAACATCATTCTACAGAACCGTCCCGAACAGGACCGCCTAACCCCATCCCATGACGGGTGGAATATGGTGGCCGCCCAGCCCCATGCCCATCCCAGCGTGGCCAAACCACCCAAGCCAGGCTTGAGGGTGCATTGAACACAGAAAGAGGCACTTGCCCTGGGGCCCTGGAAGTCAGGTGGTGGGCGTCTTTGGGGGTGGGGCTGGGGTGCCTCTAACTGAGGGTGGCAGGCCTTGGACCCCGAGAGAGGCCTTGGGACCCCGAGAGAGGCCATGGGGCCTGGGGTGGGGACGGGGACTGGGGTGGGGATGGCGACTGGGGTGGGGACGGGGACTGGGGTGGGGATGGGGCCCGGAGTGGGGATGGGGCCCGGGGTGGGGATGGGGACCGGGGTGGGGATGGGGACCGGGGTGGGGATGGTGACTGGAGCCACTTGGAAGGAGGGTGTCCTAACTCTTGCCGAGCCCTTGCACCTGTGATCAAGCATTAGTGCCGAGCCTGGTGGGGCAGCAAGGGGTGTGGGACAGAGTGTGGCCTGTGTTCGGGGGTGGCTGCAGCGTCCCCAGGGGCCCCTGACAGGGCTAGTGGGGCTGCATGGAGGGCGGAGCACCAGGATGCTGGGCTGCAGAGGCTCAGTCCACAGACCCGCCTGGGCTTTGGGGCCTCCAGCCACCCTCGGAGGGAGTGGGGGTGACAGTTGGCGGCTCTGTGTTGGGTGGGTGAGGGATCCTGGGACTAGGGAGACTTGGGGCTTTCCTGGTGGGAGGCTGGGAGGGATGTCTTTGCTGGTGAAGGGGACCAACAGGACGCTGAGCTCCAGAGGTGGGGACAGCATGGAGCCTGCCGGAAGCAGGTCACGTGGCCAGCATCAGTGGTTCTGACCCTGTTTCCCGAACTCCGTACACACTGAGACCTTCCTGACAGCCCACGGAATCTTGACCACACCACGAAGACCTCGCTCCAGATGGGGAAACTGAGGCTCAAACAGATCAAGCCTCCCGTCTCAGTCACCCAGTGGGAAGTGGGATCTGGGTTGTGCCCAGCTCCTGGGGCTGTGGGTCTGCATGCTCTGCCTGTGTGGACTGGGGCGTCCTCCCCATGGCTCTGGTGCACCCAGCTGCACTGGCTTTTCCTGGCCAAGGGGGCCCCTGGGAGGAAGATGTCAGAGCCGGGGCCTCCCTGGGCTCAAGCAGCTGAGGAGGGCCAGGAGGGGGCGGAGCTGCAGCTCCTGAAACTCCCCCCAGACCCGCCCAACAGGCCACTCTTCCCTGGCCCCCAGCATCTGCCATGTGGGCTGGGCCGACGCCCATAAAGGAGCCGCCCAAGGGAGCCCATGGTGCCTGCGGGCCTGGGAGAGGTCTCTGGGGTCCACACGAGAGGTGGGCTTCCTTCCCAGTGAAGTCACTGTGGTGCAGAGGCTGGGACGGAGCCTCTGCTGTGCCTCCCACTCACAGGATCCTTTCTGTGCCCGAAACCACCTGCAGCACTCCTAGAGTGCTGGAGAGCTCCGGGGAAGGGATGGGAGGTGGAGGGAAGTTGCAAGCCTTGGTGCTTTTGGGGAGAAGAAATGAACCAGGATTGTAGAAATTCACCCAGACCCGCACCCGCAGCCTTGAGCCAGGGGTCAGCAGCGGGGTCAGTGGGGCTGGCTTTTTCTTCCCGAGTCAGCCTTCTCTGGGTTTGTTGGGCTTGCCAAGGGCAGCTAGGGGTGCTGGGGCTGGGGGAACTCGGAAGGAGGGTCTCCTCCAGGCCTGGGTGGGGGCTGCAGTGGGGCTGTGATGGGGGAGCAAGCCTACCGGGGCGGGGAGGGGCTGGGCTGAGGCTCATGGGGGGCTTCACAGGGCTGGGGTGAGAGAGCTGAGCTCTGGTCCAGGGTCACCCTCAGCCACTCCTCCCACTCCCAGACCCTCCCACTCGGGAGTCCAGGCTGGAGGGTCTCTGTGGGTGCTGAGCCCCCTGGAAGGAGTGGGGGAAGGGGAGGGCAGGCTAGTGAGCCGCTGTCCCACCTGCTGCTTGCAGCTGGGCCGTGGGGGGGGCAGGTGTGAGGGGCGCATGTCTGTCCCCCTCGACACCACTCTCACCCCACCATGCCTTGCCCTCTGCTCCATTTTGCCACTGAGAACACGACCCAGAGGTGGCGTCTTGCCCACGGTCAAAGCTAGTGAGAGCCGGGCTGGGCTTCAGCTAACCCAGGCCGGCAGCTCCGCCTCCTGCAGTGAGGTGCTACTGGTGCCAGCACCTTTGCCTTCGGGGGACTGCTCCTTAAAACCAAGGGGCGACGTGCTGCTCTCACCAGAACGGAACAGAGCCCATCCAGTAAACGGGTGCCTCTTATCCCCCGGACAGGGCCCAGGAGAGCCCTCCATGGGGAGCCTGAGGCTGGCAGACCACCTTCCACCTCATGTCCTCATCCAGGGAATGGACATGCACTGTGGGCCCTGCCTGTCCCTCAGGACTCCCACCTCCCTCTAAAGGCCCCCCAGAGCCTGCACCTGCCCTCCTAGGGTCTCCACCCACTCTCCCAGGGCACTCTGGAGTGGCCACTCAGAGGGGGCAGAGGTTTGCTGTTGTTAATCCTACCTCACGCATTCTCAGAGCCCCAGCAGAGAGGGTGCACCCCCCCCACCCGCTGAGCTGGCTGGGGCGGGGCAGGGGTCGCATTCCTGAAGGGTGCTGGCTGGAGAGTCAGTCTGGGCGGAGGGTAAAGGTGTGGGCTTCCCAGTCAGCAGCCCTGGTGGGGCTCTCGGACCCATCTCTGCTCTCTATGCGGCCTTGGGCAAGTTGCTTTTCCTCTCTGAGCCTGTTTCCTCACCTGGGGGTGACAGCACCCCTGCCCCTGTATCAGGCTGCTTAGAAGCTCCTCACAGGTAATGCCTGTGTGGCCAGGAGCTCCGTAGACAGGAGCGCTCAGTGAGCAGCCGAGGGAGACCCCGATTCACCTGCGCCTCCCTCATGACCTGCGCCTCCCTCATGTGGGACCCCAGGTGTCCAGCAGTGCTGACGGCAGGACCCTCTGTGCTTGGACAAGGTCAAGTCTCATTGCCACAAAGGCCTTGTGCAGGAGGACGCAGCCCTCCCCACGCTCAGGGCAGAGGTCCGGCTTCTGACGGTGATGACACTCATCCTTGGACGGCTGCTCACTACGGACTCCAATGGGCTCACGGCATCTCTGTGGCTACACCCAGGGGAGATGCCACCTGCCTCCCACACACAGGCCAGGGAATCACAGGCCCAGCTGTGGCCCTGGCAGGACTGGACATTGTCCGGCCGAGTGCCAAAACCCACAGTGATGCCTGTTCTTACCCTGTCCTCTGGGAGGCCGGGCCCCCTGAGCTCCTCTGCTGTCTGAGCAGGAGGCATCCGGGGCATCACTGGGCTCCCCGCCTCTCCGAGGGCACTCAACCAGAGAAGCCGCCTGGGCACCAGTGCTCCAAGGACGTCTGCCAGGCCGGCTGCTCTCCACCCCAGCCACCGACCCCCAGCAGGCTCTTTGGGGCAGGAGTGCGGAGCTGGACACTGGTACCCTCCGTCTCTGAGGCCTGGGCTGTCTGTATGTCCATCTGACTGACTGCCCACCTATCCAGGAGCAACGGTGATGGCCACAGCAGTAGCAGTGGCAGTGGCAGTGGCATAGCAGTGGCAGTGGCATAGCAGTGGCAGTGACAGTAGCAGTAGCAGTGGCAGTGGGAGTGGCATAGCAGTGGCAGTGGCAGTAGCAGTGGCAGTGGGAGTGGCAGTGGCAGTGGCAGCGGCAGTGGCATTAGCAGTGGCAGTGGCAGTGGTAGCAGTAGCAGTGGCAGTGGTGACAGTGGCAGTGGAAGTAGCAGCGGCAGCGGCAGTGGCAGTGGCATTAGCAGTGGCAGTGGCAGTGGTAGCAGTAGCAGTGGCAGTGGTGACAGTGGCAGTGGAAGCAGCGGCAGCGGCAGTGGCAGTGGCATTAGCAGTGGCAGTGGCAGTGGCTGCTGTTGATCACATACTGTTCTGTGTCAAGCACCACACCAGGCTTTTTCCCACTTGCATGGGCACTGAAACCATCCTGCAGCTTTGCTGAGGAAGCCAAGCTCAGAGTGGTGCCCTCTGCACCTTGACCCGCTTCTCCCCAAGGGATTCCCCTGCCCCTGTCCACCTCCTGGCTGCCCCTGTGGAACACCCACTGCATAGCTAGGTTGGGCACATGCATGTGGCCGGGGCCCACCTGGCCTTGGAGGAAGTGCTGATTGTCTCATTCTACAGGTTTGGACACTGAGGCTTGAAGCAGATCAGAGATGAGCAGGTGGAGCAAGATTTGGACCTGGACATGGCCTCAGAGTCTCCTCCCACCCTCTGTGGTAATGGGCAAAGCCTCTCCCATGGAGACTTCGGCCAGGTCGCTTGTCTGGCCGTGCCTCAGTTTCTGTGACTGTAGAACAGATGTTGGTGGTGAGCCCTGACCCAGGCTCCTGTGCACACACCGCCGCAGGGCCCCCGGGACAGCTGCACACGCATGTTGTGTGTGCACATGCACTCGTGTACCCCACACGCGCGTGCGCCCGTGCACTCGTGTGTACACATAAACAGAGGAGCCAGCCGAGGTGTCCCTGCAGCTCAGGCACAGCAGCCCTGCAACCTGACTCCCTCCCGGAGGTGGAGGTGGGCCGGGCTGCTCTCCTGCCCTGCCGGCTGGCTCCCTGAGGCCTGGCCCGTGGGGGAGGGGGTTGAGCAAGGCCCGCCTTTGTGGCTGCTTCCCCACAGACACAGCGGCAGAGGAGTCCCCTGCTCAGTGCCCAGCTGCGGGTGCTGCACCCCTGCACCACCCTCACCCCTGTGGCTGCGCCCGCTTATCCTCTTGTGAACCTGGATGGTGGGGCGGGACAGGCCCAGGGTGGAGGGCGAGGCCACCAGCCTGTCCCTGATGCCCCAAGCCCCTCAGCAGACCATGGACACTTCCTGGGCCCTGGTGCCAGACTAGGCCTGGCCTCTTTGCACCCAGCTCCTGCCAGGAACGCCCACTGAGCTCTCTCCGTTGCTAGGTCCCTGGACCAGGAGCAGCCTTGTGCCACCCCTTAGGGAAGACGTCCAGTCCCACCCACCCCCGCGGCTCTCCTCGCAGGAGTCCAAGCTGGGCCTCCAGCCTCCCTGGTGAGCACCCCAGCCAGGGATCCCAGCTCACCCGGCTACTTGGGTGGCCTGGCCCCGGGGTCCCGGGTACTCACATGGCTCCTGGCCCTGCCTCAACCTCTGTCGACCTCTGCGCGGAGTCCCCCACGCTCTTCACAGGGAGAGAGAAGTGAGCGGGCTGTGAACCTGCACAGGCAACAAGACAGGATTTTGGCCAAACCCGCTTGACAGGTTTTCGATTCTCCCAGCCAGGAGCAGAAAGGAGGCAGAGACTGCCCTGAGCCGCCAGGCGGGTTCTGCCATCTCGCAGAAAGTGGCCGGACAGGTTGGGTCTGAAGCCACATAGAGTTGGGATTGTTTCCTCATAATCACTGTGAGGCTGGGCTGCAGGAGCCAAGCTGGTTAGCACTGAGAATCCAGTTTGGTGCCTGTGACACGGAGGGCCCGGGCGGGGAAGGGTGGGGGGCTTGCAGGGGTGCCTGGGTCGGGGGCTGCAGGTGGGAGTGAGCAAATGTGCTGTCTCGCCACCTCGGGACAGGTGGTAGGGCCTCTGACACAGAGTGGTCCTTCCTGCTGTTCACAGCTCAGCTCACCGTGGGCTGACCATAGGTAGGTGACAGTCCCCTTTCTGGCCTCGGTTTCCCTGTCTGTAAATTGGGGATAATAAGCTCAAGAGCTGTCCCTGCCAGAACCCAGTGGACAGAAATCCAGCAGCTGCTATGGGAAGCGACCCGCCCAGCCTGCCCCGCCCTGCCTGGGGAAGCAGGCCTTCTGCTTGAGGGGGACTGGGCGCATGCTGGGCCTCTGGTCTGCGCAGTCTGCCCGGGGTCTGTGAGTGCTTGTGAGTGGGCTTCTCCAGTCTCCAGGTAGGCTGGGTGCCCCCGGCCAGGTGGAGCCCAGGGGGGCAAATAGGCTGGGGGCTGGCCTGGCCCCGGGTGGCACGGCCCAGGTGCTGGAGCAGCCTCACACTGTGGTCTCGTGTGTGTTCCCTGGACAGCAACACTGTGGCTGCGGGGTACAGCCCTGACCCCCTCATGCCTTGCCCCCTGTGTCCTACCCACGACCCCTCCCCACTCCCTCCTCCCCGCCTCCACCTCCGCCTCTGCCTCATCCTCAGCCTGTCTTAGCTCTGCACGGAAGCAGAGCGGGGGTTCCCGAGTCCTTGGGGCCATGATCCCCAGCGCACCCGAGTACCCCAGGAATGCACGGGGCTCAGAGGAGGAAGCCTGGGAGCCTGGCCTGTAGCCGCTGCCGCGAGGGGAGGACGGACTTCCTGCTCCCTGGCAGGGCCCCTGCTGGTGGCTGGTGGCCAGCTCTGGGTTTGGGATGAGGGCTGGGTCATCTCTGGCCCCACGATGCCCTCCCACTCAGGACCAGGCTCTTGGGAGGGGGTTGTGGTCAGCATGGGCCACTCCAGCTCTGGCTGGCCTGGGAACTTCGTGGAGGCCCCTCCTCCGGCCACCTCCCTGTTCCTGGCTGGGCCCTTTGTGAGTGGGGTCTGCTTGCTGCTGGCGTGTGTTTTGTGTGTGCCTGTGTGGGGACTGTGTGCACGTGTGTGTGTGTGTGTGTGTGGGGATACGAATGTGTGTGCATGTCTTACATGTGTGTGCCTGTGTGTGCATGTGTTGCACGTGTGTGTGTGCACATGTGTGCGTGGACATGTGTAGCTGCTTTGTGCTGTGGTCTGGATGTTTTTTGTGTCTACCCCAGATTCTCGTTGAAATCCTAACGCCCCAGGCAATGATGTTAGGAGGCGGGGCTTCTGGGAGATGGCAAGTTCGTGAGGCTGCAGCTCTGCTGGGGGATCAGTGTCCTTCTACAAGCGGCTCCAGGGAGGTCCCTTGCCCCTTCCACCATGTGAGGACCCGAGATGGTGCCGTCTATGAACCGGGAAGTGAGTCCTCTCCGGACGTGGAACAAGTTGGTGCCTTGATTTTGAACTTGCAGCCTCCAGGTATGAATGTGAGCTCTGGGCTCACTGCCTGTGGGGAGCCCTGCCTCACAAGGAGGGGTCCCTCTGCATCTGCCATGCATGGCTGTTTCAATCAAAGCTGCTGTCTAACACCACCGGCTCGACCTTGAGTTCCTCCCTGAGCAAAGCCAAGCGACCTCCTGGACTGAGCCAGTTTTCGTGCCTGCCTGCCCTGGCTCATTGGCCAGGGACCCCACCCCGCCATGTCCAGGCCTTGGTGATACAGGACAGAGGTGCCCGTGCAGGTTGTGCCTGTGGCTGGGTCCCCAGGGAGAAGGTGGCAACCCCAGGCCAGCAGCCTCCTACCCTGAACTCCAGGCAACATCGTCGGCCCCCTGGCACTGCACCTGCACTGTGGGCAGAGAAGGAGGGAAGGCTGGGAGAGGAGGAGGAGGTCGAATGTCGCTGGAGGTCGGCGTCCTTCTGCAGCCGTGGGTTTGTGTGCCCCTTTGTTCATTCATGCAACCATCCAAGACCCATTTCCTGGCTGCCCACCAGGCCCTGTCCAGGCTCTGGGCACATGGATGGCCAAGAACGTGACTCACACATTTACGGGGCTTTTGGCTGTGAGAATCGGGCACACAGAGGGCACTGTCTGAGTCTCAGTTTACTTGTCCCTTGCAGGGCTGATGAGGGTGAAAGGGGTTCCTCTCCTGGTACCACTCACCTGTTCATTCATTCAGCCGATGTCTGTTGAATCCTGATCAGCCAGGAGCTGGGGGGTGTGATGGACACCCAGGCACCGGCGTCCGGGCTCGCAGGAAGCATTGCAGAATGAGGCAGCAAGGCCTCAACACGCTGCTGGCAAACCGTGGCCAGGTTTCAGCGTGGGGGCTGCTCCATCGCCCCATTATACAGCTGAGGAATGAGGCCCCAAGTGTGTGTGTGGCCTCCCAGCCCTGGCAGCCACCCCCACCTGCACCTGAGGGGCTGGGGCTGCTGGGCCTGGGGTGAGGGACCAAGAGGGCTCTTCATGGCCCCCTACACCTGCTTCCTAGGCCAGATGGGGGCCCAATGCCCCACCCCAGAGGTGAGGCAGCCTTTTATCTCTGAGCTGGGAGGGGTGGGAGATAAGCTTCAAAGGCATCTCGCTGTAAAACGCACCTTTAAAAGCCGGCCCTGCTGCCTGGTATTTGTGTTACTGGAGCGATAGATAAAGGGTGGGGTGGCCAGTGCAGTGGCCAGGTCAGGCCAGCCCTGCAGCCCTGGCCCCCAGATAAATGGGTCACCTATTAGCACGGCCCTGCAGGAATGGGACTGCCTTCTGTGACAACCGGGGCCCATCCCCACCCTCCCTGCAGACAAGCCCTTGCTGGCCCGGCTGGGGGGCATCCTGATGGCGGGTGCTGTGTGCCCATGGGGCCAGGCTGCACTGGGCAGGAGGGGTGCAGATGTGGGCCCTGCCTGGGCACTTGGGAGGGCGGAGGCTTTCTTGGTGGGGGGAAGGATCAAGCCCCCCGTCTTTCCTCCACATGGTCTCACTGCTAGTCACCCTATTTTATGTTCTCATGATTTTTATTTGTATAGCTTCATGGGGTTTAAGTACGATGATGCTGCATTGAGACGTTGTACTGTGTGAAGTCAGGGCCTTCTGTGCATCGGTCGAGGGTGCAATGCACACGGCACCCCCGAGCAGCCACCCATCCTCCCTTCCCTCCACCCTGCGAGGCCCCGTTGTCCGTCTGTCCACACTCTGCTCCATGAGCACACGTGACTTAGCTTCGCCTTGTGAGTGAGAACCTGCAGTATTTGTCTTTCTGTCCGAGTTGTTTCACTTAAGATAACGTAGGCACCCTCTTTTAAAAATTACTTTTTGCTAATACAAGAACTGCAAGGATGCCCCCTGCCCCCTCCTGCGAAGCACTAAACATGACAAATAAGACCAAAGTCTCCTTTTATTGTCGCGTCTCATCCCCTCCCCAGGTGAGCCGCTGCTTGGGGTGAGCATGCTTCCTGCTGGATGCTTCTCTATGTAAGCACCTGCCTGAGTGTCAGCCCTCTTAAGGTGAACCGCTCCGTGTCATTCGTACATTCACAAGTTTGTGCCGCCATCATCGTGATCGGATTCCAAAACATTTTCATCACCTCCAAGAAAGCCTTGTACCTGGCAGCAGTCACTGTCTCTATGGATTTGCTTATTCTGGACATTTCATAAAAATAGAATCAAACAGCATTTGGCTCTTCGTGTCTGGCCTGTTTCTCTGAGCACGATATTTCGAAGATTCAGCTGGGTCTCGCTCCTGTTCCTGGCTGAAGCTGAATAATATTCCAGTGCACGGCTGGACCACAGTCATCAACTGACGGACACTTGGTGGTCTCACATTTCCACTGGTGTGAATAGTCCTGCTGTGAACATGCGTGTGCGAGATTTTGGTTGAACACTTGTCCTCAGTCCTCTTGGGTGTGTATCTAGGAGTGCAATTGATGGGGCTTATGGTAACCCTAAGTTTAACTTTCGTTTACTTTTTTGAGACAGAGTTTCGCTCTTGTTGCCCAGGCTGGAGTGCAGTGGCACGATCTCGGCTTACTGCAACCTCTGCCTCCAGGATTCAAGTGATTCTCCTGTCTCAGCCTCCGGAGTAGCTAAGACTATAGGCATGCGCTACCACGCCCAGCTAATTTTTGTATTTTTAGTAGAGACGGCGTTTCACCATATTAGTCAGGCTGGTCTTGAACTCCTGACCTCAGGTAATCTACCTGCCTTGGCCTCCTAAAGTGTTGGGATTACAGGTGTGAGCCACCGCGCCCAGCCACTGTAGTATTTTTAAGAAGTCTAAATTAATGGGAAAAATTCACAATGAACCAAATAACCAAGTTTTATATAAAGACAGGATTAGGGTGAGGCAGGCGAGTCCCTTACTCTTGGGGCTGTGAGAGTGTGGGGTGGAATCGGCTCCAGGGTCCCAAGGTGTGGCCGGAGAATGGGCCTGGTAGGGAGACCTGGGCATGGTGCCCGTCTCCGGCCTCTGTCCTGTAAGGGTTTGCCTATGCCTCCGCCTCATCAGATTGCTCTAAAGATAGGACACAGCAGCACACGGGGCCCAGGCTGGGGTGAGTGGACCCCTCCCTGAGACCTTCATCTGCCACCGAGGTGAGGACAGCCATCAGCCTCCTCAGAGCCTTAGGGTCTGATCCCTCCTGGACCGGCCCACAGATCCCCAACGGACTGGAGTCCCCTGTGGCTGCTCCCCTCCCTCTCCCAGCCAGCTCTTGGGCATCCAAGCACCCCTCTGCAGGGAAGCCCTCCATGACTGTAGGTAGGTCAGGCCTTTTCCCAACAGGCCTGTAAGATGCAAGTCTTGGGTAGAAACTGTGTATTGGCTCAGGGGTCTTCAGGGTGCTACCTTCTTGAGACAGGAAGTGTTTGCCCGTTCATTGCTGTCTTGGCCCCTGGCATATGGTGGTACTTCATAAACATTTCTTCCTTTCTTTTTCTCTGAGGCAGGGTCTTGCTCTGTTGCTCAGGCTGAAGTGCAGTGGTAAGACCATAGCTTGCTGCAGCCTTGAACCCCTGGGCTCAAGTTATCTTCCTACCTCAGCCTCCTGAGTAGCTGGGACCATAGGTACACGCCACCATGCTTGGCTAAATTTTTAAAAATGTTTTGTAGAGATGGGGGTCTCTCTTTTCTGCCCAAGCTGATTTTGAACTCCTGGGCTCAAGCGATCCTCCCGCCTCGGCCTCCCAAAGTGCTGGGATTACAGGTGTGAGCCACCGTGCCTGGCCCTGGTGGGTTGTGTCTTACCCAGAAAACTCAAGTGCTAAGAGGCAAAGCCTAAAGGTTCCTCTGGGCTGAGACGGGATGGGCCCTGCTTGGTGAGAACTGGGGAGTGGTTTAGGGGAGGGCTGTGTTTCCTAAAGAGCCGACAGAAGCCTTTTACTCTGGCTAAACTATTTGTTCCTATACCTTTGTTAAATATTATGAAAATGAGGGTACCTGTGGAATGGGGACCCTGTGTGTGGAACTGGGGGGATGGCTGGGAGGGGTCTTCCCAGGCCAAGTCCTGGTTGGGCTCTTGCCTGGGATGTGTGGGGTGGAGGCTCCGGGGAGGGGGCAGAGGTGCCTGGGGGTGAACCAGCGGGTACCCCGGGCCATTTTGAC
The DNA here is from genome assembly GCF_000001405.40 of Homo sapiens. Classification (NCBI taxonomy): domain Eukaryota; kingdom Metazoa; phylum Chordata; class Mammalia; order Primates; family Hominidae; genus Homo; species Homo sapiens. Next base: position 62,433,437 of record NC_000020.11, read on the forward strand.
CTCTGACCTCAGCTTCCTTTTTGAGACAGTGGGGCTGCCTTGGTGCCTCTCTCCTGGAGGGTGTGGGTTAAATGAGAGGGGTTCTGTGCCAGGGCCCAGGGCTGTGCCACTCACTGAGGGTCCTAGCGACACTCCTGAGATGGTTCTTATTTTGTCACCATTTTCCAGGGCAGTGCCAGCCTTGGCAGACGGGCCGGACAGAGGAGGGATGATGGCTCAGGCTGGCAGGGGCTGCCACGGGGCAGCGATGGCCACCTCGAGCCTGGCCAGTGCTTCTGGACTTCCTCTCTGCTGACTTTGTTCCCTGGCTAGAAACAGTTGTGGCAGCGCTCCCAGACCGGGCGTCTGCACGGAGTGGCCTCAGCTTCCTTGAGCTGTGGGAATTTAACGAGAGTAAAATGGGACCATAAATCTCTGTCGGTCGGGATAACTTGATCCGTGATTTTGGAGGGCAGGCCGGAGCAGGGACAAGGAGGTGTCTGTGATGGGAGCGATCCCCGGACTGAGCTGGGCTGTCTGCTGGCACGTCACAGATAATAAAACCGCGTCGTCCTGCAGCACACGGAGACTGTGTCAGATCGAGATGTCATAACCTGTGCCTTGTGGCCAGGAGCCTGGTGTCGGGGAGGCACGGTCCATACATCACAGATCCCACGCACATCATAAAGATACATTAATGGTCTATGTGTCTTTAAAGAAATACTAATATTGTTGTTTTATGAGAAACTAGAGTTGAAAATATTAAAAGTCAGAATTTTATGGCCTAAAAGAAAGTTAAATGATGAGGATGTGGGAAGGGAGACTGAAGTATCCGTCACCGCCCGAGCCAGAGTCCTGGATGGGGACATGGCGGGGGAGGGGCCGCCTGGCTTTGATGAACTTGGCCAGCTCTGGCAGCCTCTGTGTGAACCTTCGGCTCAGTTAGAAGCTTCCTCCTTGGGAAGGGTTTGGAAAGCCGAGATAGAGGACGAGGGCATTGGGGTTGTCCAAACAGTTGCATGGCTCGGCAGTGGGACACATGGCAGGAACAGGGCCTCCAGGAAGCCCAGGCCCTCCTGTTTTGGGGCATGATCAGGGAGCGTGGATGGGGACACCCAGAGGACTCGGTCTCACCCAAGCCCTTTCCAGAAGGAAATCCTCCTGGCTTGCCACATGCTCCTTGTCGGATGACAATTTCCTCTGGTGCAGGTTTAAATTTTTATGTGACAGATCGGCTTGAATGACCCTTGGAAAAGGAGCAAGTGAAGGGGCAGTGGAAGGCACCGTGGATGGCACCGTGGATGGCACCATGGATGCCTGGGGTGTCAGGGGCGAGGTCCTGGCCTGAGCCATGCAACCACATGTGGGGCCGAGTCCCCCAGACCCAGGGACCAGCTCCTTCCACCCTGGAATCTGCGTGCAGCAGGCGCTGATGAGCGTCTGTGGACGAGGGATGGATTGACCTGGGTGAATGCGCCTGTGGGCGAGGGATGGACTGATCCCTTTTCTTCGCTGGCTGTGCCCCTTACCCACGGCTGTGCTCTGTGCTGGAGTCAGTGGGGAATTCGGGGCCTGAGGGCTCTTTGCAGCTCTCTCTTGCCCCATTGTGCCTGCGTGAGGACCCCTGGGACACGGGCACACCCAGGGTGAGGATCTGCCAAGGCTTTGCTCAGGGTTTAAGATGCTTATTACTAAGGTGAGATTTCCATGAAATAAAATCACTCATTTTAAGGGAGTCAGTTCAGGGGTGTTTAGCGCATTCACTCTGTCATGAGCCAGCACCTTGACCTAGTTCCAAAACATTTTCCTGCCCCCAAAAGGAGACCCTGTGCCCATTAGCAGGTCCTCCCCATCCCTCCCTCAGCCCTGGCGACACTGCCCTGCTTCTGTCCCCGGATTTGCCAGCTGGGTGTTTCGTGTCACCGTATCCACGCCACGTGCAGTCTCTTGTGCGTGGCTTCTTTTCCTGAGCACTGTGCTTTTGAGATTCACCTCCATGGTAGCTTGCACCTGTGCTTCGCTCCTGTTAAGTTCTGGGCTGCATGGACGGACTGCAGTGATCTGCTCATCCGCTGATGGGCATCTGGGTGGCCTCCACTTTTGGCTGGGAAGAGGCTGCTGTGGGTGTCCAGGCACACTCCTGCCTTCGGCTCTTTTAGGTGTTTTGCTCAGGATTTGAGACACGTTTTCTCTCCCTCAGAGGAGCACCTGTTGAAGAATCATGACCTCTATCGAGCATTTACCTGGTCACGGACATTTTGCTGAAGAATTCACAAGTTCATATAAGGACACGCTTCATCTCAAGTGTCCAGTTCAATGAGTTCTGACAGATACGGACAGTCGTGTGACTCCAGATCACAATGTAGGACGTTCTGGTCACCACGGGCTCCTGGATGCCTCTTCCTAGTGAGTTTCACCCCATGCCCTGCTTTCTATTGCAGGAGATTAATTCTCTTATAGGATTTTGTATAAATGGAACCACACTGAGGCGGGAGGTGGGACTTGACCCTAGAGACAGGGCTGAAACTCTGGACCAGATTGAAGACTGGCTGAGACAGGGAAGAGGCATCTCTCCATAAGATACCCACCAGTGCCAGGCCAGTTTACCATTGCCACGGCGACACTTGGGAGTTACTCCCCCTTTCCATGGTGATGACTTGGAAGTACCACTCTTTTTCTAAAAATTCAGAATGCAGGTATGAATATGAGTGCAGCACTGCCTCTGAGCAGCTGCTCTGGGCTCGCTGCCTGTGGGGGAGTCCTACCTCACAAGGAGGGGTCCCTCTGCTGCTGCTGTGCACGGCCGCTTCAATCAAAGCTGCTAACGCCACCGGCTCACCCTTAAATTCTTTCCTGGGCGAAGCCAAGAACCCCTGTGGGCTAAGCCCCAATTCTGGGGCTCACCTGCCCTGCAGTGGTGCTCTGTGTGGCTCTGATGTCTGCCAGAACAATGGACTGGAGGCCTGTGTGTGTGGCACATGTGCCTTGTGTGGGTGGCACTCTGCTCACCCATTCACCTGCAATGGCCGTCTGGGTCATTTGCACTTTTTGGTGATTGTGAACGGAGCTGCGATAAACATCCGTGTGCCGGTTTTCCAGGAACCCAGGCGCGGATGGCCAGGCCCTGTGATAAGCATCTGTGTAACTTTACAGGAAACTGCCCATCTGCTACCCACGGTGGCCATGCCCTTTCATTCCTGCCAGGGCACAGGAGCGTTCCAGTTCCTCCACGTCTTTTCCAACACTTGGTATTTTCTGCCTTTTAAATTTTAGTATTTCTTGTTGGTATTTGTCGCAATTTAAAGATCAGAAAATGGAGGCTCAGAGAGGTGAAGTGAACTGTCCAGGCTGCACAGTGGGGAGGGCAGGGTCAGAACCTGCCCATGACCTTTGGACTGTGACCCCACCTCTCAGACAGAGCTGGTCTGTGCTGGCCCCTGAGGCCCCAGACTGACCGCAAAGGCCTTCACTTCACACCACAGCCCCATGCCCCAGTGCCCCCTAAAGCCCTCAGTGGCCCCCCTGCCTCCAGCCCATTCCTGCCCTTCTCCTCCCTGCTCCAGCCATGCTGGTGCCTTCCTCTCCCCAGGGCCTTTGCACAGCTGCTCCTGCTGCCCCTCTCCCCTGGTTTTATCCTTCCCATGAGCCGGGAACAGCTCCCCTTGGCCAGCATGTGCCCTCAGCATTCATGCAGAGTGATGCATTTGAAATGACAGCAAGTGGCAGTTGATACCTTTCTGTCCTGAAAAGCGAGACCCAGGAGGGCAGAGACCAGGCCTGTCCTGTTGGCCCTGGGGGCTGTGCCTGGCAGCTGGTTGTTGATTTGGGCAGCACGAGTGTGGCCGTGAACACCCTGCTGAGCCTCACCCCGTCTAGAGATGGGAGGAAGCCAGGGGTCCACCTCCAGAAAAAGGCGCTGGAGGAATTATTAGTGGACACTTCAGCCTTGAGGAGAAGCAAGATAACCAGGACAGCATTTCCACCCCAAGACTGGGGCTTCGGGGGGACATCCTGGGAGAGACCCCTCTGAAACTTCAATAGTGCCCCCGCAGGGTAGACAGGGACCCCACCTCAACTATGGGCACTGGGGGTCTTGAGGTAGCCTGGATGGTTCCCTGGCCTCCCCAAGGCCGTGGGAGGAAGGCCCTGGAGCAGGGGTCGGCCGTCTGCTACTGGGGACCAGGCAGGTCACTGCGCTCTGGGCGACACTGCCTGGGCTGACGCTGAGGTCTGTGTGGTCCGTTACAGTCCACGTTGCTTTCCTCAACACGCACAGTTACATAAACGATGATAACACTTCATAAACATTTTTCTAACATGCGGAATGTTTGACATGAATTTCAGCTATTTTAAAATGAATAAACAATTGTCAATGTCCTGGCCGACAGGGAGCAGAAGCCACAGTGCTTTATGGAAGATGAAAGGCAGGAGAAAGGTCTCTTCTTTAGAGAAGAGGAAGGGAAAGAGACCCATCCTGTCCCTCTGACGGCAGGGCCTTCGGAGAGCAGCCCTGGGCTCGGGCTGTGGGCGGAAGGGCCAGTGGAGTCCAGAGGCGAGCGCCCCTTCCCATAGCCACCGACTGCCCGGGGCTCAGCGGGCAGGCAGGGAGATGCCTCAGGACTCACGGGTGAGGGGTGTTGGGCGGGGGCCATATGGGCTTGTGAGCATTGCTAGCTGCCGGGCCCTGGCCAGCTGCCCGCCTCAGAGCTACAGCTGGCGCCGGGGAGCTGGCAGCTGAGTGCCATCCTTCCAAAGACGTGGTGCTCCAGGGCGCATGGCCCGTGACCACCACCGGGGTGTGGAGACACCTGAATGGAGTCCTCACTGCCGGCCCGGCCTGCGCTGCCTGCTCTCGGCCTCCCTGTGTGTCGCGTGATGTTGTGTGCCAGGGTTGGGCGGTGGCTGTGTGAGGCCTGTGAGGACACACGCAAATGGGAGAGGGAGTGTGCATGGTGTCAGCATGGGGCAGTGGTGCGGAGTGACTGGGTCAGGGGACCCCCACACCGGACAGCACTTCTGGGGCAGCAGTGGTGCAGGAGGGCTGCCGGGAGCTGGCAGAGCGTGGCTGGGGACAGCAGGGTCTTGGTGGAAAGGCCCCAGTTCCCTTGTGCAGAGAGAGAGGCCACCGCTGTCGCCAGGCTCTGGGGGGTCCTCATGAGGGCCCGGCCCCACCCTTCTGGGATCAGGTGGGGGTGTGGCCAGATTCCATTGGAAAATGAGGGTAATTCCACAGGAAAAGCCTGGCCTGGGTGGATTCGAGAGGTGGCGCTTCCTCGGCCTCTCCTGTTACCCTCTCTTGGCGCCACAATGCTGAAAGACACGCAGAGCACAGGGTGTTGGTGAAGCACTGATGTTTACCTGTGCTGTGCTGACAACGGCACACTCAGCTTTCGGCGTGACTCCCTCCCTACCCCAGGCTCACCGCTAGGGAGACGGTGGTTTATCCTTCTATAGAGGAAGATACTGAGGGTCTGAGAGGCACATAGCAGGGAGGTCACTCGTGTCACAGGAAGATATGCTGAAGTTCTAAGCCCTGGAACCTGGGAGTGGTCCCTTGATCCCCAGTGACCTCGTGTGGGCATAAGAGCTTTGGAGATGTGGTCAAGTTGAGATGAAGTCATGGAGGTCTGACCCACATGGCGGCGTCCTCACAGGAAGCTCACGTGATTGCGGACCCACAGGGAGCGCCTTGGAGAGGAGGCGCAGCCCGGAGTGAGGACGCCCAAGGCTCGCCAGAAGCAAAAAGAGTCTGTAGCAGGGCACCGTGTGCTCCCAGCAGCCCACACTTAAACATGCATCCCAGCATCTCACAACACCCCTGGAGCCTGTATTGGGGTGCATTCGTGGCCTGGCCCACACCTTGATATTGGGGTCCTGGCCTCCATAGCTGGGAGAATGAATTTCTGTTGTAAGCTGCTCATTTTATGGAGGCCTAGGAACCTGAAACCATCCAGAAAGGCACTCTATAGACATTCGTGAGAGAATGAGGAAGTGCGAAATCCTTCAGTGTGCTGTCTGCGTCCACCAGCCAGGACTCAGGACTCCAGGTGAACCTCACAGCCTGGTGCTTCCCAAGTCTTGTTTTGAGGCTCAGTGCTGAGCCCACAGGCACCCTGAGGCTGGGCTTTGGGCTTCTCGCTCCTCATGTCTGGCTCATGAGTTGTTCTCCAGGCCTTTCCTTGCTGGGGGCCACTCCACCTTCCCAGGCCTATAACTTCCAAGCTATGGGTTGGCCCAGCTCACCCTGACCTGCTCTCTCTCTCCCTCCCTGCAGGGTGGGATGCCGCTCCTGCTCTGCATCAACTTGCCCTGCCTGCTCCTCCTACCAGCTCTTCCCAGGGTGGCCTCCAAGCAGGTGTTCAGCCAGAATATGGCTAAGTGGTGTGTGCAGCTGTATCCACCAGCAGGGCCTGGCTTGAGGACCCAGAACCCTGGCCCCACACCTGTGAGCTGGAACACCTGCACAGCAGTGCCACATGCTACTGGGGCTGAGGGTGCAGACACTGTCAGGCTCCCCCCAGGTCCTTGGACCCCTGTTACTGGGTTGAGGCACGCATGTCTCCACAGCTGTGTGCACTCCAAGCAGCCTACCCCTAAGTGCACCCCAGCAGCCCACACCTGTGCCCTGAGCAGCCCACACCTGTGCCCTGAGCAGCTCACACCTGTGTCTCCAGCAGCCACCACCCGTCACTTCTGAGAATTGCTCTAGGAAACCAGAGCCACCTTACCAGGAAGGGCCTGGGAGTTTGTGTCTTCTCATCAGCCCCCAAGGCAGCCCATAACCAATGGCTGAGCAGTGTTGGGGTAACACTCGGCCCCTGCCTCTGAATGGGAGAACCTCTGTGGTGCAATTCATGCTCCAGGGCTCCTCGCTGGAGCAGACTGAGGCTGGACGCCTCCAGGACCCCATTCTTTCTCAGCCCTCCCTACCCTGCCCTGCCTGCCTACCCCGCCCTTCCTCCCTCACCTTTCTCCTGAATGCAGCCTCAATGTGCATTCTAAGATGCTTGGTCTTAGGCTCTGCTTCTGGAGAACCCGACCCAGCAGGACAGAGGTCCCAACCTGGGTAGACACCACTGTGATGGATGAGTGTGCGTTCATTGTGACGTTCCTGGAGTTGTGATTGCTTTTTAGTTCCACGCGTTTCCCCGGTCAACAGAGGCTGAGCGCTCAGTGCCTGCCCTGTGGGGTCGTCTCCTAGAGCAGCAGCCACATTCTGGAACAGCCTGGCTTTCCTGCTGGGAAATGGGGTGTCCAGGGGTGTGGACTTTGCCTGGTTGGGGACAGGATCTGCCTTGAGGCAATGGCTGGTTGCTGACTGAGGGGTGTCCATGTCACCCTGAGGGTTGGGTTCCTCACCAGGGCCCAGAATGTTCTTTTTACAGAATTGACCACTCCTTTGGTACCCACCCAGGTCTTAGGTAATCCCTCTGGCTCAGGACACCCGTTCCAGCTCCATATCTCAGTCCAGAGGGAGATGCTGTCAAGGGGATGATGCGGGTGTTGCTGGCCCCCCACCTGTGGTGATGCCGGGGCCCAGGAGGAGGGAATGGGGTTACCTCTAGGGGACAAGGGGGACTTGTGTGTCTTTAAGCAATTTTAAGGATGAGTTTTTTTGGTGTGTGTTTTTAATATTTTGCAAATGATTTTTATAAAAGTAGCTCTCTGGGAGGGAAGCCATGGAGGATGGGAAAGGGCCCAGACTGAGGCTCCTCCAAAGATACTGGGTGTCACTGCAGAGCCAGTCCCTGGGAGACGCCAGGTGGAGGATCTGGGGTGGGGCTGGGGGCACAGCGGGAGGCCTCATGGTTTGCAGCGAGCAGAGGCAGAGGGTCCCACCTACCTGACCTGAGCCCTGCTGTCTGTGCTTGGCTGGGTGTCACTGACTGGTTTGCAAAGTTCCACGCCATGTTGGCCAAGGTCGGGGTCAGCTCAGAGGGCACAGGAGAACCTAGGCTCATAGCAGAGTTCCCAGGCAGAGCCGGAGCGCTTGCCCCAGCACAGCGGGCTTTGCATCTGCTGGGTGCTTGTTCTGTTGGGATGCGCCTAGGACCCCTGGAGGGTGCCTGGCCCAGGTGTCTGGAGCTGAAGGGGCAACTCTGGGTGCTCCACTCAGCTCTGCCCTGTAGAGGGGCTGGCAGCCTTAGGGGTGTCCTGCAGGCTTCGGGGGCTTCGGAGGCTCCTGCAGTCTGTGTCTGAAGGGCTGTTTGGCGCTCCTTCCCAGCTTGCTCCCCACACAAGGGCCCAGTGACCTGCCCTCTGCTCCCAGGGTCACCAGCGTCCAGCCTGGTGTGCTGCCCCATCCACAGCATATAGCCCAGGCCCCTCCTCTCCTCCAGCTATTCTTCCTCTCACACCTTTGGGGATCCCCTTCCTCAACCCCCCCCTTGCTGGAGACTCCCCTAGGCCATTGCTCCTGCATACCCTGGCTGGGTCTTAGCTGGGCCTAGGAAAAGACAGCGCATGCCTCTTCTTCCTTGGGGGCAGGGGTAGGTAGAGCCTTCCCAGCGAGGGCAAGGGCGAGGGTGGTGAAGACACAGAAAACCCTGCCAGGTGCCTTGTGACCCTGAGAGGAGGGGGCGTACCCTGGGGGACTGGGTGCAGGGAGAGCTGCCTGTGAGGCAGCCTACAGGCCAGCCTGGGCCTTCCTCCTTCCTCCACAGAGGATGCCTCCTGAACACTGACGGGCTGTGAGGACTCCACATGCGTCTCTCTGAGCCACTGCAGCTCCCCTCGGGGCCGGCACCGATGTAAACCCATTTTGAGGGCGAGCACATGGATTCTCAGAGACGCTGAATCACTCGCTCCAGGGCATGCGGCCACTGGGGCTGAGAGCCAGGGGTGAGTCCAGGCCAGTCTGCTCATGGTCAGCCCTGGGTGATGGTCAGTCAGGGTCAGGGTCGGTCGGGGTCACAACCAGCCAAGGTCATAGTCAGGGTCATGGCCAGCCAGGATCAGGGTTGGTTGGGGTCACGGTCAGTCAGGGTCTTGGTCAGGGTCATGGTCAGCTGGCTGGGGTTGAAGCAAGACTTTCAGGTTCTCTCTGGTGTGCTGCAGGCCCCCAGGTGGGTTAGGAAGCCCCACCGTGGCAGAGAGACGTCCCTGGACCCTGGGGTCCAATGCGCTTGCCGTGCAGGTGGAGGAACTGATGCCCGGAGCAGAGATGACCCTGCCTCTCACCAAGTCCACACTGTGCTGTCGTAGTGGGGCTGGTGGGACCTTGGTAACGCTGGGGCCCCCCATGCCCTGCGGATTCCTGCATTTGTGGGGGCCAGAGGGGAAAGTGGGGCTAGTAGAACAGCTTGGACACAAGGACACTGCCCAGGAATAACCACATGTCTACCGTGGAAGATTTTAAATCCTGGGAAATAAATACACACCACCAATGAAGAAACAGTCACCCACAGCCGGCCACCCCCAGTTATACTACTACTATTTCCATTATATGTTTCCATGTGTATACATTTGTCTATGTATCTATGTGTCTATCTGCCAATCATCTATCTATTGTTACGGTTATAGTTATTTTCTTTTTCCTCCTTTTACAAAAATGGGGGGGTCATCTTGAGCTTCTCCATAAACTGCTTTCTTCACTTTCACAATATTTCATGGGTGCATTCTCTCATTTTTGAATTTCACGCTATCATTTTTAAAGCTGCCTAAAGTCGCATGGGATCAATGAGCTGCTCTGGTTGGGCACTGGGCTGTTTTCCCTTTTATCTGGGGGCCTCATAAACAACCCGGAATGAACATCTTCGTATGGACATCTCTAGGCACATCTCATCCGAGGTTATGTCTTGGGAATGCTCCCCAGAAGTCGAACCTGTGGGGGCTATGCCACATCCATTTCTTTCTTCTTAAATGAGACCTTGACTCCCTGGTGACGCTGTGCCCATTTCTAAGGCTGTCTACACACCGACATTTGCCCTGCGGGAGTCCTCTCCTTGACCCCCGTAGCAGACCCGAGATGATCTATTTCTACACATTCTCACCAGTGCGGGCATCACATCTTTTTCAACTTTGCCAGTTGCTGGGTAAAACAATATCTTACTTTAATTTGGGTTTCTTTTCTTTTCTTTTTTGAGACAGGGTTTTGCTCTTGTTGCCCAGGCTGGAGTGCAGTGGCGCAGTCTCTGCTCACCACAACCTCCGCCTCCCGGTTTCAAGCGATTCTCCTGCCTCGGCCTCCCGAGTAGCTGGGATTACAGGCATGCACCACCACGCCCGGCTAATTTATATTATTAGTAGAGACAGGGTTTCTCCATGTTGGTCAGGCTGGTCGCAAACTCCTGACCTCAGGTGATCTGCCCACCTCAGCCTCCCCAAAGTATTGGGATTACAGGTGTGAACCATGGCACCCGGCCCTTAATTTGGGTTTCTTAGATTACTTGTGAAGCCGACAACTTGTCATATTTATCAGTCACTTATATTTCTTTTTGGGTGAACTGCCTTCACATTGTCTGGTGTCTTTTTTCATGATGAGGTTTTCATCTTTTTCTTATTGATTTCTAAGAGCTCTTTATATTTTAAGGCTAATAATACTTTATCATATATGTTGCAAATGTTGTAGACCATTGATGTTTTCCTTCTCATTTGTTTGTAGTGTTGTGGACATGAGGGTAAACCTGGATGTAGACATGCCTGTCAATCTTCCCTTCCTCTGACTTCCAAACCGACCCTGGGACTCATGCTGGGGCAAGCTGGGAGTCCTTTGGGATTCCACATTGAGGCCAGTTCTTGAACAGTGTAGAGAAATCTGAGTGGGATATTGCTGGTCAACTCAAGGCAGGGCTGGGGCCCAGGGATGAACAGAGGTGGTGCCGGGTGTACAGCAGGTGTTTACACCATCCTTGTTGAATTAAAACACAGCTGGTAGGTGACCAGGAAGGGAGGCTAAAAAGGAAGAGCAATGAGGGAGGTGAGGAGCAATGAGGGAGGTGAGGAGCAATGGCCCATGACCACAGGTCTCAGGCTGGGGCGGCTGGGGGCTCAGCCCTGCCTGGGCATGGATCTCAATGTCCAATCTCACCATCTTGACTCAGCATTCTTTTTCCATCTGGTGAACTCCTACACGTCCCTCAGAACCCCGAGTGCTCGCTTGTCCCTATTCTTGCAGTGCTTCACCTGTGCAGGCCCCTACTGGAGTGGCCCCACTCAGTGATGAAACCGTTGCTCATAGCTGGGTGGTCCTGGGATGCCTCATCTGTGCAGCGGGGAAGGGGATGAACCAGCCCCTTCATCTCAGGGTTGGGATGAGGATTCAGGAGCTAACCGTGCAAAGGGCTTGGTGCCCCAGGGGATGGGAGAGGTGGATGGAGAAGCCACTCCCATACCTGCCAGCCACCAGTCCCCAGGCTGGGCCTCGTCCCCCATGCCTGGGGCAGGAGAAGGAGGGTGGAGGAAGGGAGCAGCCTGGCCAGCTTCTGGGGCTGTAGGGCTGGGGCTGATCAGTAGACCCGTCACTCAGAGTTTGATATTACTCATGGCTGTAAAAGTGATCCCCAGCATGCCTCGGGGGTTTCAGAGAGAATGTCCCACTAAGTGTAGCCCCTTCTCCAGCCTCTTGGCAACTGTGGCTGCTGGCACTGAGGAAGGAATCTTGGGTTCATCCCGGGCCACATGTGCCCATCCTGCTGTCTACAGCTGTAGCTGCGGCCACACGTGCACACCACCATGCCCAGATCATTCTTTTGTATTTTTTTGTAGAGATGGGGTTCTGCCACGTTGCCCAGGCTGCTCTTGAACTCCTGAGCTCAAGCAATCCGTCTGCCTCGGCCTCCCAAAGTGCTGTGGTTACAGGCATGAGCCACGGCGCCTGGGCTCCTAAACTGATTTTTAATGACACGAGTAATACAGGAACACATTCTCCTTCTAAACAGAATTCTAACGGCGGGGGCCCTCGAGCCGCGGCATCATCCCAGCACCCCCAGCCTCACCGCGAGGGCCCTCGAGCTGTGGCATCATCCCAGCGCCCCCAGCTTCACCGCGAGGTGGCTGAGGTTCCCAGCAGGACATCTGTCCTTCTGGCCTGAGAGTCCGCTGTTGGGTGCCGGTCTCACCTGGCAGCAGGTTTCTCCATGGAGCAGTGAGACAGGAGGTTTCCTCAGCAGATCACCCAGAAACGGGGCTCTGCCATGGAGCCCCCGGACTGATGGGCTTGGGGGGCTTTCATTCTCCGCAGTGACAGGCAGGGCCGTGGGATCCTGCTCCACGCCTCTTCTACTCACGCCTTACGCTGAGCTGCCCAGGACACTCCCAGGGCTGTTTTACCCACACGAGGCACAGAGAAGGTAGTGGCCTGCTCAAGGCCACACAGCGAGGCTGCGTAGAGCTGCTGCTTGAGCCAGCGTGGCCTGGCCTGGGCTCCAAACGGCCTGCACCTGCCCTTCCCTGAGGACGGTGTTAGATGTAGGCACGCCACTCACCCATCCAGGTCTCACCTCCTGGTGTTTGGAGGACCCTAGGTGGGGTGGGGCCCGGGGGTCTGTGTTCACACTGCCCAGCAGCAGGGGAGGCACACAGTGGGCTCTGGACTGTGGGCACTTGCCAGCTATACTTGGGGACAGAGTGGGTCCTCCTCGGCACCCTCCATCATGTATTCACACACGGGTCATTCGCTCGTTCACACGCTGGCTCCTCTGCCCAGCATGTGCCATTTGCTCAGCTCAGCGTGGGCGGCAGAGGGGCACAGGTGGCGAGGGCAGGGCGGGGGCCGGGGGCCACAGGTGGTGAGGGCAGGGCAGGGCGGCAGAGGGGCACAGGTGGCGAGGGCGGGGCGGGGGCGGCAGAGGGGCACAGGTGCTGAGGGCAGGGCGGGGGCGGCAGAGGGGCACAGGTGGCGAGGGCGGGGTGGGGGCGGCAGAGGGGCACAGGTGGTGAGGGCGGGGTGGGGGCGGCAGAGGGGCACAGGTGGTGAGGGCAGGGCGGGGGCCCGGGGCCTGCTCTCCAGAGCCACACAAACCTGGCCAGATGGCTCCTGACTGGGACCTCCCAGGGCACATCCTCCTGTCCCTCCTTCTCTGTGCTCGCTGCCAACCACCACCCAAAGCAGCAGCCCCAGGAGGGACCAGGGCCCCCTCTTATCAGCAGCCTCCCCCAGGCCTGGCCGCAGCGTTCTCCCTGGAAAACCTGAGTCTCCACTCCCTGCTGCTGGCTCCCACCAGGCCCCTTCCTCACCAGGGGCATCAGCAGACGCCTCCGCCTGGCAGCAGACACCGGCACGACCCTCACCCCGCCTGGGTGGCCAAGCTGCTCTGGGGAGCTGGCTGGAAGACTACGTGGAAACCCCACCCCATCTATCACTGAGCCGGGGTCTGCCTGTGGGCCTGGGGGCTCTGACGGGGAAGGCTCAGCTTCTCTGCATGCTGACTCAGCCCTTCATCTGTGGGGCTGGAACGACAGCCACAGGGGTGTGGCTGGCCAGGGTTGAGATGGGGAGCAAAGCCCCTGTCCCCATTCCCTATCGGTTTCATGGAGGAGACTGAGGTGTGGTGTCCCAGACCCTCCCCTCCCCTCCTCCTGTCCCCTGGGGAGGTCACCAGGGGCAGCGTCCTGCCCCTGCACCCAGCTCTCTGTTCCCACCCATACCTTGGAGCCATGCGCAGCCTCCCGCCCACCCATGAAGATGTAGCCCTGGCCTCAACCCAGCCCGGGTCACCGCACATTTGTCCATGTGGTCGTTCATTCGTATAGCAACTACGAATAATCCTCTATAGCCTGGCGCGCCCTCGCCTGTGGGCTTGGAAATGGGGAATCGGGGTCCCGTGGAGCCATCTCCTCCGGCTCAGTGGCCCCAAGTCAGGCTGGCTGGTCCCTGCTGAGCTGTGGGGCCGGCGTAAAGCTCACGTGGACTGTGAATACCTGGGTCAAACGGAAGAACAACTCGCCACGTGTTATGCTGATAACGGGCTGAGCTGATGACATTTCCGACGCGCTGGGTTAGCGTACATCGTTAAAATAATCTGTTTCTTTTTCCTTTTCTTAGCACGGCCACTAGCACGTTTGAAGTCACACACAGGGTAGCGCCGGCCTGGACAGAGGCGGACATCTGACAAGCGGGCCAATGAGGATGACATCTCGGACGGTAGTCACTGCTACAACGAAAGTCAGTGCCCCACCTTGCCCAGCCGCAGGGTGGACCCTAAGCAGCTCGCCCCACCCAGCCGGTCCTGCCTGCTCTGTCCCTCCCAACCCTGCAATGGGCAGATTTCTGGGGGGCAGTCTCTGACCCACTGTGGCCCAGGTACAGAACCCCGCCTTCAAGTCTCTGGGCCTCAGTTTTCTCATCTGTGTGTTGGGGACAAAGACGCCGCCCGGCCATCTCACCAGGCTGCCGAGCAGCGTGGAAGAGCTCTGGCTGTGAGGTCAGAGGCCCTTTGTTTGAAAGGTCCAGGCCCATAGGGGTGCATGGGTTGTGGTCTTGGGTGATATTAGAAAAGCTAAGTCCTCTCTCCTGGGCAGATGACACCAGAGGGAGGGTGCGAAGGTGGTGGAGAGGCCGGTGGCCTGGTGTGGGCTGTCATAGGAAAGTGCCGCAGACCAGGTGGCCGAAACAGTGGAAATCCGTTGTCTTGCAGTTCCAGAGTTCACAAGTCCGTGTAATGGAGGCATCGGCCGGCCTGGTTCCTTGAGAGGGGGTGAGGGATCTGCTTCCCACTTCCGGCTTCTGGGGCTGTGCCGCAGTTTCTGCTGCTCTTCTGCTTGTGGAAGCATCATGGTCTCTGTCTTCACCTCACACCTGCTCCCTGTGCCCGTCTGTGCCCAATTTCCCCTTTTCTCAGGGCCCAGACATCTTAGATAAGGGCTCACCCCAACCTAGCATGACCTCATCTTAGCCAATTACGTTACCAGTGACCCTATTTCCAAATAAGGCCACTTCCTGGGGTGCTGGGGAAAGGACTTCAACGTGAAGTTTTGGGAGACACAGGTGCGCCCACATCACCAGGGGTGTGTGAGCATGATGAGCAGCTCGGGGCTCTGGACCTGTCTGCGGGAGCTCCGAGTCCCACGGCACTTGGAGCTGGTTGAGAATGGGGCTGGGAGCCCCAGGTCAGGTTGAATTGGTGCTGGGGACACATGTCTCGTCCCTGGTTCCCCCAGGCTTTATTATGACGCACAGTTTCCCGAGAAGCGGAGTCTGAGATGGAGACTTTTGTACAAGGGACTCACTGAGAGGTACTCCCAGGAGAAAGTGGGGGTGAGACGCAGGACTGGGGGAGCTGAGCTGGGAGGGGCTCTCAGCCACAGCCCAGCCACAGCCCCAGAACCTGAAACGCACCCCAGAGTCAGCCCCACTCACTCAGAAGGGGGGTCCCTGCACCCTCCTCTGGCAGCCATTGGCTGTGGTGGCCTCACAGGTGGGGCCCAGGGGTCTGTGTTCACACTGCCCAGCAGCAGGCGAGGCACACGGTGGGCTCTGGACGGTGGGCACTTGCTGGCTACACGTGGGGACAGAGCGGGTCCTTCCCTGCACCCTCTATTCATTTATCCACACAGGGATTAATTCGTTTGTCCACTCGCTGGTTCCATTCAGCACACCCCATTCGCTCAGCTCAGCGTGGGCGGCAGAGGGGTCAGAGGTGGTGGGGGCCCATGACCTCCTCTCTGGAGCTGCGCTAAACTGGCCAGCTGGCTCCTGGCTGGGGCCTCTCTGGGACTCATCCTCCTGCCCTACTCACCTCCCTCTGCCTCTGTGCTTGCTGCTGACCACCACCCAAAGAAGCAGGCATTTCTGGGCGAGGTGGGTCCCGGCCCCCTGTGGCCGAAGGTGTTCCCTGGGAATGGACAGCTGTGAGCAGGCGGAGCCACACACAGAGCCACCGACCGGGCTGTGTAGGTGAAGGAGCCACGTGGAGGTGTGCAGGAGGTGGAACACTTAGGACCCTTTCCCGTGGGCAGAGACCCAGTGCCGGGGGAGGCCTGGCTGGGTCGTACCCCCAGCCTCACCCTGGCTCAGGACACCGGCACCCAGAATCCTTGGGCCACTCCGAGCCCAGAGGCACCCAGGCCCTCCTTGAGCTACATGCAGCTTTAAAACACACATGTCCTTTGACCTCCTCCCACCCAGGGGGTTTCTCTGCTCTCTCCCCTTGAATCTGGCGGCCTCCACCCCGCCCCGACCCCACACAAATGAATGAGCGTCCCCAGCCTTCTCAGCCCTGAGCACCATCGCGGATGGCATTGCGGGCGCTTCTCCACCGTCTGCATCAGCCCCCGACAGACGGTCCCAGTGGGACTGTGTCCCTATTACCTGTGTGTCCCCATCCCCTGAGCGGACCCGGTCGACTCAGTGCCATGTGTACGATGGGTAAAGGATGAATTTGTGAAACATTTCAGATACATTACACTTGACACCATGTTAGCTCCACTTTCACCTTTTTCGGTTCTTAATATTCCAGAAGCCCCAGTAAGACAGAAGAGTCTTGGGCCCCGGGTCTGGGGAGGCACCCAGAGCCCTTCACGGTTTCTTGACTGTCCTCGGAGAGGCGCTGAGCTCCGGGGGCGCATCCAGCTCCCAGTGAATTCTGGCGGCCACTGAGGAAGCTTCTGCTGAGAGAATTAGGGAAAGGACCCCCCCAGGAGGGTCTTTGCTGGAGCAGACGCCCCGCATCACCACCTGCTGCCCATCCATCCTGGCCAGCGGCTCCCATACCCACTCCTGCCGCTGGGGGCTGACCGTGGCACCAACTCTTTTTTCCATGGAAGCTGCCCTTTGGTTTATGGTTGCTTCTTGTTTCTGGAACCTTTGTACCAGGATCCCTGCCCCTGTGCGTGGCAGAAGTCTCCAAGGTCATTCACCCCGGCCACGCTGCCTGGGGCTCCGGGACCGGCCACTCTTTCCTGACCACGTGGCTGTTCTTCACCATCCTGCCTGGCGGCTTGTCCCGCCAGGGCTGGCAGGGTCTTCAGGATAAGGCTGTGGCCCCCTGGGGTAGTTCCTCAGGCCATAGGGAGGACGCTCAGCGGGCGAGAGCTGTGAGCTGGATGGTGTGGACCTGACTGTGAGCAGCCACTCTCTGGGCTGGCAGACATCCCAGGGCGCTGGGCTGTAGCTTCTCCCTCATCACTAGCGGAGGGCGGCCTGCGGCGGAGGGTCTGGACTGTGTGGTCTGGGCCCTGCAGTCCCCATGGCTTCCCAGGCAGCCCCCAACCTCACTCTGGGTGAGACACTGGGGACTGTGCCCAGGGGGCAGGCGGCCTCTAAGTGCACAAGGTGATGTGCCCCTCCCACTTCCAATGTCCCAGGAGGGCGGAGTGAGCCCGCCTTGTGCTGGGCAGCAGTATGCAGGGGTGGCCGTGCAGGGCCAGGCAGGCACCAGGTGGACAGTCCTGCAGCGGAACAGGACGCCCCTGCCCGTGAGCATGTACTCCCTCTTTGTCCCAGGACCCCCCTCCATCCTCCTCCCAGGAGCCCCTCTATTGCCCTTCCAGGTCCCCCCACCCCTCCCAGAACCCCCTCCCTTTCCCTCCCAGGATCCCCTCATCCCTCCCAGGCCCTCTTCCTTCCTCCCCCAGGTCCCCTCCCAGAACCCCTTCCCTCCCCACCAGGCCTCCCTCTACCTCCTAGCTCACCCTCCCTCCCCTCCTCTCACCTCTGTCAGACCAACGTCCTGGAGATAAGAATAGCCTGTCTCCCTGGGGAGCTGACTCCCCATGACCACTGTGGTGGGGGGTCAAGGGGACAGAGTGCCTTGGCAAGGACCTGGAGACCCCTCGGGTCAGCCCTGAGCCCAGCTGACCTAGAGCAGCCACCAAGGGAGCTGAAGCCAATGCCTTCCCCCAGGTCAGACGGGGTCCCGCTCCGAGCCTCAGCTGTGGCTCTTCAGCACCCCAGGCCCACCTGCTCCCCACCCCAGCCCCTCCTCCACCTGGGGGAGGCCTGGTGGGGCCCAGGCCTGTGGGGTCCTATTTGGCCGGTGCCATCTTGGCATCATCCCCCAACACACGGTGGAATCAGGGGTCTCACCTGGGCCATGGGGGCCTGGGTGGTGACATTCTGATCAGAGCAGGTGGAGGCAGTGCAGGCTGTCCTAGGCCCCCCACCGCGCCCGGGCCTCACAGCCTCCTGAAGGATGAGCGCATGCATCTGGGGAGGGTGGGCCTTTGTGAGGGGAGAGAGAGGAGAGAGAAGAGAGAGAAGGAGAGAGGGAGAGAGGAAGAGAGGGAGAGAGAGGGAGAGAGGGAGGGAAACAGAGAGGGAGGGAAAAGGAGTGCGAGAGAGACAGAGAGGCAGGGAGGGGGGAGGGAGAGAGGGAGGGAGGATGACAGGAAGGGAGAGAAGGAGGAGAGGGAAAGAGAGGGAAAGAGAGAGGGAGGGGGAAGAAGAGGGAAAGTGGGGAGGGAGAGAGAGGGAGAGGAAGAGAGAGGGGGAGAGGAGGGAGAGAGAGGGAGGGATGGAGAAGAGAGAGGGAGAGGGAGAGAGAAGGAGGGAAAGGGGGAGGGAGAGAGAAAGAGAGAGAGGAGGGAGAAGGAGAGGGAGAGAGGGGGGAGAGAGATAGGGGAGGAAGAGAGAGGGAGAGGGGGAGGGAGAGAGGGAGGGAAAGGGGGAGGGAGAGAGAAAGAGAAAGAGGGAGAGGAGGGAGAAGGGGGGGAGAGAGATGGGGGAGGGAGAGAGAGGGAGAGAGGGGAGAGAGGGAGGGTGAGAGTGGGGAGAGGGAGAGGGGAAGAAAGAGAGAAGGAGAGCGGGGAGAGAGAGGGAGAAGGGGGAGGAAGAGAGGGAGAAGGAGAGAGAGAAGGAGGGAGAGAGGGAGAGGGAGAGAAAGAGAAAGGGAAGGAGAGAGGGAGGGAAGGAAAGAGGGAGGGAGAGAAGGAAGCAGAGAGGGAAGGAGAGAGGGAAAGAGAGAGGGAGGGAGAGGGAGAGAGAAAGAGATGGAGAGAGAGAGAGACAGAGAGAGATACATGGAGAGACAAAGAGCGGAGGAGGGCAGAGGAGAGCGGCCTGCCTACCTTGAGGAGGGCAGAGGGTGGAGACTAATTTGCACCTTAGTCGTGCCCTCAGGCTGTCCCTGTGAGAATGCCAGGGTGGTCCTAGCACCCAACACCCCAGCATGGCAGGCCCAGGTGTCTCTCGGGCTCAGGTTTGCCTCAGGCCCCCCTGGCTCTAGGAAGCCCCCAGCCCTCCTCAGTCCTTCTCCTCAGCCTTCGCTGTGCCCAGGTTGTGTGCCTGGGAGGTGGGTGTCCGTGTTATTCTAGGGATGCTGCTGTCCTTTGGGGGTGACTTCTTACTGCCTCCACTTTTCAAAGCAGGAAACTGAGGTTCAGAGAGGTTCAGGGCCTGCCTGAGGCCACACAGCAATTACCAGCAGAATGGTGCAGGCTCTGGAGCCTCTTTGGATCTCCACCCAGATCACCCTCTGGGGCCTCGGGCGGGCGGGGCTCCTCCGTAGGTCCCTGTGATGCAAACGCCTGGGGAGGAAACGGGACCATTTTCCAGGCACGGGTCAGGGTGCCGGGGAGGCAGGCTGGGCGGGATGTGCTGGGAGCTGGAAAGGCCCCGGGTTGGGTCGGAGTCAGGGCAGATCTGGGTGTGGCTGGGGCTGCGGAGGAAGTCTAAGGGAGCAGGGAGCCCTTTATTGCACTGCCTCGGTGACATTTCACCTGCCCTGTGCTAAGTGGGGATAACTGGTCACCCGCCTGGCTGTGCTCACACCCTCAGGCCAGCCCACGGCAGCCCCATGTGGTCCCTGGCCCACGGACTGGCTGCCCTTCCCTGGGGCTTGGCCACTGAGGCCCTTGCAGGAGCCCTCGAATGGGACCCCCGGTGGGGACTGTGTGGTCCCAACTGCCCAATGGGGCTCTATGGAGCACCTGCTGTATGCCAGGCCCTGTACAGGCCCCTTCGTGTGGTAATGAACATGGTCTGCACGGGACTCATCCTCCTGGGGCTGGGATTCAGTGACAACTGCAAACTGCCAGCGACACCAATAGCTAAGGAGTCGTGAGGGTGGCTGAGCTCCGGGAGGGGCGCTGAGGGCCACGCGGACCCACATTGGCCTGGAAGGATGATGGGACCCACGGGGTGGGGGACACAGCCAGGCAGAGGGCGCCCAGGTGGGAGAAGTGTGGAGCCCTGGCCTGGGCATGTGAGGGTGGGGAGGTGGGGGGTGAGCTCGGGGGTTTTGTGTGAAGCAGGTGGGCAGAGCCTCGAGGGCCACTGGGGCGGGAGTCTTGGAGGCCCTGAGGAGCCCTGGGGACTTTGTGGGAAGGGAGTGGGCAGATGGCAGCGTGGAATTGGTGGGGAGAGAAGGACACCGCCAAGGTTGCCCAGACGGGTTTGCAGACCCCAGGGCAGGGGGGTGGGGTCAAGTGAAGGAACTGTCACCCTCTCTGGAGGCAGGTGCGGCTGACATTGGCTGCCTGGGGACACCAAGGACAGCCCCAAGGTCCTATGGGGTCACATAGAAGTCCTGCTGCCTGAGTGGGGAGCGAGGTGGAGGCTGATGGCAGGGACCTCCCGTGGGCCTGGGGGCCAGGACAGAGGCTGCCCTGTAATGATTCCTGACCTTCCCTGAGCACTAGCCATCAGTGGTTCCGGGGTAGACCCTGCTTTTTTTATTTTTCCTTTTTTTTGGGTCTGTAGCTGGATTTAACTGTAAAGAGCAATAAATTACAAATCTGGAAAAACATCCCTTGTCCCCACAAAGGACACAGCTGTCCCCAAATGACAAATGGCTCTGAATTAACATTATTTAGTATTTATAACTTCCGCCGGACAGAACTTACAGATGTTACTGGCAAATCCTGCCTGCCTTTGGGGTATTTTTAGAGCCTATTGTCCATCCTTACGAGGTTCCTCTAACCTCGTCTCTACCAAGGAGGCAGCGTGCACTGTCTGGGCCCAGAGGATGGGCCCGGGGTGCCCCCAGCTCCTCTGCAGAGCTGGAGCGGTCCTGGCATTTGTGGGCACATTCATCCATCTGCAAGGAGACAGAGTGCGGGGAGAGGGCAGGACCCCCGGTCTTGCTCTGGGGCAGGCTGAAGGAGGGCTGAGCAGAGCTGAGGCCAAGTGGCAGCCCCACCCGTGGAAGGGGATTCAGGAGTAAAGGCAGCAAGGATGTCTCAGGGACTGGACGAGTGGCCAACACTGACCGTCAGGCGGGCACATGGCTGGGAATCTTCGCTGGCTCTGCAGACATGGAGGCTGGGGCACAGAGAGCTTACCCTGGGCCCTCCACATTCAGCAGCAGCTGGGACTTGAACCCTGGCCCGAGCCATTTCCCAGCCGACTGCACTCTGCCAGACATCCGAGGTGCCTGGCCTGCCAGCGGACCTCCAGACTCTGTCCTGGACCTGGACTCAAGGGCCTCCGACCCGGCCCTGAGTTTTGGGCTTGGGGGCAAGGCTTGAGCTGTGACCAAACCTCCCTCACGGCCGCCCCTGGGGTTCAGCTGGGAATTCTTCTGGGCCCCCACAAGAGCTGGGGGGTCTAAGTGTCTCTTGGGCTTCCAGTGCGTGGATGTACAACTTTATTTGAGTGTTTAATTTCCCCTCTCATCCACAAAATAAACAAGGGAGATTTATCTGAAAGTGACTGAACACTTCCAGGCTCTCTGCGGAGTCCGGGCCCACAGCGCTGTGAGCTGCTCACAACTCAACCCAAGTGTCTGCGTGCAAGGGAGGTGCGGGCAGGAAGCATCGGACCTGGTGTTTTCGTTAGGGAGGTTAACGGGCTGGGATGGAGGGCCTTAAATCTTTCACTAGAAAATCCCGGTGAAGCTTCGGAGGAGGCCTGGGGGAGAGCCGGGCCACGGAGCAGCCATCTGTCAGCAGAGGCACCCGCTCGAAAGTGCTGTTGATTTAAGGAGGCCAAGGTATTGAGGGTTTTCTGTGTTTAGTTTAAAATCTTCAGAAAAACTCATTAGCGCTCTCCCTAACTGTTTCTGGAAGCGGTGATCTGGGCTCAGGCTGAGGGCTCAGAAAAGGCCATTGGACATGGAGGCTCACGGAGGGACCAACCGTTCCCCCAGATCCTTCTGGAGCCTGGGCCAGGGTCACCGAAGGGACGGGCCCTCAGCGCCGTTCATCTCGGCTGATCCTATTTCAGCCGAGGCCGGGATGGGCTTTCCTGGCCCAGCCAAGGAAGTGACACCCTGTGTGACGGCGGATGAATACCTGAAGCTGCCCCGCCTCCCAGGCCCCTTCTCTGCACCCTGTCAGCTCTCCCTGAGGCGGGGAGATGGGCCAGAGGGCACCACATTGAGGCTGACGACTGTCACCCATCCTCGGAGGGGATGCCACCCCCAAATCATCCAAGCTCAGGGCCCCAAAGTCTCTCAGATAATTCACGCTGGTGCCCCATCTCAGGCTGGCAGGACCATCGCCCCGGCCTCATGCTGGCCAGTGCCTTTGGCTGACCTCTGAGCTTTGCTTGGGGGAGAGTGCCCAGTGGGAGGCACGGAGGCTCCTGGTGGCGGCCCCCAGCCCCTGTGGGGGCTCCTCCCCAGACTCCATCTGCCCCCAGCACCTCCCTTTGGAAAGGCTGTTAGGAGACGCCCATGGGAGGAATCTGACGGGGTCCTGGCGTGGGGCTGGGGGTCCTGACCATGCTGCTGGGAAGGGTTTTCTGTGTTTCCTTCAAAGCCCCCAGAAGAGCTGCCCTGCTGCCTTCCACAGCCCTGGGATTGTTGCTCGAGAGCTGGCGGGGCGGCCTCCGCGGGGCGGCTCTGGCTGAGCAGCTGCCCAGCTCGGCCCAGGTCCTCCTTGCCCCTCCCTGACCCTCCAGGGCCGACAGGGACAGGCTTGTCAATGTTCCCCCTGGGACCTGCGGGGCCCTTGTGCAGCAGGAGGCTGGTTGGAGGGAATGCAATCCCCAGGAGGCCGTGGTTACCAGACCGGGGTCGGTGGGCCTGGTTCACTGGTCTCTCTCCCTTTTTGTCTCTCCGTCTTTGTCTCTGTCTCCATGTCTCTGCCTCGGGAGTCCTCCATCCTGGCCCCATTCCTTGCTCCCTGCAGAGGGGCAGCCTTGCCCTCCCTCCCGTGCACACGGCGTGCCACAGACTCAACTGGACCCATCCCTGTCACCAGGGTCTCTAGGAGGTCAAGATCAAGGGCCCTGCACGTCGCAGGATCCTGCCGATTACGAAATGAAGGGGTGCAGAACGAGGCCTCAAAGTGGCGGACCCTCCACAGTGTTTGCAGCGAATAATCTGGCATGTTTTATACACAAGCATTACAATTTAGAAATGATGAGTTCCGAGGTCAAAGGGGAAGCCCTCGAAGCCAGCAAAGGGCTGGGTCACTGGGGCCTCCTCCCCACAACCTCACGTCGTTTCCACATTTCTGGGACCCAGAATCCAGCAGACCGGGCCCGGCCAGCGTCCACAGGCTTCTCAGAAGGGTGTGCAGCCTGTGCGGCGGCTCCCACCTGGGCTACGGCCAGGGCTGCCGTTCCCCTGGACGGGCTGCTGGGAGCAGCCTCAGAGTGGCTGCCTGGGAAGGGCCTCTCCAGAGACCTTTCCCAGCCAGGCTTCCCTGGGCTCCTGGCAGCACGGCAGACCCCTTACTCTCGAGCTCCTGCACAGTCCTGGGAGAGTCGGTGACTGGCAAGGATGGGTCCAGCTGAGCCTCCCCTGGCCCGGAGAGGCTGAGTGGGCTCAGAGCCTGCACCGCCTACTACACCCTGACTGCAGTCGTGGGGAGTGAGGATCCGGCTTCCCATGGGAGCAGGGCAGTCTGGAGACGACAGAGACCACTGCCCGGCACATTCTCTTCCTAGCCGTCTCCCACTTGGAGCAGTGCCCACCCTGAGGGGGCAGACAGCCCGGGACTGGCAGAGGACCCCCCGCGGGGTCCTGGAGCCCCTCCACAGTGTACCCAGGAGCACAGAGCGGCGGGTGCGAAGCAGCCTCCCCACCTGTGGCAGGACAGCACGAGCCGGCGCTTCTGGAATCCCTGCGGGCCAGGCAGGTGCTGGAAACATCACCCGGATGGAGCCCACACTGCAGCCTCCACATAGCCACCCAATCACTAACATCCCTCCTCTCAGCACCTGCTTCCGGGGAGCCTCCACACACAGGCCCCGGGGACCCTCCCCACACACAGGCCCCGGGGACCCCCCTCACACAGGCCCCGGGGACCCTCTTCACACAGGCCTGGAGACCTTCCTCACCTGCCTCCCTCAGCTTCCCTGCTATCCTCCTTGGGGTGTGTCCCAGGTGAGGGGACATGGCGCGGCTGCAGGGCTGGCCCAGGAGCCCATGAAGGCTGCCTTTGTCATTTTCCTCCGGGTTATCAATGCTGATTCACTGGAGAATGTTCAGGAAAAAGAACTTAGAATAAGCTATAATTGTCGAGAGATAACCATCATTATCACGCACTCCCCTCCAGATCAAACATCATTACACACTAAGTATTTGTCCACACAGGGGATGGATGAGACCCCGTATATGGCTTGAGACCCCGCGTTTCCGTGGCATGTCTGCATTCTTACATCTTTCCAGGGCGCTGATGGGTGAGGGCTCCTTGACACACGTGCCCTCGAGCCACCTGGGCAGCCCCTCTTGTTTCGAATTGGACCGTTGCCATTGTCCCAGGGCAGCCCAGGGGCCGGCGATGGCTCCATCTGTTGGAGACTGGGCAGCGGCATGCCCGAGGTGGGGGGTGGCCCCTGGGGCGGCACTGAAAGGAGGGCCCGACGCCGCTCATCGCAATGTCCCCACACCTGGTGCACACGCACATCCGGGTCTCAGGTGCACACACCGCCACGCAGGTTGTCCACACAGCCAGGGACCTCCTTGGAGGCCTGGGCTCCTGACCTCCAGGCAGGACGGCTCTGTGTACCGTGACCCCTCCTGCTGCTGTGGAGGAGGGAGTGGTGGCATCAGAGGGCCTCGACCCCTGAGCACCATGTCCCAGGCTGGACATAGAGGAAGGAGGACCATTGATCTGAGGAAACAGCACATGTGGAGACTCTGAGATGTGATGGGTCTTGTCCCCACACCTGAGTGGATGCAGGTGTCAGGACCAGGGTCCCGAGGCCACGGGGCAGCCAGGGCCGGGCCAGCTGTGCGGAGTTGCCACAGCAGAGCCTGGGCTGCGAGGGAGTGAGGGCTTGGATGCAAAGGAGAAATGGAACCAGATTCCCATCATGGAAATCCGAGTCGGGGCCAAGTGCAGGGGCGTGGGGGATGGGCTGTGGCTGGAGCTGGGTGCGCTGAGAGGAGGGACCCAGCTGGGGTTTTACCGGGATCAGGGAGAGCAGGTCTCGGGGGCCTCCCCACCTAGGGAGACCCCAGGCGGCTCATTCTAGGCCCACCAGCTTGCTGGGCTGCGGAGAAGGAAGGCCTGTGTGGAGGAGGGGGCGTGGGGATCCCTCAGTGCACCCGGCCCAGAGTGCAGCGTGCAGGCCCGGCTGGCTGAGGTGTGGCCAGGGCTGGGCTCCCCCACCCCGTCTTCCTCCTCCCCCAGGCCTGTGGCCCCAGTGTGGCCCGACGCCGTCCAGCAGTGGGGCCAAGAGCGCGTTATCAGATAATAAATAAGGCGGCTGGAGCCGTCCGTGTCAACATCTTGGCGGCCGCACAGGGTACTGTGGGGGAGGGGGCTGCCCACCAGGGCCACCCCCACCTGGGGGGAGGCTGTGGGCTTAGGCAGCCTCCGCTGCTGAGGCGCCTGTCGGTGGAGGGGTGAAGGCGCGGGCACCCTGGGGTCTATCCCCAGCCACAACCTCGCAGCCTCGGGGGTGCCGGGCCCCTCAAGCATCACTTCTTCATCTCGGCCTCGTGTGGAGGCCCAGGCACGGCCCAGAGGCAGACGTGGAGGGGTTGGGCCTGGGTGCTTGTTCCCTGGGCCTCACCTTCCACCTGGTGGCTGAGCACCTGGGGGGCCACGTGGAGATGGGGCCCCAGCCTGCACAGGTGGGGTTGCTGCTGAGGGGATGCTGCGGCCGGCAGTGCTGGGCCAGGGACACTGGTGTGTCAAGAGCCCCACTCAGCCTCCCTCAGGGACCCCACCAAGTACACACCAGGCCCTTCCCCACTGTGGGCCCTCCGAGGAGGAGGCTGGGCCCCAGGGTGCCCGAGGGTCACAGTGCCAGCTGCTCCTGCCACGGGGAGCCTGGGCTGGGGTGGACACCGGGTACTGGCCAACTTCCGAAGGCAAGTCTGATGTCCCCAGAAACACGGCCCCTGAGGCTGTGGATCCGGCCTCGCTCTCAGGTGAGAGCCTGGACTTGAAGGCCGTCCTGCCTCCCTCCCGCCCTGCCCTCCCCACCTCTCTCCTCTCTGCTCACTCGGCTGCCCTGCCCTCCCCACAGCACACCAGGCCCTGACTCAGCCCACGTCTGACTGGCTGTCCCCGAAGGCTGTCCACACACCCTGGAGGAGGCAGCCCGGAGCCCACGAACTGTGAGCCCAAGCCTGTGAGGCTGTGGCACCAGCATAGCTGGGTAAAGATGCCACCCGTGTTCCTGGCGGCAGAGTGACCTGTTTGACGATGGTGACAATAGGAACTGTTTTTTTCTGAGGGATGTCCCTATTTGGTCAAATAAGGAGGCACTTTTCGTGAACAGTGTTCCTTTTCTTTTCTTTTTTTTTCGAGACAGAGTCTTGTTCTATTACCCAGGCTAGAGTGCAGTGGCGCAGTCAGCCCTCACTGCAGCCTTGAACTCTTAGACTCACGTGATCCTCCCACCTCAGACTCCTGAGCAGCTGGGACTACAGGCGGACGCCACCACACCTGGATTATTTATTTATTTACTTATTTATTTATTATTATTATTTTTTGTAGAGACGGGCTCTCACTATGCTGCCCAGGCTGGTCTCGAACTCCTGGGCTTGAGTGATCCTCCCACCTCAGACTCCTGAGCAGCTGGGACTACAGGTGGACGCCACCACACCTGGATTATTTACTTATTTATTTATTTATTTATACTTTTTTGTAGAGATGGGCTCTCATTATGCTGCCCGGGCTGGTCTCAAACTCCTGGGCTCCAGTGATCCTCCCACCTCAGACTCCTGAGCAGCTGGGACCACAGGCGGACGCCACCACACCTGGATTATTTATTTATTTATTTATACTTTTTTGTAGAGATGGGCTCTCATTATGCTGCCCGGGCTGGTCTCAAACTCCTGGGCTCGAGTGATCCTCCCATGTTCCCTCCTTAATGAGCACGTTGCATGTTTCAGACAAACCTTAGAGGCATCATGGTCACTTAGCCATGAGCTGTCTTTTGCAACAGCAAAGGAGAGACTGACCCTCTCCCTGAGCCCACCCCTGGAAGCTGCGGTCCCAGCACAGTGGAGATGTGGTGTGTCCCCAGGACTCAGATGCCCGGTCGGGTTTATGCCTGTACAGGGCGGCTCTCGGGATCCAGTGTCCGTGTTTGGCCAAGACACACCTACGGGTGTCAAGGAGCACCCCGTTGGTTGGCCGCAGCCAGGTCCAGGAATGGTGGGAGAGTGAGGACGTGCCAGCCTCCGGGCCTGCTTTGAGGAGTGAGGGCTGCAGGCTCAGGGCCTGGGGTGCTTTCAGCCTTGCTGCTCTGCTCTGAATGAAGCCATAAATTAAGGGCTTGAAGCGGGAGGGCTCTATAAATGGTTCTGGGTCAGGAAGCCCCAGCTGACGGGGCTCTGCGTCTCTCTTCTTTTTCTATGCTGCCCATACTGTTTTGGGGCTTCACCAGGGCCTTCTCCCTCCCCCAGGGTGCCCAGGACCGAGCACCGAGGGTCTTGGTGGACACTTTCTGCAGGCTGGAGGGGCCGCTGCAAGGTCTTTGGGGATTTCCAGGTGCGGCGCCCTCCTCCTGAAGGCTGCCTGGGCATCTGCTTTAGTTCAAAAGGTGATGGGAAGTCAGTATGCCCAGGTCCAGGCAGTGCAGGTAAAGTGACTTTCCTTTTAGTCCTGTCGCTCTGATAAGGGGCCGGGCCACTTTGCCTGCCAACCTCCGGCTCGTCTGGTTGTTTATGGCTGGCTGGGCAGAGCGCAGGGAGGGCTGGTGGGAAGGAGAGTGCAGGGCGCCTGGCGGCTATATTAAGGCTCTGGTCCTCATGGCTTCCGCCCTAAGAGGAGAAAGGCTTAAATTTAGCAGCAGTGACCATGCCCAGAGGTGGAGCTGTCAGCCTCCGTCATCCCGGACACATCCCTAAAAATGGAATAAAAACAGGGAAAGGGTTGCTTCCCCTTTTCCCATGGGCAAATCCCCCTGTTCCCTTTGGGGACCTCCCTTCATGGATGGGGTGTGTCCAGGGCCACAGTCGGGTCAGCACTTGGACTCCTTCCACTCTACCTATGGGGACCCTGCCTGTCCTGCACGACCCCCACAAACACCTCCAGGAAGCCTCTCCAGGTAGGGATTGGTGCCTGGTGCCACCTCCCTATACTGGGGCCTCCTAGGGACCCGCCTTCTACACAAGTGCATGGATTACAGATATGGCCACGGATTTGTGGCACCCCCTCCCCAGCAGAGGTGGGGAAACCGAGGCCGGAACGGAAGCAACGTGGCCAGCTCCATTGCACCCAGCACTGTGGTCTGGGGACGCCGTGCTGTGCCCTCTGACCCTGGCACCTTGAGTCACCTCTCTGAGCCATGGTTTTTCTCATCAGGGAAGAGGAAAACCAACGCCTGCTTCCTGGGAGCGGGGAGTGCGAGGATGAGGCTGCGCAGTGTCCACCCAGCAGCAGGCATGGGGAGGCGCTGATGTGAAAACCACGACGCAGACAGTCACTGGCTGCCTCCTGCTCCAGGTCCTCAGCCCAGGCAGCTCTGCAGCTTCCCGCTTTCTCCCCCAGGCCGTCCTCAGGCCTCCTTCCTTCTGGGTCTGTGGCCCCCTCACCCCCTCACCCAGGGTCTGGGGTGCTGACAACAGGCTGGGCTGGCCTTACCTTCCATAGAGACGTGGATTCCCAAGGTCAGCCCTTCAGGTGGTAGAGGCAGCAACCGTCCAACCTGCGGGGGGACAGACTGTCCTTCCCCAGCTGTGGCCTGGCCTGGAGAGGCCTGGGAGGTCACTGCCACTGGTGAGGCCTGGGAGGTCACTGTCACCCATTTTCCCATTCAGGGACCCAACGCCCAGCATGAGCCCTGAGGCAGATGTGCAGGAGCTGGGTTGAGGGGGCGACCCTCAGTCCCTTGTGCCTCAGTATCCTCATTGTGCACGGGCACCCGGGAAGGCAGCCTGAGGCTTCTGGGTTTGGAAACAGGACAGTAGCAAGTGATCCCCAATGGTGCCCGGATGCCACATGTGACCCTTATGGGGATACAGGTGCCACCTTGCCCCAGCCCATTTCCCCGTCCCCCATCCCCAGGCCAGATGAGCAGGGCAGGGCAGGAACTTGAACTGGATTCGGACCCTGAAGCCATCATAGTGCAGGGTTTCTCAAAGTGTGGGCCCCCAGGCACCCAGCAGGTTTGAGGGGTTCATGTTTAAAATGCTGACTCCCGTGCCCACCTCAGATCCCACGGAGCTGAAAATCTCCCAGCATGGCTCCCACTGCATGGGCTAGAATGAGGGGCCTTGCCTGAGTTCTCTCTTGAGACAGGTCCAGTGGGGGGCAGGTGGCTGAGGAAGTTACTAGAGCTGCTCACAGCCCCCACCCCAGTGCCTAATAGGATGCAGGAGGTTGGGAGCAGACAGGGAAGGCTTCCAGGAGGAGGTGGGCTTGGCTAGGAGGAGGTTCTGAGCAGGGACCCAGCCTGTGGGAATGGAGGCGTTCACCAGCCCAGCCCCTCTGCTGCGCCTCTGGGCCAGGCCCCAGGCCTGTTGAGTGCCACTGCCGAGCCTCACACCTGCCCTGCCTGGCACCCCTCTCTCAGCCGCTGGGGACCTGGGGGATGCTGGTGGTCCTGAGCACCATCAGGGCCTGGAGATGTCCTTGAGGGCACCTGGGGGGACGCAGGGGACCGGGGATGTTTCAGAACGCAGAGGATAGCCGGAAATCGCTAGGAGGGTGGTGACCAGCAGGCAGGGCAGGACTTGGAGACCCCACGGGTGATGGGCAGGGGGAGATGGGAGACCCCACGGGTGATGGGCGGGGGGAGATGGGAGCACCCCTGGGTGATGGGTAGGGGGAGATGGGAGACCCCCCCGGGTGATGGGCAGGGGGAGATGGGAGACCCCATGGGTGATGGGCGGGGGAAGGGAGAGTGAGTGAGGTTCAAGGCTTTATTTCACTTTCCCTGTGGCTTCATTTGTCTCTTTTAGAAAAGATGACATCGCATAGAAGTGGGGCTGGAAGAACCTCTGGAGGGACAGTTTCAGAATGACCGGACCCGCTCCTGAAGCTGATGCCAGACAACTGTTTTTCAATATGGGGTGGTGCACTGGGGGTCTAGCTGGCTCACAATGTTAAAAATATTTTTGAATCAAATTGGAAGACTTAAAATCCAGGTTTCTGGCATTGCTGGAAAAATCAGGGCTTGTTGTTGAAGGGCAGCAGCCGGACGGAGGCGAGGATGTGCTCCCCGCAGGGCCCTGTGGCTGCCTGCCCCGCTCCTCTGCTCCCTGTGGCCTCCTGACATACATCACCGGCCATTCACAGCTGCGTCGGGTAGGGTGCCTCTCGCCAGCGTCACTCATTAAGGTATCATCCAACCCAGTGTGGAGGGGGCTTGCAAGAGAAAGAGGGGTCACTAACAATTCTCCTGGGACAAGAGACTAAACTGCGTGGCCCCAGATATGCCAGGACATGTGACCACGTCACCACCAGCCCCAACAGCGCTTGGATGGGTCAGGACAGGGCTACCAGACAATTCATTCTGCCTGTCAGAAATGGTCATGATACACAGATTCAGCTAGAACAAGGCCCTTTCCCATCCCCTCTGGAAAAACTGTCCAAACAAGTGCGTAAGTCTGTGATGACTGCAATGTGAGCGGCTTCCCCTCGGCGGAATCCTGGCACCGTGCGCGGCCCGCACTCCGATCCCTGGCAGTCCTGCACCTGTTGCGGGAAAAGTTCTCTGCACCACAGCTCCGTCTATCCATGTGGGCAATGAAGGACAGCCCCGAGGCCTCAGGAGGCCCATGTCCAGCTGCTCCCCTCATTCCTCTCCCCTGCTTGGCCTCAGGTGCTTCACTGGGAATCTTGGTTTTACACTGGGAGGTTGACTGTTTTCCCCCAACTGCTACAACTTGTAAACATATTGACGGTGAGCATTGATGACGGAATTCAAGTTGGTGGTGGTGGTGCCCTGCGTTGGCCTCCGCCGCAGGGGGCCAGTGTGGTCCGGAGCCTTGGGCCGCACCTGGGGAGTCCCTTGCTGTACGTGGGGTGGGAAGCTGAGCCCTTCCCTCACCAGCCTTCTTGCTCTGGGGCCCGACTGCCGTCTGTCCAGAAGGCCTCCCCACCACTGTGTGGAGACTCCAGCAGACCCAGTCTCTGGGTTGGGGGGCCTGCTGGTCTCTGCTGTGCTGGAGCAAAGCAGGCACGGAGGTGACTCAGTGGGTGGTCTGTTCCAGGCTGTTCCCCTGACATGGGCTGGCCTGGGGACCTAGGCCAAGGCCAGCGCACACCAGGCCTCTTGGCGCAGAGCCCCCCTGAGGCCAGCCTGGGGGCTTGGGGCCGTGGAGGGGAAGGCAAAGTCCTCAGGCTCGAACTTGAACTCCAAGTGGCCGGGGGCAAGAGAGTCATCCTCCTGGCCAGAGGCCTGCAGGGACAGGAGAGCGTGAGAATGTGGGGTGGGGCGTGGGGCGTGGGGGGCTGGGGGAAGCTGCAGCCTCTTAGGTCAGGAGCTCCCATGACCGGTATTTGCCCTTAGGGACCCCCTGATGCCCTGGAATGGCATGGGGGACCCCACGTGAGGCACTGGGGTTTCTCCCACATCTGGCACAGAGCCAGCTCTAGGGGAAGGGCCACCATACTGATGGCCGAAGGCAGCCGGTGTGTCCAGCCCACCTGCTGGAAGAGGCTCCGAGGGGCTCTGATGGGATCTGACTTGGCGGAGGAAGCACAGGGGCCCCAGCTCTGGGCACCCCACCCCAGCCCACCCCCTTACCTGGGGGGCCATGCTGGGCCCAGGGCACACTGGGGACGCCAGGCTGGGCTTGGCTTTCGAAGTGGCTGCTGAGCTGTCAGTGCTGGCGACAGCAGATGGGGAGGCCGAGGCATTCCTTGTGGATCCTGGAAGCGAAGAGGGGGTGTTTACAGAGGGGTCAGGTGTGGCCTCACTTCCCCTTCCTGCCATGTAGCGGGTCTCCTCTGGCCCCGGCCCAGAGAGGTTTGGAGACTCCTCACGGTCACACCGCAGGCGTGGGTGGTGTGGCCGGGCGTGGCTTCTTTGGCCCCACCTCTGCCCCTGCTGCCCACATGCTGTCACCACCCTGGCACCCCACACCCCCCCCAGCAAGGTCACCACAGGGCAGAGCTGGGGGCATTTGGACTTCCAGAGGACTGTGCTTGAACCAAACACACAGGTCTCTCATGACGGAACTGGAGGCACCGAAGGCCACTCCGCAGGAGCGGGGCTGACTGCAGGGCCTGGCCACGCACCTGAGGAGCCCCTGGCCTTGGCGATGGTCTTTGGCTTCCGCTTCCGTGTCTGGATGCTTTCCTTCTTCATAGCCAGAGGCCGCGGCACCTGGCAGGGGTGGCGAGGGTGGAGGCTGGTCCCATCCCTGCTCACCCCGGGCCCCTTGCACAGCACCCCCTCATTCCAGCCCCCCAGAGCCGGTCACTCCTGGAGCTGGCTGTGTCCTCACAGCCCTGGTGGGTCAGCTGCCAGCTGGGCTGGGTGAGGGGGAGCCCGTGGAGCTGGATTCCCATTCCCCCGTCCGACAGAGCTGCCAGGGGCCAGAAGGCACCAGGGGTGCCCAGAGGGCAGGAGCAGTGTCCTTGTCTGGCCCAGGCCGAATGGCTGTGGTGAGCCTCAGTCAGCGCGTCTGTGCCGTGAGTGTAACAGGAATAGCCCGGGCCCCCGGGGGTGGTGCCGCAGTCGGCCGGCCGGGACATGTGTGTACAACAGCCCAGGGGACAATAGCCATCCTGCCCGCTCCTCCCCAGCCTCTTGGTCTGAGAGTGCGGACGGCGCTCGCTAGGAGGCTGGACAGAGGCCTCCCCGCCCTGCCCCGGGGACCACACTCACCCCGTGCAGCTTCATGTAGAGGCCGCAGGCATTGCACACGGGCTCCCCCTCCGAGTTCCGCCGCCACAGCGTGGTGTTGGTCGTGTGGCAGTTGGTGCAGCAGAGGCCGGCGCGGCGGGACGAGGACTGTGGGGGCGAGGGAGACTGGAGTGAGCCCCGGGCCGGGTGCGCGGCTGGAGCAGGGGGACGGAAGCGAGACTCAGGTCGGCCTTGCGGCCACGCAGGACCCGGTGAGAAGGTCGTGAGCTCTGCAATGGCCTCGCCTGGCAGCTCTGCCTGGACACGCTCTCGAGCCCTGGGAAAGGTAACTTTACCTTCCTGGGCCTCAGTTTCCCCCCAAGTAAAAAGGGGGTGATAACAGACCCACCACAGGCCAGTTGTGGGGTTCAGAGCCCGTGGGGGCCAGGCACCTAGACACGGCAACGGTTTCCCTATTGTCTCTTTATCACCAACCCTGCGCCTGGACCCCGCGGTTCTGCAGTGCAGCAGCACTCCAAGGCCACAGGGTCCCCCGGAGGCCAAGACACAACAAGCGTCAGGGCCTGTGGTCCCCCTGGACACCCGCCTCCCAGGCCGGGGGGCCCCACCGGACAGAGGCTGAGGGCTCCGGGTCCCACCTGCCTATGTCTCCCCATTGCTGTGCACTGCGCCTGGTGGTGGAGCAAGACTAGACCCATCTGGAACCTTCCAGAGGCTCCAACATTGCCTCCCTCCTTCCCGTGGCTCTCAGTAGAGACTGACCCCAATCTGGCAGGCCCGGGTCCAATCAGAGGTCCCAAACCTCCAGGGCCCCAGTCCGTGAGCTCAGCTGGGGCTCAGGAATCTGAACTGAGGGAGGCCTGGGAGGCTCTGAGCTGGCTGCCTGGGGAGTCCCTGTTGAAGGTGGACCAGGGGCCTCCCACCAGCTCAAGCCAGCCTTTCTCCCACTGGCCGCACAAGTTGGTGCTTGGAGGGAGGTGGTGTTTGGGAGCTCGGGAGCTCCAGCCCAGGGCCCCAGAGGCACCTCAGACTTGAAGCCCTTTCCCGAATCTCAGAGCACAGCTCTGCTGGTGGCACCACCCTTCCCAGCCACTTGTCCCCAGACCTGGTTCTCCTGGGGGGCTGCTGTTTCTACCCCCAGCCCCTACCCTGACCCCATCGGTCCCCTTCCCTCAGGTTGCACAGCCCCTGCCTGGTCCAGGTCCCCGGCCTCTCTTGCCAGGATCACAGTGGTGGCTCTGCAGGAGCTCTCTCCTGCCCTCCCGGCGGCAGCCAGGGCCAGACCATCAGTGTGCCTCAGGCACAGGACGCAGCCCATGAGAATGGGCCCCCCACACTCAAAGCCATGCCCCCAGATTCTCTAGCCAGGACAGAGCCAGACAGCAGGCACAAGTGAGCCAGCCACACTAGGGGAAAAGAATCCATCCTGGACGAGGGCTGAGCAGACACAGCCAGCCTCGGCTTCCCCGTCTGTGTCTGTTACTTACGTGAGCAGACACAGCCAGCCTCAGTTTTCCTGTCTGTTACAGCCCACCTCGGTTTCCCCATCTGTTACAGCCCTCTATGAACAGACACAGCCAGCCTCGGCTTCCCCGTCTGTTACAGCCTGCCTCGGTTTCCCCATCTGTTACAGCCCTCTATGAGCAGACACAGCCAGCCTCGGCTTCCCCGTCTGTTACAGCCCGCCTCGGTTTCCCCATCTGTTACTGCCATGAGCAGACACAGCCAGCCTCGGCTTCCCCGTCTGTTACAGCCTGCCTCGGTTTCCCCATCTGTTACAGCCCTCTATGAGCAGACACAGCCAGCCTCGGCTTCCCCGTCTGTTACAGCCTGCCTCGGTTTCCCCGTCTGTTACTGCCATGGGCAGAAACAGCCAGCCTCGGTTTCCCCATCTGTTATAGCCTGCCTCGGTTTCCCCATCTGTTACTGCCCTCTATGATCAGATGAGGGCCGGCCTTGCTGACCATCTCCTGCCTACCCTTCCCCCAGGCTGCTGCCAAGGGCACAGGCCGTCCTGTCGAAGGCCTGAGTGGGAGAGTGGGGGCCTCCCTGCAGCCCTGAGTACCAGCCAGCCCCCAAACTCAAGGCCCCCTCAACCCCCAGCCACAGCTGCAGGCAGTTGCCAAAGGCTCTGGGAACGCTGCCCCTGCTTCATCTGGGGCCAGGCCTCCTGTCTCCAGGCAGGACCCTGCCCTGAGCTCCATGACAAAGGGGCAGAAAGGAAAGGAGGGGGCCAGGCCAATGAGGCCGGGGAGGCTTGAGAGGTGCCTCAGCTTGCAGCTCCTGGCCTGACTGCGGAGGACAATGTCTCCCACCCTGGGCCAACAGCATCCAGCCACTCAGGGTCTCCAGTGGTCTCTCTAGGGGGATGCTGGGGGTGAGACTTCTGCTCACGCTGGAGGGCCCAGCCCAGGCCCCAGCAGAGCTGGGAGGGAGATGGTGCCTGGCCCCGGCTGGATGGTGGGCACCCTTCGTGCAGGAGCAATTGGGGTCACCCAGGGCCCCCAGATGGTGTCTCTCCCTGGGATGCCCCCTGCCACACCCTGATGGGTCTAGAAGCAGCTACTGTTACTGGACAGGATTTGAGTTTGGTCCAGCCTCCCTCTCTTCTATCCTCGTCAGGTGCCAGGTGCTGTGGCTGCTTTCTTGGTGGCCTCAGGCCACTGTCCAGCATGAGGCATGGTCTCCTTCCCACCTCTCGGACACCCACCCATCCGTCTGTCTTCCTGAAGTGGAAAGAAATCTCCCCCAGGGCTGCCAGACGGATTGACCCAGGATGCCTAGGTAAATGTGAATTTCTGCCTAGGTAAATGTGAATTTCTGATACATGATGAATCCTTTGTCTCCTGCAGTATTTGGGACATGAATGCTAAAATATTTGTGTTTATCTGAAATCACATGGAACCGTGTGTGGCCTGGAGTTTATTTGCTGACTCCCTCCTTGTGCCCCAGCAGTCCCCGCCTTCAGACTGAGGGGCATCCATGGCCCAAGGCCCATCCTCTTCCCTGAACCAGAGGGACCCTCGGGTCTGGGACCGGCCATCACCCCTTAGCACACACAGATAGGGGTGCACACACATGAGCACACTCCACACGTCCCCGCACAGCTGCCAGCACGCCCCGACGGAGCCACGTCTGAGACACGGGTTGTGGAAAGAAACAAGGTGGGGCGCGCAGGACGTGCGTGGGTTGGGACAGCCCCCAGCAGCGGGCACACCCCTCACCCCGCACCCCTGCGAGTGCCAGGGAAACACCTGGAACCCACCTTGAATGTTTTCACAGTGAGCATGTTTCATGTCTATCAAATTAAGACAATGGGAAAAACATGGACCTCACAACACTTTTCAAAGTGCGTCTTCACCTACCCTTTCCTAAATCTTCACCAGATCGCTATTGTACGAGTGGGAGGCTGAGGCTCAGAGGAGCTGCGGGACCAGAGGAAACTGGGGAGGCCCGGGGTGGACAGAACCGCCCCCCTCGGCCAGGTACTTAGGGGACACGCTCCCAGCAGCTTGCCCGCGCTGGGGCTCCCTGTGCCACCATACCGCGACGATGCCTTCATTTGTCCCCTCCTCACTGCCCAACAAGCAGCCCAGCCTGGCCACACTCAGCACCCTGCCCCCCAGGCCTCTCTCCCGGCTGCATTTCGTTTTTCTTTTTTGTCGGTTCTTTTCAAAAGAAGTCAAACTTCAAAGCCTCCTTGCGCGCAGCAGAGCCGCTCTAAGCACCAGGCTCTGTGTGCATCTGAGACATCCAAATAAATCAGGCTCTGGGCAGGGCAGGGCCCGGGCCGGTGCTGGCGGAAATTCAAGGAAGGCGGGAGAGGGAAGGAGGTTCGAGCCTGGCTTGGAGGGATGAAGCGCACACGCCGGGAAACACTTTGGAGTAAAGGTGCAGGTCACAGTGACCCGCAGTGCAGCAGCCTCCTCTGAGATGGAAGACTGGGCCGTGGACAACCAGAGGCTGCTGTGCCGCAGAGTCTGAGCCTTGGGGACGGGTGAGTGGCTGGAATGTCTCCAAATTCAAACAGGTCCCCTCCTGGAGGGGGGATGTAGTAAGCACTTGATACAGTGCCCATGCCCCTTGCTGGCCGAGGACAAACTGACTTGGGGACGTGGGTCTGTGAAGGGCTCGAAGGAAGGAAACCCTGGGGTTGGGTGGGTGTTAGGTGCCTGACTCCAGGTAAGGACCAGTCTTGCTCAGCGGGAAGGGACGCTTGGCTCCATGCAACACTGGGCTACTTCCTGGAGCTGGTGCCAGAGGTGGCTCAGGGCTAGGAGGTCTGCTGTCCGCACTGCCCTTGGCTGCCGGGCCCCAGGCTTCAGCCGAGGCTTCAGTGTTCTTGGGGGTGGGCTGCTTGGGGCCCAAGAGCTCCCAACCGTGTCCGAGCACAGAGCCAGACCATGGGGAGAGGGCACGGTGGTCCCTACCCTCCGAGGCCTCTGGTCTTGGCAAGATGGACAGTAAACAGGGTCCTCCCCCAGGAGGCACCCCAAAGCCCACCCTGTCTACCCCAGACCAGGGAATGGAGGCCTCATCACGCCAAGGGCCCCCATTAGCCCGTCCTCAGAGCCAAGGCCCAAGCACACAACACCAGCTAATTTAACTTTTACAGCAAGGTGTGGACGGTTCCAAGTTCCTCTCCCCACTTCTCAGATGAGGAGACAAAGGCTCAAAGAGCTGGGGAACTGTCTACGAGATGCCCCAGCCCAGGAGTCTGGGATCCAACTGGACACAGGTATTGCCCGGCTGGAAGACCCAGGGCAGGGCAGGGCAGCAGGAGGGGCTCCCTCCTAGCAGCTCCTCCTGACACCAGAGTGTCCCGGTGCTCAGTTCAAGGCCTGGCAGTGGGGAGAGTGGATACAGCCAGAGGAGGGGCAGCCCTTTGCATGGGTGAGGGTGAAGGGAGGTCTGGGCTGCAGTCTCACGGGAGCTGGGCTGAGCTCCCTACCACTTCTCTTTTTTAAAAAAAAATTTAATTTAACTTAAAATGTAATTAAATTAAAGAGAAGTTAATTTCAATTACAATTTTTTTTTTTTTTTTTGTGATGAGGTCTTGCTCTGTTGCCCAGGCTGGAGTGCAGTGGTGCCATCTCGGCTCATTGCAGCCTCAGCCTCTCAGCTCAAAAGATCCTCCTGCCTCAGCCTCTCAAGTAGCTGGGACCATGGGTGTGTGCCATCGTGACTGGCTAACTTTTAAATTTTTTGTAGAGACCTGGTCTCCCTATGTTGCCCAAGCTGGTTTCGAACTCCTGGGCTCAAGTGATCCTCCTGCCTTAGCCTCCCAAAGTGCTGGGATTACAGGCATGAGCCATTGCACAGGACCAATTTATTTATTTTTAGAGACAGAGTCTCCCTCTGTTGCCCAGGCTGGAGTGCCTTGGTGTGATCATAGCTTACTATACCCTTGAACTCTTGGGCTCAAGTGATCATCCTGCCTCAGCCTCCTGAGTAGCTGGGACCACAGGTGTGTGCTACCATGTCTGACTAATTTCTTTTTTTTTTTTTTTTTTAAATTTTTAGTGGAGATGGGTTCTTGCTATGTTGCCCAGGCTGGTCTCGAACTCCTGAGCTTAAGCAATCCTCCTGCTTCAGCCTTCCAAAATTCTGGGACTATAGGTATGAGCCACCGTGCCTGGCCCCTAACCCCTTCTTAACCTCAGTGGTTAACCCCTCAGTGAGGGCCACGTGGACGCCAGGCTGGAACAGCACACCTGGGAGCACAGGCAGAGTCACAGCGGCACACAAGCCAAGAGGGGGATGGACTCCTAGGAGCCTTCCCTCCGAGAGGCAGGCATGGGAGGAGGCTGGGCCTGCAGAGCCCCAGGCCCTAGGCCAGCTCCAAGGAAGAGAAGTGACGGCCGCCCCCGGCCTGTGGTCCTGCTTCCCACCACCTGCTCCACTGGGACCTCCCACGCTCAGGTCCTGGTCCCCCACAGCCCAGGGCCCCAGGATTTCCCCTCAGCCTGTAACTGAGGGATGTTCAGAGCTGCACCGGCATAGCACGCGAATCCAGGCATCTAGAACAGCCACCCGGCAAGGACAGCGGCAGGAGGGCTGGCCTCCACCCAGGGTGACGGCGGGAGCTGGCTGATCGACCCCGCACGGAGTCCACACCACCAGCGGAGGAGGACTTGGTGCCCAGGAACATACCCTTGCTCAGCCTTCTGACCCAGGTGCCACTGTGGCCTCCCCAATTTTAGATAACTTGCAAACGACATCAACACCCCAAATCCTTATTTGTACAATTACTCGAAAGTAAAGGTTTGCCTGGGGAAACGTATAGAACAAAGCAACTTTCAGCCTCTTCCAGCCTCTGGGGACTGTGCCCTGCCTGGGGCAAAAGTCCAGGCTCCGGAGTCCCCCACTCCCTGCTCAGCCACAAGCCAGGAAGAACCAAAAGTGAAAACAAGTTTAGCCCATGAGGCAGAGGACAGGCATAAACCTGGTGTCCCTGCGGTCCCTGAAATATGGGTAGAAAGTGCTCCCCGAGGGGACTACAGACCCAAAGACTCTCCAGTTTCAGATTTCAAGGCCCTTCAATCAAGTATCCAGCAGCCACCTTCCCTCAAGCCTCATCCCAGGTAGGGTCACCTTGAGGCCTCCGAGACAGGGCCAGGCCACAGCCAGCCACCACCGACTCGTAGGGCTGAGCTCCTGGCTCCTGGCAGCAGGCCTTCTTGGACCCAGCACTCAGCTGAGCCTGGCTGACACCGTTGCTCCAGAGCCTGGGCTCCTGGCCCCCAGAGCGCTCCAGGGCTGGGCGCTATGAGCTGGTGGCCCCTGGCATCCCCACTGGGATCCCCTGCCCTGCCCTGAGCGCTCTCAAAGAAGACCTGAGCCGGCCTGACCTGACCCACCGGGGCGGGCACCCAGGCTGTTTTTGGGACACTCCCTACCCCCTACCCCAGGGGCTCTGGTGTCACCTGGGTGGATTGCAAGAGGTCCCCTCGGGGGAGCACTGCGCCCAGGCGCCCCTCTGCCCAGCCCGAACTCACCAGGCGCTTCTGAGGCCGAACGAGCGGCCGGTTGACGCCATTCATCTTGTGGTAGAGGCCGCAGGCATTGCACAGGTAGTGGCCGGTGCCGTCTCGGCGCCACAGCGGTGTGGACAGGGCCCCGCAGTTGACACACTCACGACCCTCACCCGGGAACTCCTCCAAGAAGTCGGACACTGAGGGGACAGGCAGCTGGTGGGCCCGGGCCCTCCCCTCCCCAGGATCCTCCCCAGCTCATGGGCCGGCACCCTCCCCTCCCCAGGAGCCTGGCGGCTTTCGTCAGACGAATAAACTTAAGGCACAAATCTTGTGCCTTAGATGTATTTTATTTTAAAATTTATTTGCTTACTTCATCTTATTTTTAAATTTTTAATTCACATACGATAAAATTCGCTAGGGTTGGTTTTTCGAGGATGGGGTGTTAATAAACAGAACCTGAAGACAGACACCTGGGACTCCCGGCTCCGGGACCGGGGGCCAGCACTGGCCTCTGCCTGTTTGACCTGCTGGGAAAGCAGGGTGTCTACACTGGCGGGGGAGGTGGATGAAGTGGTGTCTACACTGGCAGGGGAGGGATGAAGGGGCTTTATCTGGCAGACACTCTTGGGCGCCCCTGGG
The DNA here is from genome assembly GCF_000001405.40 of Homo sapiens. Taxonomy (NCBI): domain Eukaryota; kingdom Metazoa; phylum Chordata; class Mammalia; order Primates; family Hominidae; genus Homo; species Homo sapiens. The sequence goes on from NC_000020.11 coordinate 62,474,021, forward strand.
CTCTCCTGGGAACGCTAACCCCGCTGTCCTCCTGTTCTGCAAAGCGGGTCCATGACAGGGGTGGGGGGTTGGGAGGGTGGAGGAGGTGCCTTCTGTCAGCTTGGCTGTGGTCGCAACCAGTGTCCTTCCTTTAGAAGGCCAGCCCCGCCTCACAGCCCCCTGGGGCCGGGCTTCGCACACTGTGCGGCTGGGGGTGGAGGTCTTCCTGGTCCCCTCCAGGCCCGGCCCGGCGCCGGCGCGAGGGAGGCCCGGGCGCCGAGTGGGGGTGGGGCAGGGATCAATCATCGCCCCGCCGGGGGTGGGCGCCAGCAGCCGGGCTGTCCAGGGAGGCGGGGGCCAGGGGTCCTGCGGATGCCGCTGCGCCCGCTTCCTGCGCCAAAGGGCCGGCGGGGTCCCAAAGGCAGCTCCGGAGCTGGGTGTCGAGGCCTCCAAGGTCCCGGAGGGACGGGATGGGCCCCTGCGGAGCTCAGAGGAGCCGCCTTCGCCAGAAAGTGACTACGCTGCAACCGGGAAGAGCCGCTCCCCTCACAGGCCGAGAATCCGATTCTCCAAACTGATACTCGGGAAGCGACTGAAACCAGGTCTCAAATTAAAATCAGTAAACGTCCTAGAACCGAGACGAATGTGGCCACTTAAATAAACCGATGTTTTGGGCTTTATAAAAATCGTTTCCAAAACTTTTCAAAAACAAAAACAAAAACGATTAAGACTTTTGAGGCTCCACATTGGCACAATCCGGAATGCTGTTTGGAAATAGATGTTCCTTCTCATTAACAGGTTAAAACAGAATTCTGGATGGGTGTTTCCCGTGCGGGGTGTTACCCAGGTTTACTCGTCTCGCCCCGGGGCTGCTGGTGTCGCTCCTGGCAGGGAGGCTCGGACCGTGGGGGAGGATGAGGGGAGCGTTTCGCAGGGTGCGGGTTTGCACCCGGATTCGGCCGCTCCTGGGCCCCGAGACTGTGGAGCCCCCGCACTCACCGAAGGTGGGCCTGCGGCCTGGGAGGCCGTGCAGGACGCTGCCATCGAAGGGCCCGGCAGTCCAGGACTGGGCCACGTCGGGGCTCACGTAGGCCGGGTAGGTGGCGGAGTACGAGGTCCCCACCGGCCGCCCAAGCGGGGCCGCGAACTGTTCTCGAGGCAACAGCGCGCCCTGGTAGGCACTGCCGTCTCGGCCCCCCGCGCTGCCGCCGCTGCCGGGCCCCGAGGGGCTGTGCGCGAAAGGGAAGGCGGTGGCCCCGGGCGGGTGCGCGGCTGGGGGGTGCGGACTGCCCGGGCCGAAGGCCGACGAATCCGCGGTGGCTGTCTGCGCCCAGCCGGGGCGCGCAGCGAGCTCGGGGGGCTGCGGGCTCGGCTCACACCCGGACAGGTAGGACAGCATCGAGGGGACGCGCGCCGGCGGCACAAACATCGGAGAGCCGGCGCCCGGAGCGTGCAGGAAGGAGCCCGAGTCGGCGTAGGCGGCCTGGCGGGGGCTCGCGGCCAGCGCCAGGCTCTGGTACATCCTCCCAGGCGTGGTCTTGACCTGCAGGGAAGAGGGACAGGTGTGGAGGTCACGGGAGCTCTGCGCCCTCCGCCAGCGCCCGAGCTTATGCCGGGCAGGTGCCGCCGCTTCGGGCAGCGCTTCCCAGTCCCCAGCCCGGGACGTTCGCGGGGCGGGTCCCCGAACCCGAGGGAGAGGAACCGCGGGGATGGGAGAGGCCAGCGCGTCATCCCCGGGGCAGTCACAACGCCGAGCCCACCTCCTCCCCGACCGGGCTTCGGAGGTCCCCGGGGTGAGCTCGGTGGGGGCCTGGGAAGGACGGGCCTGGCGCGGCCGCAGGACGCAGGGCCTGGAGAGCGGGGCCCCGCCGCGCTGGGAGGGGCCGGGTGGGGAGGGGCGCGCGGCTGCAGCCCGGGCTGGAGCACTCACCAGCGGGCAGGGAGGGCGGCAGGGCACGGCGGTGGCGGTGGGTCGGCGACCGGCGGGCCGAAGACTGGAAGCCCGGGCCGCTGAGGCTCCGCAGCCCCCTCCGCGCCGCCCCGGCCCGCCCCCGCCGCGCCGCCCCTTCCCTCCCCGCGCCCGCCCCTTCTTCCCCGCAGGGTCAGCGCTGGGGCTCCGGCCGTAGAGCCACGTGACCCTGGCAGGCCCTGCTCGCGGGGCTTGGCGACAAGGACGCACGACACGGGGCGGCCAGCGCGGAGCCCGGACCAGTGCAGCTAGACGGGCGGGCCGAGGGCTTCGTGGGCCCCGGGGAGTCGGGCGCAGAGACTTCTCCAAGTTTGTGCGAGTCCCGAGCCCTCTGCCTCCCTGCCCCGGCCCCCGCCGAAGGCTGGCCTAAAGACGGGCTCCGTGTCTGGTGGCTGAGTCGGTGATCCCGGCCCCGCTCACCGATGGACACGCGGCGGTGGAACCCCGTGGGCCCCCTCGTTGCGTGGCCGCACCCGGGGCTCGGTGCAGGGAACCGGCTTCCATAGGGACGGCCGGCTCGGGTCGCTGGACTGGGACGGGGTGCACTGGCGGGAGCCCCGCGATTTCCTCGGTTTCTGAGCAAGCGGGGCCACAAGGCTCGGGGTCCCAGTGGGAGGTGGGCAGGGTCCAGCCTCTAAGGCCCGATCTGGGTGCCAGGCTCGAAGGCCCCAACCCCGGTGGGGCTCTCAGCCGGCTCTCGGGGACTCGGGAAGAGTTTCCTCCAGGCGCCAGAAATGCGTGTGGGTAGGAGGCGACCCAGGTCAGGGAACCGTGTCCCGCTCGCACTCCCGGTGAGGGCTGCATGGAGGCGCCGCTGCCGCGGAGCAGCTCCGCAGGTTGCGGGAAACGGAACGGCGGGCTCGGAGCACACCGGGTGGACCCAGGCTTGGCGGCCATGAAAGTTCTTTTTTTCTTTTTTTCTTTCTTTCTTTCTTTCTTTCTTTCTTTCTTTCTTTCTTTCTTTCTTTCTTTCTTTCTTTTCTTTCTTTCTTTCTTTTTTCTTTCTCGGAGCACACCGGGTGGACCCAGGCTTGGCGGCCATGAAAGTTCTTTTTTCTTTCTTCCTTCCTTTCTTTCTTTCTTTCTTTCTTTCCTTCCTTCCTTCCTTCCTTCCTTCCTTCCTTCCTTCCTTCTTTCTTTCTTTCTTTCTTTCTTTCTTTCTTTCTTTCTTTTCTTTCTTTCTTTCTTTCTTTCTTTCTCGGAGCACACCGGGTGGACCCAGGCGTGGTGGCCATGAAAGTTCTTTTTTCTTTCTTCCTTCCTTCCTTCCTTCCTTCCTTCCTTCCTTTCTTTCTTTCTTTCTTTCTTTCTTTCTTTCTTTCTTTCTTTCTTTCTTTCCTCCCTCCCTCCCTCCCTCCCTCCCTCCCTCCCTTCCTTCCTTTTGCGGAGTCTCGCTCTGTCTCCCAGGCTGGAGTGCAGCGGCGCGATCTCAGCTCACCGCCTCCCAGGTTCAAGCGATTCTCCTGCCTCAGCTTCCTGAGTAGCTAGGACTACAGGCACCCGCCACCACACCCGGCTAATTTTTGTATTTTTAGTAGAGACGGGGTTTCACCATGTTGGTCAGGCTGGTCTCATCGAGCTCCTGACCTCAGATGATCCGCCCGCCTCAGCCTCCCAAAGTGCTGGGATTACAGGCGGGAGCCACCGCATGAAAGTTCTTCCTTGCAGAAACGGGCCCTCAACTCCTGTCAGTCAGGGCTCGGAGAGGACGCTGGTGAAGGGTGAAGACCTGGGAAGGCAGGAAGGCGGCGATGTGGGGCCGTCGGGGTGGGTGTCACTGGATCCCCCCCACGGGGGTCTGGACAGCCGGCGCTGTCCGTCTGGGAAGAGCTGGGGTGCCCCACATGCGCCCTTATTCCTGGCCTTTCCTCTTCGCCCACAGCAGATAAGGATTCAGGGTGCTTGTGGAGGCGTCCAGGGTCCCTGCGTCTGGGAAGGCAGCAGGCTGAAGCCCCTGGTCTGTGGTGGACTTGGGACCCCACAGACGGTTCCGCAGCAGGTTCAGGCCTGTGCAGGAGAGGGTGCAGCGCGGCAGGCTGGGGTGGGGGTCGGCTGCCATTGGGGTAGGGAGCTAGGCGACCTTCCGTTACCCCTTTACCAGCTCCCAGCCCCTCCTCGCCAGCTTCCCACCAGATGCTCCCTCCTTTCCTGTCCTCAGAAGCCTGGTTGCTGCTTGCCCTGTGTGGACTCCCCTGCCTTCTGCTCTCCCGGCACTCTGGGTCTCCGCGAGGGTCTCTCTTTGACCCCACACGTGCAGACTTTGTCTGTGGATGGCAGTGCACTCCACGAAGGGGTGGAGAGGTGCCGGGGCCTCGGTGCGGGCGAGAGGGCGCAGTGCAGTCCAAGCGGCTGCAGAGGGCTCTAGCGCAGCAAAGCTGGTTGGACCCAAGCTCTGACCCCTCTGCCCTCAAAGCCCGGGTTACCGAGCCCTCATGAGCACCAAGAACGAAGAGAAGTAAAAAGGGACACTTGTGACCTGCTGGGGGCTGAGCCACCGCTAACCCCAAGAAAAGTCTAGAGAACAAGAAAAGAACCACAGCAAACCTGGGACCCTGCAGGACGAATCGGGGAGGGATTCGTGCTTTTTACTTGCAATAAAATCTGTAAAGTTCTTGAATAGGAAACACCAACATTGCCCGGGTGCTGTGCTTTGTCCTGACATTTCCATTTAGTCCTCACATCAGTCTTATGCAACAGATCACATTATCATTCCTATATACAGATGGAGAAATGGAGCGCAGAGAGGTGAGCTAACCTGCCCCAGGCCACACAGCTAGCAATTAAACAAGCCAATTAAAACAAAGAAGGGAGTCTCTGAGTGATAGTGGTTGGTTGCTTTCTTGAGTTAATAAATATCTACAATGGACATTTGTATTAAACCCTGGGCCTCCATGAAGGGCGGGGAAGGGAAAATTTACCCTTCGAAGGCTCCTCCGAGGCGGCGCCCCACACAAGGCAGGACAGGGCTGGGGGTCCGGGGCTGTTCTGGTCACTTGGTGCCCTGCTAGGCGAGTCACAAGCTCACCTGCTCTGCAGCAGCAGCAGAAGCCACTGGTGGCGTGTTTTCCACGTGGATCCAGCTGCCTCCACAGTGACTGGTGGGGGTGGGCACCCATCCGTGGGGGTTGTCTGTGACAGTATCTGGACCCCCTCTCAGACCTGTTTCTACTTGAGCCAAAAAGTGAGGAGTCTCGGCTCAAACCTCAAAACCCAGGTGCCCCCGACGTCCTCGATCCCCACGAACCATGCTTCCGTGCAGCTCTCCACTCCCGGTGCTCTGGGCCCCTCAGGAAGGAGGTGGCCCCTGAGCCAGGTGACCCAGTCCACCAGGCTACCCCACCCAGCAGCAAGCCCTCTTCTCCCCTGGACCCCGCCCATGCTGCTTCCTGAATGGGCCCTTTGCCCTCTTCTCTTCTTGCCAAACTCCTACACATCCTTCAAGGCCCGTCTTGCAGGTCCCTTCCTGTCCCTTCCCCTACGTTGCTCTCCCCTTCCTGGTGCCTCATTGTGCGGTGTGGTCAGATGGCTGTGTGCCTCCGTCTTGTCACCTTAGCAGAAGCTGAGTCAGGAGAACAGCTTCAGGAACAGCGGGTCAGGGCATCGAGCGGGCACAGTCAGAACTTTGGGACTCAGCGTTGGCATCTCCGGGCTGTGTGGCCTTGGGTGAGCTGCTTCTTCTGTAAGGTGGGGGTGATGATAGTGCCTGCCTCTCACGGTGGCTTTGGGGAGGCATTAGTGGGACTGGGTACTAAGGGCGTCTGACCCGGGATGGGCATGCAGCAGGCATTGGGCTAATGCTGTCTGAGATAAAACCCAGTGCAGGGATGGAGGCTCTGAGCTGTGTGCCCAGGGCCCTGAGAGCCGGGGAGCCAGGGGAAGTGACAAAGACCAGGAAGGAATTTCTGGCCCTGCCATGGGTGACCCCTCTCTCCTGAAGGCTTCCCTGGTTCACTGGGACCCAGGGACCTGCCATGGCTGGCCTGGGAAGACACACCTCTAAGGCGGGGACCCCACCCCCAGTGAGATAAGAGGGTGGGCATGTTAACCCCCTGGTGACCATACAGAGTTAAGTTCCATGAGTCCTGGGCTGTGAGGGGCTTCTGGGGGCCTGAGTGGCCTGGGGTGCGGCTGGGCTGAGAGGGGGCAGGTGTTGGGGGGTGGCTGGGGTGAGAGGGGGCAGGTGTTGGGGGGTGGCTGGGGTGAGAGGGGGCAGGTGTTTGGGTGGGGCTGGGGTGAGAGGGGGCAGGTGTTGGGGGGGCTGGCATTGGGGTTGGGGGAGGAAGGCTCAAACCATCAGGCTCTGGGTTTCGTTTCCTGCTGTCATTTTCCTAGCAGTGCCCACATAACCCCCATCCTGCCCGCCCCCAGCTTGGGAACCCTTAACTCAGACATACTTATCAAGGGAAAGAAAACAGTCTCATTGTTCAGGAGGATAAGGACCAGCTCCCAGGAGACGCCTCAGACACGGCCCCTGTGGGTGGAGTCCTGGGTACATGGCCTCCCCCAGGGGCCTTGTTCTCTGCCCAGGAACGGCCCCAGGGAGGGCCCTTCCCAGAAGCAGTCCTGGGCAGGGCCCCCTTGAGGAGCAGCCCTGGCAGGTGGGTCCTCGCCTTGTACGCTGCCTGCAGGTGCTGGATGCTCCACATGTGGGCACCGGGGATGGTCCCACTTGAGGCTTTGAGCTCCGGCGAGGCCACCCTCTGTCCAGCCAGGGGGAGGGTGCCTCTGAGAAGGGGGCTGTCAGAGTTGCCTGAGGAGGGGGCTGGGATGACCCCTATCAATCCCAGTCCTGGGGTTCCTTGGCTCTTGTCCCTCCCTGCAAGTGGGGAGGCCATGAGAAGTTGTGGGGAAAGGCCCCAGAGACCCCAGGGCAGGGAAGGAGGCCTGGGGGCTGTGCTGGGGCCTGGAAGGGGGAGGCCTTGTGCTGCTCCCTGTGGTCTGACGGGCAGGAGGTTAGAGGGAGGGGCAGGCCTGCTTCCAGCAGGGTGGTCAGTGCAGGGCAGTCAGCGCAGGGCGGAGGTCTGTTTTCTCCTTGGTTATTTCAGGTAAACCGCATGCCCCGGGCCCCCAGAGTGGGAGAAAAGCCAGTTCATGGCCCTCTCCCCACCTTCAGCACTGCCCCTCCCCCCAGTCTCCACCCTGGCAGGGCTGTGGGGCCCGGGGCATCAGCTGAGCCCACTGGGCCCACAGCACCCTCAGGACCTCGCCACCCCTTGGGACCCACAGGGTAGCATTCCAGGGCTTCTCCTACACAGGGGGCTCCATTCGCCCGAAGGCCAAGGACTGCAGAGCTCATCAATGGTGAGGGGGGCCCGGGAGGTGGGTGCCTTGGGGGTGGTCCCAACTGGGTGGGGTTGGGGAGCCTGGGGGCACCATACGGGTATAAGAATTCATTTTGGACACAGTGTGTGTCCCCTTCTGCGGAACCTTTGAGCTCAATAGCCCAAGGGCAGGCCAGGCTCACCGCCCCTTTGGCTGTTGCCACTCTGGGTCAGTCTCCAGGGGCAAGGACAGGTTGGCAGTGTCCCCCCTCTGCCTGACTCCAGTCTGGGCATTTCTGGAGCATCCTGTGCGCCTGGCTCAGCCCAGCAAGCTGACATTTGAAAGCTCACAGCTGTCCTGTGAGGTGGGTGATTCCCGTGTCGTTTCATGGTGAAGAAGCCAAGGCCAGGACAGAAGTGACCTGTCCCCGGGCCACAGCTGGGCAGGGGCGGAGTTGGCATTTGAACCCAGCTGCGTGCCTCTTGAGTGCTGCTCTGTGGGCCCCGCAGCCTCCTGTCAGCTCCTTCTGGCGCCTGCTCTGTGGGTGTTCCTTTTGTCTAAGGCGCCTGCAGCCCTCAGAGGGTCTGTGGGGTGGGGACAGAGCTCAGCACCCCGCATCCACCAGCACCATCTCCGACCTCTGTGCAGGCTTCGTGTTAGAGGTGGCAGCCAGGTCCTGCCAACGGAAGATGCTGGGCCTTGGAAACAGCCTGCACTGTAGGTGACCCGGCCGGCCGGGCCCAAACTGGCTGCCAAGAAAAGGGAGCGGGAAAGGAAAACAGCTCTCGGCCACATCGCCTGTGTAACCGAATCTGTTTTCAAAGCCCCTCGCAACGCGGGCTCCGCATTCGGCAGGGCAGGCACTCGCCGCCAGATCCCCGAGGACTGCTCAGGGGGTCTTCTGGGAGGAGCTCAAAGCGAGTTTGTTTTCGGGGAGGAGGTCATTGCACTCAAGGTCCCCGTGACTGCAGCGTTCTCAAACGTCCTGCCATGTGCTGGGATAACCCCACCCACCGCAGGCGTGCCCTCCGTGGGGCAGGGAGGGGAAGCAGGTTTGGGCTGTTAGGGCTGCAAGCCAAGGGGCCTGCAGGGCATCTTAGTGAGCTGCTTTGGTGTCCCTGCAGTTGGCGACACCCATTGTCACACCCCCTCGGCACCCTCGGTCTCCCACATGACAGACTTACCTGGGGATGCAAACAGGGCTGGTGATGACCTTGGCCCTGTGCGGTGGGGTGGCCGTTTATGATGGGGCCTGCACTCAACTCACTTTCAGGTCTAGATGCGGGGACCGGGGGAGGTGTCAGCTGGGCTGGGCTGGGCACGACTAGACTGTGGCCCCGTCTGCGGGAGCCCGGCCACCACCTCAGCAACGCCACCTCCTTAGGATGTGGGGGCGGGATTTACTCTCGAGACTCTTAGAGCCAGCGGGTGGCTGGAGGCTCATAGCCTGGCCCAGGCAGCTGGGGGAGGGCTTTGCTGGTGCCTGGGACCCCCCACCCCCTGCATTCTCGCCTTTGCTTTCTCTTTTGCTCTCGTCTTTAACAACATCTCTCCACTCCTCCCCTCCCTCCCTCCTCTGGCCTGCCCGCTCCTTCATTCCTTCTCTGCTCCTAACCCCCGCATAGAGGAGCCTGGGGAGCCCGCAGCCTCCTGACCCCATGTTCCTCTTTCTCTCCTGTCTTCCTGGAGACGTCTGCCACTGACAGTCTTGGAGCCCTGTCAAGGGGACCTGTCCTGCGCTGGGCTGTCCACAGAGGAGCAGCGTGGAGGAGCTGGGAGTGCCCAGCCTGCCTGTGGGCTGCATTGCCGCTTCCTGCCCAGGAGCCCTGCAGCCGTCTGTCCGCCTCTGAGTAGGACAGTGGGGTTTCCTGGCCAGGAGCAGAGTTTGTCACATTCCAGTTATGTCTGCCCAATGTTCAGCTTTTGGTGAGTGTCAAAGAGTCAGCCCCACTCTGCGGGCGGGAGGGGACCTGAGATGTGAATCCAGGGGAGTTAAAAGGCTTCGGAAAGCATCCAAAAGTATAGAGAAAAAAAGGATAGTTGAGGGGCTGGGACGATGCAAGCCTTTTATTTTCATCCTTTAACTTTTTTTGCATTTCTGTATTTTCCACCATGAACAAAGCTCATTGATAATAGAGACTGAAATATTTCATGGATGATTCAAAGAGATAATCTGAAAAGGGAAATAACGTTTTTCTAGGGTCTGGCTGAAGCTGCCCTGCGGATTATGCAAAAACCTGTCTGAGGGAGTGAGAACGCAGAGGCACCTTAGAGCCAGCCATGGCTCCAAGCTCT